>NC_000002.12:74167625-74792625 GCF_000001405.40 Homo sapiens
TAATACCATTTGTGTTAGGAAAGAGACAAAACATGTTGTGGAATATACTGTGAGGGAGAAGGTGCACCAGCTGTATCCAGAGGCATTTAAAAGATCTAATTAATCATAAACATTTGTTTTTGAGGTCTACAGCATACTGAGGACAAAATACTTCAGATAAAGTCCCCTGCCCTGGAGTCTCTAGCTAACAGAAAGGACAAAATTAAAAGAGATGAATAATATAAGATATGGCCAGGCATGGTGGCTCATGCCTGTAATCCCAGCACTTTGGGAAGCTGAGGTAGAAGGACTGGTTGAGCCCAGGAATTCAAGACCAGCCTAGGCAACAGAGTGAGATTCCATCTCTACAAAAATTTTTAAAAAATTAGCCAGGCGTGGTGGTGCACACCTACAGTCCCAGCTATGTAGGAGGCTGAGGCGAGAGGACTGCTTGAGCCCAGGAGGCTGAGGTTGCCGTGAGCTGTGATGGTGCTACTGCACTCCAGCCTGGGTGACAGAGACACTGTCTCAAAATAAAAATAGCAATAATAGTACAAGATATAAGAAGACAGGATCCAAAGGCCAACGATAAATGCTACAGAGAAAAGGCAAAGTCATGAAGAGTTGGAAGTAGTCAGGGGGTACTTCCTGAGGGAGCTTCAGCTAGATCCAGAATAAAATGGAAGAGGCAGGGGGTGAGTAAATAAACTTTACTGAGTGAGTATACTCTATGCAAAGAGAACCACATAAGCCTTGGAAAGTTTCAAAAAATGTTTTAGGCTAGGTGCAGTGGCTCACGCCTATAATCACAGCACTTTAAGAGGCCAGGATTTGAGACCAGTCTGGGCAACACAGCTAGACCCCGGTCTCTATTGAAAATTTTAAAAAATTAGTTAGCCATGGTGGCACACGCCTGTAGTCCCAGCTACTCAGGACGCTGAAGTGGAAGGATCCCTTGAGACTAGGAGTTCAAGGTTGCAGAGAGCTGTGAGGGTACCACTGCAGTCCAGCCTGGACAACCCTGTCTCGAAAAAATAAATAAATAAAAAGTTTTAGTCTCCTGTCTAAAGAAGTACCTAAAAACAACTAGGTATTTTCCAAGTTTCTTAAAAAACAAATAGATTTTTTTAAAATGCTATCTTGTAAAAGGAATTTTATACAAAACTCCCTCACTTATAAATCTTCCTCTTAGTCATGTTTCTAAGAAAGTAACACTTAGGTATTCAATATTCACTCAAAACAAAAAATATGCCCAGGTGGAAGTTGGTTTGGTCTAGAAGAGCTATTCTCAAAACGTGGTCCAGGAATCCCCTATCTGAGGGAGGATCTGTAAGGTCAAACCATTTTAATTGTTCTTTTCACTCTTACTCTCTCAAGAGGGCACAATGGTGTTTTCCAGAGGCTCCATGATGTGTAATATCACAACAGACTGAATACAGAAACGGATATAAGAATCCAGGTGTCTATTAAGCCAGACATTAAATAAGATTTGCAAAAATATAAAACAATGCCATACTTCTCACTAAAATTTGTTATGGAAAATAGTCATTTTTCGTAAAAACATATTTATGGTAACATGTAATGGGTTTATTATTGTTATTTTAAAATGAATTTGGGCCGGGTGCAGTGGCTCACGCCTGTAATCCCAGCACTTTGGGAGGATGAGGCAGGCGGATCACTTGAGGCCAGGAGTTCTAGAACAACCTGGCCAACATGCCAAAACCCCGTCTCTACTGAAAATACAAAAATTAGCCGGGCATGGTAGCACATGCCTGTAATCCCAGCTACTCTGGAGACTGAGGTGGGAGAACTGCTTGAAGCCAGGAGGCAGCTGCAGTGAGCCAAGATCGTGACACTGCACTCCAGCCTGGGCGACAGGGCGATACTGTCTCGAGAGAAAATAAAAAATAAAAATAACTATTTACATCTTCTCAGTTTTAATTTCCAACAGAGTATCACGAGATATACCCAATATAATTAAAAGCTCTTTGGGGTTCTCAATAATTTTTTTTGTATTTTTTGTATTTTACCTTGTTTTTCCCCCGACTGGGTCTCACTCTGTTGCCCAGGCTGGAGTGCAGTGGTGCGATCTTGGCTCACTGCAACCCCCGTCTCCCAGGTTCAAGCAATTCTCCTGCCTCAGCCTCCTCAGTAGCTGGGATTACAGGTGTGTGCCACCACACCCAGCAAATTTTTGTATTTTTAGTAGAGCTGGTGTTTCACCATGTTGCCTAGGCTGGTCTCGAACTCCTGACCTCAAGTGATCTGCCAACCTCAGCCTCCCAAAGTGCTGGGATTACAGACATGAGCCACCATGCCCAGCTTGTATTTTACTTTTTTAATTAACACAGAATGGTACATATTTATGGGAATCAATAATTTTTTAAGAGGGTAAGTGGATCTGAGACCAAAAAATTTGAGAACTGCTGATCTACAGCAGTTAAGTCTCAAAGAAAAATCTAAGGCTGAAGGTCAATAAATGACTTCAGAATAACAGATGATAATCTGAATAAAGTTTTGTTTGTTTGTTTGTTTTTGTGTGTGTGTGTTTTTTTAAGATGGAGTCTTGCTCTGTCGCCCAGGCTATAGTGCAGTGGCACAACCTCAGCTCACTGCAACCTCCACCTCCCGGGAAGTGATTCTCCTGCCTCAGCCTCCAAGTAGCTGGGACTACAGGTGCGTGCCACCACACCTAGCTAAATTTTTGTATTTTTAGTAGAGATGGGGTTTTACCATGTTGGCCAGGATGGTCTCAATCTCCTGACCTCGTGATCCGCCTGCCTCGGCCTCCCAAAGTGCTGGGATTACAGGCGTGAGCCACCATGCCCGGCCCTGAATAAAGTTTTTTAAAAAAGGTTTTTTTTTGGCTGGGTTTTTTCCAGCACTTTGGGAGGCCATGGTGGGTGGATTACCTGAAGTCAGGAGTTCGAGACCAGCCTGGCTAACATGGCAAAACCTCGTCTCTACTAAAAATAGAAAAATTAGCCAGGTGTGGTGGCGGGCACCTGTAGTCCCAGCTACTCAGGAGGCTGAGGCAGAAGAATCACCTGAACACAGGAGGAGGAGGTTGCAATGAGCTGAGATCGCGCCAGCCTGTGCGACAGAGCAAGATTCCATCTCAAAAAAAAAAAAAAAAATTAGCAGGGCATGGTGGTGTGAGCCTGTAGTCCCAGCTACTCGGACGGGTGAGGTGGGAGGATCACTTGAGTCCAGAAGTTGAGGCTGCAGTGAGCTATGATCATGTCACTGCACTCCAGCCTGGGCAACAAAGCAAGACCCCATCTCTGAAGAAAAAAAAAGAGATTCAAGAAGCATACACACAGGCCTCTTTGGATCCTGATTTAAACAAAGCATAGATTTTTAAAGCAAAAAAATTTTAAAAAGAAAACATTTGGCCAGGTGCGGTGGCTCACGCCTGTAATCCCTGCACTTTGGGAGGCTGAGGCGGGCAGATCACTTGAGGTCAGGAGTTCGAGACCAGCCTGGCCAACATGGCAAAACCTCCTCTCTACTAAAAATACAAAAATTAGCCGGGCGTGGTGGCGGACACCTGTAATCCCTCAGCTACTGGGGAGGCTGAGGCAGGAGAATTGCTTAAACCCGGGAGGTGGAGGTGGAGGTTGCAGTGAGCCAAGATTTCGCCACTGCACTCCAGCTTGGGTGACAGAGCAAGACTCCATCTCAAAAAATAAAATAAAAAAAAAATAAAAAATAAAAGAAACATTTATGGGACAGTCATGAAAAATGTGAACACTGACCAGATATTTGATAAGTTAAAGGAGGATGGCATTGTCATTATCTTTACAAGTTCTTGTCTTTTAGACATACCTTACTGAAATATTTATAGATAAAACATCATGTCTGGGATTTGCTTAAAATAATCAGGGTGACATATAGAAGAAGAAAAATTGGTCACAAACTGATATTTGTTGGAGCTGGGTAATGGAATGAATACCTGGAATTCACTGTACTTAGTCTACTTTTATATGTTTGAAATTTTCCATTAAGAAGTTTTAGGCTGGGCGTGGTGGCTCATGCCTGTAATCCTAGCACTTTGGGAGGCCAAAGCAGGCAGATTGCCTGAGCTGAGGAGTTCAAGACCAGCCTGGGCAACATGGTGAAACCTTGTCTCTACTAAAATGTAAAAAATTAGCTGGGTGTGGTGGCGTGTGCCTGTAATCCCAGCTACTCAGGAGACTGAGACAGGAGAATGGCTTGAACCCGGGAGGTGGAGGTTGCAGTGAAGCAAGATTGAGCCATTGCACTCCAGTCTGGGCAACAGAGCAAGACTCCATCTCAAAAATAAATAAATAAATAAATAAATAAAAAGTTTTAAACTTTTTATTTAAACTTTTTATTCCTGGAACATCTGAAATCTCTAATTTAAACTTTATTACCCAGAAATGATATCATCTCAGAAATGAGAGACTCTCACATTCAAATCTCTAGCCTTAGCATATTGTCCCATGTCATGCACTTGTTCTCTTGAACTTAAAGTGACTTTCAGCTCAGATCCCTCCATTTTCTCCCAATCTCTCAATTCCCTCTGCCACTCTAAGTCACAACAATCAACTGTCCATATGAACTGCAATTGACTTTTCTGGATATGCAGGCTGATGAGTACTGCTGGGAGTGGAAGTAAAACTGTAGATGGATTTGCTACAAAGTCACAGACCACAACAGGCATAATCTTTTCATTTATCAATCTTTTATCTGACCTTACTCAGCTTTTCATACTATTCTTCTTAGAAATTGCCCAAAAGCACTCATCATTTCTCCTCAGCTCCCTCTACTCAACCTCACAAACTACCACCTAGTACTCTGAAAAGAGCAACATAGCTTTGGATGTATTTGTACTTAATGTTTCTTTACAGATAATTTGTTATATTAAAACAGTTCTAACTGTAAAAGAAAATTCATTAACAAAGAGATTTTAGCAAAACCTTTCTAGAAAACAGCAAAGTTACATTTTAAAACTTACTGTTCACAGCAATCCATTCATTGAGATCCTCTCCCTCAGGCAACATAACAGCTTGTCTCAGATTCCCACTTCCTAGAGTTGCTTCTGCATGTTTTAAGAGTTCATACTGATGAGATCCTTCAGGGATATTCTTCTTTGGTTTGAATGTTTTAGAAGAGCGGCTGCTGCTGTAAGATTAAAAGTGCAAGTATATGAATTTTTAAGACTGGAAGTAGAACAGGTAGAACAACATAATTTTAGGTATATAAAGTAGCCTGTAAAAATAAAATAAAAAATACTCTCTGGGCCAGGCATGGTGGCTCATGCCTGTAATCCCAGCACTTTGGGATCACCTGAGGTCAGGAGTTCAAGACCAGCCTGACCAACATGGTGAAACCACACGTCTACTAAAAATACAAAAATTAGCCAAGCATGATGGCGCACACCTGTAGTCCCAGCTACTTGGGAGGCTGAGGCAGAAGAATGGCTTGAACCTGGGAGGCAGAGGTTGCAGTAAGCTGAAATCGCATCACTGCACTCCAGCCCAGGTGACAGAGCAAGACTCAGTCTCAAAAAAAACAAAAACACTCTCTGAAAAATGCCAAGATAGGAAGATGATGATCACAATACAAGAATGCTTTTTTTCCCCTGCCTGTAAAAGCAAGATTAGCAGCACAATTCCACAAATAAGGCAATTTTACTATGCCCTCTGAAGAAGTCTGGTACAGAGAAACATCCTGGATTTTAGTTCTTGATCTGACACTAACTGTGTCTTCTTGAGAAACTGAACCTTCTTTTGGCCTCAATTTCGGTTTTTTTTTTTTTTTTTTTTTTGAGATGTAGTCTTACTCTGTCACCCAGGCTGGAATGTAGTGGCACAATCTCGGCTCACTGCAATCTCCACCTCCTGGGTTCAAGCGATTCTCCTGCCTCAGCCTCTCGAGTAGCTGGGATTATAGGCATGCACCACCACACCCAGCTAATTTTTTTTTTTTTTAGTAGAGATGGGATTTTGCCATGTTTGCCAGGCTGGTGTCGAACTCCTGACCTCAAGTGATACACCCGCCTCAGCCTCCCAAAGTGCTATAGAAAATGATGGGGCCATGCCGGGCGCGGTGGCTCACGCCTGTAATCCCAGCACTTTGGGAGGCCGAGACGGGTGGATCACGAGGTCAGGAGATCGAGACCATCCTGGCTAACACGGTGAAACCCCGTCTCTACTAAAAATACAAAAATTAGCCGGGCGTGGTGGAGGGCGCCTGTAGTCCCAGCTACACGGGAGGCTGAGGCAGGAGAATGGGGTGAACCCGGGAGGCGGAGCTTGCAGTGAGTCGAGATCGCACCACTGCACTCCAGCCTGGGCGACAGAGCGAAACTCCGTCTCAAAAAAAAAAAAAAAAAAAAAGAAAATGATGGGGCCATGGCTAGGTGCGGTGGCTCACACCTGTAATCCCAGCACTTTGGGAGGCCGAGGCAGTGGATCACGAGGTCAAGAGATTGAGACTATCCTGCCCAACATGGTGAAACCCCGTCTCCACTAAAAAACAAGTACAAAAATTAGCTGGGCGTGGTGGCACACGCCTGTAGTCCCAGCTACTCGGGAAGCTGAGGCAGGAGAATGGCTTGAACCCAGGAGGCGGAGGTTGCAGTGAGCCAAGCTTGCACCACTGCACTCCAGCTTGGCAACAGAGTGAGACTCCGTCTCAAAAAAAAAAAAAAAAGAAAAGAAAAGAAAAAAGAAAATGGTGGAGCCAAGTGCAGTCGCTCACACCTCTAATCCCAGCCATTTGAGAGACCAAGGCAGGAGGATTTCTTGAGCCCAGGAGTTTGAGACCAGCCAGGACAACATAGTAAGGCGGAATGGGGGGTGGGGAAGATAAAAAGAAAATGGCGCAGGGAGGTTTAGTTCAAAAATCCAGTATTCTATATCAAAATATTTGAGACGCCTTGAAAGCAAACCACAGTAAAAGAAACACTAACATCTTTAAGTTTATAATAGGGAAAATAAATGAGACAGGCACAACTCGTTATTGAGGAAAAAATGTTTTTATTCCTATCTCACACCATCCATAAAGTCTTCCTGCACAAAACTCAGAAACCTCAAAGAAAAAGTGGACAGATTTCAAATAGTATCAATTAAAACTTTCATAACAGAGCAAAAAGACAAGTAACCAAATAAAAGTACTTGTAACATATATTACAAAGGATGAACTGGATAATAGAGGGCTTCTGTAACTCGTTAAGAATATAAGGAATCCTTTAGAAAAATAGGCTAAGGAGATGAATAGGCAATTCAGAAGTATGACAATCAATGAGCATGAGAAAAACTGTTCAATTAAAGTAAGATTTATTTTTTCCCTAATCTGAATGTCAAAAGTTTAAATGATTACATTAAATGTGGACTAGGGTAGGGGCCCCCAACCCCAAGGACACAGACTGGAGCCCACAGAAGGAGATGAGCAGTGAGCAAGCAGCAAAGCTTCATCTGTATTTACAGCTGCTCCCCATTGCTGGCATTACCACCTGAGCTCCACCTCTTGTCATATCAGCAGAGGCATTAGGTTCTCACAGGAGCGTGAACACTACTGTGAACTGTGCATGCAAGGGATCTAAATTGCATGTGCCTTATGAGAATCTAAAGCCTGATGATCTGTCACTCTCTCCCATTACCCCCAGATGGGATTGTCTAGTTGCTCAGAGCTCCCACTGATTATACATTATGATGAGTGGTAGAATTATTTCATTATATATTCCAATGTCATAATAGAAATAAAGTGCACAATCAATGTAATGCATTTGAATCATCCAGAAACCATCTCCCCAACCAGATCTGTGGAAAAATTGTCTTCCACAAAACTGGTCCCTGGTGCCAAAAAGGTTAGGGACCACTGGACTAGGGTACAGAGAAACTAGTATTTTAATACACTACTGGTGAAAGTATAAAGTGTAACATTTTGGGAGGGCAATATGGTAGTATCTATTAATACTGAAAAGCTCCTCAAGCCATCCATTCTACTTCTAAATATCTCCTCTAGATATGGATAAGAATTTTTTTCCAAGATTGTTTTTAATAGGGAGAAACCTAGAAGCAATCCTCAAGTTTATCAGTAGAGGATTGAATTAAAGTATGGTACATCCATATCATGGAATATTGTATAGAAGTTAAGAAAACCAGACAGAGTACACGTATTCACAGGGAAAGATCTAATACATGGTTAAACATAATACACAACCAAACGTACAGCAGGAGCCCATTTTGTAAATACATAGAAAATATCAAAAACTAAACTCATCAAAACTGGTGATTACTTCTAGGAAGAGGAATGGAATAGAACTATGGACTTTTACTTTACCTGAGTAATTTGGAATTTAAATAAGACTGATTAAGAAGTAAAAAAGAGCCGGGTGCAGTGGCTCACACCTGTAATCCCAGCACTCTGGGAGGGCAAGGCGGGTGGATCACTTGAGGTCAGGAGTTTGAGACCACCCTGACCAACATAGTGAAACCCCGCCTCTACTACACACACACACACACACACACACACACACACACACACACAAACTAGCCGGGCGTGGTGGCAAGTGCCTGTAATCCCAGCTACTTGGGAGGCTGAGGCAGGAGAATTGCTTGAACCCGGGATGCAGAGGTTGCAGTGAGCTGAGATCGCACCACTGCACTCCAGCCTAGGCAACAGAGTGAGACCCTGTCTCAAAAAAAAAAAAAAAAAAAAAAAGGAGGTAAAAAAGAATGATGAAAACACTAAAAATCATATCTGAAAAGTTTTTAACATGATAAAAAAAACTATATTGAACAAGGAAGAAAATATTTGCAAATCATAGATGTGATAAAGACTTGTATCTAGAATGTATAAAGAAGTCCTACAACTCAAAAAGACAGCCCAATTTAAAAACAGGCAAGGCCGGGCGCAGTGGCTCACGCGTGTAATCCCTGCACTTTGGGAGGCCGAGGTGGGCGGATCACTAGGTCAGGATATTGAGACCATCTTGGCTAACACGGTGAAACCCCGTCTCTACTAAAAACACAAAATATTAGCCAGGCATGGTGGCAGGCGCCTGTAGTCCCAGCTACTTGGGAGACTGAGGCAGGAGAATGGCGTGAACCCGGGAGGCGGAGCTTACAGTGAGCCGAGATTGAGCCACTGCACTCCAGCCTGGGCGACAGAGCAAGACTCTGTCTCAAAAAAAAAAAAAAAGAAAATTAACAAGTGCTATGAGAGGTGTGGGGAAATTGGACCCCTCATAGAGTACTTATGGGAATGTAAAATGGTGCAGCACTTTGAAGTTTGGCAGTTCCTCAAAAGGTTAAACATAGTTACCACTTAAGCCAGCAATTCTGCTCCTAAGTATATACCCAAGAGATATGAACACATACATCCACGCAAAAACCTGTCACATATGTTCACAGCAGCATTATTCATAATGGCCAAAAAGCGGGAACAACTCAAGTGTCCATCAAGAAGGCCAAGTTTTAAAAAAAGAAAGTCTCGGCCGAGTGCGGGAGTGGATCATCTGAGGTCAGGAGTTCGAGACCAGCCTGGCCAACATGATGAAACCCAGTCTCCACTAAAAATACAAAAATGAGCCAGGTGTGGTGGCCGGCGCCTGTAATCCCAGCTACTCGGGAGTGTGAGGCAGGAGAGTCGCTTGAACCCGGGAGGCAGAGGTTGCAGTGAGCCGAGACCGTGCCATCCCCGGAGGCAGAGGTTGCAGTGAGCCGAGACCGTGCCATTGCACTCTAGCCTGGAGGACAGAGCGAAACTCCGTCTCAAAAAATAAAAAAAAAGAAAAAGTCTCGTATTAAGGTCCACAAAGCAACTGTGCATTCACTAATTAAATATCAACTCGTAAGAAAAAAGTGGAGGAGGGAGGAATACTTCTATTAATATGGAAGTTAAATCTAAATCATACAGGCTTTTTGACAAGGTAATCGTATTTTAGAGACCATTCATTTACGAGAATAACCCAAAGGAAGGAAAATGAGACGCAGATAAACATATTCTGAGTAGTGCTATTTTATAATAGTAAATACTGGAAGGAATCCCAGTTTCTCACAATAAAGTGGGTAAACTCTGGTTATAAAAAATAAAAAAAAAACTATATAGTGTTTTTATATTGTATTTAATAAAAATGTCAAGCATGTGGATTACATCCATAACTAAAATTGGATAATTATTCAATCACAAAACACACATTTAAGCAATATACAAGGTAGAGAGAGACACCTGAGAATAAAAAATACTGTGCCAGAGCAATGCTTCTCAAACCTTAATGTGCATAAGAATCATCAGGGAATTTACAAGCTTTTTCATTTTAGCCTTGTTTGGTTGGGCTCAGGCATTATCTCTAAAATGAGATTCTAAGGTATGCCTATCAAGTTAATTGCTGTAGTGCACTAAAATGGCAATACTGTGTTTCTGCAATGGGACTATGAATTTGTTTTAACTTTCCAAATTATTTATAATACTGCAATGTACTATATAATAATGCTGTATGGTATATTACATAATGATTAAAAACACAGGATTCTACCGAGGACAAGAGAAGTTGGTTAAAATCAAAGCCAGTAAGTGGGCAGAATCAGAACTGGACAGAACGATCCGACTCCAAGGCCAGCATCTTAACTTCAAGCTTCTCAAACTGCGGCAACGCACATTCTCCTGGGGCGGCATTTAACACCGACAATAATGAAACTGGACCTATAACCGAGCAACGAGTTAAGTCGGCAAGGACGGTTTCTAGAAGCTCGAGACAAGAGAAACTGGGGGCTCGCGGCTCCGCCCCCAGATCGTCTCCCCGCCCTCGGGGGCGCTCGGGCGGAAAAGTTTGGAGGCGCGACGGCCCCGGGGCCTTTCTACTCCCCAGCCTTCACGCTCCGTTTCCTTTACTTCGACCTTCATCTCTGTCGGCCTCTCCCAACATCTCGGCCTCCCCCGCGGACCCGAACAGAGGCAAAACAAACGCCAGCTACCCCGCCCCCGCCTCGGCCCCCAGGCCGAGCCCTCGCCTCAGGTCCGGGGAGGCCTCCCCCACAACCTCGGCCCGCAGGCCCGGCGCCCGCGGCCCGACCCCACTCACAAGAGGAAGCTCATCTTCGGTCCTCAGAGGGGAGGCGAGGGGCCCCTGGCCCCCGCCTGGATCAGGATTCGGAGCTGGCTAGAGGGAGCGGACCGTCCTTAGCTCACGGGCAGCGGAAGCCGGGCCGCCGCCGCTCGGAGCCGGGTTTCTGGCCGCTGCGAGCCTTTGCAAACCTCGGCGCCCGCCTTGCCCGCCTACCCCACCTCGCAGACCCGAAATGCGGAACCAACAAAATCTCGCGAGCTAAGGTTTCGCTGCGCCGGGAGGGACTTGTCGCGCCCCCTTTCGCTCCGCCTCGTCCTAGAACTCGGCCAATCATCGCTCTCCAAGCCAGGACCTCCCTCCCCCGGAGGCGTGGCGAGGATGGCGGTCCTGCGGAAGGGGCAGTGGCTGGTCCTGCTCTTAGAGTATCTTGGTGCTGCTGGGTTTCGATCCCGCTCCCTAGGTTATGCAGGGACCTCTATAAGCGCTGCGTACTCCTGCAATTTTTAAAATTGTTAATTTAATTTTTACTTGAAATATATTCACATAGCATAAAATCTGTCCTTTAAACATGTACCCTCTAGTGGTCTTTTTCGGTTTTTTCTTTCTTTTTTTTTTTTTTTTCTGAGGTGTCTCGCTCTGTCGCCCAGACTGGAGTTCACAGTTCACTGCAGCCTGGACTTCCTGGGCTTAAGTGATCCTCTCGCCTCAGCCTCCCGAGTAGCTGAGACCACAGGTGCCTGCCACCACGCCCGGCTAATTTTCTCAAAGTTTTTGCAGAGACGAGCGTCTCACTGTGTTGCCCAAGCTGGTCTTGGACTCCTGAGCTCAAGGGATCCTCCTGGTTTGACCTCCCAAAATGCTGGGATCACAGGTGTGAGCCACTGCCTCCGGCTTTGTTTATGTTTTCAAAGTGTGCCAACCATCAGCACTAATTTTTTTTTTTTTTTTGACAGAGTCTCACTTTGTAACCCAGGCTGGAATGCAGTGGTGCAATCTCGGCCCGTTGCAACCTCTGCCTTCCAGATTCAAGTGATTCTCATGCCTCAGCCTCCCGAGTAGCTGGGATCACAGTCGTGCGCCACCACACCCGTCTAATTTTTGTATTTTTTTTTTTTTTTTTTTTTAGTAAAGACGGGGTTTCGCCATGTTGGCCAGGCTGGTCTCGGTCTTGAACTCCTGACCTCAAGTGGTCCACCCGCCTCGGCCTCCCAAAGCTGGGATTACAGGCGTGAGCCACCGCGCCCAGCCTAACCATAATTTTAGGCCATTTTCATCACCCCGAAAAGAAACCCCATACCTATTAGCAGTTACTCTTTATTACCCACCTCCCTCCTCCCAACCCCTGGCAACCACTACTCTACTTTCTATTTCCATGGATTTACCTAATCTGGACATTTCATATACACTGTGAATGGAAGCATACATTATGTGGTCTTTTGTGACTGACTTCTTTCACTTAGCATAATGTTTTAAAACGCACCCATATTGTAGCATGTATCAAAGCTTCATTACTGGCCAGGCACAGTTGTGGCTTACGCCTGTAATCCCAGCACTTTGGGAGTCTGAGGCTGGCGGATCACTTGAGCTCAGGAGTTCGAGACCAGCCTGGGCAACATGGTGAAACCCCGCCTCTACAAAAACACAAAAATTAGCCAGGCGTAATGGTGTGTGCCAGTGGTCACAGCTATTCGGGAGGCTGAGGCGGGAGGATTCCTTGAGTCCAGGAGATGGAGGCTGCAGTGAGCCAAGATGGCGCCACTTCACTCCAGCCTGGGTGACAGAGCCAGATCCTGTCTCTAAAACAAAAAAAAAAAAAAGAAAAAAGAAAAAAACTTTATTTCTTTCTATGGATGAGTAATATTCCATTATGTGAATATACCACATTCTGTTTACCCATTCATCTGTTGAGGAACATTTGGGTTGTTTCCACTTTTTGTCTATTATTAATAATGCTGTCGTGAACATTCATGTACAGGCTTTTGTGTGGTATTAATGCCAAGTGACAGCCAAGCAACGCCTTCATTCCACCATGGTGGAATGAAGAAAACAAAAGGAAAATAGTGGGAGACTTCAGTCATAGCTCAGCAAATGGTGGTGCAGGGTGCTCAATGTAAAGGAGTTTGCCCTGTACCTGACTGCACAATGTTCATGTTTCCAGTAATTTTATTTCATTCATATATCACTTGTCACATTAAGTTAATGATGTTAGGGCACATGAGACTGTATTAAATTATATTTACTATTTCTTGAATATATTTTTCAGTCAGTTATGTAAAGCAAATTTACATACTCTTTTTCCTCCCCTGAAAAAAATAAATTAATAATTTTAATTTTTTAAACTTTTGTAGTTTTTTGGAATTTGATTTATAAATAAATGCGATTTGATATCGCTATATGGAAGTTACAAATATAGGAACACAGATTTAGGCCGGGCGAGGTGGCTCACACCTGTAATCCCAGCACTTTGTGAGGCTAAAGTGGGCAGATCACTTGAGCTCAGGGGTTTGGGACCAGCCTAGGCAACATGGCAAACCCCCATCTCTACAAAAAAAAAAAAAGATAGCCGGGTGTGGGGGTGCACGCCTATAGTCCCAGCTACTTGGGAAGCTGAGGCGGGAGGATGGGTTGAGCCCTGGAGGTAGAGGCTGCAACGAGCCGAGATCACACCACTGTACTCCAGCCTGGGTGACAAAAGTGAGGCCCTGTCTCAAAAAAAAAAAAGAAAAAAGGTACATCTATTTATACTTCTGTGGTAATTTATATTACTTAAATAATATCATAAAAACAATTTCCAAATAACATGGGAAAAAAGAAATTCATGAAAGGTTTCCCTCTTTCAATGGTATTTTTCTTCAAGTTGAAGAATCACTGAGGATAGAAGTCCAGCTATTTATAAGAAAAACCTTTCAGGATGGCTAAATTTGGTTGGGGTAGCAGGGAGGGAGGATTTCAGGGTTAGGGAAAAATCCTCAATCAATATTTAAGCACGATATCAACATAGTTCACTTAGATATCAAAGATAAGATTTTTCCAGTAAAAGAGAGAAAAAGAAATTGTTCATTGCTAATTGCTACAGGACAATTTGTTCCCTACCAGACAAGGTCTATACAAAGACCGAAGAAGTTTTATTCACTTCTTGGCTTAGCCGGCCAGAGATCACTGCACACCATCTGGTCACAGCAGATGCTGAAAGCAGAAGCTAAGCGGCAAATTATGAGGCCTCCAGGACTAGATCTTCTGAACCTCTCCCCACCCGCCTTTCATCACACACAGTTCCCCTTTCTAGCTCCCTGAGGCAGGATTTGCAACTCTGCATTTTCATTCTGTGTAAGTGCCCATCCTATCATTTGCAAAACTCCCGTTTTACCCTAACAACCTCACCCACACAGGGCATCTTCCCACTTTGGTCGCAGTAACGTTCCTGCCCCTCCCAGCCAGTTGGTGCTGTTGGGAGCTCAAGCTTTTTTTTTTTTTTTTAAACAAAAACAAACAAACAAAAAACTCTACTCCTGTGACAGATTAAGGAATTTTAATCTTTGTCACAAATAGGTGAAGAGAAACAAACAGTAAAGTTGCTAACCAGCCTGGGCAACATGGTGAAACCCCTTCTCTACAAAAAATACAAAAATTAGCTGGGCATGGTGACTTGAGTCTGTAGTCCCAGCTACTCTGGAGGCTGAGGTGGGAGGATCCCTTGAGCCCAGGAAGTCCAGGCTGCAGTGAAAGGAGACTGTGCCACTGCACTCCAGCCTGGGCATCAGAGAGAGACCCTGCCTCAAAAAAATAAAAATAAAATAAAATAAGTTGGTAAGCTGTCCCTGTCCATTATCTCAGTACTCAGGTTGCAGACTTTGCAGACTGTGAAGGAGAAATCCCAATTTATCAGAAATCAAAAACTCACTCAGCGGCTGGGCATGGTCGCTTACGCCTGTAATCCCAGCACTTTGGGAGGCCAAGGTCGGCAGATCACTTGAAGCCAAGAGTTCGAGACCAGCCTGGCCAACATGGTGAAACCCCCATCTCTACTAAAAATACAAAAATTAGCCGGGCGTGGTGGCGTGCACCTGTGGTCCCAGCTACTAGGGAGGCTGAGGCAGGAGAATCACTTGAACCCTGGAGGCGGAGGTTGCAGTGAGCCGAAATCGCACCACTGCACTCCAGCCTGGACGACAGAGCCAGACTCTGTCTCAAAAAAAACAGAAAAAGAAAAAAAAATACAAAAATTAGCCAGGCATAGTGGCGTGTGCCTGTAGTCCCAGCTGAGGCTGGGAGGCTGAGGCACGAGAATCACTTGAACCCAGTAGGCAGAGGCTGCAGTGAGCTGAGATCATACCACTGCACTCCAGCCTGGGTGACTGAGCAAGACTCTGACTCAAAAATGAAATAAAATAGGCCAGGCGCGGTGGCTCACGCCTGTAATCTCAGCACTTTGGGAGGCCGAGGTGGGCGGATCACCTGAGGTCGGGAGTTCGAGACCAGCCTGACCCACATGGAGAACCCCATCACTACTAAAAATACAAAATTAGCCGGGCTTGGTGGCACATGCCTATAATCCCAGCTACTTGGGAAGGCTGAGGCAGGAGAATCGCTTGAACCTGGGAGGTGGAGGTTGCGGTGAGCCGAGATCACGCCATTGCACTCTAGCCTGGGCAATAAGAGCAAAACTGTGTCTCAAAAAAAAAAATTAAATTAAATAAATACAAAAATTAGCCGGGCGTGGTGGTGCACGCCTGTATTCCCATCTACTTGGGAGGCTGAGGCAGGAGAATTGCTTGAACCTGGGAGGCAGAGGTTGCAGTGAGCCAAGATCGTGCCACTGCACTGCAGCCTGGGCAACAGAGTGAGACCCTGTCTCAACAAACAAATATTAGTGTCACTAAAGTTAATATACAATCCCCTACTGGTAAATTTAACTGGCTTAAAAAAATTTTTTAACAGTAATTCAAAAAAAATTTTTTTTGAGACAGGATCTGGCTCTGTCACCCAGGCTAGAATGCAGTAGTGTGACCGTAGCTCATTGCAGCCTCAACCTCCCAGGGTCAAGTGATCCTCCCACCTCAGTCTCCCAAGTAGTTGGGACTAGAGGCTCACTCCACCACACCTGGCTAAATTTTTTTATTTTGTAGAGACAGGGTCTCACTATGGTTTTGAACTCCTGGGCTCAAGGATCCTCCCTCCTTAGTCTCCCAAATTTCTGGGATTACAGGCATGAGTGAGCCACTGTGCCTGGCAACATTTTTTTTTAAAGCATGTTACAAGAGAGACCTAAGAGAGACTGAGGAGTCTTAGGAGATGTCATTTAAGCCTAGTCTCCAGAAGATGAGTTAGCTGAATGGAGAGAAAAAAGAGATCTGCTCAGAGTCCATAGCATGTGCGAAGGTTCTGAAGCAAGTAAGAGTTTGTTGTGTTCAAGGAACTGAAAAAAGCCCAGTGTGATGAGAATGTGACAGACAAGGGGGAAAGTGAGGGGAGATGAAACCAGCCACCAAGAATCTTGGATCTTATTTGGAGCAAGGTGGCCAGACATTGAAAGGGTTTCAGGACAAGCATGACACCATTTACTCTTTAAAAAACCGAGACAGTGGCCAGGGGTGGTGGCTCACACCTGTAACCCCAGCATTTTGGGAGATTAAGCGGGGAGGATCCTTGAGCCTAGGAGTTCAAGATCAGCCTGGGAAACATAGGGAGACTCCATCTCTACAAAAAATACAAAAATTAGCCAGGTGTGGTGATGTGCCTGTAGTCCTAGCTACTCAAGAGGCTAAGGTGAGAGGATTGCTTGAGCCTGAGAGGTTGAGGATGCTGTGAGCTGTAATCAATCCACCGCACTCTAGCCAGGGTGATAGAGTAAGCCCCTGTCAAAAAAAAAAAAGCGAAGCAGTTAAGAGGTTATTGTATTTGTCTGAGTAGGAGATGGAGTTGACCTGGCCTAGGTCAATAGAGAGAGGTAGATGGAATTGAGATTTATTTTAGAGAAAAAAATACACAAGTCTCAATGAAGAGCTGGATGTGGAGTCAAGGCTGATTCCTGTGTCTTTGGCACAAGCAGCTGGTAGCTGGTTGTTCCCATTTACTGAGATGGAAAAGACTGGGTGGGAAGAAAGTAGCTTTAGGGGTACATCAGGGGTCTGTTTTGGATGCATTAACTCTGAAATGTTAGACTATATAGATATATACAGATTTGGAACTCAAAGAAGAGGCCTGGATGGATGGATATAAACTTGGGAGTTATCAGCATATAGATATTTACAGACATGGAAGTGCGTAAAATAGCTGAGGGGACGGTAAAGAGGAAGAGGTGCCAAAATGGAGCCTTGAGGATGTCTGATATATATATTTATAATATATATTTATATATACATATATATATATATTTTTTTTTTCGAGACAGTCTTGATCTGTCATCCAGGCTGGAGTGCAGTGGTGCGATCTTGGCTCACTGCAACCTCTACCTCCTGGGTTCAAGCAATTCTCGTACCTCAGCCTCCCGAGTAGCTGGGATTACAGGTACATGCCACCACGCCCAGCTAATTTTTGTATTCTTAGTGGAGATGGGTTTCACCATGTTGGCCAGGCTGGTCGTCTTGAACCTTTTTTTTTTTTCTTTTTTTTTTTGAGATGGAGTCTCGCTTTGTCACCCAGGCTGGAATGCAGTGGTGCCATCTCGGCTCACTGCAACCTCAGCCTCCCAGGTTCAAGCAATTCTCCTGCCTCAGCCTCCTGAGTAGCCGGGATTACAGACGCGCACCATGACGCCCGGCTAATTTTTGTATTTTTAGTAGAGACAGGGTTTCACCATGTTGGTCAGGGTGGTCTCAAACTCCTGACCTCGTGATCTGCCCGCTTTGGCCTCACAAAGTGGTGGGATTACAGGCATGAGCCACCGCGCCCGGCCCAGACTTCCGACATTTAAAGACCACAAGGGAAGAAACTTACAAAGGAGGTTGAGAAGAGGCAGTCAGAGAAACGGAAGGGAAACTAAGAGGGAGTATTACAAAAGCAAGAGAAGAGTGTTTAAGAATGATCTATTCGGCCGGGTGCGGTGGCTCACGCCGTAATCCCAGCACTTTGGGAGGCTGAGGAGGGCAGATCACAAGCTCAGGAGATCGAGACCATCCTGGTTAACACGGTGAAACCCCGTCTCTACTAAAAATAGAAAAAATTAGCCGGGTGTGTTGGTGGGCGCCTGTAGTCCCAGCTACACGGGAGGCTGAGGCAGGAGAATGGCGTGAGCCCGAGAGTCGGAGCTTGCAGTGAGCCGAGATCACACCACTGCACTCTAGCCTGGGCGACAGAGCGAGACTCCGTCTCAAAAAAAAAAAAAAAAAAAAAAAAAAAAAAAAAAAAAAGAATGATCTATTCAATGATCTTGAAAGTTCCTGTAAGAGGAGGACAGAAGGAGGAAGTTGATAAATGTGGTGACATTGGGAAAGTCCTCTGACAGCATTCTCATTGTCACGCTCCACGGCAGTGGTTCAGGAGTGAACACCCACAAAAGACATTGGTCTAGGGGGAGGGATTCAGGCAGGAATCAAGGGTACAGATGACAATCTATGTTGCCAGGCACGGCCTGTAGTTCTCTGACTACAGAGTAGCCTTCTCTGAAGGTGCATTTTTTTTTTTTTTGTGATAGAGTCTCGCTCTGTCGTCCAGGCTGGAGTGCAGTGGTGCGATATTAGCTCATTGCAACCTCTGCCCGATTCTCCTGTCTCAGCCTCCCGAGTAGCTGGGATTACAGGCACATGCCACCACACCCGGCTAATTTTTGCATTTTTAGTAGAGACAGGGTTTCACCATGTTGGCCAGGCTGGTCTCAAACTCCTGACCTCAGGAGATCTGCCCGCCTCGGCCTCCCAAAGTGCTGGGATTACAGGCGTGAGCCACCGTGCCTGGCCTGAAGGTGCACTTTTGAGTGAGATATGATGACAAAATTTTGGCTCATATTGTTGACAAAAATTTGCCTAATATTGTTTTCAACTGTGGAGAGACCCCAATCACCCTGAAGTTTTTTATTTTTTTGAGACAGAGTCTTGCTCTTGTCGCCCAGGCTGGAGTGTAAAGGCGCGATCTCGGCTCACTGCAACCTCTGCCTCCTGGATTCAAGCAATTCTCCCACCTCAGCCTCCTGAGTAGCTGGGATTACAGGCATGCACCACCACGCCCGGCTAAAGTAGAAATGGGGTTTAGTAGGAATGGGGTTTCACTATGTTGGCCAGGCCGGTCTTGAACTTCTGACCTCAGGCGATCTGCCCACTCGGCCTCCCAAAGTGCTGGGATTATAGGCATGAGCCACCGCGTCTGGCCCACTCTGAAGTTTTAAAATGCCTCTACTCTTTTTTTTTTTCTTCTTGAGACGAAGTCTTGCTCTGTTGCCTAGGCTGGAATGCAATGGCGCGATCTTGGCTCACTGTAACTGCGGCCTCCCAGGTTCAAGCAATTCTCCTGCCTCAGCCTCCCACGTAGCTGAGACTACAGGTATGTGCCACCATCCCTGGCTAATATTTGTATTTTTTAGTGGAGACAGGGTTTCACCACACTGGCCAGGCTTGTCTTGAACTCCTGACCTCAGGTGATCCACCTGCCTCGGCCTCCCAAAGTGCTGGGATTTTAGGCGAGAACCACTGTGCTCAGCCAAAATGCCTCTACTTTTATATTTTTATTATTTTCCTTTGTTGTCTTAACTCTAACTCACTAGTTGTGTAACTAATGTAAGTTATTTAACCTCTTTGTGCCTCAGTTTCCTCATCTGCAAAATAGGAATAAGAGTAGGACCAATGTGAAGATTAAATATGCATGTAAAATGCTCAGAACGGTAAGTGGTATATGTTGGTTATTATTATTATTTTGTTAATGTACTTTTTCCCTGCTTCCCCTCATACTGGCTATTATTATTAGTCAGAAGCTAAGGTTTGTGTTGTTGACTTCTTTCCTTCTCTCTTAAAGTTCAAAAATGATTATTTCTCTTGTATCTTAAGAAAGAAAGAAAATGGATTTGAAAATTAGATTGGCCACTTACTATCTGTGTGAGGTTACTTACCTCTTTGTGCCTCAATTTCCTCTTCTGTAGAATGAGAATAATAGTAGTATACTGCTTTATAGGGTCATTGCGAGGATTAAGTGAGTTACTAAGCATAAAGCAGTTGGTACAGTGACTAGCACATAGTAAGGGCTAACTGTTAGTTACGTTGTTCTCTGCAGCAAATCATTTCTCCCAATATTGTTACTAACTTTAAAATGCTGAATGTGGAGCATCGATAGTGGCAGGAGGCAGACAAATGCCTAGGCAGACAGGGGCAGGTCCCTGGTGAAACCCAACCTTCAAACCAAAGACAGTTTTAAAGCCTGAAAGTCAAGCTACGAGTCCTGGGTAAATCCATGGACTGGATTGAGAGCCTCTCTTCCTGTTTGGTATGCTTTCCTCTGATTGATTCCCACCCTTCACCTATTTTACATATACTTACCTTCCCTAATTGGTTTTTTACACTGTCATGCCCACCTTTGAGTGGTGCCTTTGTTTTAGCCTTTTTGCATACTCACAAACCTATCAGCACACACTCCCCGTTCTGAGCCCATAAAAGCCCTGCAACCAGCCATACTGGGAGGGAGACCATCTGACTTTGGGTGGGGGATCACCCTGTCATCTCCTCTCCACTAAGAGCTGTTCTGTCACTCAATAAAATTCTTCTCCACCCTCCTCACACTTCCACTGTCAGCATAACCTCATTCTTCCTGGATGCAGGACAAGAACTCAGGGATTGCCAAATGTGGATACGAGCTGCAACACAGGCGGGTTGGGGCATGCCCAGCATAGCTGTGGGATGAGCGCGGATCCTGCAGCCAGCACAGGATCTGGGCCAGTGTGCAAGCCAGGTGTGGCCCAGCTGGCCAAGTGGACGGGGCAACTCCTGTGGCAGGCCTGGGGCCAACAGGCCCAGGTGGGGATGACACTGGCCATGGAGGTCCCTGGCTGGCAAAGTGACCAAGAAAAATCCTGCATCACTGTCATCTCAGCACTTTGAGAGGCCAAGGTGGGAGGATCACTTGAGCCCAGGAGGTCGAGGCTGCAGTGAGCCATGTTGGGACCACTACATTCTAGCTTGGGTAACAGAACAAGACCCTATCTCAAAAAAAAAAAAAAAAAAGTTCAATTTAATAAAATCAGGACTAATAACTGTGTAGAACTTTTTTCATGATAATTATGGCTACAATTCACTTGTAATTAATTGTAAGGAGATGATAAGCAAAAACATGATGAATCGGCATCTAAGTACTGAAGGAAGTCAGACAATCATCTCCAAAACAACTTCTGGTGCTACTGTCAGAATAATTTATTTTTAAGCACATTGGTGAACATCATCTCTATTTCATAAAACAATCATACAAAATTTTTATTTTTATTTTTTTTTTTTTTGAGACAGGGTCTCGCTCTGTCACCCAGGCTGGACTGCAGTGGTGTGATCATGGCTCGCTGCAGCCTCAACCTTCCACACTCGAGCCATCTTCCCACCTTGGCCAAGTAGCTAGGATTATAGGCACACACCACCACGCCTGGCTAATTTTTGTATTTTTTGAAGGTCCCACTGTGTTGCCCAGGCTGGTCTTGAACTCTTGGGCTCAAGCAATCCTCTTGCCTTGACCTCCCAAAGTGCTAGGATTACAGGCATAAGCCACCACACCCAGCCCAAAATTTTCATAGATGGCAAAAATTTAATAAGAGTTGTTTGGTTTTTAAAAATTAACGAATAAGTTAAATTTATTCTGTCACCTCCTTAATTTCACAGAGTGAAATTAAATTCACTCTGTCACCCAGGCTGGAGTACAGTGGCATGATCTTGGCTCACTGCCTCCTCCACCTCCCGAGCTCAGGTGATCCTCCCACCTCGGCCTCCTGAGTAGCTGGGACTACAGGTGCACACCACCACACTCAGCATGTATTTCTATTTTTAGTAGAGACAGGCTTTTACCATGTTGCCCAGGCTGGTCTCGAACTCCTGGGCTCAAGTGATCCGCTGGCCTCAGCCTCCCAAAGTGCTAGGATTACAGGTGTGAGCCATTGGGCCCAGCCAAGAGTTGTTTTAGCAGGCAAAAAAGAAGAAAAAGGAGGAAGAAAACAAAGAAGATGGAAAAGAAGGAAAAGGACGGGGAGGGAAGGGAAGGAGAGGGGAAAGGAGAAGGGGAGGGAGAGGAAAAGAAAAAGGTTTGTTAGAGTGTAACCTTCAGTACGAATCATTTCCTTAAGTCTTCTGTGACCTTGTCAGGGGTTCCTTCTCCTGCATTCTGGCCAATGTGTTCTGCCAAATGCCCTGTCTTCAACCAGAACTAACAACAGTACTAGTTAGGTTTTGTGGATGAACATGGATTTTGGATGAAGACAGGCTTATATTTAATCCTGGCACTGCCATTACTAGCTGGTGACCATGGGCAAATTACTTTCACTTTGTGAATCTGTCTCTTCTTTTTTAATATAGAGATAATATGATACAGTATTGACCTCACAGGAAGGTTAGCATTATGAATAAATGTAGGGGAAGAATCTAGCACAGTGCCTGATGCATGATTAATGGTCCATAAACGTAGTGCCCTTATTCCTCACCCTTTGACTCCCTATCCCTTTTTCTATCCTGTTAAATAAGTAAGATTTCCTTACTTTTCCTTGAAATTAGAAGAAAATCTCTTTGCATCTACTTAGGTGCCACATTGACTCCTCCCAAATCCAGAGGTGCCCCTTAAACTGAAAGCACCCCTAGTTCAAGGCAACAAACAAGAGTTGAAGAGGCACCTAAGCCCAAATTCTCAGGTCGGAGTTCTCCAAACACGGGATCCTTAAGCAGCTGCCTTTCATCCCCCTTGGTTCATGAAGATGTACAGAGGGGCCCTGTCACTGGCAGCATAATTGCTTGAACCCAGGAAGTGGAGGTTGCTGTGAGCCGAGATCGTGCCACTGCACTCCAGCCTGGGTGACAGAATGAGACCTCAATCTCTGTCTAAAAAAAAAAAAAGCCTGGGCGTGGTGGCTCACTCCTGTAATCCCAGCACTTTGGATGCTGAGGTGAGCAGATCACGAGGTCAGGAGTTCGAGACCAGCCTGACCAACATGGTGAAACCCCGTCTCTACTAAAAATATAAAAATTAGCTGGGCGTGGTGGCGTGCGCCTGTAATCCCAGCTACTCAGGAGGCTGAGGCAGGAGAATCACTTGAACCTGGCAGGCGGAGGATGCAGTGAGCTGAGATTGCGCCACTGCACTGTAGCCTGAGTGACAGAGCAATACTCCATCTCAAAAAAAAAAGATATGTTTGGTCATTAATGTGCTGTCTGCTTGCACACTAAAGATGAATGAGATGAATCATGAGATATAAATTGCCCTGGTTAAATAAGCCTACATCCACTATTGTTGAAGATAGACAGGTGCACAAACAACATCAAGATGTTCTTAGAGTTGCAATAGGAGTATTCCTACATGCTACAATAGCCCAGAGGAAAATGCAATTCATTCTGTCTGTTTTGTGTTGCAGCAAAAAGTTTATTTTGCCTATGTGCGGTCCTGATTCCTGGTTATGTGTCTATGAAGCATTCAGACTCACTTAAAGTGGAGGACTAGGGGCCAGGTTTTTAAGTCAGGCAGGGTAGGGGTACAGGGAGCAGAGAAAGGAGTGTAATCAAACACCATGCAGAAGTGCAGGGTATGCTTAGAGTATAGAGGGCAGAGCAAAGAAAGACGAGGCAGAAAGACTAGCTGGGGTGGGATATAGACAGGCTTGAGCACCTCCACCTCACAGAATTTGGACTAAAATTGGGGCAAAAAATATTTTTGTTAAACAAAAGAGATTTTATTTTATTTTTATCATTATTTTGAAACAGGTTCTTGCTCTGTCACCCAGGGTGGAGTGCAGTAGCACAAGGTGCATCCCGGGATCAAGCCTTCCTCCTGTCTCAGCCTCCCCAGTAGCTGAGACTGATACAGGAGGTAGAAAGAAATTATTTAGGCAGATAGTGAGGGCAAATGAGTCCTCAGCAGAGCTTCCTTTCTAACAAAAAGCAGCCCAAGAAATTAGTTTTCTCCTAACAAAAAGTAGCCTGAAAAATCTAGCTGCAAACATAGGTAAGCAAGCTGGAACATTGCACAGGGGAATGCTGGCAGCTGTGTCAATAGAAAAGGGGTACCTGGGGGCCAGGCATGTCCATCATGGAAGCTTCATCTTCCTTTTTGTTAGCACGTGTACAGTAAGAAAGAAGTGGGCAACATGGCACAGCTTAGGCTGAAAACCCGCCTGCATAATAAAATACTGGGGTGGGGGCTGCCAGAAAATCGTGCCCCATGCAAATGGCACACCTGGTCCTAACCAGCTTTTTGTGCCCTACGTAGATCAGACACAACTTTCCAACCAGCTCATCTATAAAACCTTCTGCATTTCACCGTGGGTCGACAACCCATTTTTCTGGGACCCCTCTCTGTAGCAGAGAGCTATTTTCTTTCTTTTGCCTATTAAACTTCCTGCTGTTAACCTCACTCTTTGTGTGTCCATGTCCTTGATCTCTGTGGCTGTGAGACAATGAACCTCAGGTTTTACCCCAGACAATGAGGCTGCTTCAAGACTACAGGTGCATGCCACCAAAGCCAGCTAATTTTAAAATATTTTTTAAAGACAGAATGTGAACCCAAAATATTTGAGATAGGTCTCAATCTATTTAGAAAGTTTAGTTTGCCAAGCTTAAGCATGCACCCATGATACAGCCACATCAGAAGGTCCTGATTACATGTGCCCAAGGTGGTCAGGGTACAGCTTACTTTTATTCATTTGAGGGAGACATGAGACATCAATCAATATGTGTAATATGTACATTAATTCGGTCCCAAAAGATGGGACAATTCAAAGTGGGGAGTGGTGTGGGGAGGCTTTTACGTCATAGGTAGATAAGATACAAAAGGCTGCATTCTTTTGAGTCCTTGATCAGCGTTTCACTGAATACACAATTTAGTCTGGCTCAGTGAATCTGCATTTTTACATAAACAATAGGGGAGGCCGGACACAGTGGCTCACGCCTGAAATCCCAGCACTTTGGAGGCCAAGGCGAGCAGATCTCCTGAGGTCAGGAGTTCGAGACCAGCCTGGCCAACAGGATGATACCCCATCTCTAGTAAAATATAAAAATCAGCTGGGCATAGTGGCGGGCACCTGTAATCCCAGCTACTCGGGAGGCTGAGGCAGGAGAATCACTTGAACCCAGGGGGCGGAGGTTGCAGTGAGCTGAGATCACGCCATTGCACTCCAGTCTGGGCAACAAGAGCGAAACTCTCTCTCAAAAAAAAACAAAAACAAACAAAACAAAACAAAACAATAGGGCAGAGGAAGCAATCAGATATGCATTTGTCTCAGGTAAGCAGAGGGATGACTTTCTGTCCTGCATCTGTGAAGATCATCTATCAATTTACATTGCCAGGATGAAATTCAACAGAACTGTTTTCAGGTAAAGATCTTGAGACCCACAAGGAATTTCCTTGTGGGCAAATTGTGAGGAAGATATGCAGCTTTCTTTTTTTTTTTTTTTTTTAATCTTTGTAGCTATCTTATTGGGGAATAAATTGGAAGGCAGGTTTGCCTGACATAGTTCCCAGCTTGACTTTCCCCTCAGTTTAGTGATTTTAGAGTCTGAAATTAATTTTCCTTTCACAGGGTGTCACTATGTTGCCCAGGCTGGTCTCAAACTCCTGGGCTGAAGTGATCCTCCCACCTTGGCCTCCCGAAGTGCTGGGATTACAGGTGTGAGCCACCATGCCCAGCCCATTTCATTATTATTATTATTATTATTATTATTATTATTTTATTTATTTTTATTTTTGGGACAGAATCTCGTTCTGTTGTCAGACTGGAGTGCAGTGGCATGATCTCGGCTCACTACAGCCTCTGCCTCCTGGGTTTAAGCGATTCTTCTGCCTCAGCCTCCTGAGTAGCTGGGACTACAGGCATGTGCCACCATGCCCAGATAATTTTTGTATTTTTAGTAGACATAGGGTTTCACCATGTTGGCCAGGATTGTCTCGATCTCTTGACCTCATGATCCGCCCGCCTCTGCCTCCTAAAGTGCTGGGATTACAGGCGTGAGCCCCTGTGCCCGGCCGAGACAGAATCTCTGTCACCCACACTGGAGTGCAGTAATCCAATCATAGCTCACTGCTGCCTCAACCTCCGGGGTCAAGTGATCCTTCCATCTCAGCCTCCCGAATAGCTGGGACCACAGGTGTGCACCACAACGCCTGGCTAAGTTTTTTATTTTTTTGTAGAGATGGGGTCTCACGATGTTGCCCAGGCTGGTCTTGAACTCCTGGGCTCAAGCAATTCTCCCACCTCAGCCTCTCAAAGCACTGGGATTACAGGCATGAGCCACCCTGTTAGACTATTTAGCCTGTTAGACTATTTAGCCTAGTCTAAATAAATGATATTTTAAGAGAGTGGGAGCGTAGAAGCAGGTCCTTTTGTGAAGCATATTAAAAATATATAATAATGTTCACACATGGGTTTCGTAACTCCCCAGTGGGCTCATCTTGCCTGCTGCCTAGATACAGCCCATTTATCAAGACACAGGAATTATAATACAGAGAGCGTTTAATACACAGAGAGCTGGCTAAACCGAAGACTGGAATTTTTTTTTTTTTTTTTGAGACAGAGTCTTGCTCTGTCACCCAGGCTGAAGCGCAGTGGCTCACTGTGACCTCCCGCCTCCCGGGTTCAAGCAATTCTCCTGTCTCAGCCTCCTGAGTAGTTGGGATTACAGGTGCATGCCACCATGCCTGGCTAATTTTTTTTTTTTTTTTTTTTTTTTTGTATTTTTAGTAGAGACGGGGTTTCACCATGTTGGCCGGGCTGGTATCAAACTCCTGACCTTGTGATCCACCCACCTCGGCCTCCCAAAGTGCTGGGATTACAGGCATGAGCCACCGCGCCAGGCCAGAGTTTTATTATTACTCAAATCAGCCTCCCAGAAAGTTTGGGTGTTTCAAGGATAGTTTTGTCCATGCCCAGGAATGACCAAGGGAAGTTTGGAAGTTAAAGGCAAGATGAAGTTGGTTAGATCAGATCATTAATGAAAGTGGTCTAACTAAATGTTAGATCGCTGTTAACAATGTTTGCAAAGGCGGTTTCAATTCATTCCTGAAAGTTCACATTTTGGGAAAAGAAAATTTCCCAAATTTTGCAGAGGGATGGAGGGTTAGTTTCCTTAAAAGATGGGAAATGTGTATTTCCTTTCCCTCTTCAATCACTGTTGCTAGGTTCAAGTAACTCTAAGGTGCCTCCTCCCCACAGCGTACTGGGGACAGGATCTGCAAATTATCACACCCAGTCTTATCACCAGTTATATAACCTGTAGGCCATTCTCTGACCTCTAAACCTTCCATATCCATTGTTTTGTGGGCTCTCAGCATCACATTCTTTTTCTTAGTCTCTTATTCATTGTATGCCTGCCTCACTCCATGCCCCATAAGGGCATAAATATTACTGATCTTTTTAGCCTGGCCAACATGGGGAAACCCCATCTTTACTAAAAATACAAAAATTAGCCAGGCATAGTGGCACATGCCTGTAATCCCAGCTACTTGGTAGGCTGAGGCACGAGAATCACTTGAACCCAGGATGCGGAGGTTGCAGTGAGCCAAGATCATGCCATTGCATTCCAGCCTGGGTGACACAGTGAGACTCTATCTCAAAAAAAAAAAAAAAAAGAAAAAGAAAAGAAGAGAAAAAAAAATTACTGGTCTTTTAAAAAATTTTTGACATTATTTCAGACATACAGAAAGGTTACAGGAAAAGTTCAAAGAATACTTGTATACTCTTCCCCACTTGTTAATATTTTACATTTGCCACTTGTTTTATGGGTTTTTTTTTTATGTATATACATTGTTATGGACTGAATTGTATCCTCTCCAAAATTCAGTGTTGACACTCTGACCTTGGAATGTGACTCTATTTGGAAATAAGGCCTTTAAAACAATGATTAAAATGGTTAAAATGGGGCTGTTAGGGTAGGCTCTAAATTAATCTGATTGGTTTCTTTATAAGAGGAGATTAAGACATTCGGAGAGGCCGGGCATGGTGGCTCATGCTTATAATCCCAGCACTTTGGGAGGCCAAGACAGGTGAATTCCTTGAGCCCAAGAGTTCAAGGCTTACTTGGGCAACATGGCGAAGCCCGGTCTGTACTAAAAATACAAAAAATTAGGCTGATGTGGTGGCGCATGACTACAGTACCAGCTGCTGGGGAGGCTGAGGTGGAAGGATCACCTGAATCCAGGAGGTTGAGGCTGTAGTGAGCTGAAGGCGCACCATTGCACTCCAGCCTGGGCGACGAGAGTGAGACCATGTCTCAAAACAACAACAAAAAAAGTAAAATAATAAAAGATATTCAGAGAGAGACGTCAGGGTTGCATGTGCACACACAGAAAAGGCCATAACACAGCAGGCATGCAGCCCTCTGTAAGCCAAGGACTGCAAGCCTCAGGAGAAACCAATCCTGCCAACACCTTGACCTTCGCTTCTAGCCCCCAGAACTGTTAGAAAATACATTTCTTTCTTTTTTTTTTTTTTTTAGATCGAGTCTCACTGTTGCCCAGGCTAAAGTGCAGTGGTGCGATCTCGGCTCACTGCAACGTCGGCCTCCTGGATTCTAGCAATTCTCCTGCCTCAGTCTCTCAAGTAGCTGGGATTACAGGCATGTGAAACCATGCCTGGCTAATTTTTATATTTTTAGTAGAGACAGGGTTTCACCATGTTGGCCAGGGTGGTCTCAAAATCCTGATCTGAGGTGATCCGCCTGCCTCAGCCTCCCAAAGTGCTGGGATTACAGGCGTGAGCCACTGCACTCAGCCCATTTCTGTTGTTTAAATGACTCAGTCTGTGTTATTTTGTTATGGCAGCCCTAGCCAACTTATACATACAAAGCATTATTTTTTTCTGAACTATTCAAAAGTAAGTTACAGACATGGTCCTTTAGTACTAGAAGCAAGTGCAATATATTCTCTTACATTACTGCATGCGATTAGCTAACACTGATAAAATGCTATTAGCTAGTTGCAGACTTTATTCATATTTTGCCAATTGTCCTATAATGTCATCTATAGCAAAAGAGAGAAAAAAAGAAGCAAGAAAGAGAAAAAAAGAAAGACAAAAAGTTTTGGGTCCAGAATCCAATCCAGAATCAAACAGCATTTAGCTGTCATGCCTAGGCTCCTTTAATGGAGAACAGTTTCTCATTCTTTGTCTTTCATGGCCTTGGAGCTGTCAAGAGTACAAGCAATTTATCTTGTAGAATATCTCTCACTTTGGGCTTGTCTGATATTTCCTTGTGAATAGATTAAGATCTACTAGTGTGTTCCAAAGCTTTACAACTGTTTTTTTTCCTGGACAGTTTTAACATTCTAGGTCTGTGATCTTTCTTCTCAATGTGAAATGAGGAATCTGTAACCGTTTTTAGGAGACTCATTGGTTTAGGAAAATCACCTTATTAAATTTACAGACTTGTTAAGAGCTACGAAGTGATGTGTCTCCTCAATGGATCCTATCAGAAGGCATATATGTGTGTTCCCTTACTGGGTGGTGCTAACTTTGATCACGTGGTTGAAGCAGTAACTGTCATGTTTCTTCACTGTAAATTTACCATTTTCCTTTCCTTCCTGGAGGCTAGAAGTAAAGGTCAAGGTGTTGACAGGATTGGTTTCCCCTGTTCTTTGTTTGTTTGTTTTGTTTTTTGAGACAGAGTCTTTTTGTTGCCCAGGCTGAAGTGCAGTGGCACAGTCTCGGCTCCCTGCAACCTCTGCCTCCCAGATTCAAGCGATTCTCATGCCTCAGTCTCCCCAGTAGCTGGGATTACAGCGTCCGCCACGATGCTCAGATAATTTTTTGTGTTTTTAGTAGAGACGGGGGTTTCAACACATTGGCCAGGCTGGTCTCGAACTCCTGGCCTCAGGTGATCCGTCCGCCTTGGCCTCCCAAAGAGCTGGGGATTACAGAAGTGAGCCACCGCGCCCTGCCCTCCTTAAGTTTCCTTGCGGGAGAGATACTTTGAGACTATGCAAAAAGTTTGCGGGAAAAAATACAGGAAGCCCAGTTGAATCTGAATTCCAGATAAGCCATAAATAAAGTATAAATATGACCTCCCAAAGTGTTTATCTAAAATTCTGATTTGATTGGGCATCTTGTGTTTTTATTTGCTAGATCTGGCAACCCTATATGTAAATATCTTGCTCCTCATCCAACTTTCACCCAGTTGTTTTGACATCTATTGCTGCTTCTGAATCAGGGTTGCACATGCAACCCTGACGTCTGTCTCTGAATATCTTTTATGATTTTACTTTTTTTGTTGTTGTTTTGAGATATGGTCTCACTCTCGTCGCCCAGGCTGGAGTGCAGTGGCGCGCCTTCAGCTCACTGCAGCCTCAACCTCCTGAACTCAGGTGATCCTTCCACCTCAGCCTCCCCAGTAGCTGGTACTGTAGTCACGCGCCACCATGTACTGATTTTGGAAAATGGTGATTTTCTAACTCCATCATTCCTTTTACTTCTGTTCGTTGGCATTCTATCAGCTTGTCTTTTCATCCACCCTTTACAGTGCTTGGCACACAGTAGGCGCTCATATAATTGTTCAACGAATGAATGAATGAACTTTTCTCTTGTGTTGTCCGGCCTTCGGTGACACTAGCGGCGTCAGGCAGGAGTTTGACTTCCTCAGCCTATCATGGCACGTTGCCGAGGCTTCAGCGCCTTACAGGACCTCGCTCCAGGCTCTTCTGGCTCCAATCAAAAGCAGGGCTCTTTCGGACTTCGCTTACGTTTAATAAAGAAAACCGGTTGGCCCCTTCGGCTCCACCTGGCTCAACAGACAGCCAGTGGCATGCGGCAGGGACCAATGGGTGGCGGAGGGAGGCGGGGCCTGCCACGAGGCCGCAGTATAACCGCGTGGCCCGCGCGCGCGCTTCCCTCCCGGCGCAGTCACCGGCGCGGTCTATGGCTGCGACTTCTCTAATGTCTGCTTTGGCTGCCCGGCTGCTGCAGCCCGCGCACAGCTGCTCCCTTCGCCTTCGCCCTTTCCACCTCGCGGCAGTTCGGTAAGAGGGTCACAGAGCTCGGTCAGCGCGGAAAGCTGAGGGGAACGGAGGGCGAGGGGCACGCCGGGCCCCCGAGGGACACCGAGGGAAGTCCTTCCCGAACATCTCCGCCCCGGCGGTGGTGGCCGCTGAGGGGTGTGGCGGGGCGACGTGGCACCGAGCGCCGCCGCAGCTCTCGACTGGGGCGCTTCCTCGGCGCGGAGGGCTGGTACCCGAAGCCCGCCTTTCGGAGGGAGCCGCTCTCCTGCGACTCGGGGCGTCGCCGGGGCCCGTGGCCAGTCGGCGGGCGGGACGGGGGTGGCGTGCGGAACGCGAAGGCATCAGTTTACGCGGAGCCTTCCGACAGCGCCGGCCGCCTCTGGCTGGGATGCTGAGAGTCGTCTGGGGGAGAACAGGCGAGGGTTCCAAAAGAGCAGCCCTCGGCGAGTTGTCCTTGCGGGGACCCTAGCGGCGGAGGGCGCTGCTGCAGCTGATGAAATCGCGGAGCCGACTTGCTCGGGGTCCCCGCGCCGCCCTCCTCCCTCCGCCGGTGGGAGTGGCCCGCGCTGCCTCCGCTCTGCCAGGAACATGAACGGACTCTGGGCACCCTAGCTTTGGCTGCAGCCCACCAGAGCCTGTCAGTGCCGGGCTGCGTACATAGAGGTGGCAAACATCCGGGAGGCTCCCAGGGCCTTAGGGAAAGGGGGAATGGAGAGTGACAAGTACCCATATTTCAGCGGTACTTGCAGAATTTCAGTTTTACAAGATGAAGAGTTCTGAAGATGGATGGTGGTGATGGTTGCACAACATATGAACGTATTTAATACCACTGAACTGCACTTAAAAATGGTTAAGATGGGCCGGGCGTGGTGACACGCGCCGAGGCTGAGGCACGAGAATCGCTTGAGCCCAGGAGTTCGAGGCTGCAGTGAGCCGTGATTGCACCACTGCCCTCCAGTCTGGGCGACAGAGCGAGACCCTGTCTCAAAAAAAAAAAAAAAAAAAAAAGTTGATAAGGTTTATGTTATGTGAATTTTACCACAATAACAAAATTGGGAAAAATATACAGGGGAGGAGGAAAGGAAAAGCTCTGTTTGCATTTTTGGGTTTCCTTGGGAAGGTGATTTGGTCGGTCATTAGAGCGCTGGCATTGTTGGCATTGTTAGAGCCCTGCACCTTACAACATCAGCCCCTTCTTTTTTTCATCTAACGTTCACTGTGTACCAGACACTATGCCAAGCTGTGCGAATTCAAAGATGAGAAAAACTGTTCTTAATGGAGCTCATGTTCCTGACAAGGGGCAGAACACGCGTGTAATTTCCAGTCAGTGCGGAAATGCTGTTAGAAATATTTCAAAGGCGCTGCTTGTTGGAGCAATGAGTTCTTGAAGGAAAACGTGGGAGGGGACTTTCAGGGTTTTCCCTGGTCTGACTCTTGACCTCCCCCATGTTTCGTTACTGTGTGTTTTCTCCCCTTCTCCCTCTTCCTGAGTGCTGGCCTCATGTGACTGTGGACCAGACCTTTCCTAGGCTTCCATGGTCCAAAAGAGATTTATAAAGATGCTCTCATTCATTACCTAAAGAACTGGGCCAGTTTGTCTACACTCTCCAATAACAAATGCTCTTTTCACTACCTTTCTGAAAGAACAAGTAAGCTTCATCCACATCTCTGAAAGCAATCCATATTATCTGTACTGCACATTTGCTATTTACAATTCCCACATATTGCTTTCTTACTGCTGCTTATTTTTTAAAATACTGTTTATTTTTAAATACTGCTTATTTTTAAAAAGTTGTATCCTTTTAAAAATATGAGTCTGCATTCTTTTTTTTTTTTTCTTTGTTGGATGGTATGAGAGTTTCAGGAACATAAACCTATGGTTGGAGAAATAGTAGCCTAGGAGACAGTGGGATTAGGAAGTCAATGGACTTTAGAGGCAGAAGTTTGCCTTTGAATCTTGTTTCTACTATCCTCAGTTTCATCTTCTGTATTACAGTGTTATTATAATAGTCCCAAGGTAACAGAGTAATATATGTTAAAGTGTAAGCAAAACACCTAGTGTTTAATAGATGTTTGTTCCTTTCTCCATTATGTCTTCCTTCACTCATTATTTTTCCCATTAATAATTGATAACAACTCTTCCCTAAATCACTTGATTATGAATTGTAAAATGTCCTGATACTAATTTCTCATGGAAAATTACAGTACTGTAAGCTATTGAATTAAAAGGAAAGTGAAGATGCTACTCACTTGGATTTTAGTTTTGAATTTTATTTTATTTTTTGAGACGGAGTCTTACTTTGTTGCCCAGGCTGGAGTGCAATGGTGCAATCTTGGCTCACTGCAACCTCTGCCTCCTGGGTTCAAGCTGTTCTCCTACCTCAGCCTCCCAAACAGCTGGGACTATAGGCGCACACCACCATGCCCTGCTAATTTTTGTATTTTTAGTAGAGACAGGGTTTCACCATGTTGGCCAGGCTGGTCTCGACCTCCTGACCTCAAATGATCCACCCACCTTGACCTCCCAAAATGCAGGGATTACAGGCATGAGCCACAGTTTTGGATTTTATTTGAACAGTCCTCTTGACTTCTTCCTATTCTGTTGATTACCTATCTTAATGGGATTTTTTTCTTTCCTTTTTTTTTTTCTTTTTTGGCAGGGGAATCTCTCCCTAGGTCAGGTTGGAGTGCAGTGCTGCAATCACGGCTTACTGCAGCCTTGACCTCCTGGGCTCAAGTGATCCTCCCACCTCAGCTTGTGAGTAACTGGGACCACAGGAGCATACCACCATGCCTGGCTAATTTTTTTTTTTTTTAACTTTTAGTAGAGATGGGGTCTCACCATGTTGCCCACGCTAGTCTTGAACTTGGCCTCCCAAAATGCTGGGATTACAAGGCCTGTGCCACCATGCCCAGCCCTGGGAATTTTTTCTAAACACATCTGTGAATGCATTTAATTCTGGGATAAATGTTAGCTAATATAGTTACAATTTTGGATTCCCCGTGGGACTTAGCTGACTCTCCATTTCCCTGTTTATTTTGGGGTAGCAGTTAATCTGCCCCTTGGCAAAAGAGATGATGCTAAATTAGTTAATGACTCACTCCCAAGGCTGTATTTCACATTTTGCAGAGTTGTGGGAAGCAGAGGAGGGCTGACAGTTATACTATGAAAGATATTCATTGCATGTGACTTTGTTTTTGGTTCTTGTTACTCTTTGACTGTTTTTCTTTCTTTTCTTTTTTTTTTTTTAAGCAAATTGGCATAACATCCAGAACCTGCTTTTGGAAGCAAAGTTTGGGACTTGGAACACTGGCTTTTCCCAGAACCCTGTGTCCTTAACTTCAGTATATGATTTTATCTGAATGTGCTAATACCATTTTCTCTAAGTTTACTGCTTTCAAAAGAAACTTTTTATGAGGTGCAAGCTAAGTCATTCTCACTGACTAGATATACATATAGTGTATATACTTATATATATCTCCTTATGTGTAAGTGTATCTATTTTAAGGATACATGTGTATGTGTGTGTATATATACATATATATATAAAACCAAGAGAAAAGAGTAAGAAATTAGTTTTATTGAACATATATGCCTGGCACATTATATATGTTTGTTATTTCATTCAACATAAATGACTGTTCTAAGCCGTTTTAAAGTAGTCTTTCACTCTGTAGTGTTCCAGGATTAGGAATGTATTTTTGGCCTGCGGTGGGCATTCCAGGTACTAATACAAATCAGGAATGAGGAATGTTGCCAGGTGTATTTGTATCAGCAAAACCCCCCTATTTTAATTTTTTTTTTTTGAGATGGAGTCTGACTCTGTTGCCCAGGCTGGAGTGCAGTGGCACGATCTCCGCTCACGGCAGTCTCTGCTCACTGCAACCTCTGCCTCCCGGGTTCAATCGATTCTCCTGCCTCAGCCTCCCAAGTAGCTGGGTCTACAGGTGCGTGCCACCATGCCCGGCTAATTTTTTGTATTTTTAGTAGAGACGGGGTTTCACCATATGAGCCAGGATGGTCTCAATCTCCTGACCTCATGATCTGCCTACCTTGGCTTCCCGAAGTGTTGGGATTACAGATGTGAGCCACCATGCCCGGCCTGCAAAACCCTTTTAATGAAGTCCTCTTCGACTCTAATTCTGAAATGGAATTGTGAATATTAATATGTTTTCAATTTCTTCATATACCATGGGTATAATTAAATGCTATTATATGTTGTGCCATGCTAGTATTATATAAAATCAGGGTAAAAGTATTTGATTTGCTGTAAGATTGTAACTTTTTTCTTTTTTTGAGATGGAGTCTTGCCCTGTTACACAGTCTGGAGTGCAGTGGCGTGATCTTGGCTCACTGCAACCTATGCCTCCTGGGTTCGAGATATTCTCCTACCTCAGCTCCCGAGTAGCTGAGATTACAATTACAGGGTCCTGCCACCATGCCTGGCAAATTTTTGTATTTTTAGTAGAGGCGGGGTTTTGCCATGTTGGCCAGGCTGGTCTCAAACCCCTGACCTCAAGTGATCTGCCCACCTTGGCCTCCCAAAATGCTAGGATTACAGGCATGAGCCACCGTGCCTGGCCAGATTATAATAATTTAATACTTCACAAGATGCAATACAGATTAAGATAAAGTTTATATATAAGATTATTGCATTATATCTAAGATGTTGAGATTTGGTTTAAAGTTGGTATTTAATCATAATGCAATAAAAAACACTTATTGAAGGCCTAAAGATTGTGAAAGCTTTAAAATCCCATTTAAATTAGCAGTTACTGGCCGGGTGCAGTGGTGGGTGCCTGTATTCTCAGCTATGGAGGCAAAAGCTGGAGAATTGCATGAACTTGGGAGGCTGCAGTGAGCTGAGATTGCTCCAGCCTGGGCAACAGAGCAAGACTCTGTCTCAAAAAAAATAAATAAATAAATTAGCAGTTATCTTGAGAATTAATTTTATCTGACCCTACAGGATATTCAGTACCTTGATGTTAGGTTTTAGAATATAAGAGGAGATTACTTCATTGGTCTTGAGGTTAGAGCAGTCTTCATGACACCAAGGACAGAGATCTAAAGGGAAAGGCTTTTTTTAATGGGATCATTTTACTTAAGGAAGAGATGCTCATCTAGTTTAGTTTAGTTTAGTTTAGTTTAGTTTAGTTTAGTTTAGTTTAGTTTAGTTTAGTTTAGTTAGTTTAGTTTAGTTTAGTTTTTTGAGATGCAGTCTTTCTCTGTCGCCCAGGCTAGAGTGCAGTGGGGTGATATCAGCTCACTGTAACCTCTGCCTCCTGGGTTCAAGCAATTCTCCTGCCTCAGCCTCCTGAGTAGCTGGGATTATAGGCGCGCACCACCATGCCTGGCTAATTTTTGTATTTTTAGCAGAGACGGGGTTTTGCCATGTTGACCAGGCTGGTCTGGAACTCCTGACCTCAAGCAATCCACCCTCCTCGGCCTCCTAAAGTGCTGGGATTACAGGCTTGAGCTACCACGCTGGGCCAGATGCTCATCTTTAAGTAATGGGCACTTTACTGTAAGGACATGTGTGAAAATAGGAAAACTGGGACTCTTCCACATTTGGGTTTCATGGAACCCAGGAAGAGTTGCATAAGCAGTTCTCTTTGGGAAGAGACAGCCTTTCGGGCAGCTGAACATGGTTTTGGGAACTGGAGGTTCTTCTAGATCCTGATTTTTCTTCTTGCTCCCCACCTCAGCAACAGTTTTCTGATTTCTTGCCCTGTTGTCTCCCATTGGTGTGACTATTATTCTGCCTATTCTTTCTGTCTTTGTTCTGTGGTTCTAGTTTGAACTGCCTCAGGGACGAGCTCTTACTGGTTCAACTAACTCTCACTGCTCTGTTGAGCTAAGCTTTTGCGCCAACTGGACCACTGGCCAGCCTAGAGATTGTTGCCCTTGGCGTCACATACTCACTCCTGGTCTGTCAGCTTTGGATGATATGGTGGGGTCCCTGGGAAGAGCACATTGCCAACTGTGAGAAGGAGCTTCCTCCAGTCCCCTGCCCTGCCCCTATTCTTACCAGGAAAGTCTTCCCCAGAAGGGACTGTGGGGAGTGGTGGTCATTTTGATGTTTGACCTGTCCAGTATGTTGTTTGTTTGTTTGTTTATTTTTGAGACGGAGTCTAGCTCTGTCACCGAGGCTGGAGTGCAGTGGCACAATCTCAGCTCACCGCAACCTCTGCCTCCTGGTTTCAAGTGATTCTCCTGCCTCAGCCACCTGAGTAGCTGGGATTACAGGAGCCCACCACTACGCCCAGCTAATTTTTGTATTTTTAGTAGAGACAGGGTTTCATGTGTTGGCCAGGCTGGTCTCGAACTCCTTACCTTGTGATCTGCCCTCCTCGGCCTCCCAAAGTGCTGGGATTACAAACGTGAGCCATCGTGCCCGGCCTATATTGTTTGTTTATTCAACTACAGAATATAATTTATCGATTTAAACCACCATAAAAATGAAGTCAGTTGACTGGGAAATGATTTGAAATACATGCCTGGCTGCTAACAACAGGGACAAAACACGAACTACAAATGGCATATAAGCAGATAAGAAAAACTATTTAACCTCATGGTGAGGGGTCAAACAATTGCAAATTAAAACTGTAAAACACTTAGTAATGATCAGGGCGCAGGGTGGTGTAGCAGTTAAGAGCCCAGACTGATGTGAGACTCAGCTTGACCAAGCGCTGTCAGTCACTTAAACTCCCTGAGCTTCAAATTAATGATAATAATGATTTCTATCAACTTTATCCCCCTCCATATGTAGCTGGATATATTCATTCATTTATTTATTTATTTAGCAGAGACAGGGTTTTGCCATGTTGCCCAGGCCAGTCTCAAACTCCTGGGCTCAAGCCATCCTCCTGCCCCGGCCTCCCGAAGTGCTGGGATTACAGGCATAAGCCACTACACCTGGCAGAGTTTTAGTTTTTATAAAAATTCAAGTTATTTGGTTTTGTGACTCTGTTGCCTTCTGCAGAAATGAAGCTGTTGTCATTTCTGGAAGGAAACTGGCCCAGCAGATCAAGCAGGAAGTGCGGCAGGAGGTAGAAGAGTGGGTGGCCTCAGGCAACAAACGGCCACACCTGAGTGTGATCCTGGTTGGCGAGAATCCTGCAAGTCACTCCTATGTCCTCAACAAAACCAGGGCAGCTGCAGTTGTGGGTATGTGTCCTTCTGAGACCTCGACTGCGGTTCAGTTGAGGTTTATATGAGGCAAAGTCCATTCTAATTTATGATTTCTTTTTTCTGATTAGGAAACCCAAGCAGAGGAGGCTAATGTGATTGAACTGTATCCCAAAACTTTGTCATAGGAAATCAGACTATATCTTTCGGGGTTTATACAGTAGGACAGGAGATACTGGTTGGTATTCTCTGTGGCTTCTGGAAAGAATATAAGCTACATTCTGTTCTTAGTCTTTATATTTGATAGGTGACCCTGAATGCATTTTACATTTGCTTTCCTTGAGCAATAATGGGTCTCCAGTGGAGGTGTTTGAGTGTTTGCAGCTTAAAGCCTTAGAGGCTTAGGGGGCATGATTGAGCAATACAGTATTAGGTGACCTCAGTGATGAGGTCAGGAACACAGTCGTAGATTTGAAGGAAATGACTCTGACTTCTGGGAAATAGCTTTCAAGTTCTTCACCGATTGGTTCTAAAGCCAAACATGCAGTTTAGAAGCAGTTCAGGTCTGGATGATGGGGTTTGTGTTCTAGGTCTCACGGTACCACAGATTACTGTGTCTCTGTGGACAAGAGGTGGGTGGGCAGGCTCAGATATGCCTCTGCCTGCCCATCTGTGGGCCTGTGGTCTGAGCAGCAGGTGGCCTTTCCTTCGAAGGGCTGTGAAACCACTCGCGTGGCTGGGTGGGGTTACTGGCCTGTAAGCCTGTGGTTTTCTCTGTTCTTTATTATTGAGGAGTGAGGCCTCCTGCTCTTTTAATTGAAAGCCTTTAGAAACCTCTAGATAATGGCAAGCCATGGCATTTTGTTTTGTTTTTTGAGACGGCATTTCGCTCTTGTTGCCCAGGCTGGAGTGCAACGGCGTGATCTCGGCTCTCCGCAACCTCCGCCTCCCGGGTTCAAGTAATTCTCCTGCCTCAGCCTACCGAGTAGCTGGGATTATAGGCATGGGCCACCATGCCTGGCGAATTTTGTATTTTTAGTAGAGATGGGGTTTCTCCATGTTGGTCAGGCTGGTGTCGAACTCCCGACCTTAGGTGATCCACCTGCCTCAGGTGATCTGCGCCTGCCTCAGCCTCCCAAAGTGCTGGGATTACAGGCGTGAGCCACTGTGCCTGGCCAAGCCATGGCATTTTAAGACATTGGGAGGTAGTGTGGTGCAGAAAAAAAGAACATGGATTTTGGAACCAGAAAGACTGGCTGTATTATTAGCTCGCTTATTTATTTATTTATTTATTTAGAGACGGAGTCTCGCTCTGTTGCGCAGGCTGGAATGCAGTGGTGCGATCTCAGCTCACTGCAACCCCCGCCTCCCAGGTTCAAGCGATTCTCCTGCCTCAGCCTCCCAAGTAGCTGGGACTACAGGCGCGTTCCACCAAGCCTGGCTAATTTTTTGTATTTTTAGTAGAGACGGGTTTTCACCGTGTTAGCCAGGATGGTCTCCATCTCCTGACCTCGTGATCCGCTGGCCTTGGCCTCCCAAAGTGCTGGGATTACAGGCGTGAGCTACTGTGCCTGGCCTAGCTCGCTTATTTTTAAACCTCTCTGAGCCTCAGTCTGTCTGTAAAATAAGGTTAATGAAGATTGCATAGAATGAGGTATACAGGATGTGTTAAGCTAGTATTCTCTGGTGTATATATTTGTGAAGTTACTTTTTTAGGTTCCTTGAGCTACTTCAGCTTTTAGGGATGAGTGTGATGATACAAAACCCGTATGGTAGCCAAGTATGGTAGGCAACATAGCAGTGCTCATTAAATGCCTCAAAAATTTTTTTAACCTCAAAATTTCTTATAATAGGAATCAACAGTGAGACAATTATGAAACCAGCTTCAATTTCAGAGGAAGAATTGTTGAATTTAATCAATAAACTGAATAATGATGATAATGTAGATGGCCTCCTTGTTCAGTTGCCTCTTCCAGGTGAGTTTTGGACTCCATTTAACATGATTGCTGCTGCTTCTGCTCCTTTCCCTCTCCCTCCCTCTCTCTCTCCCTCCCCATCCCCCTCCTCCTCCCTCTCCTTTCCTTGTCTCACTCTGTCACCCAGGCTAGAGTGCAATGGTACAATCATAGCTCATTGCATGCTCAAGCTCCTGGGTTCAAGGGATCCTCCTGCCTTAGCCTCCCAAATAGCTAGGACTATAGGCATGTCCACCATGCCCAGCTAATTTTTACATTTTTCCTAGAAATGAAAGTCTGTCTGTGTTGCCTGGGCTGGTCTTGGACTCTGTGCTTCCCAAAGTGCTGGGATTACAGGCATGAACTACCATGCCCTACCTAAAATGGTTTCTGAGGGGTAAAAAGGCCTTGTTACTTTATACACCTGGTTCTTCATGTGGATTTGGCTTAAAGGCAAAATAAACTCAAAAGAGTGAATATTTTATTAGAAATGGGACAGACCAACTCAGAATACCAATTACGCCTTGATTTAGTATTGTGGTCTTGATACAAAGGACAGTGGAGGGAAGCAGCTGTGATAGACGATATTGGCTTTGCTATTGGTGTTTGGCTTTGCTTATGCGAGTTCCTTCCATGCAGATGAAGTACATCTCAGAGGCAAGCTGTAGAAGAATAGATTTCCTTGCGAAGCAGATAAGCTGGAGTCAGGCAGTGCTGACTATGCGGTGGTGATTTAAGGCAACTGTGCCAATTTCTTTTTCAGAGCATATTGATGAGAGAAGGATCTGCAATGCTGTTTCTCCAGACAAGGATGTTGATGGCTTTCATGTAATTAATGTAGGACGAATGTGTTTGGATCAGTATTCCATGTTACCGGCTACTCCATGGGGTGTGTGGGAAATAATCAAGCGAACTGGTAGGTATATCCCAGAATTGCATGTCTGTGTTAATATTATAAAAGTAGTACTGGCAAATGGTAAAAACTCATACAGTCCCAAAGAGTGGAAACCCTACTGCATATCCTCTAGTCTTACTCCCCAAAGTTTACCTCTCTTAACAGTTTTTTTTTTGTTTTTTGTTTTTTTTGAGACAGGGTCTTGCTCTGTCACCCAGGCTGGAGTGCAGTGGCGCGATCTTGGCTCACTGCAGCCTCTGCCTCCTGAGTTCAAGCGATTCTCATGCCTCAGCCTCCTGAGTAGCTGGGATTACAGGCACGTGCCACCATGCCCAGCTAATTTTTTTATTTCTAGTAGAGACAGGTTTCACCATATTGACCAAGCTGGTCTCGAACTAGGCCTCAGGTGATCCGCCCCCTCAGCCTCCCAGAGTGCTGGGATTATAGGCATGAGCCATCGTGCCTGCCCTTAACAGTTGCCTATGACAGTTTTTGCTTTTTAATCCAGAAGTCTCAGTGAAGGAAATTTTCTATTTTTCTTTTTCTTTTTTTTTGTTTTTGAGACGGAGTCTTGCTCTGTTGCCCAGGCTGGAGTGCAGTGGCGTGATCTCGACTCACTGCAAGCTCCACCTCCTGAGTTCATGCCATTCTCCTGCCTCAGCCTCCTGAGTAGCTGGGACTACAGGTGCCCACCACCATGCCTGGCTAACTTTTTTTTTTTCTCGTATTTTTAGTACAGACGGGGTTTCACCGTGTTAGCCAGGATGGTCTTGATCTCCTGACCTTGTGATCCACCTGCCTTGGCCTCCCAAAGTGCTGGGATTACAGGTGTGAGCCATCGCGCGTGGCCTCTATTTTTCTTTTTAATTTTTTCTTTAAGAGTCAGAGGTTTCATCATGCTGCCCAGGCTGGTCTCAAACTCCTGGCCTCAAGCAATTCTCCTACCTTAGCCTCCCTGGCCTCAAGCAATCCTCCCTCCTGCTGGGATTACAGGTGTGAGCCACCGCCCCAGCCCTCAGTGAAGGAAATTTAAGATTTGATAGTGGTGACAGTGCACATTCCTGTAACATTTTGTAGCCTGTAGTATGCTTTCTCCTGTTTTCTTTTAGCCCTTATTATGTGTAGCAAGTTACAGCTCCAGTTGACTGATGAGGCAAAATTGGGTTCATGTTCTAGGCCATCTGACTTTGTTTTCCTTTGGACTGGCACTACTTTTAATGTCAATACATATATTTTTATAGGCATTCCAACCCTAGGGAAGAATGTGGTTGTGGCTGGAAGGTCAAAAAACGTTGGAATGCCCATTGCAATGTTACTGCACACAGATGGGGCGCATGAACGTCCCGGAGGTAAGGAAATTGCTTTCAGGGAACACTGTCCTTTTTTCCCCATGTAAGAACTTTCAGAAGCCATCCTGTGCATGTTTGGAAGTATTAACTCTGTTATACTTTGTATTTGTTGAAATTTTGTTAACAGACAATTCAGGGAGTAACCTTTGTAGAGAAGCTGCACCCAGTGTCACCTGAGTTTCTTTATTATTCATTTATCATGTAACTAGCTTCAGAAATAAATTTAAGTTTTGAGTATAAGCATGGTTGTAGGCAATTAGAAAATTTCAGCTATAGCTTTGATAGCTGGAGCTAAGGAGCAATTCTTATTCAAAGATACTGTGTCATTTAGTGGAAAAAAATCTTTAGCCGTTGCAAAGGATTGGATTGGTATGACTGTAATGTGTCCTGTCAGGTTCTGTTAATTGGTTCTAAGGTAAAGCCTCGTCAATCAGTTATCACATAATTATTGTAATAATGACCTTACATGATTATATCAGAAATAAAGGCAAAACTATATACTTTCAACTATCTTTCAACATACTTAAAACAACCTTGAGTAATTTTAGTGATATTTTGCTTAGAAAAGGTAAAATTCTTGAAAGGCTTTAAAAATAGGATGAATAAATTTAATTATATGACTCAAAACAGTCGAGCTGGGACCAATGGGTTAAAGCTATATGATATTAGGTATTAATTTTAAAAAAGTAAATGACAATTAGCTGTTCAGAAAACATGGCACAAGCCATTAAGTCAGTTTTTTTTTTTTTTTTTCCTGGAGATGGAGTCTTGCCCTGTTGCCCAGGCTAGTGCAGTGGCACAATCTTGGCTCACTGCAACCTCCACCTTCCAGGTTCAAGTGATTCTCATGCCTCAGCCTCCCAAGTAGCTGGGATTACAGGCATGCGCCACCACGCCCAGCTAATTTTTGTATTTTTAGTAGAGACGGGGTTTCACCATGTTGGCCAGGTTGGCCTCGAACTCCTGACCTGGTGATCTGCCCACCTCGGCCTCCCAAAGTGCTGGGATTACAGGCGTGAGCCACTGCACCTGGCCGTAAGTCAATTATTTTTCAGAGATGTTGAGTTTCTACAATGACTTGACTAGTTGAGACCTAATCCAATCCCAGCTTTGTGTCAGAAATCAAGACATCTATTTTTTTCTTTCTAGGTGATGCCACTGTTACAATATCTCATCGATATACTCCCAAAGAGCAGTTGAAGAAACATACAATTCTTGCAGATATTGTAATATCTGCTGCAGGTAAGAACACAAGGGGGATGGAGGGAAGGACTTCACCTCAGAAGAGGAGGTTGTACCCCTCATCTTAGAATTCGCCTGCCTAGCTGCTATTCATCATTCCCCTTGTAATGATTCTTTGAGCTGCCTACAAAGATGAGGATAGAGTTGTGATTGGAATACCGGTTTCTGGCAGTCCATTATAGTCTAGATGGGTGAATGTTATTCCTAAAGCTTCAAAATATTTATATTAATATTTACTGTATAAAGTTTAAATGGTTCCTTTTGTTTCCTGTCAGGAGCCAAAATAAAAAAATAATAAAAGTAAATAGTTCCTTAGTTAATATTTTTAACAGGTTTTAATAAAACATGTTGATTAGTTCTTCAGGGTCTCTTGAAATTGAAGTTAGACAAGAATCTGACAGGTAGACTGTTTTCAGTACTAAGTTGATCTTTCCTTTCTCCATTTCCAGGTATTCCAAATCTGATCACAGCAGATATGATCAAGGAAGGAGCAGCAGTCATTGATGTGGGAATAAATAGAGTTCACGATCCTGTAACTGCCAAACCCAAGTTGGTTGGAGATGTGGATTTTGAAGGTAAATGGTGAAATTTTATTTTTAAAAATGAAATCAATAAATACTACCTTTCATGGACATTTAGGATAGATTATTTACTTTTTTTTTTTTTTTTTTTTTTGAGATGGGAGTCTCACTCTGTTGCCCAGGCTGGAGTGCAGTGGCGCGATCTCGGCTCACTGCAACCTCTGCCTCCTGGGTTCAAGCTATTCTTCTGCCTCAGCCTCCCGAGTAGCTGGGACTCCCAAAGTGTTGGGATTATAGGTGTGAGCCACTGCGCCCAGTCAGTATGCTTTTCCCTCCCTCTCTCCTTCCCTTCCTTCTTTCTTTCCTTCCTTCCCTCCATCTCTCTCCCTTCCTTCCTTCCCCTCCCCTCCCCTCCTCTCCCCCCACCCCTTTCTTCCTTCGTTTCTTTCTCTTTTTTTTTTTTTTTTTTTTTTGAGACAGTCTCACTCTGTCACCCAGGCTGGAGTGCAGTGGCACCATCTCGGCTCACTGCAGCCTCCACCTCACAGCTTCAAGCGATTCTTGTGCTTCAAGCCTCCCCAGTAGCCAGGACTACAGGCATGGGCCACCACGCCCAACTAATTTTGTGTATTTTTAGTAGAGACGGGGTTTCACCATGTTGGCCAGGCTGGTCTGGAACTCCTGGCCTCAAGTGATCCACCCGTCTTGGCCTCCCAAAGTGCCGGGATTACAGGTATGAGCCACTGCACCTGGCCTTAGTAGGCTTTTCATAAGAATTAGAGAAACCTTTTTAAAATTATGGCTTTTCTAGAATTATTTTAGGTGTTTTATCATAGTGATGGAGAGCAGTTATAAACTTTTCAGGGAATTGTTTTTTTCCTTAGACTTATTTCATAATTCAAGCAATTTCTTGACTTTTAACAAGTTTGAAAATTTGATGAAGTGATTTTTCTAAACCATGGAGTTTCCCAAAAAGTGTTAGAGATTTCTCATTTTCACACTGAGAGATCACAGGCCTAGAAAGTTAAAATGGTCCAGGAAAAAACCATACCCCTGAAATACTAGAATATACTAGTAGATTTCTTCTTTCAGTTCTGTTTTTTTTTTTAAGAGGCAGAGTCTCACTCTGTTGCCCAGGCTGTAGTGCAGTGGTGTGATCTCTGCTCACTGCAACCTCCACCTCCCAGGTTCAAGTGATTCTTCTGCCTTAGCCACCCAAGTAGCTGGGATTACAGACATGAGCCACCATGCCGGCTAATTTTTTGTATTTTCAGTAGAGATGAATTTGGCTGTGTTGGCCAGGTTGGTCTTGAACTCCTGGCCTCAAGTGATCCGCCTGCCTCAGCCTTTAACAGTGCTAGGATTACAGGTGTGAGCCACTGCACCTGGCCTCTCCTTTCAGTTCTTAAGATAGAATGTTTATCCGAGTTTTATGCTGATAATCCTTTTTTTCTTTCCTTTTTTTTTTTTTTTTTTTTTTTTGAGACAGGATCCCTCTCTGTTGCCCAGGCTGGAGTACAGTGGCAGGATCTCAGCTTACTGCAACCTCTGCCTCCTGGGCTTGAGCAATTCTCCTGCCTCAGCTTCCTGAGTAGCTGGGACTATAGGCACATGTCACCTCACTTGGCTAATTTTTGTATTTTTTGTAGAGATGGGGTTTCACCATGTTGCCCAGGCTGGTTTCAAACTCCTGGCCTCAAACAATCTCCCCCACCTCACACCCTGCCTCAGCCCCCCAGAGTGCTGGGATTACTGGCATGAACCACTGTACCCGGCCTATGCTGATAATCCTATTCCTAGCTTTCTGTTTTTATTAAAGCAGTCAAACCCATGCCTAGGTATGTAAGGATTTTCACTTTAACATTAGGTTAATTTTTTTTTTAACTTCTCACTTTTAAAAAATTACTGTGCTTTCTGCTTTGGACAAATTATACTTAAAATTAAATTAAGAAAATGCTATAGGCAGGTATTGAGGTAATGCTTATTATTGTTATACTTACAACTCCCACACAGTTAACCTACTAGATATTTCTTTAATAGATTTCTTTATAGGTTACTTAGATGTATAAATATTCCTTGAACAACTCTGTATGTGCATGTTATTTTACTAGTGTGTTCACAAAACCTTGAATGATGTAGATGTGATTTTTGAGTTTTATGCTTATGTATGTTACTTTTTCCTTGCATGCTTGTTTAATAATATATTAAAGTACACACATGTCCTTTGCCATAACTAAAGCAGCCTGCCTGTCTTGTTTCTATGTAGGAGTCAGACAAAAAGCTGGGTATATCACTCCAGTTCCTGGAGGTGTTGGCCCCATGACAGTGGCAATGCTAATGAAGAATACCATTATTGCTGCAAAAAAGGTGCTGAGGCTTGAAGAGCGAGAAGTGCTGAAGTCTAAAGAGCTTGGGGTAGCCACTAATTAACTACTGTGTCTTCTGTGTCACAAACAGCACTCCAGGCCAGCTCAAGAAGCAAAGCAGGCCAATAGAAATGCAATATTTTTAATTTATTCTACTGAAATGGTTTAAAATGATGCCTTGTATTTATTGAAAGCTTAAATGGGTGGGTGTTTCTGCACATACCTCTGCAGTACCTCACCAGGGAGCATTCCAGTATCATGCAGGGTCCTGTGATCTAGCCAGGAGCAGCCATTAACCTAGTGATTAATATGGGAGACATTACCATATGGAGGATGGATGCTTCACTTTGTCAAGCACCTCAGTTACACATTCGCCTTTTCTAGGATTGCATTTCCCAAGTGCTATTGCAATAACAGTTGATACTCATTTTAGGTACCAAACCTTTTGAGTTCAACTGATCAAACCAAAGGAAAAGTGTTGCTAGAGAAAATTAGGGAAAAGGTGAAAAAGAAAAAATGGTAGTAATTGAGCAGAAAAAAATTAATTTATATATGTATTGATTGGCAACCAGATTTATCTAAGTAGAACTGAATTGGCTAGGAAAAAAGAAAAACTGCATGTTAATCATTTTCCTAAGCTGTCCTTTTGAGGCTTAGTCAGTTTATTGGGAAAATGTTTAGGATTATTCCTTGCTATTAGTACTCATTTTATGTATGTTACCCTTCAGTAAGTTCTCCCCATTTTAGTTTTCTAGGACTGAAAGGATTCTTTTCTACATTATACATGTGTGTTGTCATATTTGGCTTTTGCTATATACTTTAACTTCATTGTTAAATTTTTGTATTGTATAGTTTCTTTGGTGTATCTTAAAACCTATTTTTGAAAAACAAACTTGGCTTGATAATCATTTGGGCAGCTTGGGTAAGTACGCAACTTACTTTTCCACCAAAGAACTGTCAGCAGCTGCCTGCTTTTCTGTGATGTATGTATCCTGTTGACTTTTCCAGAAATTTTTTAAGAGTTTGAGTTACTATTGAATTTAATCAGACTTTCTGATTAAAGGGTTTTCTTTCTTTTTTAATAAAACACATCTGTCTGGTATGGTATGAATTTCTGAAATTCTGTCTTCCTATGACTCCTAGTTGTGACCTAACCAGTTTTTTTCTCATTTAATCAATGTAGCTATTCCTATATTCAGTAACACTTACTTCTATAGCCTTAAATAGATAATTTTTTTTCTTCTATTTTTTTTTTTTTTTTTGTAGAGATGGGGTCTTGCTATGTTGCCTGGGCTGGTATTGAACTCCTGGCCTCAAGCAATCAATCCTCTTGCCTCAGCTTCCCAGAGGGCTGGGATTACAGGCCTGGGCCACCCACACCCAAACAGAGGTTTAAAGAGCTTTGGAGAAACCAGCCTCGTCCTCCAGTCTCTTTGTTTGTTTGTTTTGAGACTGAGTCTTGCTCTGTTGCCCAGGCTGGAGTGCAGTGGCATGATCTCGGGTCACTGCAACCTCTGCCTCTCGGGTTCAAACAATTCTTGTGCCTCAGCCTCCTGAGTAGCTGGGATTACAGGTGCATGCCACCATGCCTGGCTAATTTTTGTGTTTTTAGTAGAGATGGGGTTTCATCACATTGGCCAGGCTGGTCTCAAACTCCTGACCTCAAGTGATCCACCTGCCTCGGCCTCCCAAAATGCTAGGATTACAGGCGTGAGCCACTGCACCTGGCCTGTCCTACAGTCTTATATCACAACAGGTTGTGCCAAGCTAGGAGCTTAATCTGTAAAATACTTGAGGCAGGGATAGGTTTGTCTGTTTTGGCTTTTGGCTTTCATGCGAGCAGAAGTAGCTCCTGCTCTAGGCAGCTTGAGGCAGAAAGAGAAGAAACAATTGAGTTGACCTACCTCCGTCCTCGTTCTTCTGCCAGCTGGCGTTATTCTTTTGATAGTTCTCTGGAGTTTAAAGAAGTTTAGATAGTTTGCTGGAGATGTTTTTGTAAGTGACGTATAGCTTATGTCTCTAATCCATGCCTGCTTACCTAGATTATTAAATGTGGAGCAAGATGACCAGACAGGATTAAATTTTATTGAATTACAGTTACAAGTGGAAAAAATGACTGACTTACTGCATGGAGAAGTATTATGTCAACCTGTTAAAAGCTATGGAAATTAAAATGTTCATGTATATACAAAATATAAATGACATGTAAGGTAAAATTACAGTGATCAATTTACAACAAAGAAATTAACAGTAGTTTTCCAGCTTGTTTGATTAATCAAGCAGGTTTACTCTTGAATCCATAGCATTTCTACAATTTAATTTGGACAAAGTTCTATTCCAGATCAGCCAGGTTTTAAAACTGAAATGTGTTAAGGGTGGATTGTTAGCTTCCCCAGGATTGGTGTGGATGATAAATACTTTTTTTAAAAATTAATTATTATTGTTTATAAGACATGGATTCCAGCTGTCTCCCTGGCTGGAGTGCAGTGGCATGATTATAGCTCACTGCAGCCTTGAACTCCTGGACTTAAACGATCCTCCTGCATCAGCCTCTGAAATGGCTGGGACTACAGGTGTGTGCCAGCATGCCTAGCTAATTTTTAAACATTTGTTTAGAGATGGGTCTCACTATGTTGCCCAGGCTGGTCTTGACCTCCTGACCTCTGCTGATTCCCCCCACCTCTGCCTCCCAAGTAGCGGGATTACAGGTGTGAGCCACTGTGTCTGACAAGAATTTATACTTAAGCATAGGAGATGGTTCTGGAAATTCTAAGAAATTCTGCTCTCAGTAAGAGTAGAGGTTTGGAGCTTTACCTCTTGGCAGTATCCCTTGGAAGGGAGCTCTGAGATTAAATGTAATCAAACACTTATTGAGAGCTTTCTATGGACCAGGCACTACACTAGACGCTGGGAATTACAGAGGCAATTACCTGTCCTATACTCAAGGTGTTAATGATCTAGTGTCATTTTTCTTTAAAAAAGAAAGCACCTGCATTTGTCATCTTGAGCAAATATAGTAACTCTAACCTCAAGGTTCAAGTGATTTACTCAAGGTTTAAATCATAGTTGTTTTGGAGAAAGTAAGTGTCAGATGCACTGTGGCTGTCAGGGTCATAGTAGGCATTAAATCAACATGGTTGGTGTTCATTAAATGTGGATTGAAGATAAAATGACTGATCTTAAGTTTCATGAGGAATAGGTTTGCTTCATTGAAACTGGTTTTTATCTTCCCAAATAGTTTTCAATCATTCCTTTAAAGTACTAGGTTGATTAATATTGCAAAGTTGTAATGTAAAATGTGACCTTACCTCTGTCTAACCTGTATTGTTCACATGAATGGGAGTTTGACTTTGGGAATAAACATTGAAAATTTGCAGGGAGGACCCACCCAAATGTATCATGAAATGTGATTCCAGGTATGAAAAACCAGTGATACTAATTTAAAGGATCATTTTGATTTAACATGTGGTTTCAAATTTCACTTTAACAAGAACTATTTTATTTTAGAAACATTTATCCACTCAGATGCATTGGTTCTTTCATTAACAGAGTTTTGGAACTGGCTTTTCAATCTGGGAAAGCCCCAGTCACACTTCTGGAGCAAGGCCCATAATGCAGATGGTTCAAACTTTTTTTTTGTTTGGATACGGAGTCTCACTCTGTTGCCTAGGCTGGAGTGCAGTGGTGCCATCTCAGCTCACTGCAACTTCTGCCTCCTGGGTTCAAGCGATTCTCCTGCCTCAGCCTCCCGAATAGCTGGGACTACAGGTGCATGCCACCACACCCGGCTAATTTTTTGTAGTTTAGTAGAGACGGGGTTTCACCGTGTTGCCTAGGCTGGTCTCGAACTCCTGAGCTCAGGCAATTCACCTGCCTCGGCCTCCCAAAGTGCTAGGATTACAGGCGTGTGCCACTGTGCCCGGCTGGTTCAAACTTTTCATATAACCCTTAGGAAATTGGATGTGACAGGGAGAAAAGATAGGACCTTTTCAGCATTTCTTAATATGCAGAATTGCCAAATATTCCAAAGATGGTCTAGTGACATAAAAGTATATTACAAGTTTGTTTGAGAACATCTATATTTAAATCTAACCTTTAAACAATTTTAAATTGATATTTGTTTTAAATATGAATTGACTATTGCCCCTTTATCTTAGCTATGGTTTGGGGAAACAAGCATTTTTTTATTTCCAAAGAAATGTTAGAATTTCTATGCTGAACTGCATTTTAAAATAAAATATAATATTTAGCTTTAGGTATTTTAATTACTACAAAGGGGAGAGCTTTGCATCTAAGCAATACTTTTCATCAATAGATCTCCAGTTTTCTATAGGCAGACGGACTCCCTCTGTTTGATAAAGAAGGAAACAGGCACAGAGAAGTTAAGACCCTCCCAGTGAAGACTAAGCCAGGCTCTCCATCTCCCATCTGGGAGAAGCTGCTTCATCCTAGAGGGTGGTCTCACTGTCAGTTTCTCTTCGGTATTTATCCATGTCTGTGAAGTCATAGTCTGACTCCATCTCTATCTTCACCTGTGGCACCATGAACACTGGGTTCCGTGAGTAGCTGAAAGCAGGTGAAGCTGGACAGGATATTTTGAAGTGCAAGGTGATGCTGAACGAGAAGTAGGAAAGAAGGATTACGTAGTTCTTGGTGTTTTGAACCCATCCCCTAGAGCAGGGCTCTAATGCAAATACTTCCATCTTTGCTTCTGAACTCTCAGCACATGCCAGAATGAGCAGTTTCCTATTGGCTTGGCCTTCAGCCATAGTCACGCATCTGGTCTCACCCTGTAAACCTATCTTCACATTGCTGCCAAGGTGAACTTTTGAAATCACAAATTTGGTGATTCCTCATTGGGTTCAAAGAATCTAAGCTCCTTAGTGTGAGAAGACAGGAGTGTCTTGTCTTCTCACAAACACAAACACAGTCTTCTGTGTTTGTAGTCCTGCCTGCTTAGTTTGCCCCATCCATTGCAGTGTTCTTTGCTCTTTGGAGGTGTGTGTGTGTGTGTGTGTGTGTGTGTGTGTGTGTGTGTGTGTTTGTGTGTGTTTTCAAATGGTACTTCGGGCCTGTGTCCACTGCCTGAAATGCCTTTTCTTTTCTCTGCCCCGCTCTATGTCTGGCAGATTCCAGTTTCCCTTTCTTAGATTCTCAAAACGAGGCTACTCCCTCCCTGTGTACTCCGATATTCTTGCACAGGGTGCTCTGTCTTTGTTTGCATGCCTTTCTTTCCACATCCTCAGGGATTAAGCATCGCACCTGGTAGATCATTGATGCTTAGTCTTTGTTAAACCAGATCATGTTGCAGAGCCTTTCACTGAAACAGAATCTTGCTATTTAGTGATCTTTGCCTCCATCTGTTTTCATAAATTCAGTAAAACACCAATGAGGTTGGGAGATACCATCTCCAGTTACCAAAGTTTCTTCATTTCTGACCCTGTCTTAGGGCCTTGTGTAATTTAACAGGGTTTTGGAAACCCCTAACCTGGTCCAAATTTTCTCTCTACTGCCTGAAATTGGGAGTAGTCAGTCAATTTCATGTAGATTATTTTATAAATGAAAATAAGATAGACTGCTTTTCTCATAATACCGGTGTATACTAATGTATAAAGATCAATGGCATCACATATATAGGAGCCTGACTGGGGAAGTGGGATGAGAAGGAAGGTGGAGATTAACTGGGACAGGTGACACTTTGGGCTAGAGCATCTTTGGGACTGCTGCTTAGGGAGGGTTGAACTGGGGAAAAGTGTGTCGTTTCACCCTGGCATTGGGATAGCAGCTTTGCCTTATAATTCAGAAGATCCCCTGCCCCGTTTCCCCAAAAATCTCTTGGATGAGTGCCCTCTGTGCCTGGAGATTGATCTTCTAGACTTGGGATAGCCTGTGCTGTAATTACTGTTTGATCCCTGTCCATTCTAGGGCACAAGGTAGGAGTGGGACTGCCCCTGGCATCTTCCCAAGTAACAATGAAGTAAAGCCTTTCTTGCCTCTAAATTCATCTTTTCTGTGTTTGCCCCCACTATGTCATCATCAGGGAGTCTCACCTTTTTCACGGGTGGCTTCTCATGAAGAACAATCACATTGTTGGCATGGGGGCTCCTGGCAACTGGCCTTGAACCTATTCTTAACAGTTCCCATCTCCAGTTGATCTCTGATGTTAGCTTTGATGTTGATCTCTGATGTTGGCTTTCCTCCATACCCTTTCTGACCTTTGCTAATTAACCCTGCTGTTAATTCATTCTACAGAGTACCCCAGGGTTTCGATCCTTAGCGTTCATTTATCCTGGCTTTCAGTGATATTACACTTAAGCCATGCCTAGTTTTTCTGTTTTCTTTTTTTTTCTTTTTTTGAGATGGAGTCTTGCTCTGTTGCCCAGGCTGGAGTGCAGTGGCGTGATCTCGGCTCACTGCAAGCTCCGCCTCCCAGGTTCACGCCATTCTCCTGCCTCAGCCTCCCGAGTAGCTGGGACTACAGGCGCCCACCACCATGCCCGGCTAATTTTTTGTATTTTTAGTAGAGACAGGGTTTCACCATGTTAGCCAGGATGGTCTCCATCTCCTGACCTTGTGATCTGCCCGCCTCAGCCTCCCAAAGTGCTGGGACTACAGGCGTGAGCCACCGCGCCTGGCTTCTGTTTTCTGTCAATATTTCCTTTCTTTTTTTTTTTTTTTTTGAGATGGAGTCTCACTCTGTTGCCCAGGCTGGAGTGCAGTGGCGCGATCTCGGCTTACTGCAAGCTCTGCCTCCTGGGTTCATGCCATTCCCCTGCCTCAGCCTCCCTAGTAGCTGGGACTACAGGCCCCCACCACCATGCCCAGCTAATTTTTTTGTATTTTTTTAGTAGAGACGGGGTTTCACCATGTTAGCCAGGATGGTCTCGATCTCCTGACCTCGTGATCCACCCGCCTTGGCCTCCGAAAGTGCTGGGATTACAGGTGTGAGGCACCGTGCTGGGCCACAACGTTTACTTTCAATTTTTGTTCTACCTAATCTTTTATAAGAATTTCCTTTACTAAAGTTGAATACCTTTGTGTGTTGTAACCATGTTGTTAAGTCAGTAAGAAGACATACTTGTTTCTTGGCCCTGAATGATGAGTCAGGTTTGTCAGCCTTTGACTCCCAGTTGGGGGCCAGCAAGGGCCTTCTACTGAGAGGACAGCTAGCTTGGGAAATCCTAGACCCTCCACCTTCCCGGCCATTTCCTAGTCTCTTACCTAATACGCAAGGAGTCTACCTAACAGTGTTTACCTTCGGTCAAGTTCTGTGTCACTGAAGGAAGAATCAGAGTGAGTAACTCCAACTGGAAGATCTTTTTCCTGGCAGGAAAATGAAAAATGTCAGATGTGGAGCAGGTTTGAGCACCATATTTCTCCGGGCTTCCCCCACCATTTCCTTTCTTTTCCTTCTCTAACCCTAGAGCCAACACTATGCAAGAGGAATACGGGGCCTCAGAGATGTGTGGCTTCGGGCTTAGTTACTCCTTCACCCAGAAGGTGCTCAGCCAGGGCTAGGGGGTGTGAGGCATGGGAGGGCCAGGGAAGAGAGAAATAGGAGTGGGGGAGGAGTCTGAGAAACTCAAGATCTTGAGGTACCTATGATGGACAGTGCTGATGGGAAGGATGCCCTGGCTACCCACCCCTAATCTGTCTTTGAGGGTGGCAAGCCCTGTATTAGAAGCACGGGGCTCGGGACTAAGGTAGGGATCTTTCAGAAGACCTCGGGACAGGCTATGTTGCCTGGATGACAGGACTGGCCACCTATAGGGAGCTGAGGCTGGGAGGGGTTAAAGGCAGTAATATAATCTCCCAGGATTTCCATAAGCAATGCCCAGTCCCTCCTAGGCAGCCTCCCTCTCAGCTGTCTGCTGAGAAGGTGCTGAGGATTCACACAGAGGCACAGCACAACCACCACGAGGACCTCCAATTATGCCTGACTTATAACCCAAGTGCTATGCTACCTATTTCTCTAAAGGGAAAAGCTTGGTTCTGAGCCCTCAACCATTTCAACAGCCACTGGAAAACATGGGAGGCCTGGTGGGCCATGTTTGGACTGATGTGGTCTGAAACAACATAGAAGAGGGCCAGGAGATGCCACAGGGATCTGGGGACACCTGGGGAAAGGAGGGAATGAGGGATTTTGCCTCAACTAAAGTGAGAATTAGTCGAGTCTGCAGGCTTTGCTCTGGGGTTTCCATCTGGTTGGAGTACCAGTCCTGGTGGCCCAGTTCTCTTTGATCTCTGCCAAGGACAAAGGTCTTCTAGCGCAGGGGTCCTCAGCTCCCAGGCCATGGAACAGTAGCAGAACCAGGCCGCACAGCAGGAGGTGAGCATGGGCGAGCAAGCATTAACCCCTGTGCTCCAGCTCCGGTGGGATCAGTGGCAGCAATAGATTCTCATAAGGGTGAGAACCCTATTGTGAACTGTCCATATGCAGGATCTAGGTTGCGTATTCCTTAAGAGAATCTGAGGTGGAACAGTCTCATCCCAAAACCATTCCCCACTCCCTACTGGTCCGTGGAAAAACTATCTTGCACAAAACTTGTCCCTTATGACAAAAAAGTTGGGGACTGCTGCTCTAGCATCCAAAATGATTAGATCCCCCTGAGTTACAGATGAAAGTTCCTAGGGGAAAGACATGGAGGACTAGTAGTAAGAAGGGAGAGACATCATGTGTTTTACTTACTGGCAATGCAGTGGATACCGTTTTGGGGATCTGATTGGACACTTTCCATGGGAATCTTTATAACCGAGGGAGGAGGGAACTGGGGCTGGAGAAAAACAGTGGGAAAAGAGGATAAACACCAACACAACAATTTGGCTTTCTTTTTTTTTTTTTTTGAGACAGAGTCTCGCTCTACTGCCCAGGCTGGAGTGCAGTGGTGCGATCTCGGCTCACTGTAACCTCTGCCTCCTGGGTTCAAGTGATTCTCCTGCCTCAGCCTCCCAAGTAGCTGGGATTACAGGCGTGCACCCCCATACCTGGCTAATTTTTTGTATTTTTAGTAGAGATGGGGTTTCACCATGCTGGCCAGGCTGGTCTTGAACTCCTGACCTTGTGATCCCCCCTGCCTCGGCCTCCCAAAGTGCTGGGATTACAGATGTGAGCCACCGCGCGTGGCCAACAACTTGGCTTTCTTGCCAAGATGGAAAATGCATGCATGAACATTGCAAACCACCATTCTGTTCACCTCTAAACAGTTAGGGGATGCTGCAAATACCCTGGGGTCCACTGAAGGGGAATGGGCACAGTTAGCCTGCTGTCCTATACACACCATCAGACAGACCGGAACTCTTCCAGGAATGTTACTCATCAAAACAGTTTTATCTGTCACAGCAACCAGTCACTTGGGAATGAACCTCACACAACAACTGTGTTGCTATAAGACAAGTAAAATGAATTTGTATAAATTGAATCCTGTTTTTCCATTGATATATCATAATTCAGAGATTCTTTTTCCCAACCCTGTAATAGTTCTTGGCATGTGGTAGCCACTCAGATATTTATTGAAAGTATCAACAAAAGAAGTATTTGTCTTTAAAAGGCACTTAGTCTCTGTTTCTTTGTTTTCAGAACCCACCTTTACAAATCATCTACAAACACATGCATTATGGGACTCTTCCTGGAAGAGCACAGTAATTAAGGACCAGGGGAGTTCTGACTGATCAGAAGATGGTTTAATCACCACCAGCCAGTCAGAAGGGATTTGCCTTGAACAGGTTTCATCTGCACAAGGCAAAATCACGAGAACAGGACAGGGTGGATGCAGGGACGTGAGTTTGGGTCAAATTGGGAGATTGGGAACCAAGCACAGCATTAGGAGATGGCACAGGCAGCTTAGCATATCAGAAACCAGCAAAGTCAGGAATTATTTTCTTAATTCCTTCTTAGAAATGTAGCTACATGTCCATTTTGGGTAAGTCACTTCCTTTTGTGGGGACAGTTTCATCATAAGTAATGAACACATGAATTAAGAATCTTTCTGCCTCATGTTTTGTGATTCACTATAATTTCTGGACTGGCCCCTTGTCTGTTGACTCCCTGAGTGTTTTGGGGATGAAATGGGAAGGGACCATGGGAGAAGAGGGGCAGATGGGGCAACCATGTTGTCCCAGACATCTGGGAAATGTAGCCAGTCTCCTTTTGGCGAGGATACCTGCCTCTTTCCCCATCTTTGTCCTCAATACCCTAGGCAAAGGCGCAAGCAAAACTTGTTCCCAGCCCCTCCTGCCTGTCTGGAGTCCAGTCTACTTATAAGGCCCCATTAGACACCTCTCCCCAAGTCTGCTCCACTCTTTGGAGGTCAGTCTTCATAACCTCCTTCCATGCTGGAGCTGCCTCCTGGCCCTTCCCACAGGAACCCGCTTGCTGTGATCACGGCCGTAAAGCCCACAGTGATGGAAAGAGTGGGCATGGCCAGTCACCTTTTCCCTGGACAGGGAGTCTCATTCACTCTGGCCCACCCTGAGGATATTCACATAAACAGAAGAGCCCTCAACACCCCAGACCAAGACAAGCAGATGCCCCAGCCCATCCTGGACTGGGCCGAGGCACTGCTGCAGGCCACCCAAGAAGCCGCCCTCTCCCTGTCCCTGGCAAAAGTGGAGAGAAGGTCTCTCAATTTCTCCTCTGTGCCCCGGCCTCACATCTTCCCCACCTCCTCATCACAGTCCTCGTGGGCCCCTTTTTTTCTCTTCCTCTTCTTGTCTGTCTCCTTTTTTTCCTTCTCTGGGAGGATGTTGTCAATCCAGGCCAGGTCGTGCTGGGAAAAGATGAAATCCAGAAGCCTTCGAACGATGATGAGGCCCAGGATCTGTGGTGGAGAGAGACTAAAGTTTTGTGAGAATTTGGAGAAAACTGTGGTCTCAATGCCCAAACTCAGGCATAGATTTTTTTCTCCCTCAGTCGGCTGAGTTCAGGGACTTTTTGTGGTGTCTTTGGAGCCGTCTCGAAGCTCCCATAAGCCATTATTCACTTTCCCTCCACCGTAGTTCCTCTTGTCTGGCCCCTCAGGTGAGTGACCATGCCTACCAGTGACCAAGAGGGACGGAGCCTGTGACAGCCGAAGTGGGGAGCCTCAGAAAGGCCATGGGCTGGAGAACTACAGTTATTCTTTAAATTAGTGGTTCTCAGCCAGGCGTGGTGGCTCACACCTGTAATCCCAGCACTTTGGGAGGCCGAGGTGGGCAGATCGCCTGAGGTCAGGAGTTTAAGACCAGCCTGGCCAACATGGTGAAACCCTGTCCCTACTAAAAGTACAAAAGTTAGCCAGGCATGGTGGTGGGTGCCTGTAGTCCCAGCTGCTCAGGAGACTGAGGCAGAAGAATCGCTAGAAACCGGGAGGCGGAGGTTGCAGTGAGCCAAGATTGTGCCACTGCATTCCATCCTGGGCGACAGAGCAAGACTCCATCTCAAACAAATAAAATAAATACATAAATTAGTGGCTCTCAAACTTGAGCATGCACCAGGACCTGGAGGGCTTGTTAATTAATACACAAATCACTGGATTCCCCCAGTTTCTGATTTAGCAGGTCAGGTAATGCCTGAGAATTTATGTCTCTAACCACTCTGTACATTTGCCAAAACTCATAGACCCACACATTGAATTTTACTGTATGCAAATTAAACAAAAAAATCAATAGGTGGAGGGTGTGGGTCTTGCCCTGCCCTATCTGGCTGTGTGTCCAGGGTCACTCTGCTCATGCTCTCTGAGCCTCATTTTCTCATCTGTAAAGCGGGGTTATTAGTGCTTTGGGGGCTGGTGTGGACTCAGTGGAACAGTACTCAGTAAATGCTAATCATGACTACTACTGCCTTTCCCTTCGCCAGCTCTGAGGCCCCTGAGGGCACTGGGGGGAGGATCTATCTCCCTTTCCCTGCAGTGGGGGTTCTCAACCCTGGCTGCAGGTCTATGCTCACCTGTGGACCTCATAAAAATACCAAAGTCTGGGTTTCCCTAGAGATTCTGATTTGTTGATCTGGGTTGATTTTCATGGGCAGCCCGGGTCAAGAACCATGGACTAGACCCCTCCCAGCAGTGTGCACTTCAAGTTCTCCTCAGTGTCCTTACTTTGTCCCCTACCCCAGAGCCCTCAGGCTTTCCCCAGGCATTTGCTGACACACTCCAGGCTCCTGGCAAGGGCCTGGGTCACTGCCCTCGGTGAGTTATCTAGGGGGCCAGATGCAACATGTTGTTGGCTTTGCATTCTTTTCACTTCTTATTTTGGAGTAATTTCAAACTTATACAATATTTGCAAGAATAGTGAAAGACCTGTAACCTTTCCCTTGCTCAAGCTTTATATATACCATCATTGGGTTTTGTTGTTCTTGATCTCTGACCCTCGTTCTTCCCCTGCCCCCCTACTTCACTATTTAGCTTTTTAAATTTAGCTATCTTGAATGGTGGAAAGATCTATATTTAGTACGCATCGACTTCTGAGACTGGTTGGAATTTTGGCAGTGGGAACTCGGTCTCCTGGTTGAACTGATTTTCTTTCTCCGTCCCTCCCTGGAGCCAGGAGGTAGGGTGGCTCCTGGGTTCTCACTGAGCGGCTCTGACATTCCTTCCTCCGCCTCCTCTCTGCCCCACCCCACACCATCTGGCCTGGACTCACAACTCAAATCAGGTCATTCTGTGCCAGCCTCCGTGACCCGAGGGAGCCAGGCCACAGCTGACAGGAAGGCAGAAGGTGGCAGGAGGGGAGGTTGCGCTGCACCTCTGGGTTGCCCAGGCCAACCTGCCAGGCAGGAGGGGGAAGCCCGTGCCCACTTTACCATGACCGGGAAGATGATGGCAGCCACCGTGGATTTGAGGATCCAGAGCACCGCCAGGCAGAGGATCTGCACCAGGGTGAAGAGGTGGATCCGGCGCAGCGGCACGTGCCGCAGGAAGGCATGGTCCGGCTGGTGCTTGGCTGGCATCAGGAAGAGCTTGCAGCGTTCCCAGAACTAGGGGGACAGCGGGGGCTCAGCCAGGCAGCCAGACCCCGAGGGCCCGCTGGGTCCTGGGACTAGGGGAAGGGGTGCCTGGGTGGGGTCTCAGAGAGGGGAAGCCCCCTGCTCAGGCCTTAAGGATGCACGGGAGGGGGGCTGGAGGTGTCTAGGCGGATGCATAATGGGGTCTTAGAGAAAGGGTCCTGAGCCCTGGGTGAGGGGAGGAGCCCTGGAGCTGGCCACAAAATGGACATTGTCCATATTCAGGGAAAGTGCAAGTTAATTGTAACACAAACTGTTTAAGAATTCTGGGATTTCACAGTAAATACAGAACAAAACAAAAATGTTTTCTTCTGCATAGCTGCCTTAGGGAAGAGAGAGAGGTACAGTGAAATGCTCACTGGAGTCAGCTTCTTCTGGATTTTGAATTCTGACCCTCCGGTCCCCATCTGTAAAATGGGGATCAGAGGACCTAATTACATAGATTCAATTATATGAGGCCTATGAAGTGCCTAACATATTTATTTTGCCTGATAGCATCAGTAAGTGGTAGTATCATTATTACTATTATTCTTTCATTGAATTAGGACAATTGGGGACAATTGGGACAACTGAATTGGGGGTCTTGGTGACATGGAACCAGACATGGAATGTTGACTCCAGATCATGAAGGGATCTGGAGGGAAAGCCTTACCTGGATGCCATTCAGGGAGGCCACGCCCATGTAGAGGAAGACTCCGTACAGCACCGGCAGGGGGATACACTAAAATGAGAGCAGAGCTTTGGATCGGCCTCTGCCTGGGGCGGCCCTTGGCCACCCTGTTCTGGATGACAGTGGCTCCTGACCACAGAGGCAGCTAGGAAACTGGATATTTGGGGGAACAGAGAGTCAGCAGAACTGGGATGTGGGCAGGGGTGAAGATGAGGGTCACTGGGGCTGTACTGCCCCTTCTCTGGCTGGGGTAGCTGGCCCAGCATGCAGCTGCTCTCCTGGCCTGGCCCCTCACTGCACCGTGCGGAGGCCATGTGGTCTGGCTAAAGAAATGCCTTCTGGAAAGTGAGAAGACTCCACAGACTGCCCCCTCCTCATTCCTGCCCAGCTTCTTCCTACCTCCAGCCTCAGCTGAGGGTCCCCTAAAACTGCTCAGCCTGCAGGGGCATGGGGACTTTTAATGAGCTGATCTACATCAGCAGCGAGTACCCGGGACACTTAACAGAAATCACGCATCCGGCCGGGTGTGGTGGCTCACACCTGTAGTCCTAGCACTTTGGGAGGCCAAGGCAGGTGGATGACCTGAGGTCAGGAGTTTGAGACCAGCCTGGCCAACATGGTGAAACCCCGTCTCTACTAAAAATACAAAAAAATTAGCCAGGCGTGGTGGCACATGCCTGTAATCCCAGCAACTCAGGATGCTGAGGCAGAAGAATCGCTTGAATCCGGGAGATGGAGGTTGCGGTGAGCTGAGATCGTGCTACTGAACTCCAGCCTGGGCGAAAGAGACTCTGTCTCAAAAAAACCAAACAAAGCAAACAAACAAACCCCCCCGCCCCCCAAAAAAACCAAAAAAAAACAGAAATCATGCCTCATACGCAATCACATACAAAAGAAGCAGAACAAAAGTGTGTAAACTAATCAGCACTCATCACCAACTAACCACCAATAGTTTGGCGGGTATCCTTCCCTCCAAACTTGCACACAGGCAATTTGTTTGCTTTTTCAAAAATGGGATCATAGAATTCATCCCACTCTACAAGAATGATTCCAAATCTTCACAGCCTTTCAAAGCATTCTTCCGCTGTCTCTCTCAGCTGTTTCTGCCCCTTACCTTCTCTCTTTCACCTGCAGCTGTGGCTCCCCATGGTGAGCAGAGGCTGTTCCTCCTTGTGGTCATGTTAGAGCACTCCGGAGAGCACAGAGCACTATGCCAACACTAGGAGGGCTTTAGAGGAATTTTTTGCCCCTAAAGAAGTCTGTTCTTAGATTTGAGCTTTTTTTTTTTTCTTGAGACAGAGTCTCGATATGTTGGCCATTCTGGTCTCAAACTATTGTTCTCAAGTGATCCTCCCACCTCGGCCTCCCAAAGTGTTAGGATTACAGACATGGGCCACCATGCCTGGCCGATTCGAAGGTGTTTTTTTTTTTTGGGGGGGGCACGGAGTCTCACTCTGTCTTGCCCAGGCTGGAGTGCAGTGGTGCAATCTCGGCTCACTGCAGCCTCCACCTCCCGGGCTCAACCAATTCTCCCGTCTCAGCCTCCTGAGTAGCTGGGACTACAGGCATGTGCCACCATACCTGGCTATTTTTGTATTTTTAGTAGACACAGGGTTTCGGGTTTCACCATGTTGGCCAGGCTGGTCTTGAACTCCTGACCTTAGGTGATCCACCTGCCTCGGCCTCCCAAAGTGCTGGGATTACAGGCTTGAGCCACCACACCCAGCCTGATTCGAGCTTTTTAATGCAAATACTTGTATGTTAAACAGTGTCAAAATTGACATACACAATGGCACCTTAGAACCCTCTCTACAAAAGTAAGTAGTCCCTGGCCATTTAAAATATATTTTTCAATAAACAAAATGCTTGCCCTCCTGTGTGTAATTTGTTTCCCCCACAAGGGAAATATCCCTTAAAAAATGCCAGCCTCCTACTTACTGCTCGGGTATGCCCAGCACCAATTCTCAAGCCAGAAATATTTTCCATTGTAAATACATCAGCCAGAATCATCATTCTTTAGCGTTTGTTTCTTACAAGGTCACCTCTGAATGAGGTTTTTTTTTTTTTTTTTTGAGAAGAGGTCTCACTCTGTTGCCCAGGCTGGAGTGCAGTGGCATGATCATGGCTCACTGCAGCCTCGACCTCCTGGACTCAAGTGATCATGCCTCACATGTACCATCGTGCCTGGCTAATTTTTGTATTTTTTGTAGAGATGGGGGTCTTGCTATGTTGCCCAGGCTGGTCTCAAGTGATCCTCCCACCTCGGCCTCCCAAAGTCCTGGGATTACAGGCATGAGCCACCATGCCTGGTCATGAGCTGTTTTGAGATATTCAAAGAGGAAAAATAATATCGGCAAAAGGTTGAGGCAATTACAGGTAAACTTAATTCAAGAAAGGAAAGTCTTACGTGGGCACTGATCAAGGGAAAGGGAGAGTGATGGGCGATTGGCTGGAGTGGAGAGCAGGGAAGCCTGGTGGGAACACCTTGCTTTCTGGAGTCTCTCCAGAAAGAGACCCTTGTGGGGGACGCCTGCCTCCATTGTACCCCTACTTGACTTAGTCTCTTAGCTGTTGTGGTGGGACATAAGCAAGAGGAGCTTCAAGCTGTGTGGGAAAAAGTCACTCGAGTCCCCAGACTTCCTGAGCTCAGGTGATCCTCCCGCCTCAGCCTCCTGAGTAGCCGGACTACAGGGATGTACCACCATGTTTGGCCTCCTGCTGCAAGTTTTAAACTTCATGAGCCCCAAACCCTGGCAATGTGGAAACACACCCCATTCAGGAAGTTCCTGATCTAAGCAGGGCTACAACTTGGCAGAACTTTCAGAGGGAAGAGTATCCTCCAGAAAGGTGAGAGTGGCCCTGGGATGGGTGGGAGAGAGGATTGGTGATGATAAAAAACTGCAGTATCACAGAAAACGGCGGTGACAGTGTGGAAACATTGCTTTGGCCTAGTAAGACTGTGCCTTTCTTTTTCTTTTCTTTCTTTTTTTTGTTTTGAGACGGAGTTTCGCTCTTGCTGCCCAGGCTGGAGTGCAGTGGTGCGATCTTGGCTCACTGCAACCTCCACCTCCCGGGTTCAAGCCATTCTCCTGTCTCAGCCTCCCGAGTAGCTGTGATTACAGGCACGTGCCACCATGCCTGGTTAAGTTTTGTATTTTTAGTAGAGACAGGGTTTCACCATGTTGGTCAGGCTGGTCTTGAACTCCTGACCTCAGGTGATCCGCCTGCCTCGGCCTCCCAAAGTGCTGGGATTATAGGTGTGAGCCACCATGCCCGGCCAAGACTGTGCCTTTCTTAGGGGGCTGATAGGCCAGTGATCCCTAGCCATGTGGGGACCCCCTCCCTGCCTAAGGCATCCGCTCTGCTTTCTCAGGCAACGAGGCCCTAGGTGACAGTGCAGGACCTCACCTTTAGGATGGGAGCCAGGAAGACAGAGATTCCCGTCAGGATGAAGACGATGATGCCGGTTACTCTCTGTTCCCTGGCAGAGAAGAACACATGGTCAGGGTGTACCAGGAAATGCCTGGCAACTACTCTGGCCCTCCTGCCCCTCTGTGGGCACCTGAAGCTTGTGTCCAAGGCCATGGCCTTGAGGGCTTCTGCATGAAGCTCTGCCTGGTTGCCTGAGGCCCAGCTGAACCATATGTGGGAAGACAGGCGGCCCCTGACTGGGGCAAGGGCATCTTGCAGGAGCATTGAGGGAGGCCGCTTAGTGTAGTGGCTTGTAGCTGGGGGGCTTGAGCAGGACTGATGTGGACTGGATCCTGGCTCTGCCACTTGCTAGTTATGTGGCATTGGGCAGGAGCCTGCCCATCTTGAGCCTCAGTATATGCAGATAATAATGGCACCTATTGTGAGGATACATGCGAGATAAAATGCTATTACTCTGCCCTTTGATTTTAAGATTTCGTTTTTGTGGGGCACAATGAATGAGGATCTGGGGAAGAGGACACCAGCAGAGCAGGTGTCAGGGGTGGGAGGCAGGTGAGCCCTGCAGTCGGGCAGAGAAGCCTCATTCGGGCAGGCTGGGCGGTCCAAGTATCTCAAGATAGTGGGAGAAGTTCTTAGGGCAGCCACGTAGGAGAAAGCCAGGGTTTGGTGTGGTCTCGCCCTGGAGGCCCTAAGGGGCTGAAGATGTACTTCTCTGCCTACCATGGGGCGTGAGAGAAGAGGCAAGTGAAGGAACAGGAGTAACAGGCAGGGCCACAGACTGGGGAGCGGGGGTGATCCCAGGACAGCCTTCTGGAGGAATAGAGACTGAGCAGGACCTGAACCCGCAGGAGGGCCATCAGGGCAGTAGGGGCCTGGAGGGTCTTGAGGAAGAGGAAAAGGGCAGGACAGCACGAAGCCTTGTGGGGACCTTGGGTGGCTGATGAAGATGAGTGTCTGGCACGTGTGCATATTTATGGATGGGGTATGCATACTGCTTGGAGCCCAGTAGGTAAAAAGCCCCACTTAGAGCTGGACTTCTGTCTCTCTCCTTCCCTCCCTCCAGGGATAGCACTCCTGTCCCTGTGGTTCTTGGGCCGTCAGAGCGGGGGCCCTTTTTGTCCAAATCCTTTTGTGGCAGGCAAAGCCAGCTTCTCCTCCCCGAGTGGGCCCCTCCCCATTGGGTGATCCCTAGGCCCTGACCCCTCCTACCTGACTCCCAGAAACTGGGGCTGCTCCCCAGGGGCACTGGTCTCTGTCTCCATCTTGAGGCTGTCGATGTGGGCGATGGAGATGACCGTGGCAGCCACGTACCAGGGGAGCCCCATAAAGGAGCACAAAGCCATGAGGATGCCCACCCAGAACAGGTCCAGATGGTAGCCGGCAGCCTTCTGCAGGAGCGGGGTTGGGGGAGGGAGAAGTTTCTGGGGAGCCAGTTCCTCCTGGATGCAACCATTCTGTGGAACATGGTTCAAGGACCCCCTGCCTTCCAGAAGATACTGAAGGGGCCTGAGGTGCTCCTTGCAAGGATTGCAGAGGTGGGTGTGTCCTGCCACCCCATCTGAAAGGGTGAACTGCCTAAGGGGTATGGGTCATAGAAGAGAGGGATGTTCAAGCTTGGAGAGGCCCTGGGTTTGGGTCTCTGGGGAGAAGGGCCCAGAAGGTGGCCACAGGGTCTTTGCGGTTCCTGAGGGGCCCCAGCTGGGACAGGCCACACCTAAAGTGGTCCAGACCTGGATGGGGGAGGGGGTGACCCGAGTCTTCTCAGGCTCACAGGCTGGGTGGGGAGTTGCAGAGACCAGGAAGGCTAAGGAAGTTCCTCTGCCTCAGTGTTCTAGGCTGAGCCCCTGTCAGGATCTGCTGATTCTCATAAGAACTCGAGGTCACTTTGGGAAAGACAGAGAGCCTGTGCCCAGTGGCCCAGCCTAGTTTGGTCCTGGTCCTCAGAAAGTCACTCCAGCCCTGGTGGCCTTACCCACATCTGGAGGTCACATTTCCCCCTCAACACACCAAGTGGGAACTCTAGTCTCTGTCCTCATATTTTCCTGGCCCAAAGTACTGAAAGAAGCATCATGTCCTTCCTTCGCTCTTTCTGACTTTGTGGGAAGAAAGAGGTTATGCCTCTGCTCCTAGTACCGGCCTTACCTTCAGTTTGTTCTCCTTCCGGTTGACAATGACGGCAGTGATCTGCTGGTCCATGAAGATCAGGATGGTCACCAGCAGGGCGGGCAGGATGCTTGCTGGGTATACCCACCACGGGTTCTTCCCAAAGGGGGCCACGAACCAGCCTCGGTCAGGCCGCGTTGGCTGAGTGGGAGCAAACAGAGAGGGGCCCTTTCCTCTCTCCCTTGTCCCAGGGCACTTGTCGCCTGGCCTGCTGTCCCACCTCCTCAACTTTCCCTGACTTTGGGTACTTTTCAAGTGCAATCTTTTCCCTTAAACACCTTAGGTAGCTGCAACTTTAGACTAAATTCAGACATGGGAAGGAGCATGCATGCAGACAGTGTCTGTAAAACTAAGAAGGTAATTTGCTGCAACAGCCCTGGGGTTTGTCAGGAAACATGGAGGTGAAGGTCAGAGGGCAGCCAGGAGAGAGAGCACAGTCACCTGCTGCAAATAACAAACAGCAGGAATGAGGCCCAGCAGAAAAGAATAAAGAAATGGGTGGGCCCAGGGCCAGCTGCTTCTGCCTCTCCTGAGTCACCTGTCTGGGAGCATTATAGAATTGTCTGTAAAATGCTGAACATCAGTTCAGTCCTGCATGTTCAGAATGAGGAGAATATATAAAAAGACTTTGTCTCAAAAAACAAACAAACAAACAACAACAAAAAAAACCTTAAAGACAGGGAGGGTAAGTTCTAGAATCTGGACTCCCTACTCTGGTGAGATCGTTGGTGCTCTTTTTTTTTTCTTTCTTTCTTTCTTTTTTTTTTTGTTTTTGAGACAGAGTCTTGTTATGTTACCCAGGCTGCAGTGCAGTGGCGTGATCTCCGCTCACTGCAAGCTCTGCCTCCCGGATTCACGCCATTCTCCTGCCTCAGCCTCCCGAGTAGCTGGGACTACAAGCGCCCGCCACCACGCCCGGCTAATTTTTTAGTATCTGTAGTAGAGATGGGGTTTCACCGTTACCCAAGATGGTCTCAATCTCCTCACCTCATGATCCGCCCACCTCGGCCTCCCAAAGTTCTGGGATTATAGGCGTGAGCCACCGCACCTGGCCGGTTGGTGCTCTTATGAGGGAGTAGGGCTGGGTTTAGCTACAAGCATATGTCACCAGTTCTAACTAGTGGGTAATTTCTAAGCAGTGGTTCTCAAACTTGAGCATACTCCAAGTCACCTGAAGGGCTTGTTAAAATGCAGATTGCTGGTCCCACCCCCCAGCTTTTCTGATTCCACAGGTGGGGCCGAGAAATTGCATTTCCAACGAGTTCCCTGTGACTGTGATGCCATGATATTGGTCTGAGGACCACACTTTGAGAATCACTGTTCTAAGGGATCAGTTTCAATGGATCCCATTTGGCCCAGCTTATAGATTGCTAGAGGTCAGGGAACTGGAGACACTCAAATAGGAATCAAGAGGCTTCTGCTGGGTTGGAGGGTGAATTCCAGTGCCTTCCTCACCTCGTGACTATAGATCAGGATTTCCTGGTGAATATGTTACCCCTCCCCGCCCTACCTCAAAGGACTGGCTCCTGGGAGCCTGTGTTCAGGAAAGGTGGCACACAGAGAACTAAAATGGTCTCTTGGCCAAGAGGAGAAGAGAGTTTGATCAGCACAGAGGGGAAAGAATCTGCAGCTGGTAGGCAGGCAGACTGGATGCCCAGAGCGAGGGAAAGGGGCAAACCTTGATGACACTGGGCACATGCAGCTTGGGAGTTTCTAGGCCAAAACAGGCATCGATTCCACAGAACATCAGGATGGAGAAAACAATGGAAAAGTCAGCCACCAGGGCCCGGACCTGCAGACAGGAGATGAGCAAGTAAAAGAAGTGAGTAAAGCACCCACCCAGCTCCAGGCAGCCCCAGTCCTCCGGCAGCAAAGAGGTGAACTATTACAGTCTGGGCTCTGAAGGCAGCAGAACTAGGCTCAAATCCAGGCTCTGCTCCTTGCTAACTGTGTGAGCTTGGGGAAGCGTGTCATCTCTCCAAGACTCAATTTCCTTCTCTGTAAAATGGAGATGATGGTAGTATCTCCCTCAAAGGTGTAAGTGAACTGTGACACATTTAGAGTGCTTGGCATATGGTGGTCAATGTGGGATCTGTTATGATCCATATGGCCATGGCAGCCACTGCTGAAGATGTGTTCTGGTATGACAGTCTGAACTGGGGCACCCAGCAGGTATGATGAGGGCAAGGGCTGGACTCTGAAGCAAACCTTAGTTCCTACAAGCCTGTGACAGGTTGTTGTACCCCACCTGGGCTAGGAGGGAGGCTCCCCAATTCCACTGGGGATCATTGGCTACACTCAGACCTTTTGTCCACCAAGAGTCTCTTGTTCCGCTGTTTCTCAAGAGGCCCTTCCTAGGCCAGGTTCTGAACCTGGAGGCCCTTCCTAGACCAAGTTCTGAACCTGACCTTCCTGCCCATTCTGAATCAATGTCCTCCGACCTCCCCTCCAAACCAACTCTATGTCCAGAAGTCTCAGGACAGATGGTCCCCCAACGTCTACCCTGTGGCCTTTTTAATATCTTTTCAAAGAAGGCAATTTGAAGGGCAGGGGCAGGTGACAGTACATTGACTTCATTCCCTGCATCCCCCTTTTCTCTTTAAATTTGTTATTAACATAACATATGTAATTGGTTAAAAACCCACATAGTGGAAAATACTTATGAGGAAAAGCAAAGTCTCCCACCTCCCCTTTTCTCAATCCAGCCCCGCCTTCCAGATCTATCCACTATGTCTGCTTGATTTTACTTGTTCCAGAGGTTCCCTCCATGTCATTAACTAATATGCATATACTTTAATATTTTCATTTACTAATTTAAGGGATTATCTATTGATAAGAATTTACCTTTACTTACACTGTGCCTCCTGTCCTTTCCTTATTCCTAATCTTTGATAGTTAATTTTAAGCTCCTATGGGTTTCCTTTGTACTTTCAAGTGATAATAATTAAACATCTCCTTCCATTAGCTTTGGCTAATATCTCTCATTCTCCATCTTGCAAGGTGAGGACCACTGCCTCTATCCTCCTACCACCTCTCTCCTCCTCCCCTCTTCCTTCCTGTCACACCTCCACTTTGACCTTTCCATTGTCGAAGCTGAGAACAATCATTTCTTGTTCCGTAAACACATGGCTTGTGTGTTTTATCTGTAAGTCAATTCCAAAAGTTGAAAATTAGTAACAGCTTTATATTATCATGATCATATAAATATTAGTCACAGCAGAACCAAGTAGTGTGCTGGGTTTATACTTCCTTTTCTATAATATTCCTAGCATATACATCAAAACCATATGAATGCTTATTAAGTTAAACCACATGAACTTGACTTTTTTTGTAGGTTGAAACAGTCAAATATGGGCAACTTCATATGGTCCAACCTAATCAGAGAGTGTCAGTTGCTCTCCAAATTGGATGTATCTGTCTACATTCCCACCTACTGCTTTCCATCTCCAACATCTGGTGTCCCAAGACCTTCATCTGTCTACCAATCTGATGAGTATAAAATGGTGTGGCCTCATTCCTCTCTGCAACCGGAAATTCCAGAAGGCAACTGAGCAATTTTTTTTTTTTTTTTTGAGACAGAGTCTCTCTCTGTCGCCCAGGCTGGAGTGCAGTGGCGCAATCTTTGCTCACGGCAAGCTCTGCCTCCCGGGTTCATGCCATTCTCCTGCCTCAGCCTCCCAAGTAGCTGGGACTACAGGCGCCCACCACAACGCCCGGCCAATTTTTTGTATTTTTAGTAGAGACGGGGATTCACCATGTTAGCCAGGATGGTCTCGATCTCCTGCCTTCGTGATCCGCCTGCCTGGGCCTCCCAAAGTGCTGGGATTACAGGCGTGAGCCACTGTGCCTGGCCCAACTGAGCAATTTTTAAGTAATGTGACGGAAAAAATGTTGTTGGCACAAGAATTTCATGCCACATGAATTACTTTTCATCCTGTAGGCAACAGATAGATACTCTCAGATACAGTGACTGCTTGAGAATTTTTACATAAGAGGAGATTGAGGGATGTGCTCTGGACTGGAAGTGGGCAGGAAGGAAGAGAACTTGTCTTGATGGTGCATTTGTGTTGTAAGCAAACTATTTTTTTACTCAGTTTATATACTGTGAAGCTTCCTAAAGCACCTTTTATTTAGTCTTTAGAAAATCTGGGAAAAATTCAACTATTTATTTCAAAGATTTTATCATTATGATTAGTAGCAGTAGCAGCTGTAATACTTAGTTAAGATGGCTTTAGGAGACTGCTAATGGAGTTTACGGTGGGAAAGAGTTGCTTAAATTCTTCCGAGTACCCCCCACCCCACGGCACAGTTACTGCTTATGTATGCAAGTGCTGTTTTCATAAATCTTTTATTCCAGCCACAAACAGGTAGAAAATAAAATTTAAAACAGCAGTTAGGGCTGGGTGCGGTGGCTCACACCTGTAATCCCAGCACTTTGGGAGGCTGAGGTGGGGGGATCACCTGAGGTAAGGAGTTCAAGACCAGCCTGGCCAGCATGGTGAAACCCCGTCTCAACTAAAATTACAAAAATTAGCCGGGTGTGGTGGCAGGCGCCTGTAGTCCCAGCTATTTGGGAGGCTGAGGCAGGAGAATCACTTGAACCCGGGAGGCGGAGGTTGCAGTGAGCCGAGATCATGCCATTTCACTCCCACCTGGGTGACAGAGTGAGACTCTGTCTCAAAAATAATAATAATAATAAAATAATAATAACATAGCAGTTAGCATTTACGACGGTATAAAAAAATCAAGTACCTAGGAATAACTCTAACAAAAAATGTTCAAGACTTAAAGATCAAAATGTATAAAACATTATGGAGAGAAAGAAGACCAAAATAAATGAAGTATACTGTATTCATAAATCAGAAAAACTCAAAATTTGAAAGACGTTAATTCTTCCCAAACAGAGGCAAAGATAATCCCATCAAAATTCCAACAAGTTTTCATTTTGGTGAAATTTAAGATGATTCTAAAATTCATGTGGAAATGCAAAGGGCCAAGAAAATATTATATAAAAAGGACAAAAGGGGAGAGCTTGGGAGACAAAGATATAAAGACTTATAAGCTACAGAAATGAAGACTGTGATACTGATATATAAATAAACTAGTGAAACAGAATAAAGAACCCAGAAACAGACCCTGTCATATAGGAATATTTGATATATGGCAAAGGAAGTATTGCAAAGCAATGGAGAAAGAATAGTCTTTAAAAAATACTGGAACAATTGACTATATAAAATCACAAAGAAACACTGTCTCACAGTACACATCAGAATCAATTCTGATGGATTGTAGATCTAACATGAAAGGAAAAACAATGAAGCTTTTAGAAGGTAACATACAAGAATATCTGCTGTCCAATATTTGCCTTGAGGAAAGTTTGATATATTCAATTACAATAAAACTAAGAATTTCTGTTAATCAAAAGATGCCATTAAGGATGTAAAAAGAAAAAAACAGTCACAGAGTGGGAGAAGATTTTGCAACACATATAATCACAAAAACATTTCTACCCAGAATATATAACAAACTCTTGCAAATCAGAAAGGCAGACAACCCAAAATGTGCAAGAGATTTCAACAGACACTTCCAAAAAGAAAGGCAATTGGGCATGTGGCCAATAAACACAGGAATAGCTGTATTTTCAACTTCATTAGTCATCAGGGAAATGAAAAATTTAAAAAACACAATGAGATACTACTATAGACAAAGACTAAAGATAAAAGCCTGACAATACCAAGTGTTGTCAAGGGGACCAGCCAACAAGGGAACACAGTTCTCTCTGACTTAACTTGAAAAACCCCAGTGGGCCAGTGCTCGCATGGAGTCCATCCTGTCGGTGGACCAGAACCCTCTCTGGGGGACTCAGCAGCTGTCTGACTGCAGGTCCCCTCCTAACTGCAGGGTGAGCTTACCTTGGTAGGAAAATAGCGGCTGAATTTGAACTTCTTCAGGGTCAGGGTCATGGAGTATGTCCCAAAGAAAAGGATGAAGGACATGAGCGCCAGGTCTGGGATAAACTTGCAGGAATTCCCAAGCAGGCGCCCGCCGTAGCTCAGACACTCCTTCTTGCTCAGCAGGGACCAGTCCAACGCTGTGAGGTTAAGGAGGTTGTACTTGGAGACCAAGCACAGGAGAGAATGGGTCAGCATCTTCCTGATGAGTCAGCTGTGTCCTTCCCACTGCAGTCCCCAGGCAGCCAGCATACCTTCCCACCCTCTGAGGGACCCCAGCCCCCCAGAGTGATGTTCCTGGGGACGGGCTGGTTCAAGGAATGACAAGCTCCCTAGGAAGATTAGGAGCTCACATGTGTTTCTTCATTGTGTTCTAGGATGCACTGCTGTGCTAGCAAGTAGGAAAAGTGCAGAGGCAGGATGCCTGGCTCCCATCAACCAACCACAGGTCCTGTGGACGCCTCCTTCCTGGAGTGTCTCATCTTTATTCTCTCCCCTCCATCCCCTCTGTCACACCCTTTCATATATGGGGGATCACCTCCCTTGTCAGTCCCCTCTTGGGTCATTTCAGCCATTCCCCACCTTGGTGTCTCAGATGCCTAAAATCCAAGGCATACACAACAGTGAATTTTTATATATAAATTTATTTATATATACATATATAAATTTATATATATATATATATAAATGTGTACTGTGAGACACACTCTGATGTGTACTGTGAGACAGTGTTCCAAGCCCCACCCTCACCCCATCTTAGCTGGCCTAGCCCACCCACTAGCCTCTGCACAGGTTTTGTGCTTTTCCTCTCTTGCCCTTCTGTCTATGCTGTTCCTTCAGTCTGGAATGTGCTTTTCTCTGCTGAGCCAACTTTTTCCCAACCTTGAAGACCAGATCGCATTCTACTTCCTCTTTGAGGCTTTTCTTGGCCTCTCCAGCAGCCTCCTTTCCTGCCTTCAAGATTGATGTACACATTTGGCCTATATTTAATGCATGGTACATTCTGCTTATGCTGTCCCATAACTTTTCAGGTTCTTCTCTACAAATATATTAAAAACAAATTTGAGGACAGGTTCTGTGTTGGTTTCTTAGATGTCTTTTTTAGCCTTCAGTGCACATGGCCCCTTGCATATAATAGGGATTCAGAAATAGGCACTGACTGATTCTGTTCTTTCTCTCTCAAAATTTGATACTTGGCCAGCCTGGGCAACATAGTGAGACCTTGTCTCTACAAAAAACTTAAAAATTAGCCAGGCACAGTGGCTGATGCCTGTAGTCCCAGCTACTCGAGAGGCTGAGGCAGGAAGATCACTTGAGCTCAGGAATTTGAGGCTGCAGTGATGATACGATCACACCACTACATTCCAGCCTGGGTAACAGAGCAAGACCCCATCTCAAAAAAAAAAAAACCCTAATCTTTGAAAAATATTAAGTTAAATTGCCAACTAGGATGTGTGTAGGCAGAGCAGTCAATTGCCTAGGCAGGAATAACTTAAGAAGCAACCTTGGAGACAGTAAAAGCTCACAAATGTCCCCCAAGTCCTACCAGGTGCTACCTTCATCTGGAATTGAACTTCTATCATTAAGCCACTTAGGCTGGGATGCTGGCTCCTGAAGACCACTGTCATTACTGGGAAAGGCAGACCATACCTTAGGCCCCAGAGACTAAGGTGTGCAAAGGACACATTAGATTCATTGAGGAAGAAACACTAATAAACTCTCTGGGGCTGGAGAGTGGCACTGCTAGAAATTGGGGGTCCTAGGCAGAAAGAGAAGGAAGAAGGCAGAAAAATGAATGGCAGGCTTTGCTTACAGCTTTGTGAGGCTCTATTTACCATCCCTCATCTCTACTTCCCCTTCCTTTGTGTGCGTGTCATATTATTATTATTATTATTATTATTATTATTATTGAGACAGGGTCTCGCTCTGTCACCGAGGCTGGAGTGCAGTGGTGCGATCTTGGCTCACCACAACCTCTGCCTCCTGGGTTCAAACAATTCTTGTGCCTCAGCCTCTTGAGTAGCTGGGATTACAGGTGTGTACCACTACACCCAGCTCGTATCATATTATTAATACACATGAGGGGGCCAGGCGCGGTGGCTCACGCCTGTAATCCCAGCACTTTGGGAGGCCGAGGCCGGCAGATCACTTGAAGTCAGGAGTTCAAAACCAGCTTGGCCAACATGGTGAAACCCCGTCTCTACTAAAAATACAAAAAATTAGCTGGGCGTGATGGTGCGTGCCTGTAATCCCAGCTACTCAGGAGGCTGTGGCAGGAGAATTGCTTGAACCTGGGAGATGGAGGTTGCGGTGAGCCAAGATCACGCCACTGCTCTCCAGCCTGGGCAACACAGTGAGACCCTGTCTCAAAAAAAAAAAAAAAACGCACAAAAAAACATGGATTTAACAGAATGAGGCATGTTTTTAAGTGGGATGTTTACAGTATATACCTAAGAAAAAAGTGTTCATTTACAAAGCTCTGCAGGTGACCCTGACGTGCAGCTGGAGTTGACCTCTGCAAGTCTGGGAGGCCATAAGTTGGTCTCATTTCCAAAATCTTTTCTCCCTCCTCCTACAAACAAAAGCACTCAAATGTCTAACATAAGAGGAAAGGACTTACCAGAGAAGCGTTGGTGTCTGGTGCCAATGGGGCTGAAGCATTGAACACGGTTGTATTCACTGTGGATGAGCACATGACACGGGGCAGGGTCAGCAGCTGTGGGGCTGGGAGCTGCATTCCCAACCCCTTCCCATCTCCTTCCAGTTCCTTAGAGCCAAGGCCTGGCTTCCATTGTGAGGGCAGCTCCCTCTCCACCTTCCTCACTTTGCCCCAGTTAGGGAAGGGCTGGTGGGACAGAGCCTGGGCCACAGCTCTGACAGACCAGCTGGGCCAGGACAGCACCTGCCTGACCACGAACAGCTGGTTTTAAAAACTGAAATAAGGAATCTGGAGCCAAGACAAAGTGCTAAGACAAACTGGAGGATAACGTGCCTTGTGAATCTTCACCGGCCACTGGGCTTTTAGACTTAAAAATGTTCAAAGAACTTACTCTATGCCATGCCCTATGCCAAGCCTTTACATATATTCATTTGTTTAATTCCCAGATCTTCACCAAGTATGCCCACTTTACAGATGAGGTAACTGAGGCCCAGAGAGGTTATGTAATTCATCCAAGGTCACACAGTTCATACTCGGAGCCATGATCCCATCCCAGAAAGGCTGGCCCAGAGCCTATAAACTTCCCAGCTCTACACCATGAACTTCCCTGCCCTGTTCACCTCCACAGATACGTCCCTTCCCTTCCAGCCTCTTTTTTTGCCCAGGCTGGAGTGCAGTGGCGTGATCTTAGCTCACTGCAATCTCTACCTCCCAGGTTCAAGTGATTCTCGTGTCTCACCCTCCCGAGTAGCTGGGACTACAGATGTGTGCCACCATGCCTGGTTAATTTTTTGTATTTTTAGTAGAGATAAGGTTTCACCATGTTGGCCAGGCTGGTCTTGAACTCCTGACCTCAAGTGATCTGCCTATCTCAGCCTCCCAAAGTGCTGGGATTACAGGCATGAGTCACTGCACCCAGCCCATATGTGCTTTTTATTAAAGGTCAGCTAGGCCTGAAATAACTTGTTGCTTTGGTATCTTTTCTAATCTGCCAAATGCAAGTTGAGGAAAGTTAAACCAAAGTCCAGGTCCTGAAGCAGAATCGGGAACCCAAAGGTGCTGCTCTCAGCGGCTCTCTCTGCATTCCTTGCTGGGTACTTCCCTACCCTGGCCTCAGTGTCCCTAACTGCATGTGGATCACATGACGGTCTACAGGGAGAGTTTCAAGGAACCACTGTTGCCCGTCTCTCCTTTCCATGTGGACCCTTCTGCTCCCCCGTTCTGCAGTCTGTCCTTCCTTTGCTCCTCATTCACAGGGCCAGGCTCCCCTGGGATGTGGCCACCCATAGGAAGTCAGGCTTTGGAGGCCTGCTGCCCTCTCTCTTCTTCCTGAACTGCTACGTTGCTCACTCCCAGGCCTGCTGACGCTGGGTGGCTAAGGAATTCCATCTTGACCCAGGGCAGAATATTCCTAGAAGCTCTACCAACCCAGAGGTTTGTTAGGATTGTTCTGAGGAAGGCTTCATTTATTAGAAATTGGGGTTCTATTGCCTTTCCTCACATCAGTGACCAAAAGAACATGATGTGCAATTAATGATGGAGACAGAGAAGCCGGGCAGGAAGGCTGGCTCAGGGCTTCTCATTCAAATGCTAGAGAACTCCTGGCTGACGCTTGAGCCTGGGGAGTTCAGATGTCTTTTTCACTACCCAATGTCTTCAGACCACCTTTGATGTCTTCTGCTTATGCTTATCAATTCTTTTATATCGAGAACTCTGTAGGGTTTATCTGAAAGCCACTTGAGATGAATATGAAAGAAATATAACATGGAAAATTTCAGAAAGGGTCCAAGTATCAAACATTTTAAAATTCCAGTGTTTACAAAGTGGTACTCACTTGGGATTGAAAGCAGCCAAATCAGTGTGTGCAGCATTCATAAATAGAATACAAATCAGTTACAATGGAAGCAAAAGCAAATTGAAAGAGAGTGCCCCCAAACAAGCTTTTATGATGAAGAGTGACAAAGAGTGAGAGTATACTATAGTAAGACTGGGCTTCGCAGTAAAACTAGGAATATGGGCCCATTACTAAGTAGGTGGCCCATGGACCGGGAAAGAAACCCTCCACAGTTCTCCCCCCTCATCCCAGTCTCCTAAATGTGTAGAATTTTCCTTTCCATGTTATCTTAATCAAAACTAACTTGTTCTAGTTCTAGTTCCTTTACTTTCTGTGAAGAAACTGAAATTTTAATCTTACTGGGGTTTAGTGGTCAATAACGGCCCATTATTACTAACAGTTCAATAGAGCAATGGTTCTCAAACTTAAGAGTGCATCAGAATCAATTGGAAGATTCAATATACATCTGCTTGGACCCTACTCCAGAGTTCTTTCGCTTGTTTGTTCGTTCCTTCCTTCCTTCCCTCACTCCCTCCCCCCTTCCTTCCCTCCCTCCTTCCCTTTCTTTCCTTTCCTTTCTTTTCTTTCCTTCCTTTTCTTTCTCTTTCTTTCTTCTCCTTTCTCTCTCCCTTCCTTCTTTTCTTTCCCCTTTCTTTCTCTTTCTTTTTTCTCTCTTTCCTCCTCTTCTCTTCTCTCTTCTTCTTCTTCTTCCTCCTCCTCCTCCTCCTTGCTCTCGCTCTCCTTTTCTTTCTTTCTTAGAAATAGAGACAGGGTCTGGCTATGTTGTCCAGGCTGGTCTCAAACTCCTGGGCTCAAGTGAAATTCCTGTCTCAGCCTTCTGACTAGCTGGGACTACAGGTGTGCACCACTGTGCCCAGCCAGAGTTTCCGATTCAGCAGGTCTGGGGTAGGAGGCTACGAATTTGTATTTCTAACAAGTTCCCTGATGCTGCTGGTCCAGGGACGACATTTTGAGAACCATGACAATAGCATGACCCCAAAGAATGAGGTGACATCAGGCACCTGGGCAAAGCCAGAGGGGAAGCTATTTGGGAACAGGTGGCTTCATTATGTCCCTCATAATGCACCTTATATGATCCTATGGCCCTTGTTCCTAGAGCACCCCGGGTTTGTTTTTTCCTGTGTATAGATGATTCTCAGAATGGCCAAAGTGGCCAGGCACGGTGGCTCACCCCTGAGTTCCCAGCACTTTGGGAGGCCAGGGCAGGCAGATCACGAGGTCAAGAGATCGAAACCATCCTGGCCAAAATGGTGAAACCCTGTCTGTACTAAAAATACAAAAATTAGCTGGGTGTGGTGGTGCACACTTGTAATCCCAGCTACTTGGGAGGCTGAGGCAGGAGAATCGCTTGAACCCAGGAGGCAGAGGTTGCAGTGAGCCGAGATCGCGCCATTGCACTCCAGCCTGGGCGACAGAGTCAGACTCTGTCTCAAAAAAATAAATAAAATAAAAATAAACAGAATTTGGATTTTTTCTAAAAGAGATCAAGGATGTGTGCTTCTAGAAGCTATGTTTGTGTAAAATTTACGTCAATGCAACACTGAATCTACAGTCTATAAGATACAAGCACGTAGGAGGGCCCTGATGGGGCTTCCCCACAGAGGCAGGATTTGCTCCAGGGCAGAATGAAAAGGGCCTGCCTGCAGGTAGGATCCCCTCTGGGCAAGCAACATGCCTTGGCTCAGAACAAAGGGTAGCATCACCTGTCATTAGATTTTAGTGGAATAACTCAAAATTAATGACAGAAAAAAAGAAAGAAAAAAGTCTGGACTTCTTTACAAAATCAGTGCAGTCACAGAGAGAAGGGGTTATAATCAAAACTGAACTCTCTGAAGGCAGGACATCTTTATCTTCCACAAGGCCTAAAGTAGGGCATACAATAATTGTGCAGCAAATATTTTCGATTGACTTATGATTTTTTTTACCCGTAGTAATGTATTAAGGGGCTGAACCCACTATCCACTTATTTCCTTCAACTCAATCGGGGTATAGATTTGGAAACCCCACAGGAGTCCCAGGAGACCACCAGGGCCCGCATTGAGACCCCTCTTTTACAGCCAGGGAAACTGAGGCTTGGCATGACCTTGGGTGGTCTCTGGACCTCAGTTTGCTCTCTGTGAGTCCAGCCTTGGTGCTTGGAGATGTGTGCATAGACCTCCTGCTCCTGCTCTGCAGCACCCTGGGCACTCTGGGCACATCCCACTGAAAGCTCTTAGGGGCATGATCATGACTATGGAGGAGGCTCAGATGCTATGGGAAGCCCTAATTTACAGATGACAGGTGTTTTGGCCAGAAAGTAACTCCACAGGAGTGGCACTGGGTGTTACCAGGTTGACCCCATCTGTACAGGGATCCTTTTTACAATATCCTTGGCAGATGGACATCCAGAGAGTGTCCAAGTAACTTGCTACCAACCAAGGGGGCCGAGAACTCCCATGGTGGTTAACGCCCACCATTGTAGGTTCTTTCCTAAATTCAGCCAGCATCTGGCTTCCTGGAGCTTCTGCTCCCTGTTCCTCATTCAGCTCTACATCCTGTGGTTTCAGAGGGTGAACACAGCTCCTTTGTGACATGACAGTCCTTCTCTCATAACTCTCATATTCATAAGAGGCTGAATAAGCCCCGGTTCTCCAACTGTTCTCAGATGGCATGGATGACAGAGCCTCCACTCTGGACATGTTTCCATCTGTGTGGATGTCCATCCCTCAGGTGTGGTCTCACCTTACACGGTATGTGGCCACACGGGCAGCTCTGTCTTGGGGAGAGCTCATCGTATCATGACTTGATGGAGCTGGGCGGGACTTCAGGCACCATCAGTTCTATCTCTGGCCTGCAGCAGGAACCCCTGAGTGGCACTCCTGATAGGTGTGGCCTCCACATTACCCCACACTGAGGCAAAGCATGCCTTACTCCTTCCTAGGATATCCCTGTGCCCTCCTGATGACAACCCTGTGACTCTTATTAGAGCTACTGTCCCCTTGGTTTCCTTCCAAACACTGGGTTCAAGACCCTGTATTTGCTCTCTTGGAACTGTAAGCCCTTGGCTGAATGGCCCCTCCCCAGCAGTAGAAGTAGAGAGCTGTGGTGAAGGATCAGGGGGCCGGTGGGGTAGGTGAGGGCCCACGGCATGTCTGGGGTTACCGGTCACCTGTGTCAGGGGCGACACACTCGCACTTGTAGGTAGTGATGAAGTTTGGCTTGAAGTCCATATTGATAGGGTAGTACTTGAAGGCACCGATCATCTTCTTGATGGCATCGTAGATGAAGATGAAGCTGATAAGGGTGGAGAAGCCCTCCTCGGTGAAGCGGGTGATATATTTGATGATAAAGCTGGCATCTGTGGCCACTAGGATAAGGCACTGGACAGCTGAGTGTAGGCCAATCCAGAGGCGGAACTCCATGTAGTCCAGGCCATTGCCTCTGGAAGGCAGAGGGGAGGTGAGGGGCCTCCAGCCCAGGGCTCCTGGCTGTGCTTGACTCCTCAGACTCATCCTTAAGTGGCTTATCTGTCCTCCTGTGGCACTGATGCCCTCCCAGGGACTGTGAAAGACTGGGGACAGGGACAATTCTTGGGCAGAGTTGTCTGATCTTTGAGATTTCATGGGGGTCCAGTGTTCATCTTTATAAGAACTTTTTTTTTTTTTTGAGAAAGAGTCTCTCTCTGTCACCCAGTCTGGACTGCAATGGCGTGATCTTGGCTCACTGCAACCTCTGCCTCCCTGGTTCAAGTGATTCTCCTGCCTCAGCCTCCTAAGTAGCTGGGATTACAGGCACCCGCCGCCACGCCTGGCTGATTTTTGTATTTTTAGTAGAGACGGGGTTTTACCATGTTGGCCAGGCTGGTCTCAAATTCCTGACCTCAGGTGATCCGCCCGCCCCAGCCTCCCAAAGTGCTGGGATTGCAGGTGTGAGCCACCACGCCCGGCCAAAAAAAAATTTTTTTTAAAGATCTTATGGAGGAGGCAGGAAGGTGCCAAGACATCTCAGTGCTCACAGTTGGTAACAGACACCAGAGTGAGTGAAAAACAGGGAATTTTGGAAGAACAGGGTTGGAGCAGCCCTTGGAAATGGTCTGGTCCAAACCCTCATGTTGTAGAGGAGGCAACTGAGCCTGGAGTAGTGATGGGAGCTGCCTGGGTCTGGGTGTAACCTTCTGACCTTCAGCCCAAGACTTCATACACTATACTGCCTATCAAGTCACCATTGCTCACAAACTGAGTGGTGTGAATTTTCTCCTCTTGTCGTGGCTGGTCCCTATGGGCTGTGCCAATATGCACTAAGATGTCTTAAAGGCAGGTAGCTGGCAGGAGTCAGGAGGGGCCACCTGGTAGCCCTTCCCATAGTTAAAGATGGCTTTGGCACCACCGCACCACCACCTACCCTTGGGACCTATTCCCCTGCCCTAGCCCCAGCATACTGCCCCAAATGCGAGAGCAGGCACTGGGGGCCACCAAGGGACACCTACTTGCTGAAGTCGAAGAGGAGCTTCTCAAAGATGAGGATGGGCCCCGTGCTGCTGAGAATGATGAGAGGCTGTCCCGAGAAGAGGCAGAACAAGGAGCCAGCCATGGCAGTGCCCAGGAAGCTCTCCATCACTCCCTGGGGGCACAAGGAATGTGTGGTTCAGCATAGGAAGGAGAAGCGGTCTCTCCACACAGGCTGCAGCCCCAGCGATCTCTCCACGGGCCCAGGCCACAGTGTTTATCCTTCGTTCTGGGCCCTTTCCTCCCTAAATCCTGTTCTCCATCTCCTACACCCTCCACAACTTGCCACCATGGCCATTGTCACTCTGTTTAATTCCATCTAGATAAAGGTACCATGTGACTTCCTTCTGGCACCCAGGGCCTAGAAAACAGTGGATGTGCTTTTCTCTGTGTCCATTCTACTCCCAGAGGACAGCCCATTTATCCATCTGATTATTCATTCATCTAAACATCTGTTTGGTGCTTTTAGAGGTCAGATCATTCATTTATTCAAAGTCCGCTGAGTGTCTGCTGTGTACCAGGCATTGTGAAAGGTATTGAGAACCCATCACTGAACAAGATAACATATCTTCATTCCAGTGGGAGACACAGGTAAGTAACCAGGCAATTCCCATATAGCAGGGTTTCTCAACCTCGGCACAATGGACATTTTGGGCTAGATGATTCTTTGCTGTGGAGGGTCTGTCCTGTGTATTGTAGTGTGTTTAGTAGCATCCACAGCCTCTACACATTAGATACCAGTAGGAACCCTCCTCCCAGTTATAACAATGAAAACTGTCTCTAGATATTGTTAAATGTCTCCTGGGGTGAAAATTGTCCCTGGTTGAGAGCCACTGCCAAGAGGTGTGCTGGGATAGGTTTAGGGTGCCACAGGAGCACGCAGTAGAGGTAAAGATGTAGTCAGGAAGGCCTCCCTAGAAGTAGATAAGTGGAAGCTGAGATCCAAAAAATGAGCAGAGAATTGGCCAGGGGAATAGGGTTAAGTGGAGTGATAAGAAACAGTGTCCCAGGAAGAGGGAATAGTGTCTAAAAGGTCTGGAGCTGAAAAACAGCATGTACTTGAAGAACCAAAAGATGATCAGGATTGATGGAAAACAGAATGTAGAATGGTTGGGGAGGGTAGGAATGCTGAGAAAGAGAATGCTGGGAGATGAGGCGTGAGAGCCAGGTAGGGCCATGTGGTGAGGGCCACATGGGGCAGCTGGGACTTATGAGTCAAGGATAATGCTTAGTTTCCGGTGTAGACAGCTGGGTGAACCACGGTATCACCTGCTGTGCTGGGGAAGGGCAGGGAGCAGCACGTCAGGAGGGAAGATAAGGGACGCAATGTCAGCTGTGTGAACTGGGGGATCCTGAGGGGCAGCCATGGGGAATCCTGAGGGGCAGCCATGTGGACATGCCCAAAAGGCAGCTTGACAAATGGGTCTTCTCCTTGGGGTACTGAGCTTTCCAATGGCTCTACTTTGAAGGCCTCCATTGGAGAAGACCCTTGCCTAGGAGATTGGCAGGTGTCTGCTGAGCTGTTTTCCCCAGGGAGGCCTGAGTTGTTGTCATGGCAACAGCTTACCATCCTTCTAAAAATGTCTTAACTCCAAACTAAGAATTCAAGGTTAGTTTTTAAAAAGTGTGGGGAGAAGGCCACAATTAGCACTCCATTAATTGTGCTGATTAAATTCACTCCAGCATCAGTGGGAAAAGTACCAAATAACACAGCAGATGATTCCCCTTAACGGTTTGACCTATTTAAATAATCATTAAGTTTGGTCTTTAGTAATGAGATTTAGCTTCAGATCTTTTAATATTGTCTTATTATATTATTATTACTTGAAGCGTAAAGGATTACAAATAGTGATGGCCTCAACCTGGATGGTAGATGAAACCTTGGTTTTGGGATTACAGGATGAAGCTTCCTGCTGCCACCAGGTGGCGGCAGATCTTACTTTTACACTCAGGGCACCGGCTCGCACACACCTGATAATTGTCGGTGGCATCCCCCAGAAGCCCACCAAAGGTGATCGCGTTGGTGATACAGCCGAGGTAGATGAATAGGATGGCAGAGATGGACTGAATGTGGAAGCCATCATAGAAGTCACTTGGGAACCAGGGCAACTTCCTCTTGATATCCAGACACAGGCCACCGAAGAACCTGCTCAAGACAGGCCCAGGGGCTGCTTTCTCACCACTAACACCAGTGCAGGGGCAGGGCTATTTACAAGAACTTGCAGAGTCTGGGGCGAGGAAAGGAACTTGACCAGGGTGGATGGGGCAAAGATCTTTCCACCAGAACATTTAGGGCCAGGGATGAATTCCTGTAGGACTGAGTTTGTGGTTGGCACCACCCACATTGGGAAGGGTGGACATAGAGGGTTTTGGAGAGGGAAAGTCTGATGGGAATATGTCCTGGGGTAGACCTAACATTCCATGGAGAATGGAAGTCCTGGGGTCCACAGATGGTGGTCCTCCTCACATCCCTGACCATCTGCAGGGTGCCTGCTCTTGGTGAACACAGGAGTGTCTAACTTTCGGTGACAGAAGCATCCCAGATTATAACAGATTCATTAAGAACAGATCCTAAACCTTATAACTGGTTGGTATTTGTTTGTTTTTTGATTTTGCTATCTGGAACAGCTGAGTGGAAGATTTTAGGTTTGGAGACACTGTTTACTGGGATTGCTATTCCCATAGCCCCTAATGCAGTCCTTAGCATGGAGCAGAGTTTCTCAACCTCAGTTCTGCTGATATTTTGGACTGGATACTCCTTTGCTGCAGGGGCTGTCCCATGCACTGCAGGATGTTTAGCAGCTACCTACTAGATGCGAGTAGCATCTCCCCTCTCCGGTTGTGACAAGCAAAAATGTCTCTGGACATTGCCAAATTCCCTGGGCTCGGGGGTAGGGGGACTAAGGAGGGCCAAAGCTGCTTACAGTGAGAACCACTGGTATAAAGCCAAGGGCATATAAAACATGACTTCATTCTCAAAGTCATGATTTATATGTAGATTTTCAAGGCCACATCCTTTCCTAAATCTAGATCAACCTGAATGACTCCAAGAGCTGGAAAAGAAACCCAGGCCAGGAGAACTTTCTCTTATTTTCTTTAAAAAAAAAAAAAGTTTTTGAATAGGTAAATTAAGTTTTAAAAAAGGTACTGTTATTGAGTTGTGTCCCCCCAAAAGATATATTAAGGTCCTAACATCTATGTAACACCTATGCAAATGTAATCCAGTTTAGATTAAGTCATTATGGTGGGCCCTATTCCAACATGACTGGGGTCCATACACAAAGAGGAAAGTGCTCTGTGAAGACAGACACACAGGAGGCCATGTGGTGGAGAGGCAGAGCCGGGGGTGATGCGGCTGCCAGCCAGGAACACCAAGGACTGCTGGCCACCACCAGAAGCCAGGAGGAGGCCAGGAAGGATTCCACCTGGAGCCTCAGGGAGCACGGTGGTCCTGCCAACACCTGCTGTGGAACTCCTGGCCTCCAGAACTGCAGGAGAGTAACCTTCTGTGGTTTTAAGCCACCTAGTTTGTGGTACTTTGTTACAGCAGACCCAGGAAACAGGCACCAAAGGATATCTAAGAGAAAAGTTTGGGTTCCTCTCCTCTTGTATGGGTCTCAAATTCCCCTCTCCTGAGGCAACCTTTTGGGGATCCATGATGGGGTTCAAGGGCTCTGGGAGGGAAAGAAGGCAGGGGTGACCTCGAGTGGGCACTACAGACCATGGTTGGGAAAAGTCCCTAGAGGGCAGCTGAGAAGGGAGAAGTCTAAAGGACAGCAGGGTCACTGGGAGGCCTGGGGTGGGCACCTTCCTGTCCAGATAAGTTCCTCCCCGATTTCATGCATGGCTGGCATCTCTCCATCATCCCCGCTGCTTGTTCCGCCGGCCCCGCCACTGCCAGCCCCGCCGCCACTGCCACCACCACCACCACCTCCATTGCCTCCTCCAGGAGCTCCGCCGCCTCCTCCCACAGAGCCATTCATCTGGCCCAGCTCTGCTAGGGAGAACACAGATTTCCTGGAAGAGAAGGGGGATGAAGGAGAGTGGGTCCCCCAGAGCACCCCTCACCTCTCCAACCAAAATTATGAAATATCTTAAAAGACAGACAAAAATGCAGAAAATTGTCTAACAATATCCACACGCAGGTCACCTAGATTTTACAAATGTTCACATTTAGCCATATTTGTTTCTGATATATCTTATTATTTTTAAACTTATTTTAAACATTATTTTGAGACAGGGTCAAACTCTGTTGCCCAGGCTGGAGTACAGTGGCATGATCACAGCTCACTGCAGCCTTGACCTCCTGGGCTCAATCAATCCTCCTGCCTCAGCCTCCAGAGTAGCAGGGACTATAGGTGCATGCCACCATGCCCAGTTAATTTGATTTTTGTTTTGTAGAGACAAGATCTCACTATGTTGCCCAGGCTGGTTTCAAACTCCTGGGCTCAAGTGATCCACCTGCCTCAGCATCCCAAAGTGTTGAGATTACAGGCATGAGCCACTATGCTGAGCCTCAGATGTATTTTAAAGAGAAATAAAATGATACCGACAGAGTTGAAGCCTCCTTTTTCTCTCCCTACTGCCCATTCTCATACACACCTCTTGTCAGCAGAGGGCACCTTCTTGGGGGGCTCAATCCGGATATTTGGGTCCCATTCTCCAGGAGGAAGGACGATGACCTCATCCAGAAATTCATCAATTCCTGCGATCAGATCTTCCCGATTGCGGGCTTTGTAGGCCACGTCACTGAAGAGCTGGCGAGGAGAGAGGAGGGAGAAAAGAAAGATCGGGTCTGTTTCTGAAATGCCTGGGAGCATATCACATCTAGTTTTTAAAGGAATCCCTTTGAACCACATCTCCCACTGCCAACTCACTCTCAGTTTTTGGAATGAGACTATAGTACATTGGTAAAATATGGCACAATGGGACACAGCAGGCACTGGGGGAAGACAGCCTCTCTTGGATCTGAAGGCCAGGTCTCCATATTCTTGCTTGTAGGACTTCGGTTAAGTTACTTAACCTTTCTGTTTTCAGTTTTCCACACATCATACATATTAGAAAACCTTTGTAGAGCCCAGTCCAAGGAGCTCAGATATTTCATAACCATTTTTTACTTCCAGCCCTTCGCCCTTGGAGGCTCAGGCCGTGTTCTTCACACTGTCTCCAGAGTGTGCTTTCTGACTTACAGATTCGATGGGACTATGCTCACATTTAACCCTTTCCCATTTAGGCAAAAAAAAAAAGTGCAGCTCACTGCCAGCACTCATTTAATTTTACATAAACACACTCTTTGAGGCCGAAGCAAATCTGACTGATTTTCAATGTGAAAATGCAATATAAAAATTATTCTTAGAATTATTTCTAAAAAGAACTAACATTGGAATCATTGGAATGATCAGAATCATCTATTTTGGAAACACTGGATTCATCAAATGAATCTTAGGCCAAAAACTGTTCGAGAATGATGTTAGCATCACTCGTAGGAATGCTAGTTTTCTAGGATTTGATATTTTCAATGATTGAGAGTTAGTGTATTTTGTAAATGGAAATGCCACAACTAAAAACAGAATGCTTTAAGTAGAATGATGTCTTTTGTTTCCAAAGTCAACATATAAGAGCAATGCAAAAATAATAATAAAAGTGAGACATTTCGTGGGGAAAAGTTATCTCAGGGTAAAGCCTGCAGCCGCAAGCACCGCCAGTGAGTATTCTTGGCACAAACGGAAAAAGAGTTAAAGTCCTCTAGGCTCCCCATCACTCTGGGGACAGAGTGTGACTCAGCTCTGCTTACAGGCTCTGTGTAGTCTCTGGCTCACCTCTCCAGTATTACCTCCTGCCCTTGAAGCTCTTACACTGAGCCTATATCAAACCACCTCCATCCAGCTTCTCTGAGCCTGATCCATTTCCTTTGTTTGGAATGCTTGCCTCACAGCCTGGTGCTGGGTCTACCTTCCTCCTGCTCCTCCTTAGCTTTAAAGCCCCCTCATCTGTGAAGCCCTCCTTGACCCCCTGGGCAGCTAGCACATGGTTAGTTTTACAATTATCAATCTGTCCCTCACACTTGATTGGTTCTCCTAAAGGACAATGACTATTCCCTGATTCTCATAATCTTTAGCATCCTATGTAGTGCCTGGTACACAGTAGGTGCTCAAATGTGCTGGCTGGATAAGTTAATGAATGAAGGTGCAGTGCTTGGTGCAGGAGCTGTAAAATTCAGGAGTACAAGCTTCTGGTTACCACTTACATCATCTACCATGAGGGTTGCAATGGCACGGCCAATTTCATTGTAGGATTTTGCTCTCCCAGAAGGTCCCAGTAGTATAAACAGAAATCTGCAAAGAAGATGGAGGAGGAGACAGAGAAGATTAAGGAAGAGGAGCATGAAAGTGAGAAGGAAAAACAGAAGCAAGTGAAGAGAATTCTCTGGCCCTGAACAGTATGCATTTTTTTTTTTTTTTTGAGACAGGGTCTTGCTCCATCACCCAGGCTGCATGGAGTGCAGTGGCGCAATCTTGGCTCACTGCAACCTCCACCTCCTAGGCTCAAGTGATCCTCCCACCTCAGCCTCCTGAGTAGCTGGGACTACAGGCGTGTACCACCAAGCCCGGCTAATTTTTTGTATTTTCAGTAGATACAGGGTTTCACCATGCTGCCCAGGCTGGTCTCCAACTCCTGGGCTCGAGCAATTCACCCGCCTTGGCCTCCCAGAGTGCTGGGATTAGAGGAATGAGCCACTGCGCTGGGCCCATTCTTAACTTTTTTACTTCCCTCCATGGAACCCTATGTTTGCTTTGGAGGAACATTTCCTCTTCCCCTCCCATGAGGCTCCCCCTTGAGCATCCTCACCTTTGTCTTGCTGCCCAAGCTTACCTGACAACTTCTCTCCTAGTTGTTGCCTCCTTCTCTTTTATTATTTATTATTTTTATTTTTTTTCTGAGACGCAGTCTTGCTCTGTTGCCCAGGCTGGGGTGCAATAGCATGATCTCGGCTCACTGCAACCTCTGCCTCCCGGGTTCAAGTGATTCTCCTGCCTCAGCCTCCCGAGGAGCTGGGATTACAGGCGCGTACCACCACACCTGGCTAATTTTTTTGTATTTTTAGTAGAGACGGGGTTTCACCTTGTTGGCCAGGCTGGTCTCGAACTCCTGACCTCATGATCTGCCCACCTTGGCATCCCAAAGTGCTGGGATTACAGGCGTGAGCCACCGCACCTGGCCTCTTTTGTTATTATTTTTAATAAACTCTAAAACTCTTCCCTAGTCAGAAGATTTCCCTTCCCAGCAGCCTCCACGTTTAGAGGTGCCTTTGAGAACACTAACAGTCAACAGCACTGCTTGCTGACTGCACTGCTGACTGGCTACCTGAGAGTGGCGTGGGGACAGGTTTCAATGGCTCTCACCTGGTGGGGACAGGCACCTCGGTCACTCCTCCCAGCATGGCCGACTGGATGAGGCGCACGAACGCGATGAATGGCTGGTCTAGGAAGTCCACCTCGCCCACGAGCACGTTGGACGCTTCTGAGTCCTTGGGGATCTTCTTCATGAATTTGTTTTTCCGCTGGACAGGGAGGGGAAACGAGATAGCCAAGGAGACTCCCACCTGCTCTCACTCCCTCACTCCCCTTCAGACTGCTTTGAGGCCTAACTTGAAAAAAATTCTCCCAATGTTGCCAAGAGACTGAAAGAATAAATAAGTACTCCTCCGATTCTGCAGATGGGGAGACTGAATGTAGGTTAACCCCAGGCACCATTAAGCCTTGTAGATGGGAAGGAACTGGCAACGACTTTCCTTGACTAAGACATTCCTTGACGGATGAAAACGGCTCCACTGAGATGTGGGTTGAGGGGTCAGAGAAGAGCCCCGGGGTTGCCGGACATCAGGCCTGGATGGCCTCCTTCAGGCTGAGCAGATGGGAGTCTCAGTGCTTCTACCTCAGCCACCCAGACCTCCCCTCTCCACCTTCACTTTTGGTAGCTGTGGGGAGGAGGAGGCCTGTTCTGATGGTCAGAGTAAACAGGCCTTATTTTCCCTTTGCCACCAGCTTCCTGGCTCACAGGAATTCCTGGACCAGTCTCCAAGTCTGTGGGAGACTTCCATGCCCCCACATTACCCCCAGGGGACCTCCCAAGGAAATTCATCACTTCTGGAATTTTCCAGCAGAGACTATCAAGGTGGCCTCTCTCCAGTCTCTCTGGCTAGTGTCACTTCATGGGAGGAAGGTCACACAGGCAGAGCCAGTGGGGTCTGATGTGAGAGGTACTGGAGACAAGCCCTCCACCCAAATGTATTCCCACTCTCTGCGTTTATAACTTCCTGAGTCCTCTTTTATGCTGAAGATACCCCAGGGATGGTTACTTTCAAGCTCTTCTTAGTCCTTAACGTCTTAGAATGAATTCCTTTTTCAGATTGCTTTCCCTCTGGGCAGCAAGGGCATGGACAGACAAGAGACAGAGATAATTTTGTCGGAAGATGGAGGGGAGCAGTTGGGGTAGCGGCAGGACTGGGTGCAGTCCACAGTCGCTGACACAGTGGGAAAGCGCCTGGGGGTAGAGGACAGCTCTGAAGAGAGCGCCTGTGAACATCACAATTTTCCTACCAATCCCCCTTCTACTGCAGTCTTTCCCGCGGGCACAGGCCTGTTTCTCACAGCCTCAGTGAAGACACAGCTTCCTTGTGCCTCTTCCTGTCCCTGTGGAGGGGTCAGCTATGGGCATGGATATGGTCAACAGGTCCTGCCATTTTGTCCCCACAGCTGTTTCCCAATTCGACTCATGTGGGGGCATCATACACACTGGGCTGGGTGGCCTACCAGCACGAGGAGGGGCTCGTGAGCAATGGCACTACCCTTATAATCGTTTAAATCCAATCAGACAAAAAAAAAATAACCCTCCACAACCACCTGGGCAACCATCAGCAGCCCCAAGGATCCTAACATAGTGAGAAAAAGCAGGAATTGACAGGAACACCGGAGTCCCCAAGACTCAAAAAGTCCCTTTGTCTCAGGCATGGTCAGCTGATTACTAAGCAGCGTTCTTCAGGGTGGAGGGCTGGGTGTAACAGGGCAGCCACCGTCTCCGAGCATCAGGCAGGGAGGGGGTCCAGGGAAGGGGAGGAGATACGGGCTGGGCAGGAGCACCCTGGAGAAAGAGGCTTCGGAAGCAGCAATGCTTCAGGGTGTCCCAACAAACCCACTTGTTTTTGTTGTTGTTTTGATTTGTTTTGAGACAAGAGTCTCACTCTGTCGTAAAGGCTGGAGTGCAGTGGCACCATCTTGGCTCACTGCAACCTCCTCCTCCTGGGTTCAAGCAGTTCTCGTGCCTGTCTGGCACATGCCTGGGACTACAGGCATGTGCCACCACGCCCGGCTAATTTTTGTATTTTTGATCGAGATAGGGTTTCTCCATGTTGGCCAGGCTGGTCTCAAACTCCTGGCCTCAATCCATCAGCCTCAGCCTCCCAAACTGCTGGAATTACAGGTGTGTGCCACCACACCTGGCCATCCAACCAACCCACTTGTAATACAGAAGATAAGAGAAATTTAACCAGGGAGTTGGTCCTTCCTTACACGTTGTGACATGTTTGGTAAGAAGGCCAGGGTTGTGGCATCCCAGAAATGGGAGCATGCTAGTGTTCCAACCAACCCTGGCTTGCCCAAAGCCTGGATGTGGGCTTGTATAACCAGGGCCCTGCTGACTCCACTTCCTGAACCCTTGGGGACTCCAATCTGGCTCTGCACTGCAGAGTCACTGCAGCACAACGATGCTGTCTGAATCTACTCTCTGTTCACTGGGAATCTGCCAGCTGAGGGCAGGCATGGAGTTTAGCTTTGCACAAATCAATGATGAAGAAAGAGCCTGCAGAGCAAATGCCTCTGGGCTTGCACCTGAAGAGCACCCAATAGCAGAGACCACTGATGCTGCAAATACCGAGAAGCAGCATCAAGTATCAGCAAGGAGAACCAGATGCTGGCGCTAGGTGATGGGTTCCAATCCCCAAATCAAGAAAGCACTGTCTGGTGAAAGGGACAGCTAGTGTTATTATTACCACTCACACATTCATTAAAACAGGTTATAAAAAACTTTTACTAGGTAATGCTTTCTTATCACAGTTGCACTGTCTGTATGCATGAGTAAAAGTGGTTTTCCTCTCCAAATAATGTTCCAGAATACTGACTAGTTCCTAAATTACTTCCAAGTTAAGGGCTCTGGAGTTAGACTGCCTAGGTCAAATCAAAGTTCTGTCTTTCAGCTGTATAGACTTTGGTGTGTTATTTAACTGCTGTAAGCCTCAGTGTTCTCTCATGAGTAAAATGGGAATGAAAATAGTGCCTTTGTGATTCACAGAAAATGCCTGGCACAGTGTAGTGCATGTGGTGTGGAGCTTAAATATTGATTGATTTTGTTACTGTTGTTATTAATTTATTTGTGCCCGGGACACTGACATGAGGGGCTGACTTTGTTTTTGCCTTCCACCAAACTTAGGGGTGGCTGGAAGGCCTGGAGGTCACCCAAGCTCCTGAAGGCTCCTCGCCAAGTCTCAGGTTTCCTTTGTCATCTTTCTTCCTACTCCTGGGGAGATAGACAAGGGGACCATGGGGCCTCCTGTCCTTGAGGTATGCAGGAGTTGGAATTAAGGGGGCCTCCTCTGGGCTTCCCCAAGGGGCACAGTCACAGGATTCTGGGGCTGTGGGCCTTAGAACTGGACCCAATTTGTTTGCAGAATTCTGATCTCATCACGAGGGTTTCAGCCCAGTTCATGGGAGACCACAGGAAGAAGATGCACTATTGGACAGTCTAATTAACTACCACTGTTCTCGCCACAGGGAGATTCTTTTCTGTCTCTCTGCCAGCCCCAGTCCCTATCCCATCTTTAAAGGTGCTTGTGGATCACAGGATAGATGAAGCCATGTGTGCTGGTCTTCTCTCTCCAACAAATCCCAAGCTCAAGGACAGCTGGCGCCTCATTTAATCATGTTCTCTGTCCCACACCCCCAGGGCCTGACACAGAGCCAGCACCTGGGACTCCGTCATTCCCCGACTACTGGCCTTGGCAAAGTCCCCCAGGCAGCCCAGAGTCCCCACTGGGGATCTTCCTGGAACTCCCACTCCTTTGTAGGAGTGGAACTCTGCCCATAGGGGATCCCTGCTCCTGAAACCAAAGACTTTTTCCTGCCCTGGCCCTCCATTGCAGCTAAGTGCAGGGGTTTTACTACCTGGTCTGTGTTTGGGGTGAGAGAAATGTCATTCATGCTTCTGCTCTGGGCATGACCTAGGAGAAAAGGAAAAGAAGATCCATCAGGGGAAGCCAGGCTCTTGCAGGTCCCTTTCCTATGGGCCCTACTCATGTACCTCTCCCATGTTCATAACCAAAGCAAACTCCCTCCCCCTTAATCCTGCAGTCCCCTTAAACTAGCATCCTCTCACTTTCCTTCTGTTCAATGGCTGCTTTCCTGAAAGAGGTGTTAGACTCCAGTTTCCACTGTTTCCTTCTCCCTCCTCAATCTACCACACTCTAGTCTCTACTCCTCCACCCCAACGTCTTGGATGTCACCAGGCTGTCTACTCTGGGTGTGGCTCTGCACCAGGCCCGGATAGGAGGAGGGACACAGACGCATTATTAGGTGAGGTTCCATGTGTCACTTAGCTTGGAATTTGCTGGAGGGGGAGCAGTTTCACCTCTGTCCTCCATGACCGGTGAGAGTCTTCAAACATGGGCTGGGGATTTAGGCTGGCAGAGGGAAGGAAGGTGGGCTTCCCATGAGAACAGTGATAGCCAATTATTTGAACTGCCCAATAGTTCCTTCCTCTGTTAAGAGAGAGAAAGCCAGCTCTCCTCTCCCACTAGCCCAATCTGGTGGACACCCTCAGACCTATCGTGTCTCGGCTATTGGCCTGTGCCACTCCTGGTGTCCAGAATGCTGCTCCTCTTGGCTCTCCTCCTCTCATTTCTGTCCCAGGATCCTCTCCTGCTTGGACATCCCAGGGCCTTGTCTTTGCTCTCATCCCCTCCAGGTGCCTCAGCCTCTCCGCTGGTCAATCGCTCCCACTCCTGTTGTTTCCAACACCCATTTGGGCTGAGGATGCCCAGGATGGATCTTTAGTCTGACTCCTCTTCTGAGCTGCAGACTCCTTGGAGCAGTCCCCTCTGGCACCTCAAATGCAACTCTTTACCTGCCCCCAAATCACTTTCCTCATGGACACATTCCACTCAATGCCCCTCCCTCCCATCCACCAGCCCTTTAGACAGAAATCTAGGAGCAGCCTTGGGCCCTCCCTCTTCCTCACCTCCTACTTCCCACCAGTACTTCAATTCCACCTCTGTCCCTTCCTCTCCATTCTGGAATGCAGGCTCAGTCTCTGCCTTCCAATGTTGCCCCTTCTAGATTATTCCTACTCAGACAGAAATCCGATCACAGCATGCTCCTGCTTCAAGCTTCCCAGGGGTTCCCATTATCTTCAGAATAAAACCCGGGTTCTTTTGCTGGGTGCACAAGGCCCTCTTTGATTTGACTCTCTCTTCCCTTTAACTCCTGCACTTCCTGTGAACTGGACTAATGTTTTTATTTTCATAGCTCCAGCTCCTTCTCTTCCATCCCCCAACCTCCTATTTGTTTTGTTTGTTTAGAACCCCCTCTTCCTCCTCCTTGCTCCTGGAAAACTTCTATTTATGCTCCAAGACTCAGTCAGTGTCTCCTCCTCTCTGATCCTTCCCCTGTGCGCTGTGTTCTGCATGCTGGGCCACCTCATGGCGGGTGCCCACCTTGAATATGACCTGGTTCACACAAAGCTGCAATCATCCATTCGTGCCTCTTGTCCCAGTGGTTCCCACCCCTAAGCAGTGTCAGTAGGGAGGTGACCTCATATACAATGATAACTGAGTGGAAGGTCTTCCCGAAGCCACTCTGTACCCACTGAACACTGCCACTGGGCATCCCTATGTGGCATAACAAAGCTGGGGAGACTAAGAGGACTTGGGTCATCAGGACAGAGAGAGAAGACTGCAGCAAATGCCTGCTGTGCCCAAGGCCACAGGCAGGGGCTGCATTGCCCCCAAGTCACTCCTTGGGCCTGGACAGGGGTACAGCACTGGGCTGAACTTGTTAACATCTTGGCATTTTAGTAAAAGTACCTGAAGGAAAATAGTCCTTCACTGCTTTTTCTTTTTCACTTCACTTTCTAAGTTCGCTCCTTTCTTTTCCCCAGCTCGCCTGTCTGTGTATCCCTGACGAGGTGCATGTAAAACCTGTCTGTCACCTCTCACCTCAAACCCACACCCCGCCCCCTACCAGCCATTCCCAGAAAAAAGGGGCCGTGACTCTGCCCACATTTCTTCTCCATGGTGGCATGAGACTGCCACCCAGTGATGGGAATGCTGCCTGACTGAACTGAAGGAAAGGACCTTGCCTGTTTTTGATTCCATTTCCAGGAAAGCTTTTCACCAAAAAACAGGGTTAATGTCAGTTTGATGAAGATGAAGGTACAGACTAAGATAAAAACACCTAGAATATGGGAGTGGGTATTGATTACACCAGGATGTGACTGACAGCCTCATTTTTCAGAGGAATGACTTGAATATTATGGTAGTAAATGAGGCCCTGAGAGCAGCCTGGGTTTAGAGTGAAAGTTAGGCTCCTCCTGATGCATGCCCTGAGAATTCTTGGCAGATCCTGGGCTTTGTCTCCCCCACCTATGGCAATGTGGCCATGTCACAGCTGCCACAGCCTGAATAAAGCTGCCACAGAGCGGCAGAGCACACACTCACACAGACGTCCGTAATTTGCACTCTGCCGCATCCGCAGGTCTTCCGTGGAGTGGTGTAGACTCGGGCCAGCACCAGGGCTCCGGGCAGGACTGCGATCTGGGAGGAGAATCAGAAGGGACTTGGCTTCGACAGCCTTGCTGGTGTAGCGAAGCCTCTTGGGTTAGTTCACTTTAACTAAATAAAACTGGGTGGCAAGACATGTCTCTTCCCCTTCTGGGAAGAAATTCTTTTTTTTTTTTTTTTTTTAATTTAAGCAAGTCAATAGTCTGAACAAGATTACAGGCTGGGCACGATGGCTCACGCCTGTAATCCCAGCACTTTGGGAGGCTGAGGTGGGTGGATGACCTGAGGTCAGGAGTTTGAGACCAGCCTGGCCAACATGGTGAAACCCTGTATCTACTAAAATACAAAAAATAGCCAGGCATGGTGGTGGGCACCTGTAATCCCAGCTACTTGGGAGGCTGAGGCAGGAGAATCACTTGAATCCAGGAGGCAGAGTTTGCAGTGAGCTGAGATCGCGCCATTGCACTCCAGCCTGGGTGACAGAGTGAGACTCCGTCTCAAAAAAAAAAAAAAGAACAAGATTAGAGAGAATATCTGTACTGTTGAAAGTGAGAGAGATACACAGTGCATTAAATGGGCACAAGGTGTAGTAGACTGCTTGGGTTCATCCCTGATTCCACCACTTAATGGCTTTGTGACCTTAGGCAAGTTACTTAAACTCTCTGTGCCTCAGGCGTCTCATCTGTAAAATGGAGACAAGAACCGTACCTACACGCCACAGCATTTTTGTGAGGATGAAGTGAGTTAAAACAGGAAGAGCACTCAGAATAGTGCCCAGAATGTAGTTAAGTGCTGAGTATGTATCTGTTGCTATTATGGTATGTTAAACACTTCCCGTTGTTTTGGGAGCGATTTTTTGAGACAAGGACTTGCTCTGTTGCCCAGGCTGGAGTGCAATGGCACGATCTCTGCTCACTGCAACCTCCGTCTCCTGGGTTCAAGCGATCCTCCCATCTCAGCCTCCTGATTAGCTGGGACTACAGGTGTGTGCCACCACACTTGGCTAATTTTTTGTAAGGCGGGGTTTATGCCATGGGGTTTAAGCCATGAGGTTTATGTATTTCTTGTAGAGATGGGGTTTATGCCATGTCACCCAGGCTGGTCGCAAACTCCTGAGCTCAAGCAATCCACCCACCTTGGACTCTCAAAGTGCTGGGATTACAGGTGTGGGCCACCATGTCCGGCCCACTTCCCATTTTTAAGTAATTCATTTAAAGAGGTTCCTCAATGTTTTTAATGTAGCAACTTTGCTCTGGTTACTGTGTTTGTCTGACAGGCTCAGTAGGGCTAGTGTCCCTGGGCATCTAGGCTGGGATACTGATAGTGGAATGTTGGAGATTTGAGATGTGTACATGCAACAAGCCACTCTCTCTAAATGGCCCCAGGTCCTGCTAATCAGAGTGACATCAGCCACCAGATCTACAAGCCCTGGCACTCTTGAGATAAGCCCAGCCCCTTCTACCACCCTGATGTGTTCCATTTTCTGCTGAGGCTCTTGACCTCTCTAGGGGGTTTGATGTGAAACTTTTGGGTCCTTTCCATAGCAAGCCATCTCTACCAGCATTTCCCAATGCTGTGTGACATAAGAATCTCTTGGGGTGCATTCTAACTTCTCTTTTTCTAGGCCATACCCCAGAACAATTGACTCCAACTCTCCAAGGTGGGGCCCAGGCATTAGGACACATCTCAAGCCCCAAAGTGATCTGCCACATGCAGCCCTGGCTGGGAACCAACTCTCTCCCTAGAAATTGTTCTGCTCTGGTGGTGGGAACAACACGGGAGTGTGGCTGGGGTCCCCACAGGCCTGCCAGAGAAGGAGGCTGAGGGATCCCCAGAACATCAGAATTTCTCCAGAAACTCCCAGCCCCTAAGGTGGGCTCACCCGGGTACCAGGGCCTGATACTGGCCCTGCATGTCCCATGCCTACCAGCGTAAGGCCTGACTCACTTGTGGTGGAGACTGACTTCCCAATGTCAGCTAAGGAGCGGTGGATGGGCTTCTTGGTTTGGTGGCGGTGCCTCCTCAGGAGGACGTAACTGACCCTCTCCCGGAGCTCTGGCCGCAGGAGACCATCCTCAATCTGCTTCTCAATGACATCATCTGTGTGGAAAACATACACACCTCATCCCTGTGGGACAGAACAGCTCCAGGGTATGGAAGTCTTCAGTTTCACCTGTTATTAGTGGGATTAAATGTGGCAGAGGGGGTGTGGAAGTACTCCTGGCTTTGCCACTAGCTGTGGAAAACTGGGCACATCACCAACTCTTGGCCTCCTCCTGTTCAAGGGCACGTGTGTGTGTGTGTGTGTGTGTGTGTGTGTGTCTGCTCTTTCTGTCAATGTTCTTATGAAAAGTGAAATAAACAGTACATATGAAACTGCCCCAGGAGGCACAAAAGTACTGTGTTCAATGGTTTTAGTCCTAAAATGAACTCTTTTTAGAAAAGTATTTTGGGCAAAATACTTCTGGCAAAATCCAATGTGCTAGAACAAAACTCACAAAAATTTTTAGGGGTGTTAAGGCAAGCCAACTCCTCCCTTCGACACACCACTAAATGACAGCTAATTTCCTAAAGATGAATGATGACCCATTTTACCCTGAAAAGAAACAGGTTGTCATGGCAAGAGGTATCTCTGACTATGCAAGAGGCCCTCTCCCCTTTTACCACATTTCTGGATGGCATTTTGGAGGATGGTCTTTTCCTCTCTACTGGAGGTCTACATGGTACTGAAACTTGGAGTGACTATGATCCTGCCCTGGGAGCAACAGAGTCAAAGCTGGTCTCTGCAGAATCAGGTGTCAGAGACGGGCCGTCACACAGACTTGAGGGCAGGCATGAGGTCAGGGGAGCTGCCCTGGTTTGCAGGGACCACAGGAGAGATGCACACAGTGGCCCCTGCCTCACCTATGATCTGTGGTAAGGAGCCACTGTCCAAATCCAGCAGCACCGTCCCCGTCTGCAGGCAGGTACGGAGCTCGAAGAGGCTGTGCAGGGATAGTGTGGACACGTGGGGCTTGCTCCAGCGTTCGCCGCCTTCCTCTACCTTTTCTTCAAACTTTATCCACCTGGAAGGGTAAGGATGGGGCTCAGTGTGGCCAGGGCCCTCAGGAGGAGGCCTCACCTGGGTCTCCCCAAAAGAGGGGTGTCATGTGGGTTCATGCTATGTATGTGGTTGTGGTGTTGGTCCCAGACTCACAGGCAGAGGATCTCTTGGGGATCCCCTCATTTGTCCCCCACTCCTCCTGATACTGTCATGTGAAGGAAAGTGGCATCCAGAGAAGTATACAGGGGCATGAGGGATCTTCTGGGAGTGATGGAAATGTTCTAAAATTGGATTATGGTGACAGTTGCACAATTCCATACATTTTCTAAAAATCATTTACCAGTACACTTACAATTAGAGAATTTTAAGTTATTCTAGAACAATAAAGCTGTTTTTTTAAAAAGCCTCAACTGGAACCTGATTATCTCAGGCTGTTCACACATGAGTGTTCAGTGTGGTTTGCTGGGAGCAGGAAAAATGTTCCCTGACGAAAAGTATTTCTCCCTGAGTTCCCCTGCAAGGTCTGAGGTTTCCATGCTTTTCACTCTTTTTGCCTCTGAAAGTTCAGGTAAAAATTCACATGCCATCCAGGGAAGGAAAGAAATTAAACCAAGGATGTGTAGGGATCTGTCCTTTCTAGAAGACTTGGAATCATGGGCTGGGTGTTCAAGTAGAAAGGCCTCAGATAGTGCCAGGGGAGCAAGGAGTCCTGGCCGGAGACACCTAGCTCCCCTTTGTAAGATGTCAACCACAAATGCATGGGTAGCTCCAATCTATTGCAACTGAAATCCCAAGGGAGGACTTTTGGACCATGACTATCTAATTCTAAAGTTCCTCTAAAAAAGGTAAATGTAGGAGAATGGTGAGGAAAGTTCAAAAATGAAGAGAAATGGGGATGGGGCATGCCTTAGCACATATAGAAACTTGCGGAGAAGCTTCAGTAATTAAAGCGGTGTGATTCCAGGCCAGATATAGACAAGGGATCAGTGGCACAAGAGTCCAGAAACAGACCTGTATATCCATGGGAATTCAGGTTTTTTGTTGGTTTTTTTGAGACAGAGTCTCCCCCAGGCTGGAGTGCAGTGGCATGATTTTGGCTCACTGCAGCCTCGACCACCTGTGCTCAGGTGATCTTCCCAACTCAGCCTCCCAAGTAGCTGGGACTACATGCATGCACCATCACGCTTGGCTAATTTTTGTATTTTTTGTAGAGATGGGGTTTCATCATGTTGCCCAGGCTGGTCTCGAACTCCTGGGCTTAAGTGATCAGCCCACCTTGGCCTCCCAAAGTTCTAGAATCACAGTCGTGAGCCACCACGCCCAGTCACGGAATTAGGATTTTGATGAAGGAGTTGTTTAAAAGACAACCAACCTAAAAATAGAAAGTTAAATCCCTACTTTTCACCAAACACAATACTAAATTCTTCATAGATTAAAGTCTAAAGATAAAAATAAATCTATAAGCAAAAATGCAAATATACTAGAAGAGAATATAGGAGAGTATTCTTATATTCTTGGAGAATATTGTGGAGAAAGACTTCCTAAACAAGGTATAAAACCATAAAGGAAAAAAATGGACAGATTTGATTGCACAAAACTAAAATAAATGAAAACTTCTATATAGTAAAATAACATATAAATCAAGTTCAAAGAAAAGTAATGTACTGAGAAAAATATCTGCAACAAAGAAAGCATCAAAATACTAATATTTATAACAATGCTCCTTTGAATTAATAAGAAATTAACCAATTAACTCAAATTATCCAATAGAAAGTAAACAATCCTGAGAAGAAATGAAGATGGCCAATAAACATATGAAAAGATGCTCAACCTTACCAGTAATCATGGACTTTTAAATTACTACAAATGAAATAACATTCTTCATTTTTTAATACTGGCAAAAGTTAAAAAGATTGACAACTTCCTGTGTCAGTGAAAACATGGGGAGGTGGCCTCTCATCTGCTGCAGGTGTAATGACACAGCCTTCCTGGTGTGGGCAGCCTGTTTCAACATTCAGTGTGCATGCCTTTTGACCCAGTGGTTCGATTTCTAGGAAACGATCACAGGAATATAATTACACTGCCACACCCTGTAATATGTATACAAGGACGCTCGATGAAGCTTTGTCTGTTAGGCCAAAGAACTGGAAACCACCAGGTTTTCAGTAGAAGCATGATTACATCAATTCTGTATGTCCATGTTGTGGAATATCCCCCAGAAATAAATAAAAAATATGTGGGTGAACTCACATACTGACAGGACGGACACTACCATCCCATTTTATAAAAAAGAAAAACACACTTGTGTGTGTGCACACATGTGTCTGGAGAAAGCAAAAGTTTTGGAGGGATCCATGTCAAATGGTTAACAATGATTACTTTGAGCAGAGGAGTAGGATTGTTGTTGGGGCGGGATTTAAGACTTTCACTTTATTGGGGCGAATTAGTGTAGCAAGAGTGCAGTCTGGTTAGGCTGGGTGAGGTGGCTCACGCCTGTGATTCCAGCACTTTGGGAGGCCCAGGTGGGTGGATCGCCTGTGCTCAGGAGTTTGAGACCAGCCTGGGCAACATGGTGAAACCCTGACTCTACCAAAAAACCCAAAAAATTAGCTGGGCATGGTGGCACACAGCTGTGGTCCCAGCTTCTTGGGAGGATCACTTGAGCCTGGAAGGCAGAGGTTGCAGTGAGCCGAGATGGCACCACTGCACTCCAGCCTGGGTAACAGAGTGAGAGTCCGTCTACATTTTTTTTTTTTTTAAAAAAGAGCACAGTCTATGAAGCAACACTATTAGGTTTTGAATAACAGCTCCATCATTTACTAGCTGAAAATCTCGAGTAAGTTACTTAATCTCTCATCACCTTTGATTTCTTCAGTAATAATAATAATGTACAGCAATTAGAGCAGTGCCTAGCACACAAGATACACTCTGTTAATGTTAGCTATTAAGTTAAAAATAAAGAATATTACTTTTGTAATTTTAGGAACAATAAAAAAAGAAGAAAGCAAAGTCATTCAAAGCTCCTCCAACCAGGAGGCATCATGCTGATGTCTTGATGGTTGATATTTTGGTAACTGCCATTCTAGATCTCCTCGTGCATGCATGCACATATGCCTGTGTTTGCATTAACTGTACATTAATGGCACCACAAGGACCTTAAGGGTATAGTATCTAATGGACATCCTTTCATCTCTATTAGTATTAACATCATTCTGAAGTCCTTCTAGTATTCCACTGTCTGAATGTACCATAATTGATAGGAACAGTTCTCAACTGGTAGACATTCAGATTATTTCTAATTATTCTTTATTATTAATTAAGGCTGGTTGGAACATCCTTGGTTCCTGCTCCACAATTTCTTTAGGATAAACTCTCAGAAGTGGAATTACTGTGTCTGCACATTTTTACATTTATAACAAGCATTACCAAACTGTTTTCCAGAAAGCTTATGTCAGTGCCCACTGCCACCAATGAGATCTTACATTTCCCTAAAGTCTCCCAGACTTTGGTATTTTCATTCTTTTTCACCTTTGTTCATTTGGTAGTTGAAAAATTATCTCACATTTGCACTCTTCTGATTACTAGTGAGATTGAACATCTTTTCCTTCATCAGATTTCCTCTTCACGTAACTGTATATTTTGCATTATCTATGTTTAACACCTTCATTCCATACATTTATTTGAGACAAGTTAACCAGGCACCTGGTGGGATCCTGGGGAATCAGATGGACACAGAATGGGGAGATCTAATTAGAGAAGGACTGGGAGGTGAAGACCTGAAACATGGGGGCTGGAGCCAGAGACCAGGCAGACAAGTTGTAGCTGACCTTTTTGTGGAGAAATCTGTTTGGGAAATATCATTTAAATTATGGCAGATCCAAGACTATGTGATATCGAAAGTAAGATGTTTCTAAAAGGTATATTAACATAAGAGTTTACAAGGAATAGACCAAAGGATAAGTTCAAAATTTTTTTTTTTTTGAGACGGAGTTTCACTCTCATCGCCCAGGCTGGAGTGCAATGGTGCAAGCTTGGCTCACTGCAACCTCTGCCTCCGTGGTTCAAGTGATCTCCTGTTTCAGCCTCCTGAGTAGCTGGGATTACAGGTGCCTGCCACCAGGCCCGGCTGTTTGTTTTTTGTTTGTTTGTTTGTTTGTTTGTTTGTTTTTTAGTAGAGACAGGGTTTCATTATGTTGGTCAGGCTGGTCTCAAATTCCTGACCTCAGGTGGTCCACCCACCTCCGCCTCTAAAAGTGCTGGGATTACAGGCGTGAGCCACCGCGCCCGGCCAGTCCAAATGTTTTAGTTGAGAGGATGCTCAACTTTTCTTCCTGAGGATCGACCTCCTATTCAGCTTGCCTTTTATTGTTTTTTTTTTCTCAAAAATAATACAAAAGATAAACTGAACTGTCACCCTGCTCCCAAAGACTCTTTTGCTACTCCATGGTCTTACCCACCCACCTAAAGGTGTGATGTGGCCCAGTGCATGGGGCCAGTTGAGTGGGTTGCTGTCTTCACTGTCTCACAAACATCCTAGGCCAGACAGTCTCAGGCAGCTCTCTCCCCTGACATCCCATTCTTCAGTCTTCTGCCCATACAAATGCAACTCCACCTGAAGGAGTGATAAGAGCAATGCTTCCTCTTTGAAACATCCTCTACTAACTCCAGATAGCAGATAGCAAAGACATGCAGTCCTCTCCACCTCTCAGGACTTCAACTATTTGTACTGTGTTAGGCATACACCAAACATTAACCCCATAGACACACAGACAAGGGCGATAACCCACATGAGAATAGCCTGCATAAACACTAAATTACTTGTCTCCAATTTTAAGCCAATGCCAGAACTAGACTCTGCTACCAGAATCCAGAAAATTTGATTTAAGAAATTCCGGAATATGAGACCATTTAACTAGGGACACCGCTCTAGTCCCCTCTATAACTATTTTGGGAATCCAGATGTTGAACCATTAAGCTTGCTACCTGGAACTTAATTTTGTGTTTTCAATGGCTACAGCTAGAAATTTAGCTCACTTTCACCTTGAATGGAAAAGGAAACATGGAGGACCAAAGATCCATAGCAATGGTTTTCAACCTTGGCTGTCCATTAGAATAACTTGGAGAGATTTATAAAAATACCAATGCCTGGGGCTGGGCGCGGTGGCTCATGCCTGTAATCCCAGCACTTTGGGAGGCAGAGGCAGGCGGATCACGAGGTCAGGAGATCGAGACCATCCTGGCTAACATGGTGAAACCCTGTCTCTACTAAAAATACAAAAAATTAGCCAGGCGTGGTGGCAGGCGCTTGTAGTCCCAGCTACTCAGGAGGCTGAGGCAGGAGAATGGCGTGAACCCGGGAGGCGGAGCTTGCAGTGAGCAGAGATCATGCCACTGCACTCCAACCTGGATGACAGAGCGAGACTCCGTCTCAAAACAAAACAAAACAAAACAAAAACCAATGCCTGGATGGTTACCCCACCAGGAGGGTGACCCTGCCATGGAAACTCCCGGGTTATCTGACTGCACCCTGTGGGTTCAGGAGCCCCTGCTCTGTAGGTACATAGAATGGTGTGACTTAGGGATAGTTCAACTTATATGGGGTCCCAACGCAGGCAAACGTAGCTCACATGGATCTGATTCTCATTATACAGCAGGACATGGCCTCTTTCCCTTAGAATGGCTCCAAGAACACTAGCTGAAAGGGTCTCCTTTCTAGCACAGTCATGCTATGCTTTAGTTTCTCTGATTTTATAACTGAAGTCCATTTACAGTACATATTCTACTACACCAGTGTGCCTCAAACTCTAATGTGCATGGGGATCTTGTCAAAATGCAGATCCTCATTGAGCAGGTCTGGAATGAGGTCAAAGATTCTACATTTCTAATAAGCTCCTAGGTGTGCTCATGCTGCTGGTCTGCAGATCACCTCTGAGATCATGTAGAATGTCCTCTTTCCTCTCTGTTTTCCACTGCCCAGCGAGAATGCCCCTTCCTCCACAAAGCCTCTGCCAGTTATTCTGCTTATTTCTCCTATAACACCCTAGGATGGTTCTCAACCTGAAGCACTTTAGAAACCACTGTTCTAGGACAGTGATTCTTAAGCTTGCTTGCATATAAGAATACCCTAGATGCCTTTAAAATCTTCATGTCTCAGTCATATCCTAGACCAGTTGACATCAGAATAAAAACGGGTGGGATCCAGGCAACTCTGTGCTCCAGACTATCCTAGGTAAAGTTTCTAACTTCTTAGGCTCAGAGCCTAAAATAATTAATTAATTCAGGCTCAGTGCCTAAATTAATAATTAATTGTAGCCAATCATGTTTTATGATTGTTTTGGTATATAACAAATGCCAAATATACATTAAGCTTTTTGAAGACAGGTGCCATTTCTTCCTCTCTGGTGTCCCCTTATGGTCTCCTGCCCAGATCAATTGCATTAAATGCTTGCTCCCTTCTGCTTGAGGGTAGCAAGACCTCACTGATCACTTTGGGTGAGATCTCGCTATGAGGAAATGACTGGGGAAAAAAAGCTTAAAACTCATTTTGTTTAAGTATATTTAAAAATACTCAGAAGCCGGGCATGGTGGCTCACACTTGTAATCCCAGCGCTCTGGGAGGCTGAGGTGGGAGGATTGCTTGAGACCTGCCTGAGAAACAAAGCAAGACTCCACTATACAAAAAATAAAATAATTAGCCAGGTGTGGTGGCATATGCCTGTAGTCCCAGCTACTCAGGAGGCTGAGGTAGGAGGATTAAGTCCAGGAGTTTGAGGCTGCAGTGAGCTGTGATCGCACCACTGCAATGAAGCTGAAGTGACAGAGAAAGACCCTATCTCTAAAAAGAAAGAAAGAGGCCTTATCTTTTAGAGACATAATGAAATATTTACAGATGGAATGATGTGGTGTCTGGGATTTGTGTCAACCTGACCTAGCATGTGTGTCTGTGTGTCTGGGGTAGTAGGTGGGGGACAGAGAAACAAGAATTGCTATGAGTTAGCTGTTAACTGTTGAAGCTGGGTGATGGGCAGGTGGGGGTTCATTCTGCTATATACTACTTTTGTATAAATTTGAATTTTCCATAATAAAATCCTTAAACATTCTCCAGAATGAATAAAGGAATGGCCTCTGTAAAAAGCCTCTGGTCAAAGCCAAGTTTAAAAACTTGCAAAAGCCTGATAATAAGGTTCATGTGTAATCCCAAACAACTCATTGCAAAGTGAACTGTGTACCATGGTTGGCTTCAAAAAGTGGGGTATTAGAGTTGGGGAAGCAGGTCAAGTGGAAAGAAAATCTCCACGTTCTCCTTCATTATCCAGCAAAGCTTTAACTTTTAGGGATTTTGCCCAAGCTTGGGTGTAGACCCCCAACTCTGCATGCCAGGGTGGGCACCAGGTGCCCCGCTCCTGACTGGAATGTAGCTAAAAGGAACCTTGAAATGTCACTTGTCACAGAAAGCAGCTCTCTGTCACACAAAGCAGGGCCAGAACTGAGGCCTTTTCTGTGCCTAGTAACTCGGTCAGAGATATAATTAGAGGACATTGCTGTTCAATTAATAACAAGAGCAGGAGAAAGCATCATGGCGCTAGCTACCAGGTACAGTCAAGGCTTCCAATGCTCAAACCACAGGATGGGAGAAGAGGAGGTTCTCCTTCAAGGAGGATCTGGAAAGGGCTGAAAACCAAGAGACCTCTATTCTAGTTGTCTCCTCAGATGGAAACTTCGTAACTCCCACTGATCCTGCTGGGCTAGAGTAAGTATCAGCAGTTTTCAATGGCTGCATTAGGATCATCTGGGAGCTTTTTACAAATTCTAAAACCCAGGCTGAATCTCAGACTAATTACATCAGAATCTCAGGGGACTGACAATCAGACATCAATATTTTTTAAAAGGAAGACACAGATCCTTGAGATGATAAAACAACAGGCTGCCCATTATGTGTAGTTAGATAAGAGTAAAATCTGGAGAATATACATAAACATTGTGATTGAAGAGAAGCTTCTATCTATACTATTTTGAATATCATTATAATTAAATAGTGTCTTGGTTAGTTTGTTTGCAAAATCCCCCCTAGGACATTCTAATTTAAAAAATGTAATCTCCCAATGTATGTAACCTTTAATGCTAAGGCTATGTTGCCTCCAAACATTTGTTTTAAGAATTACATTTGTGTGAATTTGTTTCTTTCATGAAGTTTACTCAGCTAAAATTTGTAAAGTATATATCCCTGTGGTCACTCTATCTATGTGGCCTCACCAACTTTATTCTGTAACTCTCCCACCCCGCCCCATTACCCAAAAGCTTGACTTCTGTGTATTAGTTACAAAGCATCAAGACATGTTTGTGCTTTCTGCCTAAGGCCTGTAATACATTTTGTAACTCCAACAAATTCATTTCTTAAAAGTAAGAAATGTAAGTTTTCCTTCAATATCCAGCAAAGTTTTTTAACTTCATATGAGTCATATCAGGATACTGAATTTCCCAACAGATACTGAAGACCAGTATTAATTCACTTAGAAGCCCGTTAAGAATTTTCCTAGAGATGTCTGAGGAATCATCAGATACTCCCCTGGTTCAGTCTTTGACAGAGGCACTAAAAAATGATCTGTGGAAGGAAGATTTTTCAAAAGGGGAACACCTGAGGCCGGGCCTGGTGGCTCACGCCTATAATCCCAGCACTTTGGGAGGCCAAGGCAGGCAGATCCCTTGAGGTCAGGAGTTTTGAGACCAGCCTGGCCAACATGGCAAAACCCTGTCTGTACTAAAAATACAAAGATTAGCCAGGCGTGGTTGTGCATGCCTGTAATCCCAGCTACTCCCAGCCAAGCACTATGCTAAGCACTTAACATGTATTATCTCATCTAATCCTTAAATCTATCTCACGAGGTAGGTCTGTGACTATTCTCATTGTACAGGTGAGGAGACTGAGACCCTTAGAGGATGAGGAGCCTGCCCAAGGTGGCTGAGGCAGGAGAATCACTTGAGCCCAGCAGGCGGAAGTTACAGTGAGCTGAGATGGTGCCACTGCACTCTAGCCTGGGCAACAGAGCAAGACTCTGTCTCAAAAAAACGGGAGAAACACCTAAGCAAATTCTGGCCCATTCTTACAATTTATTTGGCTAATTCATGCTACATAAAATCACATGCATGAAAATATGTATGTGAGATAGTACAACAAGTTGTTTCTACAACGGATTATGACTTTGCATACCATGTATATGTTAATAAACCAAACTTGGCAGTAAATTTGAAAGATTATAAAGTATAAAAGACTGAGGGGGCAGGCATGGGTCAAGGGTCAGCACACATATGGAGAAGTTCAGAAGCTACCAGAAGGGGCTGATGAGCACCAGAAAGGCCTCACAGGCCTCTTGGGGCACCCACCCCGGTCCAGGCTCAGAAATTTTATCTTTTTAGTGTCCCAAAGATGATTAGGTCCAGTGACACTGTCTAATGCTAACCAAGATCACAAAGGCTGATGCATAAACCTGAAGGCCAATTTATTTAATTTACAGTGAGATTTACAATCGTTATAGGGGTTTGTTATGTTCATCCTCTAGCCTTTGCATTCTCTCCTCATGGGCAGATATACAGGGTAAGCCAAATTATCACCAAAAAGTTGCTGAATATAGAATCAGAATGAGTTAATCATTAGTTAAGTGATTCCAGTGTTTAATAGACTTAGGATGATCTTTCATCTCTACTCATGAGATATGTCTAGGACTAGGATCAGATTGATAGGGCCTTCTGTCTTAGATTGTTCTGCAATGAACCCCACTTCCTCCCATGGCTGACTGATTCCCTTTGAATGAAAGTCTTTCCTTTTGGTGGCCTAGGAACCTCCGCTGAGGGCCTTTGGTGATGCAGTACAGTTTGGGCATTACAGGAGAAACACTCCTTCCCAGACAGTGATGAACTGCAGTGGCACAGCTGGTGGTGATGGGGCAGAGGTGTGGCATTCGAGGGAGCTGTGGTGAATGGAATGGGGGTGGCCTCTGCTCCCAAGCTCATGCATTTGGTGAAGGGTCCATCCTCCTGCACACCATGTCCTCATTCAGGGTTGAAGGAGAGCCCACAGCTAAGTGAATGTCATCAGACAAAGTTACTGAAAAATTCTGAATGGGCTCCTTCAAGGAGAGGCTTCTGGAACCAAAACCTCTCTGAGGGCCACTTGTCTGTGTATCCAGGAAGTCCCTGTAATTGCCCCATGGGACTGTCATCTACGCAGTGGTCTGCCTCCCTCAGAGTCTGCTGGTACCTCCCTTCACTGCCTCTCAGGAGAGGCCCTCTCCTCACCTAGGCACTCTCTTCCACCTCTGCTATTCTGGGCCAAGTTCAAAAGTCACCTCTCCTTCCCAGTTGGGAAGACAATGCCTTCCCAAGGGCCAAGGTTGAGGAGACCTCTCTTTCCTCTAACTCGCATCACACTTTTTATCATTTATCACATAACACTTCCTAATCACGACAACAGCTAAAGCTTACTGAGGGCTTTCTATGTGCCAGGCACTATGCTAAGCACTTAACAGGTATTATCTCATTTAATCCTTAAATCTGTCTCATGAGGTAGGTCTGTGACTATTTCATTGTACAGGTGAGGAGACTGAGACCCTTAGAGGATGAGGAGCCTGCCCAAGGTCATGCAGCTCATAAGAGACAGGGTTTGAAGGCATGTCTTTAGATTCTAGAGCCTGTTCTCACCACTTTGCACATACCACCCTGGGTTTTAGTTAGCTGTGTGTATGAGCACATGCCTGCTTTATACCAGATTGGGGTTGAAATATCATGTCTCATGGGCTCCAAGCACCCCACAGCCTGTTTTTGTATGGCCAGCTAGCTAAGCATGGTTTTTATATATTTAAAGCATTGTAAAGAAGGAGAAAGAGTAGGCAGAAGAGAGAAAGGAGAGGAGAAGGAGAGAAAAAGAGAAGAGGAGCGGGGAGAGGAGGGGAAATAAAAGGACAGGGGAAGAGATCATCTGTGCACAAAAAGCCTAAAATATTTTCTGTCTGGCCATTAACTGAACATGTTTGCTGATACCTGTACTAGATCATAAGCTCTTTAAGAACAGATTCATATTTTACTCATTTTAATTCTCCCACAGGACCTAACACAACATCCCCTCAACTATTTTTGGAATGAAAGAAGAAAGGTGTGGATAAAACAACCTCTCCAAAGCTCTCCTAGACTCAGAAGTTAGAGCTTCCACCTTTCCGCTGCTCTAGGGATTGATGTAGTGCTGCAGTTACATCAGCAGATCTCCATGGACAGAGATGGGGTGTGGTCTCTCTCTCCTTCAAGAGGAAGATGAGTTTGAGTTTGTAAAATTGCACCACCTATACTCTCATAGGCAACTTGAAGAATTCTGAAAGTTCTGGTTGGTATTAGAGGCAGAACTGTGGCCAAAGGATTGCTTACGTTAAGTGTATATCTTCATTACTACAGGTATGAAAGACATATTTGGGGTGTCTGCTCTCCCTGTCTTCCATGGGGATGTGCTCTCTAGGATATAGCGAGTCCTCCCCATACCTCCTACCTCTGATCTGGGTCCCAGTGATAGGGCAATCAAAGTTGGACAGATCAGATTCTCCATGAAGAATTTGGAATCGCTGTGGGATGGTCCCTTGAGTAGGGTGGATGTGAACATGGAAGCTGAGGATTGGCCAAAGGCAGGGACAAGCAGAAGAAGCTGGTTGCAGAAGAGTAAAGAAGATGCCCTGAGAGAAGCAGAGACCAGAAGCAGAGAGAAAGAGGACAGGCCAGCTTCCCAGACCCAGCCCTTGAGAGATCATGCCCCTGGGGACTATGAAGTCATCCCAGTGTCCCAGTGATGCTCCCTCCATTTGTATGAGTTAGCCTGAGTGGGCTTCTGTTACTTGTAGCCCCAAACCTCCTGACGATGACAGTGGCATTTCTCTCCCCTTGGGCATCGCAAACAGTCCCCAACAGCTCACTCAAGATTAGGCTGTGGGAGCCAGAGATGGAGATGCTGGGTGGGGGGCTCTTGACTCTCGTGTAAAGTACTGCTGCCGGCCAGGAGCAGTGGCTCACGCCTGTAATCCCAGCACTTTGGGAGGCTGAGGCGGGTGGATCACCTGAGGCCAGGAGTTTGAGAACAGCCTGGCAACATGGTGAGACTCTATCTCTACTAAAAACGCAAAAACTAGTCAGGCATGGTGGTGGGCGCCTGTAATCCCAGCTACTCGGGAGGCTGAGGCAGGAGAATCGCTTGAACCCAGGAGGCGTAGGTTGCAGTGAGCTGATATTGTGCCACTGCACTCCAGCATGGGTGACAGGGCGAGACTCCGTCTCAGAGACTGAAAAATAAAAAAAAAAATAAAGTACTGTTGCCAAAGGGCTTTTAGGCAGGACTCTTCCTTTGGCATCTCTGGAGTCTGATGGCTGTGATCCTAACAAGACAGGAGATATAACCACCAAAATCAATGTGTAGATCTTGTTTTGATTCTAAGTTGTATAAACCAACAGAAATATGATATTTTTGAGACAGTAAGAGAAACTGAATCTAGACTAGATAACCAATTATAGTAAGGAATTTTTCTCAATTTTATTAGGAAATATAACGGCATTGTGTTTACAATGAAGTCTAATTCACAAAGATGTGTACTGAAATGTTTACAACATTCAGGATTGCCTTTAAAATACCCCAGCAAAAGCAAACAACAAAAAAAAAATCCCCAAAAGCAAACAAAAAAAGTGGTGGAGATAGATAAATATGAAACTTTGATGAAGCTGGGTGATGGGGACCATTCTCTCTACTTTTTGTGTTTGAAATTTTTCATAATAAAAAGTTTAAATATATATTTGGATATATAAAAATATACATGAATAGGTAAATCAAGTAGGGGTTTTGACATGAAGGTGGTCTGATGGTGGGGTTATTCCCCTTCTGACAGCTGCAACTGAGTGAGCTATCCAGGGATGACTTTGGTTGGGGGAGGTGTTTGCTCCTGCAGACCAGCTCCAAGGGTTCTGAGGAGCTGCCAGCCAGTTGTGCCCTATCTGGGAAGAGCTTCCTGAGTGCTCCAGTCCCTCCCATCTCTCCTCACTTAATTAGCCTTCCAATCTCACTCACTGGCCAACTAATCTGATTGTACTATCCTGGGTCAACCGCGTGATGGCCTTGTGTCACTGCCTGGCTGTCCCCATGGGTGTGGACTTGTGCTTCCCCTGTCTGATTGCAGGACTTTGAAGGTCTCTTTTGCAGCTCCACCCTGGAATAACTGTAAGTTATCCTAAGTCCCTGAGGGATGAAAGCCCCTAGCATAGCCCTCATTCTGTGTTACACTGCCAGCTGTGAGAGCACTGGATGGAACCCAGGGCCTCTGAGACTTCAGGGAACCTTTTACCTGGGGCTTGATCCAGGTTCTGATTCATATAAAAATCCCTTTTTCCTACTTCACCAACATAAGCCTCAAGTGTCAGTGTTGGACTAGCATAGAGAGAGGGAAGGACCAAGTTAGATACTGGACATAAAAGCAGCTGGATAATGACAAAGAGTATAATTATTCAGAACACTAGATCAGCAGAAGGTGGAAGTCAAACAACCTTAAAAATCTTCATCTGACCATAAATCTCCATGTGTGACTCCACTGCAATAAAACAAGAGAGCGATGGCTGCTAGCCTGCAGCTGCTTACCTGGCTCATGTATACCAGCCATCTGCAGCTCCTACAGTCGCTTTTCCACCCCACCTGTCTCCTCAAACCACAGACCGGCCTGGAATTCCCTCAACTCCCTGCTAGGAGCCCCTCCACCTGTGCCCAGGGCCGCCTTGCTCCATCCAGCAGCCTCCCTCAGCTTCTTTTCCCTTTAAATGACTCTCTTTTCCCTGGACACTTCTTGTAAGCCTACGATGTGCTCAGACTTCGCTGACCCTCAAAAACAAAAGGATCTCCCTTGGCCCATGTTCTCCTTAAGAGGCTTCCTTCACTCCTGCCCTTCATGGACAAGCATCTTGGAAGAACTGTCAGGTGAACCCAGCTTTTTACTTTTAACTCTTCTCAACTTACTGCCCTCTGGCTTCTGCCCTACCCCTCCTCAGACTGCGGGAGTAGGTCCATCCTGCGGATGCGCTTCAGTTCTTGCGGTACTTCTTATCCCCTCCCTTCATCTTGAATGTCTCTCAGCCCTTGATTTCCAGGACAAAGCCCTCCTTCCATTCCCCTCCTAACCTCCTGGTTGCCCCTTCTCAGTCTCTTTCGTGGGTTCCTCTTCCTCTGCCCATCCTGCAAATACTGAAGTTCCTAGGGGCTCTGTTCTGGGCTCTCTTCTCACTTCACAGACCTCAGGGGCAACCTTATCCTTTTCTGTGGGCTTGATTTCCACCTAGATGCTGATGCCTCACAAATTTATGCTTCTCTACTGAACTCCAGACACGGTGGCCACATGATGACCCCTGGACATCTCCACTTGGAGTTTCCTCAAATAGAACCTGTCCAAAATGGAACTCATTATCAACTGCCCCCAAAACAAAATTTAAAAATATCCAATGTAATAAAACTTTACTACTACATTTGTGTTTTCTAAGCTGCTACCATGAGGTACTCACTAGCTCAGGTTGGAATTCTGGGTGTCTCCCTGACTATCTGTCCCCACGTGCCATCTGTTATCAAGTCTTGTCAATTGTACCTTTTAAATTTTGTCTCAATCTACCCCTTCTCTCTATCCCTACTGCCAGCATCTCTCCCTTGGACCAGCCTCTTAACTAGCCAAGTCTTGCCCCCTTTTATCCATTCTCCACACTAAAGTGAGATGAACTCTCTTAAGGATATGCACGATTCTGTCCTTTTCCCACCTAGAACCCTTCTGTGGTCCTCTGAAGCTCTCAGCACCAAGTTCCAACACTGCAACATGGCTGGCATAGAATCTGCATCATCAGCCCTGCCATTCCCTGCCTCCTATTCTACAGTCCAGCCACAGGAAACCTGTGCCTTTTCCTCTATGTGTCTGTTTGCCCTATTCCAGAGGCCTCTTCCCCCTTCCCTACCCTCTCCTGGCTAACTCTGACCCATCCTTCAGGTCTCAATGTGAACATCTCTTCCTCCTAGAAGCCTTCCTTGACCCCTCCTGCCTGGATTAGATGCCCCTATGCTCTGCTTTCACAGTGCCCCCATTACCAAATGCCCCCTTATTTGCCTCAGTGTCCAATTAGACTGAGAGCCCAAGAGAGCAGGGGCAGCATCTGCCATGTTCCATTTTTATATCTCTAGCAGGCTCAGGGCTTGCAGATAATAAATATTAGTTGATGAATGAACCAAGTTTGTTGATTTCTGCACTGGGAGCTCAGCATCCTACTCTCCTTCAAACTGAGTGGGCAGCTCTGGCTCCACTGGAAGGTTGATTCCAGATGGGTGGTGAGACCAGAGGGCTGGGGATGCCTACTGCCCCATACTAAGATGGGAAATGATGTTAAGAGGGCATTATACAGGATTTTTTTTTTTTTTTTGAGACAGAGTTTCACTCTTGTTGCCCAGGCTGGAGTGCAATGGCACGATCTCGGCTCCCTGCAACCTCCGCCTCCCAGGTTCAAGCAATTCTCCTGCCTCAGCCTCCTGAGTAGCTGGTATTACAGGCACCCACCACCATGCCTGGTTAATTTTTTTGTATTTTTAGTAGAGATGGGGTTTCACTATATTGGCCAGGCTGGTCTTGAACTCCTGACCTCAGGTGATCCACCTGCTTCAGCCTCCCAAAGTGCTGGGATTACAGGCATGAGCCACTGTGCCTGGACTATACAGGATCTTAATGAGGGTGATTTCAGGGTTGAAACAGATAGTTCAGCTTTCTCCATCCTGTATGGAGTGAGAGCATCCCTGCCTATGTGCATAGAACCATTCAGGGCTTTTGAAAACATACTGATCTGGTTTGACCCAACAACTGACCCACTTCTCCTGCCCTTCCCGGTCACTGCAGGAACATTCTCAGAGCATGTGTCTCATAAGAATCTTCTGGCAGGTTCGTGTTTATGGTCTGCTCTGAGTTGAGACCAGAAGCAGCTTGGATTTGGAATTTGCTTTCACAGCTCTTGGGAGGCGCTAAGCTCTGGTTATTTCTGAGTAACCCCAAAGGGCCCTCCACACTTGGGTGGGTTCCAACCCAGGTCATTCTCCTTCCCAGCCCCTCCACTTGCAGTCAGGCAGAGGTGGGCATGAGAGAGGATAGAATTCTGGGTAAATAGTTTGCTCACAGTCAGGTGGTCGCCCCCACCCAATCTGATCCAGCCCTCCCTTCAGGCAAGGTCATTATCAGCAAACAGCCAGCTGCATTTCCCTCATGGGAATGCTAGAGACAGAGTTAATAAAAATCTATCTTATTAACAGCCTGACCTACCAGCATTGATCACATTAGAAATGACGCTGCACACACAGTCCCCATTATGTGCATGGTGCTAGGCTCAGCAGAGCTCAAAAAGCCATTTAAATCCCTCCAGGAGTGACTCCTCCAAGGGCCTGAAACATCCCCCAAACTAATAACTCCCGACAAAGCACTGCCAGGGAAAATTCCTTGCGGATTTGAGATTTTCACTCTGTTAATCTCCTAACTCAATAAAGCAAACACTCCCTGCAGCAAATTAAATACTTTTATTAAAGCGTCCCCTCCCCGATTCTCTTTGACATGGGCATTGTGGACCATAACCGTCTTGGAGCCTGAGTGTCTGTGTGAGGGGCTGTCCCCTACTCCCTATCATTTTCTCCTGTTACTCTAAGAAGGCCCAGAACCCATTATGATTTACTGATTCTTAGATTCTCAAAACATCTGAGATCTCTAGCTTCCCTGAGTGGCTCCACTGGCCTGTCAACTGAAGAAACTGCTATTTTTTTGTGGGGGTGACAAGCCTCAAACAGCTCTGACCCAAGCACCTCTAACCTTGTAGTTTGCCTGGAGGAGGGCCCAGCAAAACTGTTCAGGCCCATGGTGGGCTTCTTGGCTGATGGTCAAACCCTTCTTCTGACTTCACTAGGGGCTTGCTGGTCATACCTTGGAGAGTTATCTGGAAACCAGATGGGGTTAGCTGTAGAGAGTAGAAAAGGGTGGAGCAGAAGTCGAGAAAGCTACTCTCTTCCCACATTTTCCTGTCCGCAAGCTGGCCTTCAAGCTACTCCTCTTTGGGATCTGCCTAGAATTGGGTTCGACCACTTTAACTTCTAGTCATTGCTTTCTTCTCACTGCTGGTTGGAGCCAGGTTATCCTGAGGTCCTGATGGCCTTTCTTCCAGGACCTCCTCAGATGCCATCTTCAGAAAGCCTGCTTTGCAGGGAAACCTACCACTTTGCAGATGGTAACTGCCAGACCCCTTTATGTTTTAGGAGAAGCCCCCTTCTAGAAACATCCTCATCTACAGTTTCTTGGTTCCTTCACTGGGTCTGGAGTGCAGAGGGCTTTGTGAATCCACACTCTGAGAGAATAGAGACAGTGTGGTTTGCCTTTGGTGATAGTCAGGTCTCTGGGGGCCATAAGGCCTTCTTGGCAAGGGCTCCACGGGTGTGTGTGATAGGCCCTCGTGGAGGGTCTGGTCCTGGCAACCATGGCTAGGGCTTCTGGATGCAGACCCTGTCCAGGGTGTGGAGAAGGCACCTTCCCCTTCCTGGGCCTCTGAGAAGGCCCTGCCCAGATTTCCTCCTCTCTATTTGCTCACTCTGGGCAGGAGAGGCCCTCGTTCAGGGCGGGCAGTGGCTTCAGGCCCTGGCCCCTCAGAGGTGTTAAGACATAATAACCCAGGGTGGGTCCTGGTCATTTGAAATGTCCCCCTTCCCTGTCAATCTTGGATAGGCATCCTGGGCTCTGCAGCTCTCCCCATGTATCTCTGACCCCAACAGAATTGCTTCCAGACCTATGTTCTTCCCTGGAAGTCAAAACAGTCACTGGAAGTTAGAGACAGAAAGAGAAAGGGCTGAGAAAATGAGGAAAGGAAGACAAAGTCCATTATCCCTCAAGTGGGAAGTCAGACAGGCCTGGACTGGAATCCATATTCAGCCACCTACATGCTCTGACCCCTGGTGAGCTACTTGCTCCCCTTCACCTCAGTTTCCTATCTATAAAATAGGGATAATGAAAATTCCACCCACTCAGGGTCACTGTGCAACTTGCAGGAGACAAGCCGTGAATCGATCAGCACCGTAAGTGTTCAAAGAACGGCATCATAGGAAGAGATTCAATGGCTTCCACACAGGGACCGGGCCCAGATGTGGAGCTGGGGATTTGTTCCTCTCTGAGGCCCGCAGGGACTTATTTACTAGTACACCCAGTGGCTTTTCTTCCAGATACATGGTACGTGGAGTGGGGAAAACCTGGGGGTGTCCAAACCTGTGCCTTCTGGCTCTGCACAGCAACTACCCAGGCTAGTGAGGGAGATGAGCGAGGGAAGAGCCCAGGCCATGGTTGGGGGCAGCTGTCAGGCTCTGGGTGTCACAGTGGCCCCCATGCAGAGACAGACCTGGGCACGGTTGAGTCTATGCACTCTCAACTTGGGCATAATTGCCCCCAAGGGGGCAAAAACTGTTTCTTCGAGGAGTGAAAATATTTTAGATATTACAATGGTTTGTGGTACTCTAGAGCTACACTCGACCTGACAAATCTTATTCCTTTTTTTTTTTTTTTTTGAGACAGAGTCTCACTCTGTTGTCCAGGTTGGAGTGTAATGGCACAATCATGGCTCACTGCAGCCTCAACTTCCCCTGGCTCAGGTGATCTCCCACCTCATCTTTTCAAGTAGCTGAGACTACAGGTGTGTGCCACCACGCCTAGCTAATTTTCTATTTTTATTTTTATTTTTGTAGAGACGAGGTCTTCCTATGTTGTCCAGGCTGGTCTTGAACTCCTGGGCTCAAGCAATCTGCCTGTCTTGGCCTCTCAAAATGTTGGCATTACAGGCATGAGCCACTGTGCCTAGCCCTTATTCCTTATTTCTTTTTTTTTTTTTTTTTTTTTTTTTGAGACGGAGTCTCGCTCTGTCGCCCAGGTCGGACTGCGGACTGCAGTGGCGCAATCTCGGCTCACTGCAAGCTCCGCTTCCCGGGTTCACGCCATTCTCCTGCCTCAGCCTCCCGAGTAGCTGGGACTACAGGCGCCCGCCACCGCGCCCGGCTAATTTTTTTTTTGTATTTTTAGTAGAGACGGGGTTTCACCTTGTTAGCCAGGATGGTCTCGATCTCCTGACCTCATGATCCACCCGCCTCGGCCTCCCAAAGTGCTGGGATTACAGGCGTGAGCCACCGCGCCCGGCCTATTCCTTATTTCTAATGAAAGAAATTAAATATTAATTTAATAAAGTTGATTTAAATCAAATTAAATTCTTCTCCTGGGGGCAGAGTGGCATCATGTAAAGAAGGTGGAGAAATATCGGCAGTCTGTCTTCCTGTCCGAAGGTCCCTCCCGCTGCCTCTTACCATAGCCTTCCTTCCCCTTGGGCTCTTGGGAGCATTGGGCACTGCTGAACAGTCCAGTTAAGTCCCAAGGCCCCTTTGTCACAGGCACTGGGGATATGAGCAGTGCCAACCATTCTTACCCTGCCCCTCCCTTGGCTCCTGCGACTTCTCCGTGCGGCTCCCCTCCAGTTTCTGCTCTCCGTATATATGGAGTGCTCTCTGCTCCACACGCTTTTCTCCATGGCTCCAACTCTGCAGCCCCAAACTCTGCCAGATAGCCCTCTCCATCTGGATTTTTCCCACCATTCAGACTTGATGTGCCTGGCACACCTTCTCCTTCCTCCAAGAAGCCCTCGCTGTCTACCCCAGCCTGCTTGTTACTTTCCCTTTTACAGCATTTACCTTGAACCATTTTATATTAAAGAACATCCTGGGTAAAAAAGTGAGACCTTATCACTACAAAAAATAAAAATAATTAGCTGGATGCAGTGGCATGTGACTGAAGTACCAGCTACTTGGGAGGCTGAAGCGGGAGGATCACTTGAGCCCAGGAGTTTGAGCCTGCGTGCAGTAAGCTATGATTACCCTACTGCACTGAAGCCTGGGCGACATAATGAGACCCTGTCTCTGGAAAAACAACAACAACGAGAAGAATGCAGTTGACCCCTGAACAACATGGATTTTGAACTGCATGGGCCCACTTACACAGGTTTTCTTCAACCAAATGGGGTCAAAAATACAGTATTCATGGGATGCAAAACCTGCATATATGGGCCATTGTTTCATATAGGTAGTTCCACAGGGCCAACTGGGAGACTTGAATATATGCGGATTTTGCCATCAGCAGGCGGTCCTGGAACCAGTGCCCTATGGATATGGAGGGACAATGGTATATGCCCTTGTATTACTCTCAGAGTTTCATGGATGACTGTTCTATCTTCCCACTTGAACTTTAATTTATTTGAGGATGAAGAGGAATTCATAAGGTTCTGTTTGCTCCTTAGTTCTGGACACCAAGGAAGGCAGCTGGGAGGGTCTTTGTGGACCAGGAAGCTCTCAAGGTACAAGGTGCCACTTCCCACCAGGAGGGTCAGGCAAGCCCAGGCTGTGTGAGACTGAAGTGCCCACCTCCCTCGTGGGGCCCCGCCTCACCTGGCTGACTCCTTCCACTCCATCTGGTCTCCGTCATGCTGCAGAGTATCCATCTCTGTAAAGAGGGTGGGGTTGGGAGCCTCATCTTCCTCCCCCAGGATGTCCTGGAGCTGCTCAGCAGCTGGGGACCCTGCAAAAGAGGGGCAGCAGGTCTGCTGAGTGTCCCATGGAAGGCAGGAGGACCACAAGGCCAACAGAAATGGAGTAGGAGGCAAGCACAAGGGAAAAGTATTTTCTAATTCTGTAAAACTAAGTCCAGCTCCTGGGTGATGCTGGCCTCCTGTAACCATGAATCAGAGGTGGGCGAGATACTCTTTAAGATAAAAGAGATGAAAAGATTTAGTCTGCATTCAGATCCAGGGTCTTGCAGCTGGCAGTGAAGAATGATGGGAAATGGTCGAAGCCAGGGCAGTAGCAAGAACCAGAACTGAAGAGAGAAGTGAGAAGCACTCTGACCCAACTTCAGCTTACCACCCGAGGGGGTTCTTCTTCCCACCGGGCCCCAAGCAAGCCATCCTCCAACACTGGTCTTGAAAAGGCAGTCAGCCATGCAAAAGGACAGCTTGCACACCCTTGTACCATGTGGGCCCACTTTCTTCCTGGGCAAGATGGCAGTCCATTTCCTGAGGCCCCAGCCTGCTTTCCAGCTGCCCATTGGAAGTCACTTCCTGGGTGTCTCCCAGGCACCTCAAAACTCGACATTCCTCTCCCAAACACACTTCACCTGTGTTCTTTCTCTCTTTTTCTTTCTTTTCCTTCCTTCCTTACTTTTCTTCATCTCTCTCTCTCTCCAGTGAATACCTACTATGTGCCAAATAAAGCTATGAAGAAGACCTATGTGTCCTTGCTCTCTTGAGCATGTCCTCTAGTGATAGAGACAGAGAATAAACAAGTCAACAAATCCATAAATGACCATTTCAATCATAAGTTGTCTAAAATAAACAAAATGACCAGGGGAGCTACAGTAGATAGCATGGTCACAAAAGGACTCTCTGAGGAGGGGACACTGGAGCTGTGACTTGAAAAATGAGAACGAGCCACTCTGCAGATCTGGAGGAAGAGTGCTCTGCATGTTCCAGACACCCTGTGGTGGAAACGTGCTGGTGAGTGTGGTTCAGCACGTGAGCAAGGGACAGAGAGATGGCATGATGTCAAAGTGGTGACCAATGCCATGACTAAAGGCATCCCTGCCCACCCCACTGCACAGGCTAGACACCCTGGAGTCATCATTACCTCACCTCCCTTCCCCTCATCTTCACACTCATATTGAAATTTTCAGGAACCCCACTGCCCTGCCCCGACGCAATCTCTCGTTCACTGTCTCCTGGGCCTCATCAGGTCTTCCCTTCCTCCAGCCTGTTTCCTCAGTTCATCATTCCCTTCTGTCCTCACTTATTTCTTCATGGACCTCTACTCTTTTCTTCATCACATCCTCCATTCTTTCCCCTTGACTTCCCAATCAAACCAGCCAGGCAATGCCCAAACAAGAATTCACTGGCCCAGTCTCCTCTGCAGGTGTGTCTGAGGGCTTGGGCTGGGGGATGGCTGGGGTGGGGATGGCAGCACGGAGTGGTAGTGTGGTGGAATCAAATAGAATCCCAATCCAGCTAGACAAGGGTGTGAGTCTCGGGGCTGCCACTTATTCACAAGCGAACTCAGTTGAGTGAGCAGGACTGCTGGGAGGAATACAACAGGTAAGAGAATGAAATGCCTGACACAGGGCTTGGAAGGTAACAGCTGCTTAGCCCCTCACCACCAACACCCACATCCAGGCCCATGAGCCCCACTGTAAGGGTTTCCCCTCAGCAAGTCTCAAGTGCGGCATCCTTCCATGCATCCTTGTCAGCGCCCTCACTGTGTCCCTCAAGGCTGTCCCTAACCTTTGCTCCTCTCTTCAAGCTTCTTGATTCAACTCCTACCCCACTTCACCAAGAGAATAAAGGCCTCCAGGCATGAAATCCATCAACATCCTTTCTTCCATCCCCTCAACTCTTTCAGATCCTTATTTCATCAGCTAGTCTTTCTTCACCTGGATCTTCAACTTCCCTCTCTCCACCCTCTTTCTCTCAGCCTAGAAACAGCTCTTCCTACCCAAGACAGGTTCCCTGACCCTGCCTGTCTCCTTAGCTCTCCTGCTTGCCTTCTTCTTTCTTTTACCCATACTTCCTAAAGTAGTGGTCTGTGCTCATGGTCTCCATCTCCTCCTTGCCCAATCAGTTCCCGGCCTGCTGCCACTGGCTCAGCCCCCACCACGCTAAGGACATTGACAAAGGCAGAGGTTTCAAACTGACAGTTCAAAGGTGTGTTTAATTCAGGCCTCGCAGAGTATGAAATTTTTTGAAAGTATTGCTAAGATAAAGAATTGTAAGATTTCATATAGAAATCCAGATCTCTGACTTTTCTTGAAAAGTCAGATGTTCTGATCACTGTGCCCACGTTCCTGCTTGGCAACAATCCATGAGAGTTGATGATGGTGCCTTCTTAGGTAAACATATGCTTTTTAGTTTGCCACAGTCCCCACTACTTCTTACTGGTGTCCCGTTAATCTCACTTATTGCCATGCACCCAAATTCACAACCCCTGCCCTCAGATCCCTCTTGTTATTTTAATTGTCAAACCAATAAGCTAATAAAATCAATCAAACCAACAGCACTGAGAAGCTATGGTCTGGCTTATCTCTCTGGAACTTCAGAGGTGATCATCGCCGCTCTGAACTGAAATGTGACTTATGGCTCTTATAACGTGGCAGTTTCTTGATATTTTCCCTCTTTGAAGATTCTCTCTCAATATCTTTCCCTAGTTCCTCTTGCCTGGCTAACACTTAAATCTTGATCTTGCCCAGGATTCTGCTTCATCTTGTTCTCTCTTCTCTCTCCACACTCCTTCTGGGCTAGCTCACGTTATTTGTGGTGTCATTTTATAAATGAGGTCACCCTTGTGTCCAGGCAATACACCCATGTGTATTGAACATTCCAACTGACAATTGGACTGCTCCTTTTGGAAGCTCGGCAGCCTTCTCAAGTCAACCTCAACATATTCAAAACAGCTCTGCATCCCTTCTCCCATCAACCCAGCCCTGCTCTCCTCTGTTTTTATTAATAGCACCTCTAGCCACCTACCCATCTAGACAATGCTGGACTCATTCCTGAAGCTCCTTCTTTTTCACAATTCATGTCCAACTGGACACTAATGTCTTTCATTTGCTTCATAAACATTTTTTGGCTCTCTCCTTTTTTCCCCACCCATTGCCACCATCTTGGTTCTGGCTCTCATCATCTGCTCCTATCACTGCAATAGCCACCTACTGTTGCCATTGCCTCTGGTTGTCCCATTTAATCCCATTCCCTATGTAGCAGTAGAGTGTGCTTTTAAAACATTTCAAACATGTTCACACAATGGGCTCCTGGGAGTCATGGTTCTCTTTGAATAGCACCATAAAACACTATACATATGAGTTAGAAATCATTTTACTAGCAGAACACACTATTATCTACAGAACTCATGGACTCATGTATTTAAATGAATTTTAAATTTCTCAATTTTTCTATTACTTTTTTTTTTTGAGACAGAGTCTCACTCTTTTGCTTAGGCTGGAGTGCAGTGGCACAATCTTGGCTCACTGCAACCTCCACCACCTGGGTTCAAGTGATCCTCCCACTTCAGCCTCCAGAGCAGCTGGGAGTACTAGCTCATGTCACCATGCCTGGCTAATTTTTGTATTTTCTGTAGAGACGAGGTTTCACCATGTTGCCCAGGCTGGTCTCGAACTCCTGAGCTCAAGAAATCCACCTGCTTCAGCCTCCTAAAGTGCCAGGATTAAAGGTATGAGCCACTGGACCCAGCCTATTACTTTTAACTTACATCCTTTCCATTGTCTTATTGATTGCTGGCGCTTGCTAGCAGACACCAAATGTTTAAAGAAATTTTATAGACAAAAAACCAACAATTGAGAAAATAACCTTATTTTTTCTTAAAATTGAGAAAACTGTGACTGCTTGATTCTGAGGGGCCATACCAATTCTCCCTGGGATCAGAAATCAGTAACTACTCTTTTAAAATGTAGATTTGATGTACCTTGGAGGATGGCATGAAAAAGAAAATAAAATATAAAATAAAATAAAATGTAGATTTGATTATGTTATTCACCAGTTGAAAAACTTTCAATGTCTCTCTATTGCCTAAAGCCTAGGGGTCAGTGACATGGCTCAAACCACCCCTCATAATATAGCCCTAACCTGCCTTTCTAGGTTCTAGCATGTCCCTCACCCAGCCACCCCGACCCCAGCCACAGCAGACCACATCCCTGAAGAGGAGGGCATGCTACTCCTTGGGCCCCTGTGCCTGCCATTCCCTAAGTCTGGAATCCCCTTTCCCCTTCAAGGCCAGACAAGAAGGCAAATAAATGGACAGGTCCTGGAGAGAGGAGACAGGCAGAGAGCAGGATGCAAACCAGTTCTGCCTGGGGCATTACCTGCTCCCTGGAACAGCTGAGCGCTGGGGTCCCTGGCTGTCGATGCTGCCTCTGGCCCCAGCCTGCTTCCGCTGCTGCCTCCCTGGCTGCTACTTCCACAGGTCCTCTTCTTCACACAACAAACTCACTTTTGTTTCCAGTTAAGCACCAGGGGAGGTGTGGGGAGAGAAGAAGGGGGGTTTGAGGGGAGAAAAAGAGAGAGAGAAAAGGAATGTGTGAAGGACTGGGGAGGTGGAGAGAGAGGCTATATGTAGAGAGAATATAGGTGTGGTAAGTGTAAGTGTGAGAAAGATTATGCAAAAGTGTTTGAGAGAGAAAAGCTACACTGAGTTAATTAAAGATCTGAGAGAGAGAGAGACAGAGAGAGAGACAGAGAAGTGAGAGAGAGAGAGAGAGAGAGAGAGAGAAGTGAGCAAGAGAGAGAGAGAAGTGAGAGGGTGAGAGAGAAATCTCAGGTGCACTAGAGAGAGAAAGGCTCAGTGGCTGCAGCAGAACCTCAAGCAGGAAGCCGGGTCTCCACAGCAGCAGGGGTGGTGGCAGCTGAGGACCTGTGAGAGGACTGGCAAAACTGCCCCTTTACCCCCTTCCCCATGAGTGCTTCCTATGTGCCTGTGGTCTCTAGGAGAGCCCAGGATCCTCTCTGCAGGCCCCTTTATAAAGGCAGGGGTAGGATGTGCTGTGAGATTCCCCAGGGCCTCCTTAGGAGCCTTGGTGGCAGGTGAGCTGGCTGGAGAGGAACCTAGCAGGGCCCTTCCTCTCCACCACACAGCCCCAAAGGTGGAGTGGGGTTGCTGGAGGGGAGTGTTTGCTGTGGGGTCTCACACTGACCAAGCAGTGCTCGATAATGTGCTATGTAGCTGGTTTCTTTCCTCCCCAACTTTAAACCCAAACTCCTGATACACTTCCTGTTCCTCCACCTCTCAGGCAAAGTGCCAAGTGTCACCACTCGGCAGGTGTTTTCTGAGAGCCCACGGACAGTGGAAGCTCGTCACTTCAGAGTGTGAGGTAAACTCCACTGGGGAATTATTTTGCTCTTCTGAGAAACTCCTAATCTCCTGGGTTTGGTTTAACAAGTGCTTACTGAGTACTTAGAATGTGCCAAGGTTGATTGGAGGTCACTGAGTGGTGGCTGCTCCAGGGAGTTACAAACCCTGAATTCACTAAGTCTTAGAGCTGGGAGGGAGCTTAGTGATGGTCAAGTCCAAACCCTTCATTTCACGGATGAGAAAACCAAGACCCAGTTTACCCCATAGGCCCCCTAGGCCCCAACACAGGTTAGCAGAGCCTGGGGGAGAACAGACATCTGACATTCTCCCCCTACACTGCCCCATTGAGGCTGGCTCCACTGGTGACATTTTCATACCTGAGGCTCGAGGATCAAGTACGCCCATTTTATTATTTTATTTTTAGAGACAGGGTCTTGCTATGTTTTGCAAGGCTGGTTTTGAACTCCTGTGCTCAGACAATCCTTCCGCCTCAGCCTCCCATAGTGTTGGGATTACAGGTGTGAGCCATCACACGTGGCCACAAGTATGCCCGTTTTAAAGCTGAGAAAACAGAAGCAGAGGACACCAGGCCCTGCCTGAGGGTCCCAGGCTCTGCAGCTTCCACTGCACTGTGGCTGAGGTTGACCCAGCTCCTTCTGAGTGGCCACAGCAGGCCACACCAAGTCAGGCCCTGTGGGTGGCCTCAATACCCAAAAAAAGATGGCCAAGGATCCCAAAAAGACCCTCTTTATTCATGTGGTGTTTTAAGAGCCCAGACCTGGGCTCAACTCCAGACTCTGCTATTACTAGCAGTAGGATCCTGGCAAGACATCAAGCTCCCACTGAGCCTTAGTTTCCTCATCTATGAAGCGGTAATAATCACGCCCCCCTCACTGGACTGTGGCAGGGATTCAATGAGATAATACATGTAATGTGACTGGCTGGCACAGCACTCGTGTACACCAGTCACTCAATAGGTGATATTGCTATTATTGTTGATGCCAGCAGGTGAGATGCTTCCTCTGTTACTACCAGTTACCAGCCTGTTCCCTCTAAACATTCCAAGGGCCCAATCCTTCTCAGCTTCTAGACTCCATGCTCCTCCCATGCTACCTCTGGCCCTCCATCCCAGGCCCCTACGCTGTCTCTGCCCCTCCCTTCTGCCCACAGAAGGTTTAGCTCACCACATGCTGGGCCACTGGGTCAGGGTTTCTCTAATGCCCTGCGGATCCCACATGTGTGCAGCACGTCAGAAGTTAATCCACATAATGAGAAATGCCACAGGTAATAGCCCCTCTGTTCTATAGCTAACAGCAAGAGTCACAAAGTGCCAGCCCAACTATAGGAATGGATTCTAACAGCAGTTGCTGGGAGAAACATAACCTCCATGGGGACCGCTTCAGGAGGCACACTAAAGCCACACAAAGAATCATGCTTTTACTGGGTGGGGACTGACTTAGCACAAAATGATCTAGTGGCCTGCAAACTAGCAAGCAGTGTGGACTTCAACTCTTAGTAAAGATCTGGGAGCCATTATGGCCATCTGGAAGTCAACATCAGGACACGATCCTGGGGTCCTCAGCTCTGGGCAAGTCCTTTCAGACATTCTCTCTCTCATCGGCTCCCTGATGGGTGGCTACACGGTCAGCTTTGTGAGGTCAGGGCCTATCTTGTTCACATCGCACTGCTGGCCCCTGACATGGGTTCACACAGCATGTGTACTCAATGCATATTTGCTGGGTGAATGGATTTGACTGCCTGACACTCGGGAGTATATTTGCTGAGGCTGGCCTCAGCAAGAGAGGAGCCAAGAACAAGGAAATGGAGCTGAGGGTGAAGCAGAGGGGGCAGGGATGGGGGGATTCGGGTGACTCCAGGCCACTGACTATTGGGGACTGGGAGAGGGAACCCAAAGGAGCCAAAACCATTCTTGCCAACTGTGTGAAGTAGGTCTTGGAGGCCCTGAGTCCTAGTTTCATGGGCAATAACATTCTTTTTCTAGAAGGCTGTATACAAACTCCAAGTGTGCCCTCTGAGAGAGGAAGAGGAGAGAATCTGCTGACTTGCTGTGTTCACGGGAATCCTTCCTGGGGTGGGTGGCTTTGGAATGTCTGCCCAGCCCATGTCCCCTCCTCCCATAAGGATGACCCTGGGCAGCTGTATTTGTGTGACATGTGACCTGTGCTCCTGGCCACAATGAATTGGAGCAGGAATGGTTCATTGGACACCTGTCCCAAGCCTGTGAATTTTGAATTGGGTCTCTGAGTTAGCTGGGCCTTTCCTGATGGTTTCTGGGAGACAGAGCTGGTAAATGGAAGAGGCAGAAAGGGCTGGGCTGCAAAGAGAGGAAGCAGCCTAGAGGCGAAGCTGTGGGAAAGGGCTGTGTACACCCAGAGAGGGGGCTGAGAAGGCACTGCGCTCACCCACTTGAGCCCGGCTCTTCGTTTTGCTTTGGGACTGTGAGAAACTCCTTTGTTCTTGTAATATAAACAATCTCTCCCCACACCCCTTCTCTCTCTGCTTCCCCAAGCCAGTTCAAATAGGTTTCTGGCATTGTGATAAAATTACCTTCTTAATCATGAGTCCCCTTTGTATGAAATTCTAGAGTGTGGAGATTTTTTTCTGAGTACCTTCTTGAAAACCATAAGTGTAAAGGTTATAAAAGAATGTTGAGTCACTGTCATAAGAATAGTTAGATTAAGCCTAGTCATGTGAAAAGTAAAAGAGCGGGGAGTAAAAAAAGGCAGGGCAGGCCTAAAGAAAGAAAGAGAGGCAAAGGAAACACTCCGTGACCTTGGATAAGGGAGGAAGCTCAGCTGGGTCAGAGGGGCTGGCAGAGCCTGGCATGTGCATGGCCAGCCCCCCAAAAGTGCTTGTGGATGGAGCCAAGGCTGGAGAAGGCCTAAGTATGTTGGGGGTCAGGGGAGACTCAGTCAAGGCTAGCTGAGAAATTCAGGTAAGAGATCCCTCCGTCTTTCCCATCTGAGTTCCCTACGCCACTCTGGACCTACCAGGCCTGGGAAGGGCAACAACCTCAGTGTGAAATCAGAAAGGCCCCGAGCATTATAAGACCCAACAGCAAAAAGAGAACAACGACATCCATCTCATTGGCGCACAAGGGAAGGAGAATCAGACGTTTCTGGAAAACCAAAAGGGTAAAAGGCAATTATTACTCATGATTTAAGATTTAAAAATGTCACCAAGAGTCTTCAATTTGCATGTTGTCCTTATTGTTCTGTTTTGGTAGATATAAATGCAGTATAATGAAGAAGCTGTCATTTAAAATCAAACTGAACAGTTGCTCTGCTTTTTCCTTCCAAGCCAAGAGGGGTATGGAGCCTAATGATATCAGTAGGAAGTTGAATCTTGATCCCGCTTCTTTCATCTGACAGAGGCCAGTGGGGACGGAGAAAGGAGAGAAGAAAATTTAAAGGCCTCTCAGTTTTTTGGATTTTTTTTTTTTTTTTGAGACACAGTCTTGCTCTGTCGCCCAGTGTACTGACGCAATCTCAGCTAACTACAACCTCCGCCTCCAGTGTTCAAGCAATTCTTGTGCCTCAGCCTCCTGAGTACCTGGGATTACAGGTGTCTGCCACCACGCCCGGCTAATTTTTATATTTTTAGTAGAAACTGGGTTCGCCATGTTGGCCAGACTGGTCTCAAACTCCTGGCCTCAAGTGATCCGCCTGCCTCAGCCTCTCGAAGTGCTGGGATTACAGGTGTGAGCCACCATGCCTGGCCCTCTTTCAGTTCTTTTATGCTGCATAAGCGCTAGACTGATAGATGGTCTTTGTGTTTAGTTCAACACATTATGAGTCCAGTTGGGTGAAAATGGGCTCTGAGCTAAGGTGAGAGAGACCGAGGTAAATCATATGACAGGTAAAGTGAGTGGAGTGAGTGTGTGTGTGTTGGAGAGGGGGCGCTGAGGAGAGGGGGCTCAGAAACCGAGAAGCAAGGAGATACGAGGAGACTCAGGAGGGCAGTGATGGGGGGTGGGAGTTGCCAAAAATATGGTAGGAAGGTGAAACTACAGAGGAAGGTGGCCAAGGGGAAACCTTCAGTGGCCAGAGGATTTTTAAGAACAGGGATATCTAATATCTCATTTTAAAAATTGAGTATCTCGGCCAGGTGCAGTGGCTCATGCCTATAATTCCAGGACTTTGGGAGGCCGAAGTGGGTGGATCATTTGAGGTCAGGAGTTCAAGACCAGCCTGGCCAACATGGTGAAACCCCGCCTCTGATAAAAATACAAAAATTAGCCAGGTGTGGTGGCGGGTGCCTGTAGTCCCAGCTACTCGGGAGGCAGAGGCAAGAGAATTGCTTGAATCTGGGAGGCAGAGGTTGCAGTGAGCAGAGATCATACCACTGCACTCCAGCCTGGGCAATAGAGGGAGACTCCTTCTCAAAAACAAAAAACACAAAACAAAACAAAAAAGAAAAAGAAAAAATTGAGTATCTCTACAAAGTAAACCCCCTCCATGGTTCTGAACCTTCAACAAAGCCTGCTGCTCACCTATGTGCCTTAAACGACCAATTTTGAGGAAACCACAGCAGGGCAGAACTCCATACCTGGGCTTTCCTGGAGGTGAAAGCAGAGAACAGATGCCAAAGGTGAAGCACTGTGAGACTGAGTCCACCAAGCAGGGACTTGGAGCCAGGGCAACGCTGAGACTAGAAGCCTTTGGAAATTCACAGACATTTAAGCAAAGGTGTGGGCCTATTCTAGAATGTGGCGAGGAGGCTGGAGTCTATTTTAGTTAACCACATCGAATAAGGTTATAAAAACTTTATATTAGGATTTTCATTGGTTCACTTGCAAATTCAGGCTCTCAACCCATTTCCCCTTAAGGTCTTAAGGTCACTAACTCAAGATTCTCTCCTGGTAGGGTTTTTTGCTTGAGTTTTGTTTTTGTTTTTTAGGAGAACAGCCCTCTTGGCTAGGGAGGGAATGCAGTATATGTTGAAAATTCGGGGCGATCTTGGTTTTAAGGTGTTAAAGGGCAAGAAGAGAGTGGTGTAGAAACAGACTTCCTTGAGGTAATTTTAATTTGTCTTCCTTCCCCAGCCCCAGGGTTGGGGGGAGCATAAAAGGTCTAGAATGATCTTTATCCTTTCTCCTTTTTCTTCCTCCTTTTCTCTTTTCTCACTTCTCCCCTCTTCACCACTTCCTTCAAGATCCAAATTAAGTAGACAAAGGTGAGGAAGCCACCCCAATTTTAAAGTTTCAAACCCTAAAAGAAAGCCAATTGTCGGCCAGGCACTGTGGCTCACGTCTGTAATCCTAGCACTTTGGGAGGCCGAGGCAGGTGGATCACTTGAGTCACTTGAGGTCAGGAGTTTGAAACCAGCCTGGCCAACATGGTGAAACCCGTCTCTACTAAAAATACAAAAAAAAAAAAAAAAAAAAAAATTAGCTAGGTGTGGTGGCACATGCCTGTAATCCCAGCTACTCAGGAGGCTGAGGCAGGAGAATTGCTTGAACCTGGAGCGGAGGTTGTAGTGAGCCGAGATCGTGCCACTGCCCTCCAGCTTGGGTGACGGAGCAAGACTCTGTCTCAAAAAAAAAAAAAAAAAAAAGAAAGCCAGTTGTCTTTGCTCCCATGTTTGAAACGTGGCCTGCCTCAGGGACTCCTTAGTGCAGGAGATGTTTTAGAGATAAACTTATTTTCTATCCTAACCCTTGGCTCCTTTCTTATCAGAAAAGAAAGACAACATGAAACATGTCTTTGGTCCTAAGGCTTTGGAACCTTGTGAGGTTCCAGTGTCTTAATAGAAAGCCTTTCTCTCCTTTACTTCTCATCTTAGGGTAATTTTGATCTTTTGGTGATCCCAGCGCTGCTCAATACCTGGCAAATAGATGAAGGCTTGAATATTTTTCACACTCCTTCCATCAGAAGGATCTCATAAGCTTCTCAGTACCAACGAGGGCAGCCAAATCAAACAAATGCCCACTTTAGAGGAAAAAGATTTGGGCGTGGTGCTCTTAAATTGGGTTAATGTGTATAAAGTGAACCAACTATATGTTAAGTGCCTACCATGCACCATGCACCATGTGAGGTATCTAATATCTATTTATCTCTCATTTAACAACTCGTAGCAATCTGGCATGAACAACCATGCAGTTTGCCTAGGACCGATCTGGTTTTAGCACTGAAAGTCCTTCCTCCCTCATCCTGGGACAAGTCTCAGTCCTGGGCAGACTGAAACAATTGGCCACCCTGCAACAATCTTTCACTCTCCAGATGAGAATACTGAGACTCCAGGGTCTACACACCCCAGTTGGGCTTGACTGACCTTGTTTCTCTTAAACTGGCTCCAGTTCTTATTAGCAGCCTAGAAAAGTGGAAGTGCAACCACATTTCTAAAGCTGCTTCTAATCCTCTTTCTCCTAATGGCCTCTCAAGAGGTTTTCACAGCCAGAAAACACATTTTTTCCCCCCAGGGTAGAAACCCTGGCTCCTACTGACTTTCACCACAGCTTGATGATTCTATTCATCATATGAGTTCTGCTTCAGTCAAAATTGATTGGCTACTAAGTATTGACTTCCTAAATTATTAATATATTCACATTGGGGGAAGGTGTGGTAAGGAGGGAGAGAGAGAAAATAAATAAACCAACTGCTATGGCCTATTATTTCCTACCTATCTATTCCTTTCAACATGAGGCAATTTGGCTACTTGAAAGGACATCATTATCAGCCAGGGTCCAATATGGTGACTGACCAATGACATCTTATAAAGGAAAGCAATGTAGTGAAAGGGCAAGCACAGTCTTTGGAGTCAATAGATCTGTTTTTATTTCCCACATTCACTGATTAACATCTGCATTATGCTACATCTCTTTGAATCTTAGTTTCACAATCTGAAGATGGGGATAATAATATCTCCCTTTTACTGTTGGTGTGAGGATTAATTGAGAAGATGTAATTCCAGATTTCAAGCTATATTACAAAGCTATAGTAATCTAAACAGTATGGTACTGGCATTAAGACAGGCACGTGGACCAAGGGAATATAATAGAAAGCACAGAAACATGCACACATACATGGTCAACTAGTATCTGACAAGAGTGGTAAGAATACACAAGGTGAAAAGATTAGTCTCTCCAATAAATGGTGTTGAGAAGACTGGATATCCACGTGCAGAAGAATAAAATTGGACCCCATCTTATGCCACTGACAAAAAATTAACTTGAAATGGATTAAAGGCTTAAATGTAAGACCTCAAAACATAAAAGTGCTAAAGGAAAACAGGAGAAAAGTTGTTTAACATTGGTCTTGGCAGTGATTTCTTTTGGATATGGCACCAAAAGCACAGGTAACAAAAGCAAAAATAAACTAGTGCAACAATATCATATGAAAAGGCTTCTGCATGGCAAAGGAAACAATCAACAAAATGAAAAGGCAACCCACAGAATGGGAGAAAAGATTTGCAAGCCATATATCTGATAAGGGCTTCATACCCAAAATATATAAGGAACTCATACAACTCAATAGCAAAAAGAAAAAAATCCTATTTTTAAATGGGCAAAGGAAGCCAGATACAGTGGCATGTGCCTGTTGTCCCAGTGCCTCAGGAAGCTGAGGCAAGAGGATAGCTTGATACCAGGAGTTCAAGTCCAGCCTGGGCAACACAGTGAGACCCTTAAAAAAAGGCCAAGGATCTGAATAGATGTTTTTCTAAAGAAGACATATGATATGGTTTGGCTGTGTCACCACCCAAATCTCATCTTGAATTGTAGCTCCTATAATCCCCATGTGTCATGGGAGGGACCTGGTGGCAGGTAATTTAATCATGAGGGTGGGTTTTTCCCATGTTCTCATGATAGTGAATAAATCTCGCCAGGCGCAGTGGCTCATGCCTGTAATCCCAGCACTTTGGGAGGCCGAGGAAGGCAGATCACCTGAGGCTGGGAGTTCAAGACCAGCCTGACCAACATGGAGAAACCCCATCTCTACTAAAAACACAAAAATTAGCTGGGTGTGGTGGTGCATGCATGTAATCCCAGATACTCGGGAGGCTGAGACAGGAGAATTGCTTGAACCCGGGAGGCAGAGGTTGCGGTGAGCTGAGATTGCGCCATTGCACTCCATCCTGGGCAATAAGAGCGAAACTCCATCTCAATAAATAAATAAATTTCATGAGACCTGATGGTTTTATAAAGAGCAGTTCCCCTGCACATTCTCTCTTGCGTGCTGCCATGTAAAACATGCCTTTGCTCCTCCTTCACCTTCTGCCGTGATTGTGAGCCCTCCCCAACCATGTGGAACTGTGAGTCCATCAAGCCTCTTTTTCTTTATAAATTACCCAGTCTCAGTTATGTCTTTGTTAGCAGCGTGAGAATGGACTAATACAACAAAGAAATAGCCAATAGGTATATGAAAAAGTGCTCACCATCACTAATCATCAGGGAAATGCAAATTAAAACCAAAACCATAGTGAGATGTCACCCCATACCTGTTAGAATGGCTACAAAAAGCAAAAGATAACTAGTATGGGCAAGAAAGTGGAGAAAAGGGAACACTTGTGCACTGTTGGTGGGAATGTAAATTGGTACAGCCATTATGGAAAATAATATGGAAGTTCCTCAAAACATAAAAGTAGAACTAGTATATGATCCAACAACCCCATCTCTGGGTATACACCCAAAGGAAGCCAAATCAGTATCTTGAAAAGATACCCACGTGCCCATGTTCACTGCAGCATTATTCACAATAGCCAAAACAGAAACAACCTGCATGTCCACTGACAGATGAAGGGATAAAGAAAATGTGGCATATACAAATATATACAATGGAATATTATTCAGCCATAAAAAAGAAGGAAATTCTGCCATTTGTTTCAACATGGAAGAACCGGGAGGGCATGACGCTAAGTGAAATAAGCCAGAACTATTGCATGTTCTCATTTATATGTGGAATCTGAAAAAGTTGAACTCATAGAAACAGAGGGCAGAACAGTGTTTACCAGGGGTCGGATGTGGAAGATGGGGAGATGTTGGTCAAAGATAAAAATATTCCAGGGATCTAATGTACTGCATGGTGACTATAGTTAATAATACTGTATTGCATACTTGAAATTTGCTTAGAGAGATCTTAAGTGTTCTTACCATACACTCGCACAAAGGTAACTATGAGTGGTGATGAAGGTGTTAACCAATTTGATTGTGGTAATCATCTCACAATGTGTATGTATATCAAATCATGTTTTATACCTTAAACATGTATAATTTTGTCAATTATACTTCAATAAAGCTAGAAAAGAGAAATGTATGAATTTCCTTTTCCTTAATTCTCCCAGCTGCCTTTTCTAGCTAATTTTTACCTATCATTTAAGACTCATGACAGGTGTCACCTGCTCCAGGAAGCCTGTGCTGCCCCCTCTGCCACCACTCACCACCTAGGCCTATGTGCTCCTGTTTCTCCTCCTATAGTTTCCTGTGCAGACCTCCATCAACGCACCTCCCACCAATTTATGCTTATCTGTTTGTGGGTCTGTCATCTCCAGGTGCAAGATATTTTCTCCAAGGAGCTCTGACATGATCCAGAGAGCAACTTTGCAGCAAGGGGCTGCTTTCCATGTAGCGCATGGAGCCAGTACAAGAAGGACAAGGATGCCTGGGCTGGCCTCTTTCCTGCCCCTGACCTGCTGTGGGAATGAGGACCAGCAGTTACTTGGGCCTCAACTAGAGTTAAAGCAGGGACTTCACAGGGTTCTGTAAGCTAAATGTGGTTCAAGGAAGCATCAAATTTCTTTAGGATAGTGTATTTTTTAACCAGGTACACTGGAACTTAATAGAAAAGTACAGACACCCAAGCCCCATTCACATCTAACACGTCAGGCAGCTGGATTGTGTATTTCAAAACTGTCCTGGAGGTTAGGAACCTTGCAGCATATATTAAAGCCACCCTCGTGGGTCTCTGTGGAAGGAATAAAAGTCAGCTACCTGGCCTTTGTTTCAACTTTATAGTTATGATTATTAATATTATACATTTAGTTAAAAATGATATTGAACTATCATTCTCAGGGGGCTTTCACAGGTACCAAGCCCCTTCACATATACTGTCTTATTGGATCTTTGCCATTATTCTGTAAGGCAGGAACTGAAGGGGTCTCTGCTCAATCCTCCATCTGCATAGTGTGCCTGACCCTCAGGCCCAGACACATCTAGCCACCCTGCCTGGCCCAGGCCCCTCATACTCTGCAGGATGCCCCTGTTCTCTGAAGTGGGAGTTCCTGCTGGGCTATGCAGCCAGACCAGCTGGGCCCCCTGCCTAGGTGTCTGGATGGATTTACAGAACAGACAGGACACTCAGAGAGGAAAAACATATGTGGTCAGGTGTCCTACAGCAAAGAGAAGTGGGAGATTCAGACAATTATCCAGATGAGGCAGGTAAAATGATTCTGGCGCTGTTTTATTTTGACTTCTGCAGGGCATTGGCACTATCCCTGAGATGTGGCAAGAGCAAGGTTTATATCTGTATCACACATACAATGCCCATTTTGCTTAGAAGTGAAAGACTGAGGGTTGAGACTTCCACTCCGTGAAGAACAGCAGAAACCAACTCAATGCCCATGGGCTGCAGAAAAATCACTGTGGTTGGTGACTTTGTTACCAGGCTTTGTGGCTTCCTTAAACCGGAGTGTCTGGAACTGGGGTCTGGAATGTATTCTCAGGGGTAGAAAGGTTTTACTTGAACTTTTAAATTTTGCTTCCATTTTGATAATCTTAAAAATATTCCTTTTATTAGATGGAACAGCAAAATTTGGGTTATAATTCATAATTGGAAGATATTTTTATGGAATAAAACCCTAATTAGTTAGATTATTTCTCAAATTGGAATATGTGGCTTCCTGGGGCCCTACAAATATACAAATGCATTTTCATGGGTACACAAGACTTTATTTTCCCTTTAAAAGGGGTTTTTACTTTACTCCAGCTTATGAGACATGGCCTACAATTCCCTGTCCTCCTAGGCTCTCCCATTCTCCCTTTCCTACTCCACAGCCCTGTCGGGAACAAGCCAGTAACACACACACATAGTATAGGAAGAGCAGACGGTGAAGGAAATGCACCAATATATTTGGTACAAATATGCCAAAAGGGCTGGACGTGGTGGCTCATGCCTGTAATCCCAGCACTTTGGGAGGCTGAAGCAGGTAGATCACTTGATGTCAGGAGTTCGAGACCAGCCTGCCCAACATGGTGAAACCCTGTTTCTACTAAAAATACAAAAATTAGCTGGGCGTGGTGGTACGTGCCTGTAATCCCAGCTACTCGCGAGGCTGAGGCACGAGAATCACTTGAACCTGGGAGGCAGAGGTTGTAGTGAGCCGAGATCGCGCCACTTAACTCTAGCCTGGGCAACAGAATGAGACTGCGTCTCAAAAATATATATATGCCAAAGCGTTCTACATTCTTTTTCCTTTGGTTTGCATTTAAAATCAGTGTCCACTTAACTGAACAAGACACCACCAAAGCAATGTCAAATCCACCATCTATAACTACTTCTGTGATGTTCTATGTCACCTCTTCTAAACTCTTTGAGCAGAGGGCACCAAATCTAAACTGCTTTCTTCTTCTCTGGCTCAGGAAGGACCCAGCAGACTCCACCTTCCAAGGACGACCTCAATCCTGAATGTAGGAGAGGTGGTGAGGTGACAGGGGAACATCTCAGAGACCATGTCAGTATGTGTGAGGCATCCAGAACCCACACGGGGGCAAGAGGTCTTCCCAGCAGGCTTGCTTTCCTCTTGGTCTCTGATGTTCCCACTCCTGAGCAGGACTGTGTGTGTGTGTGTGTGTGTGTGTGTGTGCATGTGGAAGTGTTTTTTTGTGTGTGTGTGGTGTGTGTCTGTGTATGCCTGTGCATGTGGTGTGTGTGTGCGTGTGTGTGTGTGTGTGTGTTGTATTTTAACTATAGCCCATCTCTTACACTGGACTCCTCCAAAGGATTTACCATTACCCCATCTCCTACAAAGGCACATTTACTCTGTAAAAGCCACAGGCCCTGGTCAACCTAATGCCAATGATGGGGGTTGTAGAGGGCTCTGCAGGGTTGGGGGTAGCTCCCATGGCCTGTGAGAGCAGGTGCATCAGGTCTCCTGCCAGGATACTAAGATGCAGTCACTGCCTCTGACACTCCTTGGAAGGTATAGATGGTATAATAAACCAACTTTTCCACACTCAAGACAGTGAGCTATATATAGTAGAAACCAAATTCATACTGTTTATTAGGCAGGTTTGGGATATGCTGAGAGTGAAATCACGTCCCCAGAAACATCAGTAAAGTCACAGTAAAATGTCACATTTGTGCTCTAAGGATTCCAGTCCTTTTTACTCCTCTTAAGATTGATCATTTTCTTTCCATAGGAAAGAGCAAAAGACTGATTTTTAATTAGCCCAGAACTATTTTCTGAAGGAGCAGAGGAAGGCCTGGGGGCTTTGTTGTCCTGGAAGAAAGCTTCCTAGGTGTCTTGCAAGCTACCGTGCAGGGTGACTACACAATTCTGTACCAGGTCTTTCAGCTCCAGTGAGGAGAGAGGGTGGAGCTAATGTAACAAGAACTTCAATTTACTGAGCACAATGCCTCATACAAAACAAGCATGTCCATTATTATTATTTTTTTTTTTTTTTTGAGACGGAGTCTCGCTCTGTCGCCCAGGCTGGAGTGCAGTGGCGGGATCTCGGCTCACTGCAAGCTCCGCCTCCCGGGTTCACGCCATTCTCCTGCCTCAGCCTCCCAAGTAGCTGGGACTACAGGCACCCGCCACTACGCCCGGCTAATTTTTTGTATTTTTAGTAGAGACGGGGTTTCACCGTTTTAGCCGGGATGGTCTCGATCTCCTGACCTCGTGATCCGCCCACCTCGGCCTCCCAAAGTGCTGGGATTACAGGCGTGAGCCACCGCGCCCGGCCGCATGTCCATTATTGGTTCTTAGGGCAATGACCGTATGGTCCTTGGAATTTGGAAATGAGGGAAATAATTCTGAGAATCAAACCATGAAATCAACATAGAATGGATCAGAGTCGAGGTCTCAAAGTCCCCAGAGAAAGACAGGGTGTCAGTCTGACCAAAAGTGTCAGTGAGCAGGAAGGTTGGCCAACAATGGAAGCAGAGCAGAGGGGGCCAGAGAGGTTAGGCTGAGCCATGTGGAGCGTTACCCACATTCTCCAGAAAATCCCCCCTGCCCTGCTGGGTCCCATCTGGACACACCAGCAGGATGGCTCCCCAGAATGTACCCCTCAAGGAACTCACGAGTCCTGCTGATAAGATCCATGCTGCTGTCCTGGCTGCTTGCCCCACTCCCTGGGCCAGTCAGTTCCTGCTGTGGCTGGTCTGGCCGCAGGCCCCAGTGGACTTTTTGCAGGCCTGAAAGATGTCCCTTCTGGTCAGTTTTTCTTTGAGGGTAAGTGGGTACTGGAAGCCCAATGTGGATAGGAGGGCATTCTGTGGACACGGCACAAAAGACAGGGGAGGCAGGGTTACTGAAAATTGGCATTTTTTCATAATATTCATCAGTTACAAAGAGATTGGGCTGCAGAAGCAAAATGGAAGACATGGAGTGCCAGGATGGGGTCATTGCCCTGAGGCTTGGGTTTGACCAAGTTCCATTAATGAACCAAATCAACAGTTGCTGGAGGGAATACCCTCAGTGCTATAATTAGAATTCTGTTAGAATGAGCAGAACTCCCATTCCCCCGTTCTTGCTTGTCCGGAACAGTGATTACTGGATATGGCTTATGACACGTGGTTAAGGGGAAAGTCCCTCAGTGGGTCACAGATGTAGTTCAAAATGCCAAGTGCCCTCTTTGATTGTTATGAGAAAGTCATATGCATTTCTACTGAGAGCCATTTTTACTAACAATCAAGGACTACATAGACTACTTATCAGAAAAGTGAGTTATTGAGGGTTTCACAAAGCTGGCTTTGTAAACTAAAATTTCTAAGAACTAAAGTTACCAAGAGCCCTAATTCAGAATCCCACTAATAAGCCTGATTACTATTGAAACCCAGGGTAATGGGCAAAGCACACAGAGGTAGCTGGAATTCCCTCACCTCTCAGATAGGACATTGCTATCAGTTTAACATCAGTGTTGTCTTAAGTCAACAATTTTTAAAATAATTAATAGATTTTTAGGACAGTTTAAGATTTACAGAATTATTGAGCAGACAGCACACAGAGTTCAATATACCTACCTCGACCCTAATCCTACCTCTGCCCCTACAGCTTTCCCTATTATTAACATCTTACATTAGTGTGGTGCATTTGTTATAATTAATGAGCCAATACTGACACATTATTATTAACTATATAGTTTACATTAAAGTTTACTCTTCTATTGTATAGATACTTCTATGGGTTTTGACAAATGCATAAGGACATACATCTACAATTATATATCATATAGAATAGCTTCACTACTCTAAATATCCTGTATTTCACCTCTTCATCCCACCCCTTCCTCCCTCCAACTCCCTTTTCTTTCCTTTTTTTTTTTTTTTTTTTTTGAGACGGAGTCTTGCCCTGTCGCCCAGGCTGGAATGCAGTGGCACAATCTTGGCTCACTGCAACCTCCCCTTCCCAGGTTCAAGCAATTCTCCTGCCTCAGCCTCCCAAGTAGCTGGGATTACAGGCACGCACCACCATGCCTGGCTAATTTTTTGTATCTTTAGTAGAAACAGGGTTTCGCCATGTTAGCCAGGCTGGTCTCGAACTCCTGACCTTGTGATCCACCCGCCTTGGCCTCCCAAAGTGCCGGTATTATAGGCGTGAGCCACCGTGCCTGGCTCCAACCCCCTTTTTACTTACTATCTCTACAATTTTGCCTTTTCCAAAATATCACAGAGTTGGAATTGACAGAGCAGGAGCATTGCCATCTTGTTGGACAAGCACTGCCATTCTAAAGTTCACCTTGATCAAAAACCACCTAAATCCAAAGGGCATCAGCCTAATGGCTAAGGTGAGCATGACCATAAGCCACAAATAACATCTCCAACTAGAAACATTCAAAACCCCTCCCTGACCAGAGACATGCCAGCCCTGAGATAACCTCCCCTCTGGCCAGAGAGATGTTAGCCCCAGGATAACTGCCTCTCTGACCAGAGACATTCCAACACCACCAAAACTTCTTCCCCAAACAGAAACATTCCAAGCTTGTGGTAAGTTCTCTTACCCTAAAATAAATAGTCTTAGTCTGTAAGAGAGAGCGCTTCTGACCCAAATCGGCCAGAAACCCCTCTCAGGTTTATTCTCCAAAGTAAAACTGTCTTTGACTGCCGAGCCACTTTTCGTGTTTCTTTCCTTTCTTTCACTCTTACAGGAATCATATATTATGAAGCCTTTTCATATTGGCTCTTTCAACTAGCAATATACATTTAAGCTTCCTCCATGTGTTTTCAAGGTTTGATAGTTCATTTCTTTTTTTTTTTTTTAACCTCTGAACTTTTTATTGGCCTCCTGCTCCCCAAAGGGTACCCTGCTTCTGCTGGCTTAATGTCTCAGAACTTTGGTGTCATTATTCTCAGACACCACTTTGCCATCCACTATCCAGTGGGTAGTGTTCTTTTGGATGATTTGCATGGAGTTGCTGCTGTCCAGGGCATCACCAAGATTGAAGTCCTTGCCATCTTCCAGCAGGCAGTGGTAGGTGGTGATCTCAGCCTCCAGCTTGAGCTTGATGTTCAGCAGGGCCTTGTACTCCTGGGCCTGGCACTGTCCCTCTGCCTGGGTCTGTGCCAGCTCTGATTCCAGGTGCAGCAGGATCCCATTGAGCTGCTCCATCTGCAGGGTGTAGTGGGCCTCCACCTCCCTCAGGCTGTTTCCCAAGCTGACCTTCAGATTTCTCATGGAGTCCAGGTCAATCTCCAAGGACTGGACTGTACGTCTCAGTTTCATGAGCATCATCTCAGCAGCTCCAACCTTGGCAGACTGCATGGTGACCACTGTGGTGCTCTCCTCCATCTGCTGAGAGCAGTACTTGTCTGGCTCCTCTCGGCTCTTCTGAGGCAGCTAATCATATTGGGCCCAGATGTCTGCCATGATCTTATCAACGTCCTAAGATTTGGGGACATGTACCTCCATGGTCAACCCAGAGCTGGTAATCTGGGCTTGTAGGTCTTTTACTTCCTCTTCGTGGTTCTTCTTCATGAAGAGCAGCTCCTCGAGAGCCTCGATCTCTGTCTCCAGCTACAGCCGAGTGACACTGGTGTCATCAATGACCTTGTGGAGCCCACGGATGTCGCTCTCTACAGACTAGCGCATGGCCAGCTCTGTCTCATAGTTGACTCTAAAGTCATTGGCAGCAAGATGGGCACTGTCGATCTGCACAATGTGGGCATTGTCCACAGTATTTGCGAAGATCTGAGCGCTCATGTCCTCAATGGTCTTGAAGTAATGGCTCCAGTCTCTGACCTGGGGTCCCTTCTTCTCCAGGTGCTCCCGGATTTTGCTCTCCAGCTTCCTGTTATCAGTCTCCAGGCTCCTCACTGTCCAGGTAGGAGGCCAGGAGGTCGTTCAGGCTTTGCATGATCTCTTTCTCGTTCTGGATGCCTCTCATTCTGGCCAGACCCCCAGCCATCCCCATGCCAGGCCCCCAGACCCCATGCCACCCTGGAAGCTGGTGGAGCAGGACACAGAGATCCAGGAACCAGAGCCCCCGGCACCTGCATAGACACTGGCCACACTGCTGACCAGCCAGGCGCCGTAGCTGGGTGGCTGGACAGAGCCCAGGGACCAGTAGTTGGAGGAGAAGGTGGAACGAGTGGTGAAGCTCATGCTGTCCGGGGAGGAGAGTGAGAGGAAAGGACTCAGGCTTTGCTGATGACCTCATTTCTTTCTATCTCTGAACAATATTCCACCGATCAATGTACTGTAGTTTGTTCATCCATTCTCCTATTGAAGGACATCTTGGTGGCCTCCAGTTTTGGTGATAATGAATAGTGCAGCTCTAAACATTCATATGTAGGCTTCTATGTGAACATAATTTTCAACTCAGTTGGGTACATACCTAGGAACATGATCGCTGGTTCGGACGACAAGACTATGATCAGCTTTGTAAGAAACTGCCATACCATCTTCCAAAGTGGTTATATCGTTTGCATTCCCACCAGCAATGGAAGAGCATTTCCTATTGCTTTGCATCCTCATCAGCATTTGGTATTGGCAGTTTTTTAAAAAATAGCCATTCTAATAGGTGTTAGTGGATCTTATTGTTTTAATTTTAAATTCCCAACTGACATATGACATTTAGAATCTTTTTATATGCTTATTTGCCATCTGTATATCTTCTTTGATGAGGTGTTTGCTCATATCTTTTGTCCATTATTAAATTGGGTTGTTTCCTTATTGAGTTTTAAAAGTTCTTTTGGTATTTTCAGATGCAAGTCTTTTATCAGATACATGCCTTTTGCAAATATTTTCTCCTGGTCTGTGGGTTTTCTTTTCATTCTCTTAAATGTCTTTCACAGAGCAGAAGTTTTCAATTTTAACAGAGTCCAGCTTATCATTTTTTTTTTTTCATCAATTGTGCTTTTAGGGTTGTATCTAAAAACTCATCACCAGACCTAAGGTCACCTAGATTTTCTCATATGTTATCTTCTAGAAGTTTTGTAGTTTTGCATTATACATTTAGGTTTAAGATCCACTCTGAGATGATTTTTTGAAAGGTGTAAGGACTATGTCTGAATTTTTTTTTTTTTTGAGACAGAGTCTTACTCTGTCATCCAGACTGGAGTGCAGTGGTATGATCATGGCTCACTGAAGCTTTGACCTCCTGTGCTCAAGCAATCCTCCCACCTCAGCCTCCAGAATAGCTGAGATCACAGGCATGCATCACCACACCCAGCTATTTTTTTTTTTTTAATTTTTAGTAGTCTCAAAATCTCTATGTTGCCCAGGCTGGTCTTGAACTCCTGGGCTCAAACAATCCTCCCGCCTTGGCCTCCCAAAGTGCTGGGATTACAGGCATGAGCCATTACACCTGGCCTGGATTCATTTTTTTTTTTAAACATATGAATGTCCAGTTATTCCATCACCATTTGCTGAAAATATTATTCTTCTTCCATTAAATTGCCTTTGTGTCTTTGTCAAAGATCAGCTGATTATATTTGTGTGGGTCCATTTCTGGGCTATTTATTCTGTTCCACTGATCAATTTGTCTGTTCTTTTGACAATATCACACTTGATTGTAGTAGCTTTACAGTAAGTCTTGAAGTTGAGTAGTGTCAGTTCTTCAACTTTGTACTTTTTCAGTGTTATGTTGTCTATTCTGGGTCTTTTGCCTTACCATATACACTTTAGAATCAATATGTCAGCATCCAAAAAAATAACTTGCTAAGATTTTTATTGGGATTATATTGCATCTATAGATCAAGTTGGGGAGAACTGACAACAATGTTGAATTTTCCTACGCATGAACATGAAATTTTTTTTTTTTTTTTTGAGACAGAGTCTCACTCTGTCACCCAGGCTGAAGTGTAGTGGCGCCATCTCAGCTCACTGCAAGCTCTGCCTCCCGGGTTCACGCCATTCTCCTGCCTCAGGGTCCTGAGTAACTGGGACTACAGGTGCCCACCACCACGCCCGGCTAATTTTTTTTTTTGTATTTTTTTAGTAGAGACGGGGTTTCACCGTGTTAGCCAGGATGGTCTTCATCTCCTGACCTCGTGATCTGCCTGCCTCGGCCTCCCAAAGTGCTGGGATTACAGGCATGAGCCACCGTGCCTGGCCAAAATATTTTTTCATTTACTTAGATCTTTGATTTCTTTCATTACTTTTATAGTTTTTCTCATGTAGATCCTGTATACATTTTGTTAGATTTATGTCTAAAATTTTTGGTGCTAGTGTATCATGTCTTAAATTTCAAATTCCAATGGCTGGTATATAGAAAAGCAACTGTCTTTTGTATCCTAAGACTTTACATCCTGAGACCTTGTTACAGTCACTTATTAGTTATGGGAGTTGTTTGGTAAATTCTTTGGGATTTTCTGCATAGACAGTTATATCATCTGTGAACAAAGATGTTTTATTTCTTCTTTCCCAAACTATATACATTTATTTCCTTTCCTTGTCTTATTGCATTAGCTAGAATTTCCAGTATGATATTGAAAAGGGCTGGTGAAAGGGGATCTCTTTGCTTTGTTCCTGATCTTAGCAGGAAAGTTTTCAGTTTCTCATCATTAAGTATGATGTTAGCTATAGGTTTTTTGTAGATTTTTTAAAAATCAAGTTGAGGAAATTTCCCTCTATTCCTAGTTTACTGCAAGTTTTTATTATGAATAGGTGTTGGATTTTGTCAAATGCTTTTTCTGCATCTATTGACATTATTGTGTGATTTTTCTCCTTTGGCCTATTGATATGATGAATTATCTTAATTGACTTTTGAATACTAAACCAGCCTTAAATACCTGGGATAAATCCTTTTGGGTCATGGTGTATAATTATTTTTACACATTGTTGAATTTGATCTGCTAGCATTTTGTTGAGGATTTTTGCATATATATTCATAAGGGACATTGGTGTGTAGTTTTTCTTCTTGTCATGCCTTTATCTCATTTTGTATTGGGATAATGCTGACTTCATGGGATTAGTTAGAAAGCATTCCTTCTGCTTCTATTTTCTGGAAGAGATTGTAGACAACTGATATCCTTTCTTCCTTAAATGTTTGGTAGAATTCACTAGTGAAATCATGAAGGCCTGTTGCTCTTTTTTTTTTTTTGGTAAGTTGTTAATTATTATTATCTATTACTTCTTTAATAGTAATAGGCCTGTTCAAATTATTTATTTCTCCTGTGTGAGTTTTAGTAGTTTGTGTCTTTCAATAAATTAGTCCATTTCACCTAAGTTATCAAATTTGTAGGCACAGAGTTGCTCATAATATTCCTTTATTATCCTTTTAATGTCCATGGAATCAATAATGATCACCTTTCATTTCTGATATTAATGTATGTCTTCTCCCTTTTTTCCTTGGTTAGCCTGGCTAAAGATTCATCAATTTTATTAATCTTTTTAAGAGATAGCTTCAGTTTCATTGATTTTCTCTATTGTTTCCTATTTCTAATTTCACTGATTTCTGCTCTATTTGGTATTATCCCTTTTTTCTTCTTGCTTTAGGATTATTTTGCAATTCCTTCTCTTGTTTCCTAATATGGGAGCTTAGGTTGTTGCTTTTAGATCTTTCTTCTTTTCTAATATATGCATTTAATGTTATTCATTTTCCTCTAAGCACTGCTTTTGCTGCATCCCACAAATTTTGATAAGTTGAATTTTCATTTTCATTTAGTCCAAAATATTTTTAAAATTTTCTTAAGACTTCTTCTTTGACTACTCATATATTATTTAGAAGTGTATTGTTTAATCTCTAAATATGTTGGGATTTTCCAGTAATCTTTCTGTTATTGATTTTTAGTTTAATTCCAATGTGGTGTTACAGCATACTCTGCATGACTTCTGTTCCTTTAAATTTGTTCAGGTGTGTTTTATGTCCCAGAATGTGGTCTGTCTTGGTGGATATTCTACATGAGCTTGAGAAGAATGTGCATTCTGCTATTGTTGGACGAAGTATTCTATAAATGTCAATTAAATCCAGGTGATTTATATGCTGTTCCTTTCAACTATATCGTTACTGATTTTCTGCCTGCCGGATCTGTCAATTACTGGTAGATGGGTATTGAAGTCCACAACTATAATCACTGATTTGTCTGTTCGTCTTCAGTTTTGTCATTTTTTTGCCTCATGTATTTTGATGCTCTGCTGTTAGGTACATACATGTTAAGGACTATTATGTTTTCCTGAAGAATTGACCCTTTTATCATGATGCAATGCCCTCCCTTATCCCTGTTAAAGAGATGTTCTTTGCTCTTAATTCTTCTTTGTCTGAAATTAAGATACCTATTCTTGCTTTCTTTTGATTAGTGTTATCATGGTATATCTTCCTCCCTCCCTTTACTTCTAATCCATCTGTATCTATATCTATACCTATCTATCTATATCTCTATATGTGTGTGTGTATATGTGTGTGTGTGTGTGTGTGTGTGTGTGTATATGCATTTTTTTTGAGACAGAGTCTTGCTCTGTGCAGCCTCCACCTGCTGGGTTCAACTGATTTCCTGACTCAGCCTCCCGAGTAGTTGGGATTACAGGTGCATGCCACCATGCCTGGCTAATTTATGTATTTGTAGTAGAGACAGGGTTTCACCATGTTGGCCAGGCTGGTCTCAAACTCTTGACCTCAAGTGATCTTCCAATCTCAGCCTCCCAAAGTATGGGGATTACAGGTGTGAGCCATCGCACCTGGCCTGTGTCTTTATATTTAATGTAGGTTTCTTGTCACATAGTTGGGTCTTGTTTTTTGATCCTGCCTAACATCCTCTGCCTTTTAATTGATATGTTTAGACCATTCATATTTGAAGTAATTATTGGCTGGGTGCAGTGGCTCATGCCTGTAATCTCAGCACTTTGGGAGGCTGAGGTGAGTGGATCACTTGAGGCCAGGAGTTCAAGACCAGCTTGGCCAACATGGCGAAATCTCATCTCTACTAAAAATATAAAAAATAAACCAGCGTGGTGGTGGGCACCTATAGTCCCAGCTACTCGGGAGGCTGAGGCATGAGAATTGCCTGAACCTGGGAGGCAGAGGTTGCAGTGAGCTAAGATGCACCACTGCACTCCAGCCTGAGTGACAGAGCAACACTTCATCTCTAAATAAATAAATAAAGTGATTATTGAGATCAGTGAATTAATATCTACCATGTTTACAACAATTTTGTGTTTGTGGCACTTGTCCTTTTTTTTTTTTTAATCTTCCCCCTTTTTGGTCTTTTTTTTTTTTTTTTTAAGAAACAGGGTCTTGCTGTGTTGCCCAGGCTGGCCTCAAACTCCTAGCCTCAAACAATCCTCCTGCCTCTGTCTCCTGGGTAGCTTGGACTATAGGCACATGCCACTATGCCCAGCTCCTCCTCTGGTTTTAACTGAGCACTTTATATGATTCTGTTTTCTCTCATCTCTGAGTGTATAAATTATATCCCTTAAAAAATTCTAGTGTTTGCCCTAGACTTTGCAATATACAGTTAGAACTAATCTATGTCCACTTTCAAATAACGCTATACTGTTTCTCAGCTGAACTATGGAGAAGCATGTCTAAGCCTTTTAGAGAGAAGTTGAATATGCTTTAGAGAGATGTTGAATATGCTTTAGACAGATGTTTTATGAGTCTACTCTGGTTGGTGCATTCCTAGGTACTAGGGGTCAGGTTACTTGGATGTCAGTGTCCAAATCTGTCTAAAGTCCCAGCTCACCCCACTGCATGCTCTTCTGGATCCCATTCTCTCCTGGATGTAACAGGGATGAAGAAAACGAAGTGGAGATTCTTATGAAGTATGGCCTCACTTCCTAGGGCACGGGTGTCAGAATGACTAGTTTCCCTTCTTCCTCCTCTCACCTCCCCACATCATGGTGGAACTTCCCTTCCCTATACTGCATTGTTTAAGCAAGCTGCAATTTGAGATAAGCAGTAGACACTAGCACTTAGAGGTAAGTAGTTCCACTCTAAGGGCTTAGCATATTTGGGTCTTCCAACAGCAAGTTCCTATTCTCCACCCTTGAGGCCAGGAATGGAAATGAAAAGAAGCAGGTATATCAGAAAGGCCCCAACCCAAGAGGCAGCTGCCCTAGGTGCTCCCTGGCTTGTCCTTTACTTGATCTGTGGCCATCCTGCTTCTCTGGGACTCGGTGAACTCATCTGTAATGTGGGAATGAAAATCCTTTCTCTACCAAACTGGCTTCTGAAAAGATAGAATGGGATCATGTATAAGAACATGATTATGCAAATTGTAAGGGACTATACACAGGAAGAGTATATTTATTATAGAAATCAGAGGAGATGGCTGTCAAAAAACTATTTTACTTTCTGTTCTGAATCTAAATTGTCCCATCTTTTCTTGGCTTCTATCATAATCAAAAGAGCATGGTGATTTAGCTGGTGAACTGTGGGGAGTGGCTTGCCCTCCCCCAAGTCTACATTCTCCTCTGTGGCTCTACAAGACCTCTCCTCTCACGGTAAGTATCTTGCAGTTTGGCTCAGGACATGTGCCAAGTTCTCCTAGCAACTCTTTAGGGCATTTTTCTTGCTTGACAGCTCCAGAGTGGCTCTACACATTCTGCAGCTCACCGAGCCTCTAGGTGGGCAGCGAGGTTGGTATTTTCCTTCAAGTGGGGCTGGGGTAACGATGGCAGTAGCCGCCCATCTGATTGCCTTTTCATAAGCCCCATGGCTTCTTCTCTGTAGTGTGTAGGAGGCTTTGGGCAGCTAAAGTCAGCAATTCTGGAGCAACAGAAATACCTGCCACCTCAACATCCTCTTGCACTGGTTTTAATTGTGCTGTCAGTTTGGGAATCTATTAATATAAAATGTTGATATTTGGCATTTATTATGGTTTGCAGATCTTGTAAAATTAGGTGAGTTACATTTTGTGTTGGGGAAGCTATATTCTAATCCACATAGGCAAAGTGGCAGTTTCCTGTCTCCAGCTTGACCATGCAGTCACCTGGGGATACCATGAAGGCTGGTCCCACCAGCCTCAAGGAGACACTGTGGATGAGTCAGGAAAAGGGACCTGCTCCCTAGACTCTCCTGCTGAAAGAGCTGTCATAAAGACATTCAGAGAATTCTCAGTGCCTCCTGAGATTTGCATCAAGTCCTCAAAGTGACCTCACCTTTCTGATCCGGAAATCTCCTCCTGTGGTTAGTGTGGTCCAGCTTTCCTACCCCAGCCTTCTCCTCCTTCACCTTCATGACTATAAAGTAAAAGGAACACAGCCTCAAAATGTATACATTAAAAAGGGTAGGATTTCAAGGAGAAATGGTCAAATCCACAGTCATAATGGGAGATTTTAATACAGATAAAAAACTAAGACAAAAGGACATATAACTGGGTGCAGTGGCTCACACCTGTAATCCCAGCACTTTGGGAGGCTGAGGCGGGTGGATCACCTGAGGTCAGGAGTTCGAGACCAGCCTGGCCAATACAGTGAAACTGCATCTCTAATAAAAATACAAAAATTAGCCAGATGTGGTGGCATTCACCTATAATCCCAGCTGCTAGGAAGGCTGAGGCAAGAGAATCTCTTGAACCCGGGAGGTGGAGGTTGCAATGAGCTGAGATTGCACCACTGCATACCAGCCGGGGGAACAGAGCAAGACTCTGTCTTACGAAAAGAAAAAAAAAAAAAAAAAAGGACATATAAACAAATTGAAGAATAATTTCCAACAAGCAGAGAACACACTTCTTTTTCAAGTACAAATGACACATTTACAAAGAGAGCACATATACTACGTCACAGAAAAGCCTCTGAAAAGTAAATTTATTATGCTTATATAATAATATATATAAAAGTAATATATTATGCATATATATATGCGCCAGGTGTGATGGTGTGCTGTAGTGCTAAGCTACTTGGGAGGCTGAGGCGGGAGAATCATACAAGCCCAGAAGTTTGAGGCTGCAGTGAGCCATAATGATTGTGCCACTGCATTACAGCCTGGGTGACAGAGTGAGACTCTATCTCTACGAAAAAGAAAAAACAAAAGCAATCTATGCTTTTGTTTTTAAGTAAACAACACTAGGACTGAAAAAGGGACATAAAATATAGTTGAGAATTTAAAAATTATAATTCCATTAAAAAATTCATGCCAATTAATTTTAAAACTTAAATAATAAGAATAGTTAACATTGCTATGTGCCAGAAGTGCTTTGCATGTATGATTTAATTGAATCTTATCAACAATCCTATGACATAAATAACATTATTATTCCCATTTTACAAATGAGGAAACCCAGACACAGAGAGCTTAAATGACTACCCACATGGAAAAACAAATCTGGACAATCTGTTTCTGGAACTATAGCCCTCAGCCACAAGGCTAATACATGGATACTTCTCTACAAAAACAATAGAAGTATCAAAATTGACTTTTAAAAAAATTAGAAAACCTAAATTAACCAATAACAATTAAAATGATTGTAGGAAAGACACCACAATCAGTCATGTATTGATAATTATTGAAGCTAGGTTATGCTACAAAAGAGTTGTAAAAAAAAAAAAAAAAAAAAAAAAAAAGAGTTGTAAACTAAAAATAAAATCCTAAGCCTCCCCACCAACTGAACAGACTCCCTCTTGGCCAAGGGGATCCCAGAGATACATTAAAAACCAAAATCCTGGCCAAGACAGGATAGGAGGTCAGACACACCTGGTTATATCATCTCCCTTTTGCAGTGTAGACATAACTGACCAGCATTTATGTTAAAATTGAGAATAAGACTGACAGAACAGACCCTTTATGGCAATAAGGTACCAAACTGTAAACAAGACCTAAAGCCAGGCCAGGCAAGGGTTAAGTTATACACGCCTACACTTGAAGAATAAACTGTGTCCTAACTGCCACACGGTTTTTCTTTTCCTCTAGCAGCTAAGCAAGCACTGGCCTTGAGACAAGCAATATTAGAACAATTTGCAGCACATCTACCAGCAGATGCTGACTAACCAACCCCCTGCTCCATAAGCCATAACTATAGCTTTGATTGGACAAAAGACTGACTTTAGTAACTCCCTCCTGATAAGAAGATCATGAACCATGGACTGGTTCTGGTCAGTTTACAGAGGCTGTGCACTTGAACGCATTTGTGTCCTACAAAGACCTTCTAACGTATAATGCCTAATGTAATACATTTAAATGTTATGGCTCCATCCCAAGGTGAACATGGGCATGCGTAATATGCATGTTTGTTCAATACACATGCATCAGGACCACCTTCATGAATATTCATAGATCCTCCTGTAACCTACTGAATATGCATGTTTAGCCAACCCAGTCAACTTAAATTCCTGCCTTTCCCCTCCTCCTTCGAAGTGCCTGTCTCTGATCTAACCCTGAGGCTATGGTTCCCATCCTGTAACATGGCCACCTTGCAGGCTGTAACCCTTTACAAGAAATAAAGTCTTCTCTCCAAATGCATAGATCATGTGATCTTTAAGTTAACAGGGTCATCATCATTTATTTTACTTTTGTTGTGTTTGAAAATTTTTCTATAATGCAAAGAAAAATAAACACCAGGAACAGATAGTTTTTTTTTTAAATGTTTTATCTGAACCTTCAAGGATTAGACAGCCTCTACATATACAAAATGTTTCTCAAAGATAGAAATAGGACATCAGAGGCAATAGGGATATCTCAAGACCATGATGCAGAGCGGGCTGAACACAGGGGAGATGGTGGAAAATCTTCATAAGGAGTTCTGAGGTTAAATCCTCAGGTCTCTCCTCTAGGCTCTAGTCTCCTATAATGCCCTTTCTACTCAGAATATGGAGGGGCCCTGTAGGAGACTAAAGCCAGGACAGAAGATCCCTGGACAGCTGAGGGCAAAAAGGAGTAATTTCACTGGGGAAACAAAAAGGAGTTAAGTAAATGCAGTTAGCCCCTCAGCCCTTTGCCTGCTGGACTCCTAGAACCCTAATGAAGTTTAGGCCCTCCAGGCAGGACATTGGAGAACTTCCAGATTCCAACATTTTGGGGACCTCTGACAAAATGGCAAGGGCTGCATCCAATTGCCCACTGTAAGTCTATCATTCAACAAGTCCAGCCTGGCCACATGGCAGCTGTTTGGCAGCTCCACTTCAAAACATGAACAGCCAGCCAAGAATCACCAGAATGACAGATACCAAAACAAACAGGAAAAGAAAAAGTCCAAGGAAACAGGAGCAATGTAGGCAGCCAAAGAAACCATTAAAACTATGTAGTAGCAAATGTCACAAAAGCAAAAATAGACAAATGGCACTTAATTAAACTAAAAAGCTTCTACACAGCAAAATAAACAATGAACAAAGTAAACAGACAACCTACAGAATGAAAAAAAAATATTGCACACTGCGCATGTGACAAAGAGCTAATATCTAGAATCTGTGAGGAATTCAAACAACTCAAAAAGAAAAAAACAAATAACCCCATTAAAAAGTGGGCAAAGGACATGAACAGATATTTGACAAAAGAAGACACATAAATGGCCAACAAACATGTAAAAAATGCTCAATATTGCTAATCATCAGAGAAATGCAAATTAAAACCACAATGAGATACCATCTTACACCAGCCAGAATGGCTATTATTAAAAAGTCTAGGCCTGGCGAGGTGGCTCATGCCTGTAATCCCAGCACTTTGGGAGGCAGAGGTGGGGGGGATGGCCTGAGGTCAGGAGTTCAAGACCAGCTTGGCTAACATGGTGAAACCCCGTATCTACTAAAAATACAAAAATTAGCCAGGTGTGGTGGTGCATGCCTGTAATCCCAGATACTCAGGAGGCTGAGGCACAAGAATCACTTGAACCCAGAAGGCAGAGGTTGCAGACCGAGATTGTGCCACTGCACTCCAGCCTGGGCGACAGAGTGAGACTCTGTCTCACAAAAAAAAAAAAAAGTGTCCAAAAATAACAGATGTTGGCGAGGCCGCAGAGAAAACATGCACTGTCGGTGGGAATGTAAATTAGTACAACCTTTATGGAAAACAGTATGGAGGATTCTCAAAGAACTAAAAATAAAACTACCATTTGATTCAGCAATCCCACTGCTGGTATATGCCCAAAGGAAAAGAATCATTATATTAAAAAAGATACCAGCACTTGTATGTTTATTGCAGCACTATTCACAATAGCAAAGATATGGAATCAACCTAAGTGTAATCAATGGAGGATTGGATAAGGAAATGTAATATATACATTACATTATATATATATAATGGAATGCTAATCAGTCATAGAAAATGAAATCATGTCTTTTGCATCAACATGGATGAAACTGGAGGCCATTACCCTCAGTGAAATAACTCAGAAACAGAAAGACAAATTCTGTATGTTCTCACTTATAAGTGGGAGCTAACAATTCGTACACATGGACATGTAGAGTGAAATAACAGACACTGGAGACTCCAAAAGGTAGGAGGGTAGGAAGGGGGTGAGGGTTGAAAAGTGACCTATTGCTACACTGTTCACTATTCGGGTGATGAGTACACTAAACTCAAACTTCACCACAATGAAATATATGCATGTAAGAAACCTGAATTTGTACTCCCTAAATATATATTTTAAAACATTTAGGTTCTTTAAAAAACTATGTAGCTGGTGCTCGCTTTAGTAGCACATATACTAAAACTGGAATAATAAAAGATAAGCATGACCCCTGTACAAAGATTACAAAACAAAGACAAAAACAAAGATAGTTAATATCTTCAAGGAGATTGTCATAGGTTTGTTTAATATAGTTGCTTTCTTGGCATCCAGTTTTTGGCCTGACATAAGTTGTTTGAAACCCAATTAGTTGTACTCCTTTGGCCTAGTTAAAACTTCCCCTCCCTATATGATTGTTTGCAATATAGTGCATTCTCTCTCTTTTTCTCTCTCTCTCTCTCCCCATTCACTGATTGAACATCCTACTGCGTCTTGACTTCCCATCAGCCACCCCTAACCTCTTTGAGATCTGTAAATAATAAATTTCTTCTGTTTTATGCATTTTGGTTTCATTTGGTCTCACCTGACCATCTAAACCTTACTCTCCTCCTGGTTAGAGCTCTCCTAGAAAGTGGCTATCTTGGTTTCTGGCTACTCTCCAGAGACAGCTCTCAAGACCAAATTAGAGGAAATCACAACAGAGACAAGAAAAGACATTGTATTCATGACGACAAGAAAAGCAGAATGCTATAAACCTATGAACCTATAAGTTTTTAAAGAATAAGACAGAACTTTTCGAAATTAAAAATACCTTAGAAGAAAATTTTCAATAAAAGACTTGGAACATAAATTTGAAGGAGTATATCAGATAATAGAACACAAATAAAAAGAGATTAAACAAATACTATGACAAAACAAGAAAACCAGAGGATCAATCCAGGAGGCCCAAACATCAAAATAATAGGAGTTCCCAAAAGAGAGATAAAAAAATAGTGGAGAGAAAATTACCAATGAAATAACATGAGAATACCTTCCAGAACTGAAAGATCTGGAAGAATTTTCTGATTGAAAGAACTTTCGATCAGCTCAGAAAAAATTAATTTTTAAAAAATCCACTCCAAGTCACATCATTATGAAGCATTAGGACTTCATGGATAAAGAAATCTTAAAAGCTTCCAGAAAAAAATAAGTCATCTACCAAGAATCTGAAACAAGAATTGATATCAGATTTCTCAATCACTACAGTGGAAGCTACAAGACAATGAAGTCATGCTTCCAAAAGTGAGACAAAATTATTTCCAACCTAGAATTCCAGTCCCAATCAAGCTATCAATCAAGTGGGAGGGTAGAATAGGGGCATTTTCAGACATAAACTATCTCAAAAATTTACCTTCGATGCACCTTTTTTTCAGGAAGTGACTGAAGGAGGAACTCTAGCAAGATGAAGGACTTGCACTAAGAAAGAAATTAAGTCTGGGAAACGGGATTCACCACAAAAGATAGGCAAAGGAAAGTCACCGGAGAAGAACCCTGCAGCAGTCCAGAGAGCAACAGGCACATCTTAGAGCAGGCTCTGGACAGGATGTCTTCAGGAAAAAAACCTGGATCTGAAAAATGGTCTTGATGTGTTTGACTGTTGCAAGAGGATACAAAAACTTTGTCAAGAATAGTCATAGAAAGGAAAAGTAATCATGGTACACTATACTCAACTGTGAGCAATATTTACACAGTCATAATAAATCAAGTGAGTGTTAATTTTCCTGAAAACAGCAATAGAAACAGGGTTGATATTCCACCGATACGCATTGGTATGGCTGCTATTTATGATTGGTGTCCATTTTTAGTGATCAGGTATTCATTTGGGTTGGTCAATGTCAGTGCCATGTTGGTTGTTAAATATTTTGAATATCACCACTGGATGTAACTATTTGGGGAGTATAAAACACCTGTGGAGGATGCTGCTAGTTACTTCCCTGATGCCCATTCCCCTTTCTGCTCTGACTTTCTGACTTCTGCTCCAGCCACAGTAGCACTATGGCCAACTAAAAAGAAACACTTCCCTCAGACACCCTTCAGCTCTCTCTGGCTGAAGAGCTACAGGAGAAAGAACCTGAGGAAGGAGTCCCTTCCTAGATAAAGCATTTTCAGAAGAAAGCCTCTTCACTTTTCCTTCTTCTTCCTTCCTGGATAGAGTTGCCAGGTTTAGCAAATGAAACTACAGTTTGCCCAGTTAAATTTGAATTTCAGATAACAACAAATAACTTTGAGTATATGTTCAGCACAATATTTGGGATATACTTCTACTAAAAATTATGTGTTGACAAAGGTGACCCAGATGTGGTTACTGAAAACCACACCTGGGTCATCTGACAAAGGACTCTGGGAAAGTAAGTTTTTACTGGGAAAATAATATTGAGTCTGTCAGTAAGGGAAAAAGGGAGAATGCGCATTGGGTAGTCATCTAGCATGTCTCCTACACTGTCCAACAACCATTCCCTCTTCTGCTTGCCTATTTACAAAACTTTATTTTGTTCAGGTAGAGACACAGGGCCCTTGATTGCCAGTAGTCACCTTCCCTAGGCTCAGGCATGAGCTGGGATCTATATAAACCATTCACGGTATTCTGGTTGCCCTTAGCCAGTCACTGAGTTTAGGAATAGTCATGTGACCCTATTCTAGCCAATGAGATTTAGGTGGAAGTCCATTGGGTAAGACTTTCAGGAAAGCTTTTATTTTCCTAATTGAAAGTGACACAGTTGGAATGCACAGTTTGTCCTTTACCCTCCTGCTTTCTTGCACGGACCTTGAGACTTTGAGATAAAGCAGCCATCTTGCAACAATGAGGTGACAGGTATGAAGACCAAAGGCACAGGCTAAGAACAAGGCAGAAGGATAAGACAAATCTGGGTTCCTGAGAATATCACTGAGCTCTGGACTGCTTATTGCTGGATTTCCTGTTATCTGAAAAAAAAAAAAAATCTCTATATTTAAACTGCTAGCCAAGTTTTATGTTACTTTTAGCTGAGGCCTTCCTAACTGACACATAATGGATGACTATGGACAGTTGAAATTAATGAACTAGATTTTTATGTATTAACATGTATAAATCTCAAAAACATAATGAGAACAAAAGGAAGTTGTAAAAGAAAATGATATTATTTACATAAAACTTTAAAACAAACAAAACACTACCAATATTGATTATAGTTACATTTATAAGTAATAAAATCATAAAATTATGTAGAGGAATGATACACACCAACTTCAGGTTACTTCTGGGGAAGGATAAGGTTAATGATGCTTGATGATCTTTGGTATTTTGGATAGATGATAGATATACATGTAGATATGAAACGAATATGATAAAATGTTAACATCTGTTAATTCTGGACAGTAATATATCAATATTTGTCATATTGTACACATTTGAGGTATTTTATTATTAAATTTTTAAAAGTATTTTTAAAAATAACTAAGAGGTCTCCCCAACACTATGAGATAATAGTCTCAGGCAAAATGGGTCAACTGAGCACTCTGCACAGAAAATATCTGGGAAAAAAACTCCTCACACTTTGCTAGATCATTATGAAATTTTAGAACAGTGACTATGAAGAAAAGAAAGATCCCAAAAACTTCTAGAGTAAAACAATCAGAAACAGGTCACCTGTCAATGAATAGAAATCAGACTAGCAGAAGACTCCTCCTCAGCAAGTTAAATAAGAGAAGATAATGGGCAGGGTGCGGTGTCTCACACCTGTAATCCCAGCACTTTGGGAGGCTAAGGCGGGTGGATCACCTGAGGTCAGGAGTTCAAGACCAGCCTGGCCAACATGGTGAATCCCCGTCTCTTATTAAAAATACAAAACTTAGCCGGGTGTGGTGGCACATGCTTGTAATCCCAGCTACTTGGGAGGCTGAGACACGACAATCATTTGAACCCAGGAGGTGGAGGTTGCAGTGAGCTGAGATTGTGCCACTGCATTCCACCTAGGTGACAGAGTGAGACTCTGTCTCAAAAAAAAGAGAGAGAGAAGATAATGAGCAAAGCCACCCAAAATCCAAGGGAGAATGTTTCCAACCTAACATTCTCCACCCAGCCAAACTACCAGTCCAGAGTAGGGGTAGAAGACATTTCCAGACATGTAAAAAATCATTTTACTTCTCTTTCATAACTTCCTAGGAAGTTCTTTAAAAAAGTTACCCATCATTAATCAAGAAGGAGAAGACAATGAGATGCAGGAGAGAGTGGATAAAATCAGAATAATGAAGAGCAGTCCCCAGATGACAGCTGTGTCCTCAAAAATCAATCAGTCCTCAAAAGAGCTAGAAAATGAGGCTTTGGAACGAGCCACTCAGGGAAAAAATGAAATGTAAAAGATTTGATACACTCTTGGGGATTTTAGAACAACTCAAGAAAGTGACAGAAAATGCAAAGAAAAAAGACAGCAATGAGAAATACCAGGGAAAAATTAAAACTCTGCAAGGAATAAAATGTGATCATGGCATGTAATCATGAGTATAAACACTGATTTTTGAATGAACTAAAAATGGTGATGATATTCTACATTGGGAGGATAAAAAAGAGATGTCTGTGGTTGTAAGATAGTTAAATATTCACTTGTAAGTGGCTAATATCTAACTTCAATAAATAGCAGGAATAATTATTACTATCATTATTATTAAAAGGTAGCCAGGAGAAAAAGCTAAAAGAATTCCTAGTGGTTATCTTTGGGAAGTGGAACTGTGGCATATGGAGGAAGCTGGAATGGAGTTCCATTGCTTTTTATGGAAAGCTCTTACATGTGTTAATTGATTTTTAAATTATAGCTTTTTTATTTTAAACGTTTTAAAGTAAATAATTTAATATGCCATGTGTTCCTACTTTATGTGATAATTGTATCCTTGAAAATTAATGGTTAAATCTATTTGTTCAAAGTGAATCATGTTTAAAATACTTAGCAGAATTACACAACAAAGAACCCTTTAAGGCAGTGGTTCTCAAACTTGAGCGTGCATCATAATACCTAGAAGGCTGCTTTCTGTTTGTTTTCTTGGAGTTGGGGTCTCGCTTTGTCGCCCAGGCTGGAGTTCAATGGCGCAATCACAGCTTACTGCAGCCTCCAACCTCTGGGCTCAAGCAATCCTTCCATCTCAGTCTCCAAAGTAGGTGGGATTACACGTGTGAGCAGCTCCAGAAAGCTTGTTAAAATAGATTGCTGGGTCTCATCCCCAGAGTGCCTGATTCCATAGCTCTAGGTTGGGGCCTGGAAATGTACATTTCCAACAAGTTCCCAGTTGCTGCTGATGATGCTGATCCAGGGACCACATTTAAAACCTCTATTTTAAGAAAGTAACTCCCAATTTATATTTTTTATTAAATTGGGTCAGTTGGTGATTTTTAAAAAGCTGATATCTTCCTACTCCAGTATGGTGTGAAGAGTACAGAGAAGCTGAGTAACAGATTTTTTTTCCCATAGACAACCACCTTCAAATGTCTTAGGGGGAGACTCCATGTCTCCCCAAGCCTCTGAAGGAAAGGCCATGTGACCCAGGCTGGTCAAACACACCCCATTCCAGCCACAGAGACTGGTTCAGGAATGATCCCATGTCCTTAACTGGGCCAATCAGAATTCTTCCCAGGACATTTCTGCTTGATTCATCCAAAAACTCTGCTCACTCTGGCACTGCTAAGCTGATAAGCTTGGAAGTTACTATTTTGCCTGTCACATGGAGGGAAGCATTCAAGAAAAGTAGAGAAACAGAGTCCAGATAACACTGTGACTCCCTGAGTCAGTTAATTTTGAACTGTCCTTCTCAGTTGTGTTGAGCTGTTAAATTCACTTTATTTTTTCTCATGTTTGAGTTGGGCTTCTCATGTTTGCAATCACAAGTGCCTGACTAATGAAAATGAAATAGAGCTTTCCAACATGATTTTAAAATGTGTTATTTCCTATTTGAAGTACTATGGATTCTCAGATTGGAAAAGAAAGTTTGTTGGAAAAATAATGAAATGCCTGCTTGTCACTGACAAATGACAATACATATGCAAACACAGATGAGAACTCTACAAACTATAGAAGTATGGAGCTATAATGTAGCTATAATATTCAGGTAGATGCATACCTTCCAGTTCTGGACTAGCTAAGACCATTCCTGCTTCATGTCCTCTGTGCTAGATCCCAACTTCTCACAACTTGAGAGAAGCTCCCTCCCAGGAATATGCAGAAGTAGAAGAACCCAAACTCCCTGAGATGATCTTCAAAGGAGTCCATCCATCTGAAGCTGAGTGTTGGCCCTGGGGAAGTGTTTGGATTAGCTCTGCTCTGACTGGCAACTATACTGCCCACCATAAAAGTCCCAGCCTAATTCATGCAACAGAATTTCTACCTCCAGCATTTCATATAATGTGTATTAGTTGAATGTCAGGTATTTTGCTTTCATCATCTTATTGAATCCTCACTATAATTCAGTGAGGTATATAATTTTCACCCACATTTTATAGATGAGTAAATGAAGACTAAGAGTTAAGTGATTTGTCCTGGATCACAGAACCAGCCATGGTGGAGCCAGGGTTCAAACTGGATTCTTTTTGATTCTCAAACCTAAGGAAAGAAGGAAGAAGGAAGGGAAGGGAGGGGAGGGGAGGGGGAAAGGGGAAGGGGAAGGGGAAGGGAAGGGGAAAGGAAAGGAAAGGAAAGGAGGGGAGGAGGAAGGGAGAAGGAAGGGAGAAGGAAGGAGGGAGAAAGACGAAAGAGAAATAAAGATGTGAGAAACAGAGGGGGCCTGGTATGGGTTACTGACAGTCTTCCACTTCTGGGTTCCAGGCCCTTCCTGAGGCCTGGCTGAACTCCGGTCCACAAGACTTCCCTGGTATTATAATAAGTCCCTCCTTGGTAAAAAGGCATTTGATGTTTAAAAAAATAAAAAAATTTTAAAAACCCTCTTTTCTCTTCAACTAGCTTCAGCTGATTTGAGTTACTTGTATCCAAAGAGTACTAACCAGTACAATCATCCACTACAATATCTTGCCAAAGGAATTGTGCTAGCAACACATCAGCCTCTGGCATGCAGCAAATGAAAGGACCTGTAACACCAGTCTCTTCCCTGCCCAACTAGCTCACTGTTATTCCCCCATCCATCTTTAGATCATAGATCGCCTTGGTGTTGAGCATGGCTTTACAGTAAGGGAACACACAAAATTCTCTTCTGTCCTGAGTCAAAAGTCACTTTCCATTTCATTGCCCCTACCACTAGCCTGAAATCACATCTGGGATCCCTGAGAATCCAAAACCCTACTGACAAAATCAACACCTGGGCCACGTGCAGTGGCTCACGCCTGTAATCCCAGCACTTTGGGAGGACGAGGCGGGCAGATCACGAGGTCAGGAGTTCGATTCCAGCATGGCCAACATGGTGAAACCCTGTCTCTACTAAAAATACAAAAATTAGCCGAGTGTGGTGGTGCACGCCTGTAATCCTAGCTACTCGGGAGGCTGAGGCACAGCAATTGCTTGAATCCAGGAGGCAGAGGTTGCAGTGAGCTGAGATGGCACCACTGCACTCAAAAACAAAAACAAACAAACAAACAAAACACCTTAAGCCTGTAAGACCAAGGATCAGAGTGCTATCCTAGCAAACAGACACACAGGGGTCCTTGCCCAAGCAGACTGCATGCCCAAAGCAGCAAGGTGGTGGTGACACAGCTAGCTTTAAAGATGTATGACACGTTTTAGTCATCAGAGCCCTTGTGATAGAATCATCTGGTGTTTAGGTGCCCACCCCTTCCCTATCCACAAGGACACATCAATTCAATCCAACAAATCCTTATTGAGTATCCACTTTGTTCCAGATATTTGCACTAGACACTGGGAACAGAACAAAATAGTTTCATTACTAGGGAAGAAGAGTAAAGCATAGTAATGAATCCTTAAGATTAGACATCCATGTCTCTGGGAAAAAAGGTAACTAGTAAAAAGGTTGTGCCACATTCACTGGTCAGCTTTTGGGGAGCTTTTCTTTCCACCCCATATTTTAAGCCACTTGACCTTGATATCTAAGAACTCTAGACCAGCCAACATGGTGTCTGATGCACCCTTCTGACAGCCCAGAGTATTTCAGAAAAGGACTTCCCCAAGGGCTTATCTGGGATTATTTTGTGAACTGAATCGACAAGAATGACACGGGGTCATGCTGGGCTTTAGAAAGCTAAGCTAGAAGCCAGGGAAAGGCTACCCTCTCAACCCCTAGCTTGTCCATTGCCTCGGGGCCCTGCAGACTGAAACACCCACGCATGCTCCAGGAGAGAAAGGACAAAACAAACAAATATCCCTAAGAAAACTAGCAGTAGCAAAACCAGGTACCGTATCCAAAACCTAAAAACAAAAATGTGTAATGAAAGGAGACTAGCCATTATTCTGTTTCTATCCTGAGATGCTACATTAGCAGATATAATTTATTTTCCCATGGTTTTCTGGGAAAGAGGTAAGTCTCAGGGTTTTTGCTACTTCATAAGTATTTCAGCCAGTCTAACACATTTGACAAAGACAACAGAAATTTACGTACTAGAAGAGAAAGATTCAGTTCTATTAGATGAGAACAAGATAGAACTAACTTACCATGGTGTCAGACAGAACAAGTTTCCTGTCATTTCTGTTAATTTGGAGTGGTTTTGCACCCAAAAACCTCAAGGCCAGGGTGATAAAAACAGTATAATTTTTAAAGGAAAACCAAATATCCTATACTCATTTGGAAGATTTGCCCAGCTTTCCTGGTATTCTCCTCTTCAGTGTGTGTGAAGCTTACTCTTAAATACTCTGTGTTCATGCTATGAAACACATTTTCCCTTATCTGCATAGCTCTGTCTACTTTCTCTGAAGCTTCCAGCTGCAAACTTACCTTTGTGTTCTTAGCTCTGGAAACCAGGATCCAAATCCCAGGGAGGCCAGAACCACTTGCTCTGTTCCTGTTGGGTGGCAAGAAGGGCTCTCTGTGGTTTCCAGGCTGAACAGTATTTGGGGCATTGGAGATTGACTTCTGAGGCTCAGTGGCGGCCAGCCATGTGACCAAGGTGGGGGGAGGGACGCTCCTGCAGGGTCAGGGATGGATGCCTGGTTGACTGACAGACCAGGGTATAGCAGGGTCTGAATAGAGCTGGCCATGATCATAGGCAGATGCCTTTGCTCTAAATTTCTTCTTGAATTTTAACTTGGTGATCTTTTTATGGCAGTGGTATATTCCAGCCTTGATTCTGAAATGCTATTTTATCTCCCTGCATAGTTTTTAACCCAGATTCTTTTTGGATTCTGTCTTGGAGGGATGTTAGAGCTGGAAGAGAACTTGAAGAATCCAGCCTTATCTCAAGGTTGCCCACTTTATATAATGAAAAATTGAGGCCCAGAGAGGGGCAGTGGCATTTCCAGGAACCTACAGATACGTGGGCCTGTTGTTATGTACTGGCATGACCCCAGTTGGCTCAAAATTACAGCTCACTTTAATGTCTCCAACTTTTAAGTTGTTAGAGCTTTGAGGACTGCTGAGATGTTGATAAAGGATCTTATCACATTGCAAGTACCTAAATGTTCAGCTGTCAGATTAGGGCATGGCTTGGAAATAGTGGCAGTCTGTACTTGTGGTCAATGAGTTTACATAAACATGTGTACTTATTTTTAGGCATCTCTAACCCAATCTTTGTAAAATGCTCCAAGGTGACCTTTTCGGAGAGATCAGGTGACACCAAAAGCTAGAGACATTTTTTTTTTAACCTCAAAGACCTTGAAGACCTCTCTAGACTACAGCCATGCAGGTAGGCTCCTAGTTCACACCTGTCACTCCAGCCAAAAGGATGGCTGCTGGCTCTCTGCTGACAAAAGGAGAGGTGGTAGGAATGATGGAGAAAATGATAGAGGCAGAGGTGTTGGTTGTAGAAGTAGCAGTAAAACGGTGGCAATGTAGATGAAGGTGTAAAGTGTAGGTGAAGTTATGAAGTACAGATGCAGGTGATGAGGTATAAATGGAGATGTGGGGTATAGATAGAGGTGTGAGGTGTAGATGGAGGTAATGAAATGTAGATAAAGATAGTAAATTGGCCGGGTGTGGTGGCTCACGCCCGTAATCCCAGCACTTTGGGAGGCTGAGGCGGGCAGATCACCTGAGTTCAGGAGTTCGAGACCAGCCTGACCAACATGGAGAAACCCCATCTCCACTAAAAATACAAAATTAGCCAGATGTGGTGGTACATGCCTGTAATCCCAGCTACTCAGGAGGCTGAGGCAGGAGAATTGCTTGAACCCAGGAGGCGGAGGTTGCAGTGAGCCAAGATAGTGCCACTGCACTCCAGCCTGGGCAACACGGCGAGGCTCCATCTCAAACAAACAAACAAACAAACAAACAAACATGGTGAGGTGTAGATGGAGGTGGTGTGAGGTGTAAATGGAGGTGTGAGGTGTAGACAGAGATGATGAGGTTCATGTAGAGAGAGGTGGTGAGATGTATATGGTGGTATGGGGTATAGATGGAGGTTCTGAGGTATTGACGGTGGTGTAAGGTGGAGATGGTGAGGTGTATATGGAAGTGATCAGATGTAGATGGAAGTGTGAGGTGTAGATGGGGGGTGAAGTGTAGATGGAAATGTGATATGTGAATGGAGGTGGTGAGGTTTACATGGAAGTGATGAGATGTAGATGGAGGTGGTAAGTTGTAGACAGAGGTGTGAGGTGGAGATGGAGATGGTGAGGTAGTGTATGGTGGTGTGAAGTATAGATGGAGGTATGAGGTATACATGGTGATGAGGTGTGGACAAGGGTGGTGAGGTGTAGATGGTGATGGTGAGGTATAGAAGGAGGTGTGTGGCGTAGGTATAGGTGGTGAGAGATAGGTGAGGGTGGTGAGGTGTAGATGGTGGTCGTGAGGTGTAGATGGAGGTGGTGATATCTAGATGGAGGTAGCGAGGTCTAGATGGAGGTGTGTGATATAGGTGTAGGTGATGAGGTATAGGTGAGGGTGGTGAGGTGTAGATGGTGATGGTGATGTCTAGATGGAGGTGATGAGGTCTAGATGGAGGAGTGTGGTGTAGGTGTAGGTGGTGAGGTATAGGTGAGGGTGGTGAGGTCTAGATGGTGGTGAGGTCTAGATGGAGATGTGTGGTTTAGGTGTAGGTGGTGAGATACAGGTGAGGGTGGTGAGGTGTAGATGGTGGTGGTGAGGTCTAGATGGAGATGTGTGGTTTAGGTGTAGGTGGTGAGATATAGGTGAGGGTGGTGAGGTGTAGATGGTGGTGGTGAGGTCTAGATGGAGGTGGTGAGGTCTAGATGGAGGTGTATGGTGTAAGTGTAGGTGGTGAGGTATAGGTGAGGTTGGTGAGGTATAGATGGTGGTGGTGAGGTCTAGATGGAGGTGGTGATGTCAGATGGAGGTGGTGAGGTCTAGATGGGGGTGGTGAGGTCTAGATGGAGGTGTGTGGTTTAGGTGTAGGTGGTGAGGTATAGGTGAGGGTGGTGAGGTCTAGATGGTGGTGGCAGTGAGGTCTATATGGAGGTGCTGATGTCTACATGGAGGTGGTGAGGTCTAGATGGAGGCAGTGAGGTCTAGATGGAGGCGGTGAGGTCTAGATGGAGGTGTATGGTGTAGGTGTAGGTGGTGAGGTATAGGAGGTGGTGAGGTCTAGATGTGGGTGGTGAGGTCTAGATGGAGGTGTGTGGTTTAGGTGTAGGTGGTGAGTTATAGGTGAGGGTGGTGAGGTGTAGATGGTGGTGGTGAGGTCTAGATGGAGGTGGTGATGTCTAGAAGGAGGTGGTGAGGTCTAGATGGAGGTGTGTGGTTTAGGTGTAGGTGGTGAGGTATAGGTGAGGGTGGTGAGGTGTAGATGGTGATAGTGACGTATAGATGGTGGTGGTGAGGTGTAGATGGAGGAGGTGAGGTCTAGATGGACGTGGTGAGGTCTAAATGGAGGTAGTGAGGTCTAGATGGAGGTGTGTGGTTTAGGTGTGGGTGGTGAGGTATAGGTGAGGGTGGTGAGGTCTAGATGGTGGTGGTGAGGTCTAGATGGAGGTGGTAATGTCTAGATGGAGGTGGTGACGTCTAGATGGAGGTGTGTGGTTTAGGTGTAGGTGGTGAGGTATAGGTGAGGGTAGTGAGGTGTAGATGGTAGTGGTGAGGTGTGGATGAGGGTGTGATGTGTAGATAGAGGTGGCAAGGTGTAGATGGAGGATGTGGAGGCAGTGATAGTGATGAAGGAAGGAGTTAGAAGGCCTTGTGCATGAAGAAATAGAAGATTGTTGTTGCTATTATGCTGATAAATGTGGAAGAACCTGTCCTCCTTTGATTACACATGTGAAATGGTGAAATTTCACCATTAGGAGTCTGGAGACCCTTATTCTTTCAGAGCCATGGTACCTTTGGGAAATCACCTCTCTGGGCCTCAGTGTTCTTGGAGCAGAGTTTGCTCTATTAAATGGCATTTGTCAGGGGGAAATCTACCTCTCTCCCTCCAAGCACTTTTGCCTCACCTTATAAAGTGGGAACTTCTGTCCTTGCTGCAGCCTTGAGAAAAGTACTCTCCACTTACTGCTCTACCTCTAAACTCATGCTATCTAGCAGAGGATGAGTGGTTCGTGTGCTTGGAGAATTGGAGCACATAAAATGGGCATATGTCATGACTCAGGTTCTTCTGGATTTCCTCCTTCTGGGAACAGCCTCCTCAGAGAAGGCCTGTGCTTCCCTCCTCTCCTCTTCTTTTCAACCTGCCCTAGGAAGGGCAGGTTCTTGCGTTGTGGGATAGGGGAGTCTTCCAGTTCTGGGTAGATAAGTTTCATTCTGAGGGAAAGAATTAGGAAGCCCAACTGTACATTCAAAACCACATTCTCCAATCAGCTTTAGCTGTCATAAATTTATTTTAGTTCCAGCTGCTGGACTTCTATATCTTATTTCTCATTTGATTCTAAGCACAGAGGGGTTGTGAACAAGTCTCATTCTCAAAGTCCAGCACTGAAGAATTAGTAAAAGAGTCCACATAGACTGGGTTGGACTCAAGGATCTCTTAAGTTTCTTTGAAACTCTACTGCCCTACGATTCTATGTGTCTAAGTGAAATTATCGCTGAAGCAAAATAAACATACATTGACAGTTCTGGTCAGATGTTGGGACTCTTAATGGATAACTTCCCAAGCTCTGACTCCCTTCTTTCCTGCTTTTCAACTGCATGAAGACCTTTGATCTTCAGGCATCTTCCTCTTCTCCCCATATACCAGCTCCTCATGGCTTCATTTACTTCCCCTTCTGGTCTGGACATCATAATGAATCCTTTCCTCTCTTCTCTCATTGATACTCATAACCTCTTATTCCTGCCCTGCCAATCTCTTGGGCAAAATCAGTCCATTCGTTAACTTTTTCCTCCTGCACAAAGTACTCTTTTGTCTCTGGAAAAAGCCTGTCTTCAGTGGGAGAGAGAAAAGCCAATACACAGAATGGCAGAGGGGTGTCCATTTGTGTGTGTGTGTGTGTGTGTGCGTGTGTGTGCGCATGTATGTGCATGAAAGAGAGAGAGAGATGAGGAGGGAGAGAAAGACCTAGTCCTGTGATGTGTATGGCCAACCTCATCCCTGCCCTTCCCTGTGGTTTAGTTTTGTAAGCCAAAAAATGTTGAGAGAAGATATGGCTACCCCTTTTCTCTCTGCTCCCTGTCCTCTGGCCTCCTTCCATGTTACAGCCAAGGACATGCCAAGCCAGCCACTCAGCTGTGGCACTGAAGTAAATGCTTGGGGGATACTGTCAACTCTTCCTCACCACCAGAGTGGTAACAGCTGAGGCTCATGCACTGGTCTTGGGGAAAGGGAAAGAACTGGCCCCAGTGTTCCTCAGCCACAGGTGTCTTCCCCTGGGCACATCTGGCAATGTCTGGATCTATTTTGGTTATACTGGAGGGAAGGTCACTACTGGAGGGAGAGTACTTCTGGCCTCTAGTGGGTAGTGGTCAGAAATGCTGCTAACGTCCTACAAGGATGGCCCCCACAACAAAAAAATTATCTGACCCCAACTATCAATGGTGCCATGATCAAGAAATCCTGGATTAGGGCATTCAGTCTCTGGTTCTAGGCTCTCACTCAGGCAAAAGGAGCACTCAACATAGGCCCACCTCACTCGCCAGGGATCTGCCAGGAGAGGGAGCTAAAGATTCTTAGTACAGTTGGCCCTCTATATCCACAGGTTCCTAACCCAAGGAGTCAACAAACAGCAGATCAAAAATATTTGAAAAAATAAAAATAAATAACAATACAACAATAAAAAATAATACTCCCAAAATACAGTATAAAAAACTATTTACATAGCATTTACATTGTATTAGGTATTCGAAGTAATCTAGAGATGATTTAAGATAAACAGAGGATTGCATAGGTCACATTTTATGTGAAGGACTTGAGCATCTTCAGATTATGATATCTACGGGTGGTCCTGGCACCAATCCCTTGCAGATGCTGAGGGATGACTGTTTGACCTCTGTGCCTCCATTTTCTTCAGATACCTGGTGGACAGTGATGGCTGCTCACTGGGACGGATTCCCTTCCATCTCCTGGCTAAATGCCATCTGAACCCTACCTGGGTTTGACATCTGAAAGGATTTAGGTAGGTCTGACCTAGGACCATGGCATGGGGGCAAAATTCTTTGAAGAAAATAGCAGCTTCCTACCCTGGAAAGGCCTGCGGGACTTAGGCCCTTGTTAATGGGACTAAGGATTCATTTGGGGGCCCTGGCAGGCTTATCTAGAACCTTTACCCACAAGAAGTTCCCCACAGGCTGGGCAGTACTCACCACAGTATGTGCAATTTTTGGCTTCCAGATTGTTTGTGCCAAGCTTTGGCAGGTGGTACAATATTGGCTGCCCCAGATTCTTGTCTGCTTTAGCTGTTTCTGAACCATGTCCAGGGTTGAGAAGGGAACATACTGTGATGGTGTCAGCACTCTGCAGGAAGGTGAAAAAAGGTGAGAGATATGTTAAAGAGAAGCTGAGACATTGTAAGAGGCCAAGCCCAGGTGATGCTGTGGAGGAGTTCTCTTTCTTCACCACCCCTATCTACTTCCCAATCGCTGCTGTGGCCTATGGACTCGGCTCACTCTACAGCAGCCACGACGCAAGTCTTGCTGTTCCTCTAACACCCCAGGCTCATTCCCACCTCAGGACCTTTGCACTTACTGTTTCCCTAATCTTCAGCCTGACTTGCTACCTCGTGTATTCAACTATTTGGTCAAATGCCATCTACCCAAGAAAACCTTCCCTGACCAGCCCATCTAAAATGCCCCTCTCTGGTCATTAACTCTGCTTTATTTGTCTAAATGGCATTTCTATCCAAAACCACAGTATGTGTTTATTCATTTGTTCACTTTTTGTCTGTTCCTCCAATATGGCAGAAAGTTTGTCTTATTCACTGATGTATCTCTGATACCTAGAATAGAGCCTGGCTCATAAATGATTGGGTCCAAATCCTGACTCAACTAACTGTGGCATCTTGGACAACTTCTTTTTTTTTTCACTGCAATTTCCTCAACTGAAAAAAAATGCGAATAATAATTATATCTACCTCAATGGTTATCTGAATCAATGTGAAACCTTAGGTCAATGTCTGGCCCACAGGGAATAGTTAGTATTAACTAATAATATTATTATAATTATTACACCCTCAGGAAGAAGCTCACATGTGTATCCTGAGGAGGCGGGGAGGGGGATGAGCAGTATTCCTAGCAGCTTGCAGGAGCAGAGAGTCTTTTTTGCTTCTCCAGGAACCAAGTCCTGTTCTCCCGTCTTGCCTGCTCTCTGCTGCCCTCTGGAGGTCTGCAGTGGAGTCAGGCAGGGAGCTGATTCAGGGACGCCACAGATTATGTATCCTCCACTTCCTATGGGATAGCTGCTATCATTCCCATTTTACAGATGAGGAAACCACTTCTCACAGTTGTAAGTAACTTGCCCAAAGTCATGTGATCTCCTGCTCTTAATCACATGATGAAGAATGAGACATTGCTGGATGACAGTCTCTCTACTTAAGCAAGCTAGAGCCCACGGAGGCATCTTGGGCCTTGGCAGAGCTGCCACTGGAGCCATCATTTGGCACACACTATTGGGAATCATTGAGGCCACAGAGGAAATGTGGGTACCTAGGAACTCGTTCTTCAGACAGATCCCCAAATGGACCCAGAAACAGCATGCAGCCAAGCAAGGGCTGGCCCCTTCCTTCCCCTCTCCCCAGGCTGTACTTCCTTAGCCAAAGGACAGTTCTCTGATCACCTCAGCCAACCTGAGCTACCCTGGAAAGCTACTTCTCACCCTGTGCCCCTGTGCCTCTCTCTCAGAGCGTATGTCACTGGCTGGGCCAAATGATCTTCATGTCAACCTAAAATAAGAGGGCTATGGAAAGACATAGCCTCTAGAGACATCTGGGAGCTGATTAACTAATAAGAACCTGGAGACACCAGCACTGTCTGATCAAAAGATACAATGGAGGAAAAGATTTCATTTTCAATAAAAACAAAAACCCTAAAACATCTAGAAATAAACTCGCCTAGAAATGCATGTTTTATATGAGGACACGTGGCAAAACTTTGCTAAGAAACACATAATAAGACATCATATTTCTGGATGGGAAAACTGAATAGGGCAAATATGCTTAAGTTCAGACATTTATATATATTTTAAATACAATTCCAAGGGCATTTTGAATGAAAATGACCAAAAAATCATGGCTAAAGTATGAGCTTAGAATGTACTGAGTTTTTACTATGTGCTAGGCTCAGGGCTGACAGCTTTACATACCTTACCTCAATTAATCCTCACAGCAACCTCAAGAGGTCATTTCATTTATTTATTTATTTATTGTGGAGACAGCATTCTCACTCTGTCACCTAGGCTAGAGTGCAGTGGCACTATCACAGCTCACTACAGCCTTGACCTCCCAGGCTCAAGCGATTCTCCTGCCTCAGCCTCCCAAATATCTGGGACTATAGGCAGGTGCCACACCATACCAGGCTACTTTTTAATTTTTTGTAGAGATGAGGTCTCAATATGTTGCCCAGGCTGGTCTTGAACTCCTGGGCTCAAGCAATCCTCCCACCTCAGCCTCCCAAAGTGCTGGGATTACAGGAGTAAGCCACCACGCCTGGCTGAGGTCATTATTAATATTTATGAAAGACAGGTTGGGGAAGTGATTAAGAGCAGGAGATCACATGACTTTGGGCAAGTTACAACTGTGAGAAGTGGTTTCCTCATCTGTAAAATGGGAATGATAGCAGCTATCCCATAGGTTTATGATGAGTATTAAATGAGGTAACATACATGAAACATTGAGAGCAGTGCTTGGCAAGTAGAAGCACTGATATGAACTACTATTATCCTCATTTACAGACGAAAAAACTAAAGCTTAGAGAGGATAACATAATTTGCCCAAGTTCACACAGCTGATAACTGGCTGCCCTGGCCTGGGGGATGGGAATAGGGAGTCTTGCCTACAAGATCTGAAAAATTATAAAATCATAATAGTTAAAACAGGAAGCACATCTTGTATAAGATATTTTTATATGCCTTGCAAGATTATGTTCTGAAATATTAGCCAATGCCTTCTCCAGCCTGATACTCCCCTTACCTCTCTCCCTTCCCTGCCTCAAATAGCCAGGCCATTCTATGCTCATTGCTGCAGGGAAGGTGTGTGAAAACAGAAAGAAGAGGTAAGGAGCCTCTTTCCTTAGGGGAATAGAAGAGACTTCTGGCCTAGACCTAGACCAAAGTGTGGGAGAAAATGGTCATGAGAAAGATCAAGGCATTCCCTGCCCCTCACTCATATCCAAGAATAATTCCCCAGGGCAAGGACAAAGGCTGGAGGGAAGTTGAGAAACATTGACTTTGCTAGGTCCTGGAGGCTGAGGTCCCAATCCCCGCTCCCTGGACTGAGCCCCACAGAGAAAGCAGCATCCCTCACAATCTGTGGATCTGAGAGCAGGGAACAGAACAGCTGCTGGGTGTATCTAGGCCAAGAGGACCCCAGGCAAGCTCCCTGAGTGAGGCTGCTTGAAGAGGTGGAGAGAGACTTTGACCTCCACAATAACCTGCAGGCACCAACGACCCAGGACCAGATGGGACAAGGATAGATGACATGAAGGGCAGGACCCTTTGTAGGTCACTGAGAGTCTAGAACCCTGCACTCCACCCCACCCCAAACCCAAAATGGAAACTGCAAAGGAAACTCAGAACTGACTGGGATTAAGGGTCAGCACCTTTTTAAAGAGCGGGGCTCAAGTACAGATGAAGGAGAATTTTATAAACAAACTAATTTTTTTACACACTTGAGTTTATGGGCCGAAACTGGTATTCTAAAGGATAAAGTTTTAAGAAAATAGTGTTAGGGAAATGCACTGTTTAAAAAATCCATTTAGAAGAGAAGCTTGGGCAGCGGACAAAGGCAGCAACTTAAATCATTCGCAGGGCTCAGCACATATTATTGATCTCTGCTCCGAAATTAAATGTAATTGTTCCTTAAGATTGAGCTTGAATTTGCATCCCGATCTGCCTTGGACAGTAACTATCTGCCCCTGTTGTCTTGGCTTCATAATTAGTTGTGCTCCTTTCATTCTCAAAAGGGTCCCATTTTGAGCAGTAAATTATGTGGTTATTCTGCCTAAGATCTTTAAATGAGAGTGATCCCATGGGTGGGCTGACTCTGAACTAGGTATCGTGAAACAGAAAGTAAGGCTTTCCAGGCAGGTGTGGCTGGAGCCCAGTGGCGCCTGACATGGAGCCTCTGGAGGGCAGAGAACCTCAGCTGGATGGGAAAGGAAGGTAAGGTAAAGGGCAGGTGGGGCATCAAGAGAGGGTCAGGTGCTTGGTAGTTAATAGGACAGTGGCGAGATCAGAGTAGAATGTTTGAATTTAATATTTCAGAGATGGAGCAGCTAAGGATAATGGTGTGGCCCAGGTTTTGACCATAGGCATAGGAGGGAGAAATGGAGGCAAATGGAGGCCTGATTTTGTTTGGGGACAGGAACTGGGCACTGGGGAGACACATGGATGGGGGTTTGTCTCTACTCTTGTACTCTTCAAATTTTGAATCTTGTAACTGTGTTATTTTAAAAATCTACAAGTAAAATTAAAATGCAAATCAGCACCACAATGAAATACCATTTTTTACCTTTCAGATCGGCAGATATCAAGAAATTTTTCAACAGTGAGAGAGGAGGGCAATGGGCCCTCATACATCTACTTGCCAGTGAGATGCAGATAAGCACAGCCTCGATGCAGCCAGTTTGGCTGTATTTATATAACTTTAAAATGGACATACCTGGCCAGGTACAGTGGCTCACGCCTGTAATCCCAGCACTTTGGGAGGCTGAGGTGGGTGGATCACTTGAGGCCAGGAGTTCAAGACCAGTCTGGCCAACATGGTGAAACCCCATGTCTACTAAAAAAATACAAAAGTCAGCCAGGTGTAGTGGCTGTAGTCCCAGCTACTTGGGAAGCTAAGCCATGAGAACTGCTCGAACCCAGTAGGCAGAGGTTGTGGTGAGCCCAGATCGTGCCACTGCACTCCAGCCTAGGTGACAGAGCAAGACTCCATCTCAAAAAAATAAAAATAAAAATAAATAAATAAAATGGACATACCTTTTGGTAGCAGCAACTCTTTATCTGGAAGGTTATCTTACACTCCCACCTGTGGACAAAAACAGAGATGTGGTTTGGGACAGTTACTCACCTCCCTGTGCTTATGTCACAGTTGTAGTGAGAATTAAATATGATACATGGGAAGGATTTTAACAAGGGCCTGGCACATGGTAAGCATTCAGGAAATGCTGGCTGTTATCATCCGAGCATTGTTCACAGTGGCAAAACATTGGAAACAACCTGAATGTCCATGAATAAAGGACTGATTTTAAAAAAGAAAGAAAGAAAAACAAGTTTTGTCTCTACTTTGGAAAACGATGAACCTTTTAAATAGAATGAGGATATTCTTTAAATGGTGCTATGGAATGATTTTTTTAGAAATATTGTTAGGGGAGGGAGAGCATCAGGAAGAACAGCTAATATTTGCTGGGCTTAATATCTAGGTAATGGGATGATCTGTGCAGCAAACCACCATGGCATACATTTACCTATGTAACAAACCTGCACATCTGGCATATGTACCCCTGAACTTAAAATAAAAGTTGAAGAAAAAAATAAATAGATTTTTAAATTTTTAAAAAAGAAATATTGTTAAGTAGGAAAAAGGGAAAGTGTAGAAGAGTGCTTATGGCTGTCATCATGCCTGTGTAGAGGGTGCCTATGGGTACAGTATGGTCTCTCCAGGGAAGAGGTCACAGAAACTGGTTACAGTGATGCTTCCTGGGAGGGGAACTTGGAGGTCGGGGCTCAGGGAACTCTATGACTTCTTGTACCTTTTATATTGTCCACCATACAGAGGTATTCCCTATTCAAGAACAATTAAGTAAATTCCACTTCTGGGTATACACCCAAGAAAACTGAAAACCAGGATTCAAACAGATAGTTATATCCCAATGTGCATATCAGCATTCTTCACAATAGCTAAAAGGTAGAAACAACCTAAATATTCATCAACAGATGGATAAATAAAATGTGGTACATACATACAATCGTGATTCAGCCTTAAAAAGGAATAAAATTCAGACACATGCTACAACATGAATGAACTTAAGGACATCACGCTAAGTGAAATAAGCCAGACACAAAACGACAAATACTGTATGAGTCCACTTATAGAGGTACCTAGAATTGTCAGATTTATAGATACAGAGAGTAGATTAATGGCTACCAGGGCCTGGGGCAGTGAGAAATGGGGAGTTAGTGTTTAATGGGTATAAAGTTTCAGTTGGGAATGATGAAAAAGTTCTGGAAATGGATGGTGGTGATGGTTGTATTACAGAACAATGTGAATATAATTAATGCCACTGAATTGTACATTCAAAAATAGTTAAAATGGTCAATCTTATGCTTATTTTGCCATAAAAGGAAATCATTTTAATAAAAATATTTCTTTATCACTTTGATTGGAGCTATGTTAAATGTAGATTAATCACAAAGAGCTGTGTTGTATGAGCAACAACAAAAAACAGTCCTATCCAAAAAAGCACTTTTGTTCTCCAAATTCTGGCATTTTCTATGCTAGGCAGGCCTGCTCTGCTTTGCTGGCTGGCTTTTTGGGGGTTCATGTTACTGAGCAGCGATGAAAGGCTGAACCAGGACCAGGGGAAGAGGGTAGCTTCATCCAAGATGGAGGAGAAATGGGCAGGAAAGAGATGATGGGTGGGGGCAGAAGCAGAGAAATTCCCATGGGGCCATGAGGATGAGATAAATGGGGTGGGTGTAGGAAAGGAATTTCCTACAGGGGTGGAAAAAGCTGGCCTTTGAGGGGAGTAACAGAGGAGTTACAGCAAGAATCTGTAAAAGAATCACCATGTTCCACTGGTGAGCTGGAGATCACAAACGTATAGTTTTCATATTCTTCTCACCTCTTCTCTTCCAGGCAACAACCCTGACGGGGTTGAGGACCCTGGTTAGCTAAATAAGTGAGGAAGAGTGGAAACCAGGGACTCCCCATCCAGACCACCATCCACCACGGGCCTCTGTTCTTTAGCAGCACCAGAAGAGGCTCCACTCCAAGTCAAGATTGAAGTGGTATCTTTAGGTAGGACTGGAAATTATAATTATTAAAATGAGACTGAGACCAAGGGTGGCTGGAACAACCTTGTGACTTGCCTAAATTCCATTCAGGGGCAAAGCAAGAGCTAGTCCCACCGAATAAATGTAAAAGAGGCTGGGTGCAGTGGCTCACGCCTGTAATCTCAACACTTTGGGAGGCCGAGGTGGGTGGATCGCCTGAGGTCAGGAGTTCGAGACCAGCCTGGTCAACATGGTGAAACCCCATCTCTACTAAAAATACAAAAATTAGTTGGGCGTGGTGGTGGGTGCCTACAACCACAGCTACTCAGGAGGCTGAGGCAGGAGAATCGCTTGAACTCAGGAGGTGGAGGTTGCAGCGAGCCAATTATTGTGCCACTGCACTCCAGCCTAGCGACAGAGCGAGACTCCATCTCAAAAAAAAAAAAAAAAAAAGAGTAAATGTAAAAGAGCAGTAAGAGACAAAAATCAAGCTGCTTTCTGATTTTACCACATAAGTCATGTTTGTTCAATGGAACAGTGCACATTAGCTTTAATTGTTAATTAACACGCATCTGTTAAATAACCTTGTATCTGACTTTGGATTTTAAGCTTTCTGAGGGCAAGGACCATGTGCTGTTTAACCCCACACTGTTCCCACAGCCTGGCAAAGTGCCTCAAATTTACACAGGGGGCACTGAGATGGCTGCTGAGTGAATTGCTGACCAAGAGGGACTGCCCCACATCAGGCAGCCCATGCCATTACTGTGCTCACACTGTGCCCGACACAGAGCAAGGGATCATAAGTCCTGGGTGGCTTGAATTGACTCTTCCTAAAAAAAGAGTCTGTGATCTAGGAAGTCCAATATAAAAAGATGTTGCGGATTGCCCAGACTTAGAGTAAGAGGGGCAGAAATGAAGTAGGCATGGATGGTAATTTTGTTTTTCCATCAGGGCTGCTCTTACTCTGGAGTAAGGAGAGGAAGGCTAAGACACAAAAGGGGGACTCCGCCCAACCCAGCTTATGTCCTGTGATACCAGAAGGGAGCATTGCAATGACCTATTAAACCTCAAACCAAGCTGAATCCATTTCTGAGTAAGAGACTCTTACAGGGCTCCTGTCCTCAAAACTATATAAAATTGCTCAAATTATGTACTTCTGAGATAATAAATTAGCAGAAGAAGCACATAGCCCACCTCTTAAGATAGGGAAGTAGATCTGAAGTAGCTCAAGAAACAAAGTTTTCTACAGATGAAGGATGAGGGAAGGAAACCCAAGACCAGTTGATTCTGGTTTGGGAAATGATAACACTGGAGAACACACTCTACTATCTGTTTCTTGTGACATCCTTTGTGCTAAAGTTATCTCCTTTGTTGGCATGGCCACCATCCCTACTTCTAGTGCAGTGGAGATGTATGAGTGTCTCCATTGCTAAGTGTTTAGTTACTCAAGATAAACTTGACTGGAGAGGGTGTGGGCAGGCATTCAGTCAAGCAACAAGCCACTCACTGAGTGCCACCAATGGTGTGGGAAAAGATGACTCTCCTTAGACTGGTCCATCCAAAATAAAGGAGGTGGGGAGAGCATACCTGGGTGGTCTTCAGGGTACTCCTGGAAACATCCATCAGCTCATGAGCTCACAGCTGAATTCCAAATCCTGGGATGCCTGCTTGGAGGGAGGGTAAAACACCATTTCTCAGGGACAGAAGCCCACAAAGCTAAGGGCACTGGGTTTCTAAGTCAGGATTTCATCACGGCTGGATGACCCTTTTTTAAGGAAAGCCAGCTGATCTCCAGGACTCCTGATACATAAGAGCTATGCAGTCTGTCACTTCTAGGGAGAGAGATGGGGACTAGCTCTGGTTCCTCATGCGTTCCTTCCCTCTCACTCCCTAAAGACCTCAAGAAACAGATCCTTGGTAACAATGCCTTCTTTGGGCCAGAAAGCTTAGTTGAAGTGTGGATTCTTATACAAGTCTCATGTTTTCTGGACTCCTAGGAGACTCAGAGGAGACACCATAGGTAACCCTTATTGAACTGGAAGAAGTGTGAAGTACTATCAACCACTGAGACTCCCATGGCTCAAGAATATGCACAGAGGTCTAACTAGATATAGGTCTCAGCCCCTGACTTTAGAAGTCTGACATTCCACAGATATGCACACACTACACGCTCCCCTCACAGAGGAAACTGGAGTAGGGGGACACAGCAGAACAAAATCGCAACACTACTACAGGAAAACCTCGTCATTCCGTTACTTGTCCTTTGCTATGTTGGAATACTTATAGATTAGTTTCAACAATCAGGTTACTCCTTATCTTTGCTCTAAGTCTTGTACAGGCCTTTAGCAAAAAGCAATAAAATTCTCATCTGACTCTTGGTGGGCTGGGGAATCTGCCTATTCTATTCAGTTGGTTCACTCACATCTCCAAACCAGAACCTACAACCACTCTGTAACTTTATTTATGTAAAATCCACTCTACTTACCCCAGTGCAGTGGCCTGTGGCTCCTGGGCCCTGACTCCAATTCCTTTAGGGTGGACCTTGCAGTTGGAACCATCCACCTCTCGTTTTTTCTATCTCTGCTATTAACATAGCCCCTCCTCTATTGCCTCACCAACTATTTTCAAACCAAAAAGTCTTTGTCTATTCATAGCCACTGTAAAAGTAACATTCATTTTTCTGTTTTTTAATCTAATGTCTGCGTCTTCAGTGGTTCTCACTGGCTAATCTAATCAGTGTGTTCTAGGGAGGTTTATTCCTTGCCTGTTCAGCTTGTCCCAGCACAACAAAGGTAAGTCATTTGCCTGGGGAGAATCAGCTCTTTTAAATCAGACAATCCTCAGGAAAGATGTCAGGACTTTTGCCTCTTTTCTTCATGGGACTGAGATTCAGGAGAACATTCCACATTCCACTGCCACACAGCTCTGCAAACCCCAAATCCTGACTCTCCGAAGAAGGATATGGGCAAGGAAAACAAAGAAGGCATTTGAAAAAACCAAACCTTGCAAGAAAAACTTTGCGTACTTGGTGATTTTTCCAGGTTTATCCTGACTTTTGGCCTCTGTTTTTATGAATTCCATTTTTGTTTAAGTGAAAAAGATACGGTGAGAGAGACATAGTGGAAAATGGGAAGTTTGGAGGAAGATGGGAAGGAAGAAGCCAGTGAGTAGGAAGTGAGAATCGGGAGTGGAGGGAGTGAGGGACGCGGTGCTGAGCGATGGGGAAGAGAAGCATGCCAGGAAGGCGCAGCGTCTCTGGGCACCCAGCATGGGGCCTGGTATATGCACACATTTCCCCTCATTGAACTCTCAACAGTCCAGTGGGGAGAGCATTCTCGTCCCCAACCTTACAGAGCTGGAACAGAAGCTCAGAGACTTACAGACAGGAAGAAAAGTAGGAGCTGGAAGCCCCATTAAAAAAGCAACTCTACCCCTCTTCTTCCAGTCTCTTCTGTGGCTTCTCTAAGGGTCTTCAGCCTCCTTATTTCAGGGTTGACCTTCTCTTTCAGATAGGAAATTTATCATCTGGTTGGATATCCTCACTTTCTTCCTAGATCACGTGGAGTTTTCCCTTAGTGGAAAAGCCTCATTCCTGGATCTAGAGCCTGCTGGTGGCAGACATGTAAAAAACATGTTTCGGAGGCCATGCCCAAGCCAACACATTAACCCAACATTATAGTTTCTGTTAATAATCCATGGAATCAAAGACAGGCAAGACTAGGGAGATCAACACATGCTGGGTCACCAGAGGCTTTCCTGGTTTTAGCACAGAAGATCTGTGACCCAGGAAACCCCTTAGTCCCAGGAAGATCAGCACAGCCTAGGCCAGAAACAGTTTCGGGCCTTAGGGAATTTCCAGCTGGTTGGGGATTCAACAAATTCAGAAGAGTGTGAGGCTCCAAAAAGAAGCACAAAGGGAGGGAAGGGTTCAGTGAAAGAAAAATCACCCTTGTTTGGAGGATTACCTTGTTCCACAAATGTTCATGGCTTACCTACCAGCCCCATGTGTTAAAGAAAAGCTTTGTGGAGAAAATGGCCTTGGAGATGCAGTGAAGGGATAGGATAGGGGTAGGATTTAGAACAGTAGAACTACCAAGGGGTATCTGAGGCAGAGGGAAGAAGCCACAAAAAATATAGACATAAGAGGTGGGAGAACATAGCATAAATATCCTGAGAACTGGAGAGCAGTTTCCCTGGCACAGGGCAGGTTTGGGGAAATAAAGCTTTGGGCATGCGACGATAGGCTGGGTAGTCTATGGAGAGGTGTAAACATCAGCAAACATGTCTGAAGTGAAAGGAATGTGGAAGGGGACTTGGTACAAGAATGGAATAATGGACTTCACAGTGGATTGTAGCACAGGTGGAAAGACCAGTTGAGACGTTACTGCCAAGCATTCAAGTGAAACCCTTTGGTTTCTACCTACCCAGGTTTTGTTCAAATAATTTGGACATTTATTTCAGACACTTCAGGTTTGGGGTTTTTTTGTCTCTCACTTCACACAGGAATTTGAGGGTGAGCTTCATCTGGTTTGGTGAGGGTATTGGAAGGTATGGGGCAGGGGCTGTCCCTCCAGGATGCACAAAGGGAACAGGTTTGCAGGCTCAGGAATCCTCCTAATGGAGGAAGGAGGAAGGAGGGAGGAGGACCTGCCCTGGCAGCACCGTGCTTTCTTCCTCGTGTCTAGTGTCCACTGGGATTTGGCTGCTGCACTGCTTGTCTCCCTGTCCAGACCTAATGCCTCGTTAGCTGTTAACCAAAGCATGTTCCTTACTTATTTGAGAGGCTTTCTACCTTGCCAGAGAAAGACAGCCATTTGAATGTTCTCTGTGAGAAAAGGGAAAGGCAGTGTGGCGGTGTGAGACCACAGCCTGAAGTCCCCGACTGCCACCACCTGCCACAATATCCTGCTGCCACTCCCCAGCTCTGCTGTCTCTAAGCCTCAGTTTCCCACATGAACCAGGCGACTAAAGTGGGGATGGCAGATTTTCTCTCAGAAGGGAAAAGTGCTAGGCGTCAGGTCCAAAGAAGTATACTGTAAACCCCTCCTCGTATTCCAGCACTGCTTTGGAATGCTTTTTTTTTTTTTTTTTTTTTGCTTTGGATATTTTTCCTTTTTACTTTTTTTTTTTCAAGTTCTCTCATGAGGTTGCATACTTTACTTTTTTTCATTTAAAAAATGTAGTTCCAGTTGGACTTAGGGAGGAAAGAGAAGTAAATGTTAACAGTTCACTTTACAATCTTGAACGAATTTTTTACTTAAGGTTGATTTAACTTGGTAAGTGTATTTTTTGTGAATTTCCTATTCATATCTATGTTTCTATTGATGTGTTTCTTTTTTCTATTTATTTATTTATTTATTTATTTTTGAGATGGAGTCTCACTCTATCACCCAGGCTGGAGTGCACTGGCCACCATCTCAGCTCACTGTAACCTCTGCCTCTCAGGTTCAAGTGATTCTCATGCCTCAGCCTCCCAGGTAGCTGGGATTACAGGCATGCGCCACCATGTCAGGCTAATTTTTGTATTTTTAATAGAGATGGGGTTTCGCCATGTTGGCCAGGCTGGTCTCAAACTTCTGGCCTCAAGTGATCCACCTGCCTCAGCCTCCCAAAGTGCTGGAATTACAGGCATGAGCCACCACTCCCAGCTTCTTTTTCCTATTTATTTGTAAAAGTTACTTATTTATGTTATAAATATTTTTCTTTTTCTTTGTTTTTAGAGAAAGGGTCTTGCTCTGTCACCCAGGCTGGAACGCAGTGGCGCGATCACAGCTCACTAAAACCTCAAACTCCTAGGCTCAAGAAATCCTCCCGCCTCGGCCTCCCAATTATAGATATTTTTCTGTTTGTCATTTGTCATTCAATTTTGTTTGCAGTCTTTTTCTTTTTCTTACAGGAAGGTTTAATACGATGTGTGTGTGTGTGTATTTTAATAAAGTCAAATTTATCCATATTATTCTTTAAGGTTTCTAGTTTTGTTGTCAATCTTAGAAAAGTTTTAGCCATCCCCAACTTTATATACAAAATAAATTTTCTTTATATAGAAAATCTGTATGTTCTAAATTTTCTTCTAGTTCTTTTCCGGTATTGCTTTGTATATTTAAATATTCAATCCATCTGGACTTTGGTATATGGTGTAATATGAGGATTTAACTTGTTTTTCCCAAGTGTTAAATCACCATTTGTAAAATTATGTACCCTGTACCCACCATCCTACACCCTCCTTCCCAAAGGGGCAGACTGAAATCCAGCCGAGGGGACCCATCCTGCTTGATCACATACTGATGTTTCTATGTGCTTGAGTCTGTTCTCAGCCAACCAACCTGATAGTAGGCCCCGTGCCCAGTTTCCCTTTCTTACCACTCACTCATCCCTCAAACCACTGTGTTCTGATTTCTGCTCCTTACTGGTCACAGACATTTCTGTGGCAAAGCTCATCATCAAACTTCTAATTGCCAAGTGGACAATTAGACAGTGGACACTTTTCAGATCTTTGCTTGATAGACCTCTCTATTACATCTGGTGTTATTGACAATTCTTTCCTCTTTTTTTTTTCCTGTTTGTTTTGCTTGGTATATTTTACAACTTGTGGGCCATTCAGTATGTGCATATTTATCTTTGTTAAATACGGCCACATTGTTTTCCAGAGTGGCTGTAGCACTTCACACACCTACTAGCAGTGTGTGTGTCTAACTGGATTATTTAAGGATAAGAGTTGGGAGATCTGGGATGCTCTGGTTTTCTGCCCCCAGGGATGTGCTCACTGTCCCCTTTGTGCTGTCACCCTACAGATCTCTCTCCTGTGAGCTTGAGTCCTGCTGCTGGCCTAAGTCAACCCCACCACTATCACTACCAACTGCCAACACAAACCAAGAGACAGCTTTAAAGACTAACCTTCCCAAAACCCTGTTTTTGCATTTTGTTCCCTGTTCCAGAATTGCCAGTAGCTTCCCAATGCAGTCAAATACAGTCTGAACTCCTTGGATTGGCACTAATGGTGTTCTCCTGCCTGGCTTTCTCATTCCTTGCCAGCCTTATTTCTCTCCCTGCTACACCCTCCTCCCCAAAGGGGCAGACTGGAATCCCGCCAAGGGGACCTATCCTGCTGATGAGGCTGTAAACCAGTACAGCCACTCTGCAAAAACAATGTGGCAATATTTAATAAAGATGAAAATACTCATAAGGAATGACGAAGCAATTTAACTCCTTACAGAAACTTTTGCATATGCGTGCCAAAGCACATGAACAAGGGAGGATATTTATATAGCATGGTTTGGAGGTACCTGAACTCGGAAGCAACCCAAATGTCCACTGGTAGTGGAATGGGTATGTTCTGGTCTCTTCACCCTTCTTCACTCCCCTTGCCTCCTCACTGAACTTACACAGCATGTTAATTTTTCAGATAACATGTCTTCATTTAAAACAGGAGCCCAACTACCTACTTTCCAAAATAGAGAGCATTTTTTTTCCACTGAAAAATGAATTTCCAATATCACTATGTTAATATGTATAAAAACTGGACAGGTGCAGTGGCTCACGCCTGTAATCCCAGCACTTTGGGAGGCCAAGGCGGGTGGATCACAAGGTCAGGAGTTCAAGATCAGTCTGGCCAACATAGTGAAACCCCATCTCTACTAAAAATACAAAAAATTAGCCGGGGGTGGTGGTTGTGAGCCTGTAACCCAGCTACTTGGGAGGCTGAGGCAGGAGAATCACCTGAACCTGGGAGGCGGAGGTTGCAGTGAGCCGAGATTGCGTCATTGCACTCCAGCCTAGGCGACAGTGCGAGATTCTGTCTCAAAAAAAAAAAAGTATAAAAATTTTGTAAAATGGTGTGGTCATGTTTTATCATTTGTTAATCTAAGTGTTTCTTTTTGCGTTTTTAAAAATTCACTTCTTAAAATGTGTGTTTACATTTTTTTAAATTTAAATATATATCTAGGTTTTCAGTTCTATGTTGTCAAATGCATAGTCTATCCTTTGCTTTTTGCTTTTTACAAAGGAATACCAAGATGAGTTACAAGTGATTTATCTCAGATTTTGTTCACTGAGGCTTAGAGTTTACTCCATGAGTTCATGAGGGTTCAGTTCCACCTATTGTTCCTTGCTCAATTGTTTGAGTAGGTCCTGATTACCTGCCAGATGGCCAGTCCTGGGCTGATCTTTTCTACAAAGATCAGAAGGGTCTCTTCTGGCAAGGCAAGCCTGGCTTGTACTCTCTGTGGAAACTTAACTAGCCATGGCTGCAGCTAGAGGGCCCAGCCAAGGATCTTTCCAAATCAAGTGTCTTTGGCTGTCAAATATGTAGGTAACTAAAACTCCAATCTCTGAGGGAGGACAGTCTGCCCTATCTGAATTCCCTTGTCTTCTAGAAAGGGTCAAATAGTAGTCTAAGCACTCAGGGAGAGTGAACACTTTTCTCCTTGTGTCTCTGTCAAGGGCAGGGAACACTAAACCATTAGTAATAACGTAGTCTTTAAAGTACATTAAATCAGCTAAGTTAACTGTTTAACCATAAGTTCAACACTCCTTTTTTTTTCTTTTTTGCATTCCATCTGTTATGCAAAAACCCCAATTTTTGATTGATATGAAATGAAAACATAGAAATAACAGGCATGCCATACCATCAAGAGACCAACCACTACCTCATCCAATATTTCACCCCTCTCCACTCCAATTGTTTTGATCTCTTTCAATGGGTGACTTCACAGAATTGAGATGCTAGGTCTCACCAAGATGGTGACTTTTATGGCCAGCTTCTCTGGGATGAGTAGGAATTACCATTTCCTACAATTCCCAGATGATGCTGATGCTGTTAGTCAGAAAATCACTGCTCTAAACCCAACTAATAATTTACAGAAAATGGAGAAGACAGAGGAACTTATTAACACCATGAGGATGCATTTTAAGAAAATCCAGATTCTGAGAAATAGTTCTTTCAACAAATAAATTATAAGGAAAAATCAAGCAAGAACGAACCTAGACTGCCTGTGAATGGCCACTGCATTCCAGCCTTGGCAACATAGCAAAGCCCTTCTCTGAAAGAGAGAAAGAGATGATGATGAGAAGGAGGAGGAGATGTTTCTAAGCAAGAGACTGGACTGGAGGCCTCAATTTACTCCCAACGTCATCTGGAGGTCACAAAGGGCAGAGAGCCAAGATGGCAGCCCAAGGCACGGTACAAGCCTATCTTAGCTGGTGTCAATGTCTACTAGATTCTGCCCCAGGCCTCCAACAATGGCTACAGGCTGGAATGTGGACCAGCCTGCTTAGTCTTCAAAAGGGAAGACTGCCTATGTCAACTCAAGTATAAAATATCAGGAGAGCTCTTTGCTCGGGCACCAGTAGAACAATACGCTGACACTGCTGAGACAGTGAAAGATTACAGCTTCTACTTTGTAATGTGGTTCTAGGATGACACTGAGCAGGTATAGTGCTTTCATCGGCATTGGCTTCACAGATGAGGGTGATGCCTTTGACTTTGATAACTTCTGAAAAAGCACCTTAAATGGATAAAACAGGTATCTGAGATGGCCAAAGGATCTCTTGAAATGAACACTCATCCCAGGTTGGATCTGGGCTTTAAGGAAAGACAGACCATCAAGTTGAGTAATGGGAACATTACAACCAAGGAATGATGAGCTTCAGCCAGGTGCAGTGGCACGCACCTGTAGTCCCAGCTGAGGGCTGAGGCAGGAGGACCACTTGAGCCCAGAAGTTGGGGACTGTAGTGTGCTATAACCATGCCTGTGAATGGCCACTGTACTCCAGCCTTGGCAACACAGCGAGGCCCTTCTCTAAAAGAGAGAAAGAGATGATGATGATGATGATGATAATGAGGAGGAGGAGGAGATGTTTCTAAGCTCAGGACTGCAAGAGACTGGACTGGAGGCCTCAATTTACTCCCAACCCCATCTGGAAGCAAGTTACTCTTCCCCTCCATCCTCCAAGGATGTTGCCTCACCAGCTGTTCCAATTCTAACCATGGAGGGAGTGATGCAGATATCCTTTTAGGCTGTGATTCTTCTGCTCCTGTCATGACACCAGCACCAGCTGCAGTCTCTGTGAGCAACGACTTGGAGAGACTTTATAACCATTCTGTCCCAAACCTGGCATCAGAGCCATCCAACTGACTCCAGATCTGAATAGTACTGGCAAGACATCAAGGACAGACTTGAACAACAAAAATGACCTTGAGAAAATGGGGTAGAAAATCACGTCTCTGAGGAAGAAAATGAAGAAGGAGCAAAGAGCAGATCTTGTAAAAGAAAGACTGTTTCCTAAAGAATTATGATGTCTGATATATGGGTTTGGGGATTATCAGAACCCTTACACTGAGCCAATGGATATTCCTGAAGATCTTTTTATAGAGTTCATCAATGAAATTATGAACTTCCAACGCCAGTTAGAAGATCAGATCAAGTACAAGTTGATGATACTGTCTTCTTAATTAGAAAGGACCCAAGAAAGTTTGCTAGAGTTAAAAGACTTGGTTACTATGAATGAATAATTGAAATGAGCTAGAAAAGCATCTGACAGAGTCAACTATGATTTTGACACCTTTTGTACGTTCTGAAGCTCCATTATTTTCTGGGACAACCATATATAGTAACTAAATATTTCTACAGTAAGGTCCCGATATCTAACCATGTAAATGAAAGATGAAGAAACAAAGTTTTCATATTTTCAATTTTAGAATGAGACTTTAACGCCTGTATTTATATTACCATACTTGAATTATTCAGTTTTAATGACCACATGTAAAGGACCTTGCAAACTGTGCAGTTCCTTCTTTTTACTACCTAAATGATGAAACAACACAATATTTTTGTTGAGTGTTTGTGCCGCTGTAAGCTACACTACAGCTGTTTAATATGTGAAATCCAGATAGGACCTTTGACTCACCATAGCTGAGACACAGCTCTGTCATGTATTCTTTAGTTTCTAGACAGTATCAGACAAATTATTAAAGATAGTGAGCTGTTTTATGTTTCTCTTAAGTAGATATAGGAAAAGTCTCTTTTAAGAATGTTTGTATTAAAAGGTAATTTGTTTTAATATCCTTTTTTTCAGATAGCAAGTGATTTTTTGGAGAAACTAAGTTTCATGTGAAGGCTTCAGTGTTGGAAGGCTTTTCCTTTTTTTTTTTTTTTTTTCTGAGACAGAGTCTCGCTCTGTCACCCAGTCTGGAGTGCAGTGGTGCGATCTTGGCTCGCTGCAAGCTCCACCTCCCAGGTTCATGCCATTCTTCTGCCTCAGCCTCTGAAGTAGCTGGGACTACAGGCGCCCGCCACCACACCCAGCTTATTTTTTGTCTTTTTAGTAGAGATGGGGTTTCACCGTGTTAGCCAGGATGGTTTCGATCTCCTGATCTTGTGATCCACCCACCTCAGCCTCCCAAAGTGCTGGGATTACAGGCGTGAGCCACCACACCTGGCCTGGAAGACTTTTTATTTTTATTTATTTTTTGAAAGAGTCTCATTCTGTCACCCAGACTGGAGTGCAGTGGTGGGATCTCAGCTCACTGCAACCTCCGCCACCTGGGCTCAAGCAATTCTCCAGCCTCGGCCTCTCAAGTAGCTGGGACTACAGGAACATCCCACCACACCCAACTACTTTTTGTATTCTTTTGTAGAGATGGGGTTTCGCCATGTTGCCCAGGTTGGTCTTGTCTCAAACTCATTGACTCAAGTGAGCTGCCTGCCTTGGTCTCCCAAAGTGCTGGGATTACAGGCGTGAGCTATTGTGCCCAGCCTTTGGAAGGCTTTTTAAATTTAAAAGCTTTGAGGTTTATCCATACTATTTGTCAAGTTTTTGGAGAATTTGTTTTCACAGATCAAAGCTTCTAAAAATGCTTTTAGTAGTAGTTGGAATGGTGTTGCTTTAAAAGTTGGTGACAGAACAAGTATTTGGTGTTAAACAAACAAGTATTGTTTTATTAACGTATTTGTTAGTACTATTCATTATGAAAATGAATCCTTATCTAAAACCATATGTGGCTATGGAAACCACTTTTGTAGTTCAGAATATACAGATTTTGTGTGCATTTAGCTATGTTACATAAAATCATCACTGCACTTAGCTTATAAGGATTGAACTTGCATTTAAAGGGATCAATCAATGCTACTGTTTGTGAAACAGAAAGTTTTGTGTGCCACTTATAAACATTATCTATAAATCAGTACTTGGGAAAATTCTACTTTTTTTTTTTTTTTTTGAGACAGGGTCTCGCCCTTTCGTCCAGGCTGGAGCGCAGTGGCGCGATCTCGGCTCACTGCAAGCTCTACCTCCCAGGTTCACGCCATTCTCCTGCCTCCGCCTCCCGAGTAGCTGGGACTGACAGGCACCCGCCACCATGTCGGGCTAATTTTTTTGTATTGTTAGTAGAGACAAGGTTTCACCGCGTTAGCCAGGATGGTCTCAATCTCCTGACCTCGTGATCTGTCTGCCTCGGGCTCCCAAAGGGCTGGGATTACAGGCGTGAGCCACCGCGCCTGGCCAGTACTTGGGAAAATTCTACTTTCTTAACCTATTGATACCAGGAATAATTTCTGAAAAACTAAACAGAAATAAAATGACCTTGGGAGCAGGAATCTTTAAGAGGCTAGAAACTCCTTCCCTTCCCAGAACTACAATTACTAAACAACCTTTTTCTTAGCTTCCCCATTATATTCAAGCTGGTTTATGTCATTCCCCTTTGCAGTTACTTGCTGTGCAGCCAAGAGTGTCTGCCATCTCCTGCTCACTAACAAGCCAGGAACTAATGGGTCTTACCATACCTGCGGCTATGAGGAAATGACCCCTAACATTGTAAAATTTTTCTCCACCTTTTAAATTCCATAACTTACTTCAGTCATCTCATGGCTCTCATGTACCCTTTGTGAAGTCCTATTTAGCAATTTCAGGGGACAAAAACACAAAACAAAACAAAAAAACCCTTGCTACTTCCTACTCCATTAAACCAATTCTCTGAAAATGGATACACTTGCCTTCAGTGTTTATAGATCCAAAATTTTGATGGGTATGGAGAAATATCTCTTATATACCCTTCTTCACCACATCCAGTGCTGAGTGCAGCTCCACTACCCTCGTGTGTTTACATGTCTCTTCCTATGATACAAAGGTGTTGGTAGCACCTCCATTCTTTTGTTTGTCAAAAAGTGCAACATCTTCAGCCAGTGGGTATGGCTTAGATGAAGGAAGTTCAAGGGGATGTTCTAAGTTATATTCTAGAAGTGTTTTTTTTCTCCATCCAGCTGCTGCAACTGATGGAAGGCTTTGCTTTGTATTTGCCCCATTATTAAATCTAAAATAAAAAAGTTTAGAATTTAACCTGATTTGTGGAGCAGAGAGGTTGCAAGCACTTAACTCTCATTCAGTATCCATGTTGACTTGCTGCCTGGGTATCTGTCTGGCCACATTTAATAGACACGTTTTTTCAATCCATTAGCACCTCAGTAAAAATCTGCTACATCTTTCATCATTTGTAATGATGGAGAGTCACAGCTTCAGCCATTTGACAGGTTTCCCAAAGTGAAGGCTTTGATATCCATCACCTAGAGCAGTGGTCCCCAACCTTTTTGGCACCAGGGACTGATCATGGAAGACAATTTTCCCATGGAATGGGGAGGAGGGGGAGGATGGTTTTGAAACGAAACTGTTCTACCTCAGACCACCAGGTATTAGTTAGATCCTCATAAGGAGCCCACAAGATCCCTTGCATTGCAGTTCACAATAGGGTTCACACTTCTATGAGAATCTAATGCTGCTGCTGATCTGACAGGAGGCAGAGCTCAGGCGGTAATGCTCCCTTGCCCGTTGCTCACCTCCTGCTGTGCGGCCAAGTTCCTAACAGGCCATGCACCCAGTACTAGTCCATAGCCAGGGACTGGGGACCCCTGACCTAGAGTACCTCAAAGCAAGTGACCCTCTCACTACTTTCCCTCTGCCCTGCTTTTTCTTATACATTGCTTGAAGAGAGCTCCCTTTTCTAGGTCAATGGGCATTACCTATTTGGTTTGTTAAGGGCAATCTGAGGAAGAAATAAGATGATACAACTTCTCTCCTTAGCACCTGTTTGCATGCTTACACTCTGAATGAAGAAATTTTATTTTTTTTATTTTTATTTTTTTTTTGAGATGGAGTCTCGCTTTGTCACCCAGGCTGGAGTGCAGTGGTGCGATCTCGACTCACTGCAACCTCCACCTTCCGGGTTCAAGTGATTCTCCTGCCTCAGCCTCCTGAGTAACTGAGATTACAGGCGTACGCCACCGCGCCCAGCTAATTTTTGTATTTTTAGTAGAGACAGGGTTTCACCATGTTGGTCGGGCTGGTCTCAAACTCCTGACCTCGTGATCCACCCACCTCGGCCTCCCAAAGGGTTGGGATTACAGGCATGAGCCACGACGCCTGGCCAGGAAATTCTATTTAGTTTCAAAATATATTCTCTCTTCTTGACTTACATCTTTTCATCTTTTCCTAACTTTGAATCCATTTTTTTTTTCATTGCACTCCCATTCCAGACAGTTCTATTCTTGCACAGCCATGGCAGGACATCTTTAAATTTTGATAGAAAATACTAAAAGGAAAATCTCTATAATCCCAGTGACTAAGTACTGGGAGCCTATGTTCTCAATCTTCCTCCATATTGTGTTATTTGCATTATCAAGGTGATAATGTTATGTATTTGAATAAGAAGAACGTATATAAAGCAAACACTGTATTAGTAAAATAATTAGAAAATAGGGGGAAGCAGACTCAAAAGACATCTATTTGTAGTGTATTGTCTTTGTCTTAAATCTCATCCAAATAAACATACTGTAAAACAAAACAAAATGTTTATAAGACAACCAAGGTAACTTGAATGCTGGATAGCTGATGAATTAACTTTTCAGGTGTGATAATGGTATTGTAGTTTTCTTTTTTGAAGAGCTGTATCTTTCAGGGATACTAAAATACTTTTGGATGAAATAATAAGGTGATAAGATGTCTGAGATTTGCTTCAAAACATTCTGGGAGAAGAAGGGGGAGGAAAGGGGATATAGACGAAACAAGATGAACCATGAAATGAACATATATTGTATGTGTAAGTCATTACACTCTCCTCTCATTTGTATGTTAAAATTTTCCATAATAAAAAGTAACAAAACAGAGGGTGAGAGACATCTATTTACACTGGTACCCGTTATTTGAGCAAGAGTCCAATTCCCACATCCAAACTCCCCAGCCTTCGGAAAAGGAATGTAGGCCAAACGTCCCAGGCTGCCCCTCTGAGGACCTCTGTCCCTGGGAGTAGCAATACCTGTTTCGGGTGGCACGGATGATAGAGATGGAGGGAGGCTAGATGAATGGTCATGCTACCCATACACATAGAAAAGCTGGCTACATGAAACAATAACCACAGAGAAGCAGGAGGGACCACTCACCCTCAGACTTAAGTGTTCTCCAGGTGCCCTGGGCCTATACTTGACAGGGGCCAAGGTCACCTGTGCTATAAAACTTCCAGAGTACCTGGGCTATAGAGCATACTTGTTCCTAATTCACTTTTTGCCTCATGGCTGTGTAGGGTAGACTCAGCTCTGGGGCCTTGTACATCCTTGTACATTCCCTAGGATTACCCAGCAGCCTATTTGGGTCTTTGTGTTGCCCCACCCCTGCTCCCCACTGAGGCAGAGCACTGAAAATGTGAACCAAACAGGTGAATGCAAATTGTGGGAGTGGGGTGAGGGACGTGCCACCACATTTAGACTCTCTCTCTCAGCCTTGGCCTGCTAAAAGGAGGAGAAAACAGTGCCTGGATGGTAGAAAATAAGACAGTAGCTGCCCACAGAAACAAGCTGAAAGCTGGGGCACTAAGGGCTACCTATCCTTCTTCTTCTTTTTTTTTTTTTTTTGAGACGGAGTCTCACTCAGTCGCCAGGCTGGAGTGCAGTGGCGTGATCTCAGCTCACTGCAACCTCCGCCTCCTGGGGTTCAAGTGATTCTCCTGCCTCAGCCTCCCGAGTAGCTGGGACTACAGGCACGCGCCACAACACCCAGCTAATTTTTGTATTTTAGTAGAGATGGGGTTTCACCATGTTGGCCAGGATGGTCTCGATCTCTTGACCTCGTGATCCGCCCACCTCAGCCTCCCAAAATGCTGGGATTACAGGCGTGAGCCACCGCGCCTGGCCAGGGCTACCAATCCTTTGGGGCTCAAAAGATGGTTATGTGTGTCACAGTGTACATCTTGGGAATGTGCTTCTATTTTGTTTCCTTTTCATTTGTTTAGTATCAGCCTCTTCCAGGTATCCTTTTTTAAATACCTGTATCAAGCATGCTATGTTATTTAATTTTCTCCCTGAAGATTACCTAAGAATATCACCTGAGGAAGGTGCTATTGGCCTATTACAAATACAGAAACTGAAGCTGAAAGGTTAAGCACCTTCCCCACGTTCAGACAGCTCAATAGCGGAAGAGATGGAATATAAGCCCTATTCTTATTTCACAAAGCTGCCTCCATGCTGGGGCAGGTAACGTTAACCCTAGGAAACTGCCCAAAACCCACCAAAAGAGAGAAGCTCCTAGGGAACAGAGTTGAGAATGTTCATACCCTGCCCCTGCCAACTGCCGGTCTGCTTGGTTTTGTCACACTGGCATTTCTGGCTTTGGATGAATCAAAGGTGGCTGTTACTATGCTATACTCCATCCTTGGTACACAGAGCACCTCGCCAGGCCTCTCCCCCACCATCACATCCCCAGTTTCCAGAAATCATTCCCCTGGTCATCTGCCTGGCTATCCATTCTCCACAATCCCCATGAATGGATGCTACCCAGGACACACAGTGAGCATGAGCTGCTGTCTCCCCTTTCTTGCCACCACAACCCAGTTTGTTTCCTCTATTCCATGGAGACTGCCCTGGCCAGCTCATCAGGCATCTCTGAATCACAATGGCCACTTCCCAGAACTTGATTGCCCTCTGAGCTGCTCAATCTCTCTCCTCCCTTGGCTCTGTGACAATGCTTTCTACAGGGGCCCTATGCTTGCAGTGGATGCCCCTTCAGGCTGCAGGCTCTTTAACTCTCAGGGCTTCCCAGGGCTCTACCTTCCCTTCCCTCTGAATACTCTCCTGAGGTAACTTGCTGCTTCAGATTCTCTCAGCCTCACCTGACTCCCACGTCTCCAGCTGCTTGCTCTGTGCTGACTAACTCCCACAGGCCGGTGACCACATTCTGTTCCCCTTGCCATTGCAGGACTTAGATTAAATGCCATGCCGCAAGGCATGGGATCTGGCTTTCGCAGTGGCCAAGAAATATCATCCCAGCAAGAAAGTGGGGAGCTAACACTGGCTCCATGGCAAACTTTGAGCAGTAAAGCATGGGCAGGAAGCAGAACAGGTGAATTTCCCCTCCATCAATCCAAATACAATGTTCTAGCCAGTCATGGTGTTTCTGTGTAGTCTATCCAGAGACATCCAACATGGGCAAGTGACTAGCTGTCTTTGTGAGGCAGGAGCCAACTCACTAACACCAACCTTTGATTTTCTTTTCCTCCTTTCCCTCACTCTCGCTGCTCTGAGACTTCACCCTCCAATAAAGTGCTAACACTAGCTTTGCCTCAGATTCGGTTTTCTTAGTAACTTGAATACAGACAGTAACCTCACCCAAACCATGCCTTCAACCACCATTGATACACTCCCAACTCACTCCCCAAACTTTTCCTATCTTCAATCTGGACATCCCTGCTGAGCTCCAGACCCAGCAGGTTCCAACTGCCAAAGGGACATCTCTGCTTGTACATTCTCACAAGCACCTCAAACTCATGTCCAAAATAAAAGTCATCTTCCTCCTCCTCAAATACGTGCCCTTTACTTGTATTTGGCAGGATGCAGAGATGGAAGACACCCTAAAGGAACTCCTGTCTGAAGTGGGAGAGGAGTTAACTAACACTTAAAATAGAAACAGATGCTTACTGGCATAAAGTAGCGTAGTAGGAGCACATACTGGAGAAGAGAAGCAAGGCTACTGTGTGCCAGCACAGTGCTTGATGCTTGCATGCACTATCTCATTTGACCTTCATAACAACCCTGTAAGATATCATTTTTCCATTCTGCAGGTAAGAAAACAGATCAGAGATTAGAAACCTTGCCAAAGTCACAAAGCAACTAAATCCAAGCACACCTGGAAAAAAGGTCGGTATCTTTTGCTGCCTCAAGAAGAGGAGCACCTAACAGGCCATAGGGATTGGAAATTTCCTGAGATGGCATTGCCAGAGCTATCTTAATAAATGGACAGGATGTCAGCTGAGGAATGGGGATGGGGCGAGGGCAGGGAGGTAGAGTGGAGGGAAGGAGGTAGATGGCATTCTGGGTGGTGGGAAGAGGCCTAAGAGAGCACCGGGTGGCAAGCAAACTGCAGGGGTTCACTAAAGCTGAACCACCTGGCACATCGGGAGAGGCTGGAGAGGCGGACAGGACCCAAATCATTGATGGTCTCATGTGCCATTCTAGTGAGTTTAAATTTTAAAATCTAGACACATAGAGGAACCATTTCAGGATCTTATGTAAATTTTAAATCTAGTTGAAGAAATCATTTCAGGATTTAAACTGGGGAGTGACATGGCCCAGTATGCATTTTGGAAAGGTCCCTCATATCGATGTGTAGAACTGGTTGAAGAAAGGCAATGGAGGTAGGGTAACCAGTTTAAAAACTGCTGAAGTGCCCAGAGCAAGAAGTTATTTATAGACAAAGTTCGTGGATGTAAAAAAAGTGGAAAAATTTGAGAGACAGTAATGAAGGACAAACTGAACAGGACTGGATAACTAAATTAGCTAAAGAGATCAAAGAAGGAGTCAAGGATATCCAGGTTTGTGGCTTGTCACATGTAGGACACAGAAGAGATGATTTCAGTTTTGGACATGCTGACTCTTAAGATACCTGTGGGGCACTCACAGGGTGATAGCCAACAAATAATTGGGTGAATGAATTCGGCATTCAAGAGAGCAGCAGTTTAAGTAGTGAGAAACTGCCACCAAGGGAAAAGGATGGAACAAAAAGCCCCATTCTCCTTTCAAAGTGCCACCAGAAGTTGCTTGGCCTCGGTGTCTTAACCACACCAATCAGAAGGCAGGTCAGCAGCTTGGGTAGAATCCAATCCCAAGGAAAGGACAGTGTGGTCTGTGATTTCCTTGCCCTAGCAGAGCCCAATTTGGAGACGTGAGGTGAAGACTCTCTGGTTCAAGACACAATAATAACCCTTCTCAACCAGTTCTGTGAGAATTAATCCCTCATATGTAATGCATTACATCCTATGCATCTGGAATGACACTGGTTGTGTACCATCATTGAGAGTATTGAAGAAAAGTCATCAAATCATTTTCTCTCGGAATCCCAGGTGAGAAGAGCCAAGGTACAGAGCAGGCATTCAAACGCCATAACCCACTGACCTCCCAGACAGTATAGTCATTGAGAATATGGCCCCTGGACGCCCAACTTCAAGCACCCCTCCTCCTGTCTGCCCTTCCCCTCAAGACAGAAAGCAGAAGAGCAGAGGGTCTGGCCTAGTTTAGGCCTAGCACTCTGCAGGGTCAAGGGTCTCTTTCTGCATCTAGATCAGAGCCTTTTGGGAGTCTGAACTGGACTTCTCTCCCCAAGAGGGAAAAAAAGAGAATATAAAGGAGCTAGCCAACTAATCTAAACTGGGGCTAATATCTACAATGCTGGGGTGCTGTTTACCAGCCTAATGAGTCCCAACTCTGCAAGTATTTTCAGTAGGTCTGGGTCAAGACCAGAAATCTGTTACATTTTAAAAGAAACTCCCCAGGTGATACTAATTTATGGTGGGGTTTGGGAGTAGCTTTTGTACCTCCTATCCTTTACTAGTATGCCACTTTAGTTTTCCCTTATTTAGTAAATATTCCCTCTGAGAGACCCCAGGTCTTATGGGAAGACTGGCCAGTACATCAGAAAATTGGCTGGGGTGGTGATCATATCATTACTCCAGCTCCAAAAATTGGACTAAAGAGCAGTGGAAGCTACAGGAAGCAGAGGCAGGGTTGGCAGAGGCTACACCCTCCCAGCCCTCCTGACTCCATAAATGAACTTAGGTACCTAGTCCTAAGTCTAGCCCTTTCCTCCTTGGTTAGAGTAACTTACTGCACATGAATTTTAGAAACAGCATTCTTCTGGTCACTACGAAGAGGAGACCTCAAATTTGATACAGCCAAAGCTTCCTCAGCATCGCTTCTCCTCCACTCCTGCTGTGAGCTTAATGGCCCAAGTCCCACTCTCAACACCACACAGGAAGCACTGAAGCAGAAGTTGCTTTAATCAAGGGGTGAAGTCCTCAATCAAGGGGACCTCACTTAACCTTTGGTGGTGGGGTCTCAGCCTACCCCCCACAAGCCCTGAGGCCCCTCAGGAAGGAGGGAGCAGTTGAACAACAAATTATGGCAGAGGCCAGGGAATGGGAGTGGGGGAACCCGGGTCAAGGTGAAGGGGCAGGACGCTGAAAGGGTGGGAGTGAAGCTGAACGGGGCAGGAAGAGCTTAACCCACGTTTCTACCTGGGGGCTGGCTGAGGTGGCTGTGCATCGGGCAGAGCGGCACCAGAGGGCTGAGGGTCGAAGGGGACAGCAGGGGAAAGGAGTGCTTAGGAGATGAGGCGACTGTGAAGCTGGTGCAGCTGCTCCTGGGTCAGCACCAGCCGGTGTCGCTGTCCAAAACCAGCCGCACATGAGAAGGTCACTTTGCCCATGTAGACTGTGTCATCCTGCTGCTCCTCCTTGGCCTGGTGGTTGATGAGGAGAAAAAGACTCCAGGTCAGGGGCTCACTTGAGCTGTGGGCCACTGAAGGGGTCCCTGAGCACTGAGACCAAGGCAGCTCCTGGGTGACTAGGGCTTCTGAGATCCTGGGCTATTGTGACCACATTTTTCAAATAAGAATGGGGATACATAATCTGACAAGGGAGTTTTGAGGCCCTCCTGGTGTCAAAAGTCACGGAAGGTGTTTAGGTGCTAAAATATTGGAATTTCAAAGCACTGTAAGCACTTCTGAGTTACTTGTAAGTAAAATTTGGCCAGATAACCCAAGGTATGCAGTTGTTAGACCTGAGACTCCAAAGGCCTCCTCCAATTCTGGAGGAGAGGGGGGCCCGCCTGAGCTCTCCACACTGTCCCATCCTCCACCCCATGCTCCCCCTCACCCTGAGGAAGGCTGATGAAGGGAAGGTGGCAAAGTCAGTGGGTACTGTGGCTCCAGGGCGCTGAGATACTGTCTCCTTGAGGACCTCATCCTAGGGAAGGGGAGAGGAAGACAAGGGTTCATTTATGGGACCCCCACAGGCTAGCACAAGACCACGTGGTTTCACAGAGACACTAATACCAGGGGGGCAGGGACTTAGTCCTCTATATCAACATACTTTTGCTCTCATCTCCAACCCCATCCCCACACCAGCACTCCTCCTTACTTTGCAAGTCCTCATCCTGTAAGGCCCAACTCACATTCTACCGCTCTTGGGAAGCCATGCCCAACCGTTCTACCCCACAATGATCTCAGCGCTGATGGAAGCTAAAGCCTGAACCAGTCACTCTAAAGATTACCCTAGCTTATCCATTTTGTTATGAGAATCTGTCTTCTGTTTGCACTGAGACAGTGAGCTTCCAAGGCAAGAACCCTGCCTTCCCTTCCATCTCCTCCCCAATTGCTGTCTAGCACAGGGCTGGGCTCAGAGGAACTCCACAAGTGCCTGGCTCCACCAGTTTATGCTGTGAAGTGAGCTCTGCCTGGCAAACTGAGCTGACCTTGAGCTTCTCGACGGTGTCACTCAGGGACTTAAGCTGAGCCACTTGCTCCATAAGTTGGGCCGACGGGCTCTTGGCAGCTGTGGGGAGAGAAAGCTGGTGAGGCCCACCAAGGCGCAGGCAGGCAGTTCTACTGGATTAAGGGTTAGGGGTGCAGGTATAAGACTCTCTAACAGAACAAGTACTTGAGAGAGAGTGGGTGAATCAAACAAACTGAACAGTGAAGCCAAAGAACACTGCTGGGAAGAGCTTCTGTGGTGGGGGAACCACCTGAGCAGGGGCTAAATCCCTGGGCCAAGTGGAGGGGGCAGTTTTATTCATCTTGGGGGTTGGCAGGTACATACCAGGGCTGGTGCGAGTGATGTCTACTACGTGCGTGTGTGTGCTCAATTGATTCAATGTCTCCAGCAGCTGGCTGGTCTTACGATACAGCGCTCCAGCTGGTAACTCACTGCCAGGGCCCTCATGGGATAGCTTTGCAACATGCAGAGGGGGCAGGGATGCCAAGGATGCCTTCATCTGGGCTCCCTGTGGATGAAAAAAGAAGGATAGTGGTAAGAGGTGCTAGGAGGCCCCTGTCATCTATCATCAATGGGGCAAATATGCTCCATCTCCCATCCCAGTCCTCCCCGTGGCTCCCTCACCTTGAGGATGCTGTTCTCATGCTGGAGCTGGGAGATGTGCAGCCTCATGGCAGAGATCTGCTGAAGCAGCAGTGGTGAGTCCTTCACCAGCCCTGGGCCTGGCACAGACCCTGGAGCCTGCCCAGGGATGGCTCCTGTGGGGACCATAAAAAATCTCATCAGCCCCAAGTGGAAAGGGTTGAAAATTGGGCTCCATTCCTACTCTTCCCCTTTCCTCATCCCCCCATCACCCATCTCCAGTCCTGGCTTCCCCCTCCACCCTGCTCCCTTAGCTCCAACTCCCACCAGCCTGGTAACCCCCGGCCAGAGTGGGTCTCTACCTCGCTGCTGTTCTTCTGTGCTCGGGATAGCCCATGGGGGAGCAGGAAAAGAGGAGAGAGGAGTTAGGTGATTTGGGGGTTACGGGGACACACCAGAGGAATCCTGGACACAACCTGCAGGAAAACCCTTTTCCTAATCATCATACTTTCTCTAACAAGACTCTCTGCCACCTATCTTTGGGGACGAGCAGATAAGTGTTAAAGAAAGACACCAAACAGGAGTGAGGCCACAAGACAGGGTACAATGTGTGAAGAACAGTGGCAAAGAGAGTGTGCACTGTACAAAGTACTTGGAACATGAGGCTGTTCCTGCCTCCCTGTCTCAGATGCCATCTCCAAGAAGGGCACGGAGAATGCTCCAGAGACCCCAATATGTCTGCACCCTTAGTGCTCACCAGCAGCAAAGCTTAAGTTGGGGATGCAAACACACTCCCTTGCTCCTAAGGATTCCCCATTGCTCTGAGGCAAAAGACCTTCTTTTTTGGTGGGAAGTTTCATAAATTCAGAACTATGTTTGTTTAAAGAGTGCTAATGTTTGTTTCAAGAGTGCTAAAAACAACACAAAGTAGTAATCCTGGAAACTCTCTCCAAAGAACACAGAGCTGTCTGTACCACAAGAGCCTAAAGTCAAGAAGGTACTTGGTCACCTCCCAAGATCAAGGGGTGTCAGTAACAGAGACTTTGTCAAAGACTCTATGTAGGTGAGGTCAGCTGACAAGACTCAGGAGCAGCTGGGAAAGTCTGGAGGCCCTAAGGGTTTAATTCCAGGGCAAAAAGCCTGTCTTCTGGAGGTGAGAAGGTTAAGTGAGAAACTGGAGAGTAAACAAAACAAACTATAGGGCAGAGGAGAACAAAGACAGCAGCAGCCACCTCCTGAGTCAGGTAACTGGGGAGGCTAGAACTGGTAACCAGAAAAACTCTAGGTGAGGAGCCCTGACTATACTGAGTGACTAGACAAAGGTCAAAACACAAGCCCCAAGTGAAACTGGGATAATTCAGCAGTGGAAGATATGACCACATCATAAAATGAAGCCACATGAACTCAGTGAGAAAACACAGTGTCCAAGCAGAGAAGCAATCAAGAGCAGGTATCGGGCAGGGCTGGATGCCCCAGGAGAGTCAGCCCAGCCTGCTGCTGGCTGACAACCCTCTGGGATATAGGGCTGGGCAGAAAGGTCAGATTACAGAGCCAGAAAGGACATCTACTAGAGACCAACTGTCATCATTATTCTGAGCCTCATTAACAATTTAGTAATGCCCTCCTTTGCCCAGAGAAACTCAGCACACATCTTCAGCGGAAGGGAAAACTTGGTGAAAACTGGCACAGAGTGAAACTGTGTAAGCATGTTCCTGGCTGAATACCCGGGGGTAAGGGGGGTGGGGCAGAGGTCAAAATGAGGCCAAGGACAGGAGAGAAGACAATCTCCTCTGTGCTAGTGCTGCCTATTCCACAGTACTCACCACCAGCAATGCCAGAGACCAGAGTAGCAATGCCTGAAGGAGGAGGGCCCCGGAGTCCCTCAATCGTGCGTTTGGACTGGCTGTTCAGACGCTGCTTTAGTTCTGCCTTCTCTGCCTCCAGCTGGTCGATGTCAGCCTGGAGTGCATCCATTGTCTCCTCAAACTCTCTGTGAAAGAGAATCTGGGCTTTGGCAGTGTCCCTTCTCTAAAGCACTCCTTGACTATTCAGTCCTGAGAGGTCCTTGGAATAGCCCTGCCAGTGAGAAGCCAGGGCAGAGCAGCACAGGCTTAGGCTGGGGTGATGCAATGGGGTTGGCAGTGGGTAAAGAAAATGGGGAGTCTCACTATAAGAGAACCTGAGTAGGGGTATGGGTTAGGAGGCAGAGAGCTCCAGCAGTGGGAGGATTAGAGGAAGCAAGGCCCCAGGGAAAGTGCCTGACTTCTCCTTCTTTCGCAGCAGTGCCTGGGTCTCCTCCAGCCGAGTCTGGACTTTCTCGATGCGCTCATCTGCATCCTTGGCAGCACTGTCCAACTTCTTCTCCAGGAGGCTCAGCCGCACATTGGCCTCACTTAGCTCCTCTCCCTGGACAAGGACAGAACTTCTAGATCCCTGACATCCTCCCCACAGTCCCTGGAAACTGGGGGCTAGACCATGAGATAGTAGGTTCCCTGAGGGCTCACCACAGCTCCCATTGATTGCAGGCCCCACTTCTCCCCTTAACTCCCAAGCCGTCTTGGTCCCGATCCCCAACACTCACTGCTTTCCTGAGTCCTACCAATTTCCTGGCCCCCAGATCCTGAGCCTACACTACCCTCACCTTAATCTTGAGTGACTTCTTCAACTCCTTAATAACTGTCTCTCGATCTTCGAGCTTCAAACCCAGGCCTTCAGCATCTGTGATCTCTGCACGAAGGGCAGCAGCCCGCAGTTCAACCGGTGGAGGCTAAGGAATGGTCGGTAGGGGGTGAGAAAGTGAGGGTGGAGAGAAGAGATCATCACTGTGCTCCTTACAGAGAGATCCAGTTACAGGGAAAACCCTGCCTTCTAGGCAGGATGGTGCTCTCCAGATGCCTTCCTCCTGTCTCCCCGTCCTCCCACAACTAGCAGTAGCTCTGCAAGTCTTACTCCTACAGGCCTCTGCAACTTCTCCAAGGAAATCTCCACCTACCTTGCTGGGGGGCCGCTCTGCATCATACTCCCCCTCCTGCATGGCTGTGGCCAGCTTGTTCATGGTACTGATGAGGATGTTGCATGACTGGCGCAGACACTCATAGGGGCTGCTGGAGGGGGTCCCATAGATCTGCAGGAGCCAAGGGCAGAAGTAAAAGCCCCACACTGGTCACTAACTCTCCCCACACCTTCTACCCAGCCATCCAGGCCCACCTGCTCGCTTGCTTTGAAAGCCAGTTCCTCCAGAGCAGCCACAAGTAGCCCCTCATTCTCTGCCAGTGGGGCAATGAGCTGGGCAGCAGCAGCTGCCACCTCCTGCAGCACAGCCACGACCCACGTCAAGTGTTTCCTGCAGTCTAGGAGCGTGTCAGATACCTGTGTGCCAGGCCAGAGTCAGGAGTCAACCCTGGGTTCAGCACCACAGTTTCCAGCTACCCCAAAACCATTTTTGTCCCCTAACCAGATCCAGATCTTCAAGTGCTATACCCTTCATGTTTCTACTCAGTTTCCTTCCCTTCCCCAGTTGCAGCCTTAAACCTGTGGTCCAAAGGCCAGTGCAGCTGGGATCCCAGGAGCATCTGTCCCTGGCATTCGCCTTCGGATCTTCTTGCAGAACTGGCGGATGTCACTGCATGAAGTTTCCAGATCCCGGAGCAGGAGGGCAATATCTGTAGCCTCCTGCCCACCCTACTCAGGAAAAAGAAAATGGATGGAGAACCAAGTTAGCATTAAGGCTCGGAGTAAGGAAGTGAGGACTAAGAAAGAAGAGGAGCTCACACAGATCTAGATGTGTTCTCACCTGCAAGAAGGCACGCAGCCGTCCTACCTCCACACTCATGCAGTCCAGAGCACTCTGCGTGAACTGTGAGGATAGAAGCATGCAATCATCAGCCCCCAGCAGGAGCCCTTCTGCCTTATCAACATCTCTAAGAAGTCCCCATCCTCTGCTGACCCCCATACATAAGTAGGTCCTCTAGTTTCCCTGATATGGCTTTGGTAACTCTGCCCTAGTCTTATGTGACACTTCTTGGGTGCCTGATCTCTTGACCTGATGCCCTCCATTTCTGATCTCCACGGGGGCTCAATCACTGGCCCAGATACTTCACCTTAATGTGGTCAGCCAGCTGCATAGTACAGTCCTCAGGCTGTTCGGCAAGGTGGATGCTGTACAGATGCTGAGGAGAGATAACAGACAGACAACTTTTAGGCCCTGGAGCGGGTGGGGAGTTCTTCCCAAACTGTAGTTTGAGCCCTGGTCATCATGGGTCTCTGGAGGTACAAGAGAATCCAAAGCCCTCAAGCAGCTGCATCATATGGAGAGTTCATCTAAGAGCAAACCAGGCCTCAAGCAGCAAGCATGGGACATACAACCTTGAATATATTAGTAAGAGCCCCCATCAAGTGAAAGCTTCCCTGCCTCCTGCCCCAAGCCCAAATTCTTGCCCCACACCTGATAGTACTTGATGGCCTTGGTGAGAGGCTCCACATTGACAGTCTCATCCAGCTGATCCTTGTGCAGCAGTTCAATGAGGAAATCCAAGGAGCGCTCATGGGCACTCATCTCAGGGTACAGGCTGCCCACTTTCTTATACACATCCACACTGCACTGAGAGAGGGCACTAGAGACCAGAGAAGGGCACTGTGAGGCTAGAGTCTGCCAGGCAATCTCAGTTCTGGCCAATCCTGGACCCCCACCCTGGGGTGAGGGAGTCAGGAGTCACTTACTGCTCATAGCGGTGTAGCGTGGCCTGCAGCAGGCTCAGCGAGTACACCAGTCCAGCAGCAAAGCTGAGTTGCTCCCCAGCAGCTCCTCGCAGCCCAGGCCGCTCTGAACAGTTCTCACTTAGTTCAAACTTCTCCTGGGCCTGCTTCCGGATCAGCTCTGCCTGTGGGAAAAAGCACCAGGAACCTGGGCCTCAGAGCAGAGGATGGAGAACAGAGACTCAGGAATATAGTACTCAGAGCTTAACTATGTGGGGAGCATGGACACACATGGGAGAGAAAGCAGAAATAGCTCTTACCTGGGTGGGGAATCTTGCATGGGGAAAGGGTAGTGATGTGATTACTGGAGGTTGTGAGGAGTCAGGATGTGAAAATGAAAGGGTAGTGGGACCGGTGGAATCAAGGTCTTTCCTGACTTAAAGCTGCCACTCCTGCTATCTCTCCACCTAGAATGCTATCCTGCCCATCATCCCCAAGGTTAACCCCTAGGCACCTCCTGGCCCTCAGACAATGTTATTCCCTCAGTCACACCCTGCTCACCTCTAAATCAAATCTCTAATTGTGCTCTCTCACAGAACCTATCTCTCCTTGAAAACACACCATTTGTAATATATATTAATCGGTGACTTTGCTGTGTTCCTCCACTATACCATAAACTCTTTGTGGGCAGAGACTCTGTTGTCTTCACTCAGCATCTTCAATGCCTGGTTCATGGCAAGTTCACTAGATTTCTGTGGAACATGTGATTGATTGGCCATACCTTGCAAATGAGACGAGGCATGAGCAACAGCACCAGAACGCAGTCATGGTCCCCACCTGGCCGAAGGAAGCTGTCAGGCATGAAGGCTGTCAGCAGGGACATGTGTCGATTGGCCTGGGCCACCTCCATCTGCCTCAATTCCATCTCAATTGCCTGTGAGGTGAACAGGGAGGAGGACTCTTAGCCAGAGCTGAAAGAGCCCCAAAATTCCCATGCCTTGCTCCAGTAGATCCCTTGCTTCTAGGGCAAGCCCAGGCCAGAGTCTTCCAAACCACCACACAAAGCACCCCTTCCCCCAGGAATCTGAAGCCCAGACCCCATACCAGTTCATCCCAGGCAGGGCTCCCTCAGACCCACACACTTTCCTGACCTTGGCATGGGCCTTAGTCTCAGCAAACTTGATTTTGAAGTCAAAGGTCTCTGGAGGTGGCTGCTGTTGCCTCTCCACAGATGCTTCCTGCTGGTTTGTCAGTTCCCGATTCACATCCTAGGAGGAGAGACAGTGAAGCACAGCTGGGTCATAAGGAAGCCCTGGGGTGATGGTGGGCAGAGAGCAAACAGTGGGCATGTACCTGTAGATGGGCGGTCAGCTGGCGGTACTTCTTGATGGTCTGCTGGTAGTCTGCAACCGTCTCCTGGGCTGCCTCCACACGCTTCTGGGCCTCACGAACCCGCGCGCCTGCCATGTCCAGCTGCTCCCGCAGCTCCAGTTCTGTCTCACGTGCATTCTCCTGCAGCTCATCGTTCATCTCATTCATCGCTTCCTAGGACACCACACCATAGTTTGGGCTAAAGAAAGGCAGGGTCGGCCAGCGGCGGTGGTTCACACCTGTAATCCCAGCACTTTGGGAGGTCAAAGCAGGCGGATCATGAGGTCGAGATCGAGATCATGCTGGCCAACATGGTGAAACCCCATCTCTACTAAAAATACAAAAATTAGCTGGGTATGGTGGCGCATGCCTGTAGTACCAGCTACTCGGGAGGCTGAGGCAGGAGAATCGCTTGAACCTGGGAGGCGGAGGTTGCAGTGAGCCGAGATTATTGCGCCACTGCGCTCCAGCCTGGCAACAGAGCGAGATTCCATCTCAGAAAAAAAAAAAAAAAAAAAAGGCAGGGTCAGGGTAGCAAGCCCAGGCTGGGTCCCTCACCGCACACCCTGCTCAAAGGCCAAGGGTCACATGTCAATCTTTTTCTCAGCAGGTCCAAGTCAGATGTCAGGGGTCTGCTCTTCTCTTACCAAGTCTCCCACAGTCTCCCTCAACTCGCGCACTTTCTCTTCCAGATTCAGGTTCCGATCTGTCAGCATCTCCACCATCTCCTCAGCACCCAGAGCAGCATCCACCTGTGTTACGGGGAGGATAGGGAGAAGGGCTGCTGGAAGGTACCTAGAAAGAGGAGGCATCAACTGATAGGAGAGTCAGGTGGGGGATTCTGGGTGAGGGGCTGGGCTCCCCAGACCTGCTCCTTGAGCTCATCAATGGTGCTCTCTGCCTGGCTTAGCTCCTCCTGCAGACGCTCCCGCTGTTGCCTCACAACTTCCAGCTCTTGGTTCTTCTTTTCCATGAGCTTCTGGAGCTTCACATGCTCCTGCTTCTCTGAGGAAGAAAGATCCCGCATCCTGCAGGGATGTGAGGAAGGCAGAAGGAGGAAAGCACGTGTCAGAGTCTCTGGCGATGGGTGCTCTAACACATTTGGAGACACAAGAGTAAGCATCAGAGGCAAGCACTGAAGACCCTACCTCACCAGGGCATCCTTCAGGCGGGCATTCTGCTCCTCAAGCTGCTTGAGCTGATAACTGGATGCAGCGCCATCTGAGCCTGGAGAAGATCATTAACACTTTCAGGCATGGTTCTCACCTGACCGTTTGGCCCCCAGCAGCTGTGGGCCCCTTACCCTTCTCTTCAATCTCAGCCTTGAGGATCTCTAAGTCAGTAGTGAGCTCGTCCACCCGCTCCTTCAGTGCCTCCACCTCCTGCTGCAGGGACTCAGCCCGCTCTTCAGCCATCTCCTTGTCCAAAGTGGCCATCTCAATGGCATCAGCAGTATCAGCCATCTCCTCCATATAGCGTTCCTTTGCCTCCAGCGCCTCCTTGGCTTCCTGAGGAAGAAGTGGAGGTGGGAGGGGGTACCAGCACAGAGATGCCCCAGGCCTTTCTCACAGTATGTTCCAGGCTCCAGCTCCAGTCTAGTTTCCAGCATGCTTCCTTAGGTCTCAGGCTGCCCCAGCCACCCCCTTCATCCAGAGTCAAACCTTTCTCGCCTCCTTGAGGCGCCGCTGCAGGTCGGCCTGCTGCTCCTGCATTTTGCTCTTCCATTCCTGCACCTGCTCCAGCTGGATTTTGTGTTTCTCCAGCTCTTTTAGCTTTGCTTTGTCTTCTGCCCGTTTCAGTCTCAGGGTCTCTAGTTTCTCCTCCAGGTCCCGCACCTGAGCCCTTAGTCCCTCCTCCTCCTGCAAAGGAGAGGCCTCACGGTCTGTGCACAGCCCACTCCTCCTCTCCACCAACACTGAGCTGGCGCAAAGAACACAAGAAAGTGTGCAAACATCACCCAGCCCCAGGGTGGCCAACAGTCAGTGGCATAAGAACATCTGAGAGGAAACCGTAGCACAGTATATATGGGGAAAGTATGGCATAAGGGCAAGAAAGGAAAGGATGGCTCAGTCAGTAGCAAGATATCCATAGGCTATGTCCTCACCCTTTCTGATCCAAGTTCTAGGTCTTTGCCAACCCCAGGAAATTTTCAAGACACAGCGGGTAGCCACAAGCCTCTGGGTGTCTTGATTCTCCTTTACCCCTACCCCAGGCCTTACCTTGGATGGGGAAGGAAGCGGGGGGACTGCTCCAGGAGAGGTGAGGACCGGCGTGGGGATGATGGGTGCTGCCAGCGGAGTCTGAGCCGGGGTGCTGGGCTCACTGCTGCTCAGCTCACCTGCTGACGCTGAGCCAGAGGGGCCCAGGGAGCTACTGGCCCCAGCCACCCCAGTACTGGCTGGGCGCGTGGGCTATTCAGAAAGGGTAGAGGCAGACCAGAAAGAAAGCAGAGGATAGGGGTAGTAAGAGGAACAGAAACAGAATATGAGAATATGGCAAGGGAAGGAGACAGAAAAGGGAAAAAGCAGAAAGAGAGTATCAAAGCACAGTGAGAAAAGAAGAATGAAGGGGACAAGGAAAATGATACAGAGAGGCAGAGAGAGATAGTGACAAAGGACAGGGGGAGGATGGAGGCAGAGGAGAGAGGGAGGAAAAGATAAGAGAAAGACATAAGATTATAAGGCTCCTCGCTTGGCACTGACTCCACATTCCTCCTAGCTCTGGCACTACCCTTAAGAGCAGAATCCGTTATTCCCTAGAACCCCCATCTATGACCCACTTGTGATCATTCTAGCAACTCCATTATACTCTCAGTCCCATCCTTGCTCCAGGTCTATGCCCTCCACCCCTAGACGGAAAAAGTACAATCTAATTTCCACAGAAGGTTGGGCCAAAAGTGGGGGTGCCAGGCTCTCTACCCCTGCTAAGCCCTCTTTGGGAGTCAAGCTGAATCTCCCTCTCTCAGTCTATTTCAGAGGACCCTGCAGGTAAAAGGGCCAAGGTGAAAGTTGTACCCCTAGACTCCCCCTTGAAACAACTCTTCGTCATCTCCCCCGATCTGGCAACACTATCCATGCCCCTGTGGGGCAGGGGAGAAGGTGGGCAGAGGAGCTGACCTGAAGTTCAAGCCCTGGAGCAGACAGGCCTGCCAATGTGCTCAAAGTGCTGAGCCCCAAGGTCTCCCAGTGGGCTGACACTCAGAGATCATGTGCAATCCTCAGACATCCCCACCCAAGGCCTGTCACAGACACACTCACCTCCTTATCCCCTGACATTTTACATGGCCAAGTTCATCTTTCTTCCAATCCCTCCCATCAAAACTGGTCAAAATTCCCTTGTTCAAGAAAGCCTGCTTTGATTAACCACCACAACCCCATTCATTTCTCTTTTGCATTCAAGCTACTGGCTTAGACAACCTCCTAAAAGCCAAAAGCCATTTTCCCCAGGAGGTGCCTGCCAGCACTGCGAACCCCCACCCTTTCCTCTGAAGAGAACCCAGGATACACTATGACGAACTTTCACTTGCTCATACACGTGCCCTCATACATCCACATGCCTGAAACGTGTGTGTACACTCAGCAGTGGCTCACACAGGGGCCTGTTTTCTCACCTTGGGTCGCCGAGTTGTGGTCTGGACAGGCAACAGGAGCCAGAAGAGAAGTAGTCAGGAAAGAAAGGACAATGGCAGAAAGACAGAGAGCAAAAGGGACAGCAATGAGAGCAGAAGAAATAACAGGAATGGGGCTACAGTTAGCCACCCTCCCCCCCATCCCATCCCCTTCTCCCTTCAGTGAATCACTGTATTCCTACTTCAGGAACCCAGAATTCCTGTTCCCCTTGGTTCCTGCTCCCACTTTTGTCCAATCCTTGCAGGCCTCACCCCTTCAGACACCCCAGAAATCCCAGAAGTCCATCTCTAGGCTGAGCCATAGAACAAGGAAGCAGCTAGTGAGAAGGTCCCATGAGACCAGTCCTCCTGCTAACGATCTCTCCAACTCCAGTCCAGAGCCAGAGGCCCCGCCCAGCCACCACTCCCAAGGACTTTCCCAGGTCAGCCTCTTCCTTCAAGTGCTAGACTCTACACAGAACTCCCTAGAAACCCCATGTGACGAGCGTAATCTAAGCCCAGAAATGGGAGATCAGGTCCCTAGGGTAGAACAATGCTGCTGTCCTCCCTCCCCCAACCCCCTTCCCCAGAACCAGATCCTGCAGCAGTCCCGATCACTAGGGAAGAGGGCTCAGGTGTCAGGACCATGAATATTGCATTAGCAGAAGCCCAGAGCTCAGCAAAGTAACCCCACCCAGCTGTAGGAAAGGAGGTGGGGGTGGGCAGCAGCACAGAGAAACTACAGCCCCTTCAGGTTACTGCAAAATGGTAAGTGGACAATTAACTCCAATTTCCAAATAGTGTTCTTGCTACCCAGTATCTCACTGCTCTAGCCAAGACAAGATTTGGCTTGGGCCCTATTTCCAGCATACACTGAGGCCAATTCCCACCTCTTCTACCCTGGGCTAAGCTTCCACAGCTGTGGGTCAAAGACTATTCTAGGTTCCCCATCCCACCCTGGTAAAGTGCCCTGATACAAATCCTGGGGATTGGGGGATACTGGGAGAACAACCAAGAGGTATTCTAGCAAAGGTTGGGTGAGGCAGGCAGGCCTGCTAGAGGCACTGAGATACCTGGGCCTGCTTCCCTAGGTTCTACCACAGGAAACCCTCCCAGATCCGGTATGCGGTAGAGGCTGCCTGAAGCCCAAGCCTGTGAGGCCACTGGGTGTTAAGGCCTGGAACACAGGCAGAGCCAAAAGCAGGCAAGGCAGTAAGCAAATGCCCAGGGTGTGGGGCATAGTGGTGACACACACCTCTCCCTAACCCACCTTCGTCCTCACCCGCCTCCCCGACCAGGTAGACAGATGAAGTCAATCAGCCCCCACCCCCACCCCAGCAGCCTGCTGCCACCATTGCCCTGGCAACCCAGCAGCAGGACGAGAGCAAGCAAGAGTACCTTTCGGGCTGTCGGTGCCTGTCTCATCATTGCAGAAAACCAAAGAAAGCAAGGAGAGGAAAGAGGAGGGACAGAGGAGGATAGACAAACACACGGAGGAAGGACAGACGAAGGGAGGGAGGGCAAGAGACCGAACAGAGGGAAAGGCGGCGGAGACAGGAGATTAGTGCATCAAATCCCAACAATGCAGTCTCAGCCTCCCGGTGCGGCAGCTTCCCAGCCTGCAAACGGCCGCCGCTCTGACACAGAGGCCCCCGCAGACGTGCAGCTGGATCGCCAGGCTCCGGCAGGCACCGGAGCGGTGCCTGGCCCAGTTCACCAGCTTAGGCTGATGGCAGCCTCAGTGGCCGCAGCACCAGCTCCACCTGACGTCATGCACCCACCCTCCTCTGCTCCATGGGGGTGGAGCCACTGCTCCTCAGTCACCTAGCAACCATCTAGGGCTTTGCTGGCTCCTCCTCCTCATGACAGTCATGCGCAGAGCTTGTCCTGCTTCTTTCTCCAAAGAACAGGTTTTGGCTCCTCTCTTCCCTCCCTTGCCCACCCCCAAGAGCGTGCTCCAAAAAACTGGGCCAGGGGCTATCCCAGAAATGGCATTCTATGGGGCCAGGGCATCACTGGGGAGGGACACATGGCCTCTCTGCTCCAGCAGTCTCTCTCATCATACTCACATTCTGCCCCCGCCACCCACCTACCCACAGCCCCATTAACTCCACTTCTGTCTCTTATACAACCTGGCAACACCCTTACAGTCTCTCATCTGGCACACACATCTAGAGTGCCCCTCCAGCAACAGGCTTCAGCTCTGAGGAGCACACACAGTGACTACGAAACCCTGCGGAACACGCATCTGGGTAGCAGCAGCTCTAATGACTGTTGGGCTCCTCTCCAACCATCCCCTGGTTGTAGACAGGTTAAAGCCTGTCTCTAAAGGGTTTCCAAAAAGAACTAGGCACTTTGCAGAGACATCTGAGTTTTCTTCTGCCTTCCCCTTCAAAGCATATTCTTTTGCTCTGGAACCAGCTCCCTGATCCACATGGGTGAGAGCAGGGGCCCTCTGCTTTGAAAAATAACTACTGGAGAGGAAGACTGGGGTGCTCCGGGGTGGGGGCACTCAACTGTCTGATTGACACTTTCCAACGTGAGTGCAGAAGGGCAGCATGGGTGGCCTAGGCTGGGCTTTTTCACATTTCCCCAGGCAGCTGCCAAAGCCCCTGGATTTGGGCATTGCTCAGGCCCCAGCCCAGGGTCAGACCAGGCTGGGGCCAGAACTCCATAAATATCAGACCATAGTTTCATGCTCTTCTCTATTCAAGGCCTGAGGTGAAATGGAAGCCCCAACCAGGAGACAATAATCAAAGGACAAAGCCAAGTTTCTATGACTCTGAAATGGGCCCAGGATCCTTCACAGCATTATTTTCCTTATATCCCCATTCCCTACCAAAGCAAGTACCAGCATGTGGTCTCTACCATGGCAAGACTCCAAAGGACCCATCACCAACCAGGAGCTGGTTTCCCCCTGGAAAAGGAGATGTTTTCCTCTTCCCTCCCACAGCCCCAATCCAGCAGCTCTCCATGCAATGTCAGAATGGCCTGAGATAGGCTGACGACAAGGAAATCACAGAATTGTACATACAGCACAGTACATACAGGCCAGACAGGCACATGCAGGTCAAAAACAGCTTGGGCAGAGGCCCAAGGCAGGGGCTGGTTTGAGGAAGTGGTCATGGCAGTGATCTAAGAGTTTAAAGAGTCTATGGTGGGAAGGGGAGGGGACGTGACATGATTGAGCCCCACTCCAATGATGGTTGATGAAAGGCTGCAAGGGGTAGGAGGTAGGCCTCAGGCACACCACCAGAGGAAGGAGACAGGGACAGACTGATGGGGCAGAGTTGTGGGGTGTGGGGATATTTATGGCTGTGCCCATCCACAGGCAGGCACATGAAGGCTCTTAGGTTTTCCAACTTGGGACTGTTCTTCCTAGGCTCTGTTCCCTGACCTCCCATCTTCCTGCAAAACCCCCTCACTTGGTACCTTCCTCAGCCCCATTCCCCCAGTCTATCCTTCCACAGTCGTCCAAGCTCGGGCTAAGTGAGAACACACTGTAACCCAGTAAATGATCTATTTCACACTGCTGCTATTTACAGTCAAATGCTTATAGTTTTTGATTGGGGAATCTTTGACTTGGAGTCCTGGGGCAGAGAGAATCATCCCTAATGAGTGCTACCTGGGTATGGACACTGAGCCTGATGTTCTTGCACCCTTCAAAGGAACTCTGAAAGCCAAGGCCACCATTTCCTCTGGCCATCCCAGCCCAAGGTCACACACACATGCATGCAGCAGCCCAGGGACATGCAGGACAGCTGGGGAAGGGGCTCATGGCCCCCATCCACCCAGGCACAAATAGTAAACACACCACCTTCTTAGGCTTCAGTCCCCGCTGCATGAGGAGTAGGAAAGGGCAGAGTTAGAGAACAGATGTCCTGGGCATAGGTGTTAAGACCAACTCGGGCTTACACAGGTTAGACGCGGGTAGGGGGGAGTCAGGGTGAGATGAGTAGCCCCTCAAAGATCAGCTTCCAGGATGTTCACACCTTGGCCCAGAGAAGCTGCAGAGTCTGCAGCCCCACCTCACACACATCCTGCACAGAGTAGCAGAGAAGAACTAGGAAGCACTCTCTGCATCCAGCTTAAAACAGGAGGCAGAGGGCCCGGCTCCTTGCCATTCACTTGTGAATAGGAGATTGCTTCTTCCTCTATCTTCTACCTTAACCTTACCCTCAGACCCTTTAGATGTTGGCATCTTTGGGTACCAAAAGGTAGGAAGTTGGCTACACTACTAGGGCCAGACCTGTCCTTCCTATCACCCTCAGCTCAATCTCATTTGACCCTGAACTTCTGGAGCCTATGAGTTTTTCCCTTCTACCATCTTTACTGTAACTCTAACACAGCAATTAATCCCCAGAAAGCCTCCTTCTTAGGGAAGTTGGAGAGACTAGAAGGCAAATCAGACTCACCTACTACTTCTACCTGCCTAGCACTGGGTATCCCTCCTCTTTCTCCTTCCCCTCCCTTTATTATTCCCCATTCCCACCCCCAAATCACTCACCAGTTTGCTAGTCTTTGCAGTTGTATCAGTTCCCTCTGTAGAAAGCAAACAGAAACAAAGTGTGTACTTGTATAGAGAGGTAGGGGGAGATATAATAAGGGAATATGGTAGTGACGGAAAAAAATCTTAGGATCTACTGTGGCCCCATGTTATGAGGAGAAGTCCTGGGGACTCCTCCTGGCTATGGGGAGGCAACTTTAAGTGGGTGGTTGTTACCTCTTTTGAGGACTTTTGAAGCAGAAGAATCAGGTGTCTCTGGGGAAGTAGTATCTGCTCCATCTTCAAATACCTGGATCTGAGGCCAGATTCAATATAGCCAGATCAATAGTTTCAATATAGCCAGATCAAGGACGGCTGTAATATGGGCCCCTCCCCAGGCTCCAAGCAAACCAAGAGTACAGGGCAGCTTCCCTAAGGATGCATCTTCAATCTTCCCTCCCCCACTACCTTCCACTCTCCCAACCAGAGGCTTATGCCCATGCTCAGGAAAACGAAGTACCAACACATCAGCTGCACATGCGACAGACATGTGCACACATGCACAGACACAAAAGAAGGGCGTGAATACCTGGGACTGGCGCACAAAGATGCCATGCCCTTCATCACAAGTGAAGTACTTCCTGCCTTGAACAGTTCCATCATTTTTGCCCTTTGCTTCATCCAGAATCACGCCTACCCATTTGCCAGTGGCAAACAGTGTGGCTCCAACATAGGCCACAGTGCCTCGGTGGCCTTTTCCAATCACCTCTACACGGGAGCCCACCCGCAGAGGCCGGGCGCTTGCCTCCGCACTCATCCTGCTGCCGCTGGGCGTCTGAAAGACACAGGTAAACACAGACAGTTAGAGGCCTCAGATCAAAGGTGGCATTCTTATGTATAAGAAATGCCTCAGCCAAGATGCTGGACTGAAAAACAACCAGAGTCATTTTCTTAAACCCCATTTACAGAATTGGGTGGACCCCCAAATTCCCCTTTGAAAAAATGCCAATGATATTCTAAGATTTCTCCAAATTCCTCTGGAATCTGCTAGAATTTTTAAGTTTATATTTTTTATAACAAATCAGAATTCATTGACCAGTCTGTGAATGTCACCACATGGCTGCTTTCTCAGGAGCACTGTCTCCTTAATTCTCTTCTCAGGAGGGGAAATAAGATCAAGCAAATAACTCAGTTTAGACCAGGCTCCCCACAACCCAATGCCCTGACTCAGGAGTCTGAGCTGGGAAGACAGGCAATTCAGTGGGTGATCCTACAGAATCCTGTTTCCCCTTCCACTGTCACTTGTCTCCTCTGTGTTTCAAATGGTTTTCTTAGGCCTCACCCTTTCAGAGGCACACAATTGTGCCTCCTTCCAGACCCTTAAGTCACCACCTCTCCTTCCTGATCTGACTCCTCCCACCCCCATCCACAAACCCACCATGAAACCCCAGATGCTTCACCACAGCCCATTCAACCATTCAACTCCCCTTCTACCTGGCCTGAGTCTTGTTTGGTCAACTCTCTATCCCCAAGCTCTGGAGATTCTTCTCCATGCTATGTTGCTATAAAAAGGAAAACACAGGCCAAGTAAATTGGGTGGATCTACCCCTCGCTCTGTCCCCAAGACTCTGCTCAGTGGTCCAAATGAATGGTTTATCACTCCACAGATGGGCAAGGCAAAACAACAGACTAAGACACTGTCCTTGGGCAGCTCTTAGCTTCGGCACACCCATGATGACTGAACACAATAGAAAATTAGGTCCCAAATAGGCCCATGGTTTAGAAGAAAATCACACTTAGGTCATTTTTAGCAACAGCAACTCCATGAACCAGGGGCCTTGCAGCAAACAGATGAATGAGGCATGATGAAGTGATACCATCATCCTAAAGACTCTATGGGAGACCCTTCTGATACTCTCATTTATAATAGCTTCAGAAGGGAGCCCTGGCAGAGCCAGGGAAGAGCCAGGACACCTCCCAGCCTATCACTGCCTAATTCCCTTCCCCAAACAGCTCATCCAGGAAGGTGAGGATGTAGTTCCCAGAGGCTCCAGGACCCCAAATCACACCTGGAACAGCAGGATGGCTCTCATGGACCTGACAATAAAAGGAATTGCCAGTGATATAAAAGGCTGAACCCAAAGTCAGAGACTCCCCCACTTTCCAACCCCAATAAGCCTCTCAGAACCAGGGGGCCACAACAGTAGCTACAGATTCTATCTCAGAAGAGAAAGAAAGCAAGTAACAAATAACAAAGCAGCTCTTAAGAAAGGCTTCACTGTAAGACCTCTCTGAGCCATCATCCCCATTCTGAGTCCCCAGGATAGTCTGGACCCCCTCAGGAGCCCCTGGTATGAGGGCCAATTAGAGTCAGAGGTCAGGCCTTGCTAGTCCCCATTTAGGGATCAACTCTGTAAAGGGAAGCCTGTCCAGCCTTACACCACCAGGGCTTCGAGGGCTCCTTAGAAAACACAGTCTGAGTGCCCTCAGCTGAGCTCCAGCCTATCTCCCCAGCCCCCACAGCAATGATGTCCACAGGCAGCCAGGCCTTCCCCAGCAGCCCTCCAGGGCCATCCCAGATTAGGGCCACTTACCCGGCTGTACACGTGCCTCTTGCTCTGTGCCATGTTGCTCACCCGGCCTCTACCCCCTCCCCCAGCTGGCCAAAGACAGAGAGAAAAGGTAGAAACCTAGGCAGGAGGGTCAGGGCGCTGGGCCCTCATAGAGGGACACAGGAGTCGTCAGGCACAGCCCTCCCCAGTCCATGGGCCTCACTCGGTGGCCTACACGGGTAGGGGTGGGGGCAGTGATGGGGGCTGAGGAGCAAGTCCCCTCTGCTGCCTGAGGATTCCTGAACCCAGAGACACAGAATCCTGCTTGCCAGCTGATGAGTCTCACTCTGCGCTAGTGCTGCTCTAGACTTGTCAGGAACCGTGCTAGCCTCTGGGTCCTAGTGCCCCCCTGCTTCACGTGGGCCAGAAACTAAGGGCTGGGCATACGCCACAGACCCTCAGCACTCAACTCTTGAATACACTGTCCTAGGGCTGGAAGCAGTCTTGACACGTCCTCCTAGTCTGTACCCACTCACCATCACTGTTCCCCTCTCCCCCAGGATGTAAGGCCTCAGCAGGCCCATAAGCATCAAGTGACACTTCAAAGCGATCAGCTGCCTAGAGCCTCCACACAGCCAAAATAAGGGTCTCTCATCTACCTTTCTGGTGCTCTTCTCTCTCCCTCCCCTCTCTAAACTCTGGACTCAGGGTCCAAATTCATGTGAGTAGGGCCTGGATTTCAATCTCACACTGAGCCAGAGGAGGCAGGCCCTGCCCAGGAGGCAGCAAGAGAAGGGCAGTAATGAAGGCAACTTCACACACATAGCAAAGCAAGCCAAGTACCCTAGCCCCCTCCCACAAGGCTGGCAAAGGTTGCCATAGTCACCCTTCACCCTTTATGGTTGTTATAAGGGGCCAGGTTGTAAAACACAAGAGTATCAGACTCAACTGGATTACTAAAGGCAGTAGTCAAAAGCAGAGAGCCCTTCTTTCTTCTTGTAGCACAAGGCCCAGTCCACCTCAGTCATCTGCCCCTTGTACTCTTGGCCTTGCCTCCTAGCATCTCAGACCCAATGAAATGGTTTATTTTCTACGCTTTTGTATTTCACAAAAATTCTTCAGTAACCATGTATTACTTTTATAATTAGAATTGTTTAATTTAATGAGATTATGCATTCTAATGAGAGGTCTCCAAGGGACTATGTTACCACACTGCTTTCATTCACTGGCCCATCTATCATGGGCTAGAAACCAAAAGACCAGGGTCCCTGCCCCTACACAGCCAACAAGGTTGGCCTGGGGTCTGACCTATGGCTCCACTGAGTATGGTATGGATCTAGTTCCCTTGGGCCTAGGGACGCCTGTCTTTTCTGCACTGGGCTTACTTCACTGGCAGAACAGTGACTTTACCCCGCTCTACCCTCTTAAGATAGGCCAGGTAGCCCAACAGGAGAATGACAGCCAACATTCAGAAATATGGCCCCAAAACACAATTCCAAATCTTCAGTCCTGGCCAGACCCCCTAGGAAATAATCTCTCTCCTCCCTGCAAAATCTCCATGTCGCCCCCTCCTTTCCCTATTCGCCATTACACAGGTGGGCAGGGCCAGGCACATCCTTGCAGCCTGGACCTCACATGTTCGGAGCACTTTACAGTCTATAGGACACCTTAAAAAAAGACATTTTATAGAACCATGGTTGAGTACTGGTTCTAGACTCAGGCTACTTTCCTGGCTTTATCACTTGGTAGCTACATAAACTTGGTCTAGTTACTTAACATCTCTATGCCTCAATTTCCTCATCCGTCATAGGGAAGTAACAAAGAACATATCTCAGAGAGGTATCGTGAGGATTAGCTGAGATAATCCAAACAAAGCATCCAGGACACCGCCTGGTATTTAATAAGTGCTAAATAAAAGTTAGCTAAGAACAATGTCATCATATATAGACATTACAATAACCCCATTGAGAGGTTGGCCAGGGATGATGCTGACAAGGCAACTGAGTCTTTGAGAACTGAGCAACTTCCCTGAAGACACACAGACTGTGAGGAGTAGAGCCAAAACTGGAAACAACCTGACCCAGAGCCCTCTGTGCTTTCTACTACCCCTCACCATTACCACAGACATATCTAGGCTTCCAAGGCCCTGCTCTTCCTGTAGGCCACACTGCCTTAAAAAATTCAAAAGAGCTCAGATCTAAAAATAGCCTCACAACTCACTAACCACATAGGTATCAATAGTCCCCTAATTTCTTGGAATCTGTTTATTTTCCTATGAAATGAAAATAATATCTGCCATATCTACGTCAGTATCATGAGGTTCAAAAAAGCTAAAGCATATACAGGTACCTTGTAGGCCAGGTGTGGTGGCTCATGCCTGTAATCCCAACACTTTGAGAGGCTGAGGCCGGTGGCTCACTTGAGACCAGGAGTTCAAGACCAGCCTGGCTGACATGGTGAAACCCTATCTCTACTAAAAATACAAAAATGAGCTGGGTGTGGTGGCGCATACCTATAATCCTAGCTACTTGAGAGACTATAGGCATGAGAATCGCTTGAAGCCGGGAGGTGAAGGTTGCAGTGAGCCAAGGTCGCACCACTGCACTCCAGCCAGGGCGACAGACTGAGACTCAAAAAAAAAAAAAAAAAAGCACCTTGTAAAAAGTACAGAAATTATAGAACTGCAAAGAATTACCTGACATGATACTAAATGGTATATACATCTACACAATAAATATAAGAAATTATAGACAGGAGAGAGGTGAGCTAGAAAGAAAGGGAGTACCTAAGCATGCCTTGAATTATGGGAATTTTAAAAAATATGTGGAGGCCGGGCGCGGTGGCTCACGCCTGTAATCCCAGCACTTTGGGAGGCCGAGGCGGGTGGATCATGAGGTCAGGAGATCGAGACCATCCTGGCTAACAAGGTGAAACCCTGTCTCTACTAAAAATACAAAAAAAAATTAGCCGGGCGCGGTGGCGGGCGCCTGTAGTCCCAGCTACTCGGGAGGCTGAGGCAGGAGAATGGCGTGAACCCGGGAAGCGGAGCTTGCAGTGAGCCGAGATTGCGCCACTGCAGTCCGCAGTCCCGCCTGGGCGACAGAGCGAGACTCCGTCTCAAAAAAAAAAAAATAAATAAATAAAATAAAAATAAAAAATATGTGGAAAGGCCTACAAAGCCCTGTAACTTGTGAACACAGTATGAACAGAGGCAGAAATAACTTTGCTTGACTAGCGAATAGTAAAGAACCCTAGCTTAGCTGAAGTAACGAATTGTAGATGGTTATTCTATCAAACTATAAGCCTTTTGAAGCATAGCCCACACCTTTTCCTCTTTATGATCCAATAGCCAGTAAGTAGCTCATGGTCAAATATTTATTGAATAAACATTTATTGAATAACATTGCAACATACTGGGAGGTAACTGTGGGTAGGCACGGAGTTTAACATCAGGCAGACAGAGAAGGACTTGATCCAATAATAACAGGAAGGCAGTCTTGTTCCTGAGCAGGAGACTGCATAGTGAAAACTATTTTAGGAAGATCAAACTGATGACACCTGCAGGATGGAGTGCAGGCAGGAGCAACCTGGCAAAGACAGGAATAACAGCAAGGAGGCTGCTGCAACATTTGACACAGGGTAAGGAAGGTTTGAACCAGGATCAGGAGGAGAAGAAAGAGGCCAGTTCAGAGACAGTACCAAAAAAGCCCTGAGAAGGCCTTGTAATAGATCAAACATGAGGAAAGAGGCAGCAGGCCTACATGGGCTCTGGAGACAGACCTGAATATACCTTTGGTTCTCCTCTGAGCAAGATATTTAACTTCCTGAGTCCCGGTTACCTCAACTGCAAAAAGGAAGAAATAATGTTACCTCACAGGGACATTTTGAAGATTAAATAAGATTTAAGTAAAGCGTTTAGCACAATGTCTGTGTGCTCAACAAATGGTAGATATCATCTTCATTCATTATTTTAAGGGAATATCCACGATGACTTGCGCACAGTAGGAACTCAAATGCTGCAAGGATAAATAGATGGGTCAATGAATGCATGAATAAGTAAATGAATAAATACACTCAGGAGTTTTCAAGCATGAGAAATGTAATAATTGAAACATTAACAGAACTGAAAAAAATGGGAGGAGAAACAACATGTTAGGAGAGAGAAAATGCGTCCTGTTCTTAGGGCCTTCTCTGGGGAAAACTTAATTGCATACACGAATACATGTACTTCACTATCTCCTTCAAAAATGAACCTGTGATGTAGCCAAAACAGATTCCATTCTCTCCATTCCACAGATGACAGAACTATGTCTCAGAAGTCAAATGACTTGCCCAAGTCTCATAGCCAAAAAATGGCAGAGGGGCACATCTGAATATCTCTACAGGTAGGTGCTCCTTCCACAGCATTACCGGGCCCAGGCCCATATCCCATAGGACAATCCTGGGTTAATGTTACCCCAGCCAGGGAGGAGACAGACACCTCTTGGATTTCTAATCCATTTTCCTCTCCAATGATATTAAATACCACTAAAATATCTAGAAAAATGAGAAGAGAGGAGGGGAAAAATCTCTGTGTCTGATAAATAATAATCTCTGTGTCTGCCAATAGTCTTAGAGAAATTTCAGGAAATTATAGGAAAATAAGATTTTGGAGAATGAAAAAGGAGAAAGTGAGGAGGAAAAGCCTCTTTTCCACCTCTACCATTTCTCCCCTGTCTGAACCATTTCTACCTTGTTTTTACTGGCACCCCAGCATCCTTTGATACCTTGATCTCCTCTTGTCTCACCTTATCAAACCTTGATCCTGGGCTAACCCAACTGTCTGCTTTCCCTGCTTTCCCACTCCTAGAGGAGCTTGTCTGAAACCCAGGCAGTCTGACAGCAAGGCAAAACTATACATCTCTGAAAGCACTAGTAAGGAAGAGATAAACGTGGACCTAAGTCCTTCAGGAGTCAGAAAGGAAAAGGTCTGCTTACTGAGTGGTAAATGGAGGCTGGGAGACTGGAAGCTTGGAAAGCTGGATTCCAGATATTCACAGGACCCCAGAAGACAACGTACACAGAGCTTTTTGTTCCTAGGTCCTACTCAGTATCTGCCTTGCGGATTTCATAGATAAGGCCTACACACTCAACGGACTTCCTTCCCTTCTCCAGCTCCTCATTACCCTAAAAAAACGTCTACAAACCCACTCCCACTCTGAATGCAGCTCTACTCCATCTCAAAATGTCCCCTTTCCCCAGAAATATCCAGTGACTTCCAGGCCCACCTCCAAGGGCCCAGACCTCTAAAAGTCAAGAAGAAAAGCTATGCTATATGCTTCACTTATCTTCAATATAGGAACTTCTGCAAGAAGGCAAGAGGCACTCAGCCCTGCACTCAAGAACCTCAATCCTCTCAGTGGTATCAGAAGTCCTACTTAGGCTGTTCGAAGTTCCTGCTGATTCCTCCCCCTGAATCAACCAGCAAGTTCCTGGCACTAGGACCCTGTAGACAGGGAACCCTGAGCCTGCGCTCTAAAGAGAGAGATGCACCATTTCACAACTTCAGCAAAAGCCAAAGCAGCCAACAAAGCCACAGCCCTATCGGCTGTACTGGGCTCTGCCTTTTGGGCAGCTCGCCGGCCACTCCCCAAAAGCAGAGCATTCCATCCTTTCTCTTTTTAAACCCACGTCATCATCTGATCATAATGGAAATCAATCTCCTCAAACCACCATGCAAAGGCGTATCCATGGCAACCTCAAAAGGAAGGACACAGAGATGATGCTTCAGTGGCTGCAGCAGGAAAAGGTAAGTCCGTTTCTCTTCCATCCACGCCATCCCATCACTCTCTCCTTTCACTCAAGTCAGGTATACAGCTTACCTACAAATTGTATCTGTCACACAAACTGAGAAAACACATAAGGTGAGTTAATAATCATTATGTTATTATATAAGGTTTTAGATCTGCCTGTCTCTCTGCCAAGAAAAAATTCTCCTTTTCTAGGTGATAGGAACAGGGACAAGGTCTCTCTTCTTATTCACCTCTCAGATGACACAATCTCAGCCCACAATACCTGACAAATCACTATCGGTCACTTGTCTTTCTAGTCAGGATGCTGGAAAAATCACTCAAGAATATCCGAGTTTCCCTATGTAGTTGTCAAAAGCTGACAGCAACAGTGATCCCACTGTCCTGCCCCCTCCATGCCACCATCATGCCCACAAACTGGCATGGTAAGATTCCCTCCTTAGCAACCCTAGACTCTAGGCTCTCAAGGTTCAGAAACCGGGAGTTGGGATTAAATTTCTGTCTTCTCTGATGCCTCAGGAAAAGGAATCCATTTCTGCAGACGTAAGAGATTCATCAAATACAAGCGCTACTAATCCTCTATGCCTCAATTTCCTCTTCTGGAAGAAAGGGATAATAACAATAACTTTCTAACAGGATTGTTGTAAAAATCACATGAGAATGCCTGAAAAGCACTTAGAACAGTGCCTTGTATAAAGCACTCAATAAATGTCAGCCATTATTATTATGAGAAAGATGAAGGGGAGGCTTATAGTGTAGGATTTCAGTTCAGAGGGTACTCAACACTCTTGGAGCTTATTTCAGTTCCACTGTCTTCCTCTTTCCTCTTAACAGTTATTTCAAGCTTCCTTTACATTTTCAAGTCCTTACTCCCACCCAAGCCAACACCAGCATTCCCACCTCTCAGCAGATAACCTTGCTGAAAAAGAAAACTGGCCCTATTAGGTAAGAATTTCTTTGAAAATTTAGATATATCTGCATGCATATGTCATTATCTCTTTCTTCCTAAATTCCTTCCTTTCTTCCAACATTCCTCTTTAAAGAAAATGGTATCCCCTTCTTTTCAGGGCCCACCCCTTCCCCTCTCCTCTGAGGACTTGATTTAGCAATCGTCTTTTCTCTTGTGTCTTCATTGCACCCTGTCTACTGGATCTTACATGGCATCAGAAAACCCATAAACAAGACTTCCATTCTAGGAAAAACAAGTCCCTGCTACCTCTTCCACAAGCTGCCACCATTCTGTATTCTTCCTTTCTCTGCTGAACTACTCAAAGTGAGTACACATTCTCTATCTTCACTTCCCATCTACTTCTCGATCCATTGCTATCTGGCTCCATCCCTACCACTCCACTGAAGCTGCTCACACTTTAAAAGAGCCCTGGTGACCCCAATGTCCTACACAACCTCAAGGTGCATTTCCCAAGCTCATCCTAACTTGATCTCCCTGTAGCAACTGAGATTGTCAATCCTTTTCCTGGAATTTTCTCCTTTCCTAGCTTCCTGGGCAACATTCTCTCCTACCCTTGCACGTCAATCCTTCTCATCTCCTCTGTCATTATTTTCAGCCTTCTGTAAGCGTGGCTGGGAGACCTCAACCATTCCCACAACTTCAACTACCACTCATACTTACTGCCCCTAGACAGAAACTCTTCTGAACTTCAGACTCATATCTCACTGTCTGCTAACTGCCACAGAGCCCTCAAGTTCAATATGACCCAAAACACACTTGGTATCTCCCCCACCAAAAACAAACAAACAAAAAAAAGTTCTTCTTCTATATTCTCTCTTTGCTATTGGCACCACCATCCACTCAAAATAGAAAACTGAGTCATCCGCAACAACTCCCTCTCTTGTTCTCAACAACCAATTTAGTCATTATGTCTGGTTAATTCTGTTTCTCCAGTCTCTCTCAGATTCATCCTGTCCTCTCTATCCCCACTGACCTAATCCTTAGCTCAGCCCTAAACCATGTCTATGATATTACAAGAGTCTCCCGATGTCCCTGAACCAGGTTCTCCCCCTTCAATTTCCACATTTAGCTTCCCAAAATACAATCATGTCATCTTCCTGCCTAAAAGTCTCCAGTGGCTTCTCTGCCCACAAAATGAAATCTTTTTAGCACTGCACTACAGGCCATTAACAACCTGGCCTTGACCAAGCACAGTGGCTACACCTGTAATCCTAGCACTCTGAGAGCCCAAGGCGGGCAGATCACTTGAGGCCAGGAGTTTGAGATCAGCCTGGACAACATGGTGAAAGCCTGTCTCTACTAAAAATACAAAAATTAGCTGGGTGTGGTGGTGGTGCATGCCTATAGTACCAGTTACTCAGGAGGCTAAGTAGTCCCACCTGTAGTAGCTATAGTCCCAACTACTCAGGAGGTTGCAGTGAGCCAAAATCTCACCACCACACTCCAGCCTGGTTGACAGAGCAAGACTGTATCTCAAAAACAAAACAAAACAAAAAACTGGCCTCAAACTGGCACAGCAGCCTGCAGACCCACCTATACTCAGGAGGCTGAGGGGGATCACTTGAGGCCAGGAGTTCAAGGCTGTAGTGCGTGATGATCTTGTCTGTGAATAGCCACTGCACTCCAGCCTGGGCAGCATAGTGATACCCCATCTCTAAACAACAAAACAAAATAAAACAACATGGCTTCATTATGAATCCGGTCGCATCAATCACCAAAGTTCTCTTTTATTCCAGCCACTTGGATCTATCTGCCTTTCCCTTTATGCATCTGCAAATGTTACAAATGTCACCAGGACAATTCTTCCTCCTCATCCTTCAAGGCTCAGCCCAATTCTCACCTCTTTCCTAAAGACTCTCCTGGCTTCTCCATGTGGAGCTAATCATTCCCTCCTCTGTGCTCACAGAGCACTTGAGACATATCTCCATTTCAATACCACATTCTATTTAAAATATCATCTCTTACTCTACTATGAATTCCTCCAGGACAGAGGATTGTATCCATCTCAGTATCTAAGCACTCGGCGTAGGGCTTTGCAAAGAGAAGGTATTCAATGTTGAATAGATGCCTGTACCAACATCACACTCAGGATATAAACTGGCTCTGACAGCTTTCCCTGAGAGTAGCTCCACTCTTGAAGACCACCACCACTGGGGAAATCACCACTTATGTGCACATATGTACGCACACACACATCTCTCCCCTAACCCTCAGTAAACATGGCTCTTTCCACTCCAGACAGAAGCCTAAGAAACTAAAAGTGCAGGAACAGCCCTAGGTCCTATGGAATTTGGTAGTGACACTAAATCTCAATCCTGTATACTTTCAGGGTAAAAGAACCACAGAGACAGCTCTAGGTGAGGTGCAAATCTCCTGGGAAACAGCATTAGGAAGGATTTGGGGCAGCAAGGGCCCATGCTCTGCTGTAGTGAAGCCCTTGGGGAGGCCAGACTAAATAGCTAACCTGTCCCTTGATCACATTCAACTAACATCAGCCTGAATCTCAAAAGGAAAATGATACAAAGCCAAAGTCAGAGTCTCCAGGATGGCAAGGACCTTAATATAGATATGAATCTGGCAATATTCCAGCTCTTACATCTTCAGGGGACACTGAGGACCGAGTTCCTATTTTCCTTGGTATGGGACAGATAGCCCAAGTGCCCCCAGTATCACCTAGTAGCTGTAGACAGGCCAAGCAACCTGGGAATCATCTATAATCCCTTTCAACCTATAACTCCAAGCAGCTGCTAGCAATGATAGAGCTGGCAGAGTAAAACCTAGAGTGGCAGTTCTCAATGGTATTATGATTCACCCAACTACTTTGACTCCTCCCTAACAACTTCTTCTCCTTTGTACCCTCATGGTCAGTCAGGCCCCACTTATCAATTCGTCCTTAGTACTGCCTCCTGCATCTTTCCTTTCTCCTCCATTATCACTATCACTACTTCAGTCTGCCATGTAATAGCTTTGAAAATTAAGGCAAATCATTTACCCTCTTTGGTGCATCATCTACAAAACAGCATAACAGCTGCTCTGCCTACCTCGTAGGAATATTAGATCAAATGAAATCATGCCTGTGAAAAGTTCTGTAAAGTGTCATACATAAATATAAGGCATTATTATTATCAACCTAAATTGTCTAATATTGCTATGTGAAGCCTATCCAGCTCCGTCTCCCCCTCCTTCCCTAGTTCCAACCACCTTATACATCACAGTAAAGCACATACATCTGCTAAAATACTGCTTTGTCCCTACACCCATCTGCCCGACATCTTTCACTGATAATCTCATTTCTTACTATAATCAAACAATCCTGGATTCAACAGATGCAGTCCCATCTCTGCACCAGTGTCAACTGCTTAAGATACTTTTCTAGTCTTGCAAGCCACACCCATCCTTCAAAGTCCAGCCAAAGCCCCACTACACTCCACAGAGAACAAAGACAAATTTAAGAAAGGGATTTCTTAAACATAATGGAAGAATTAAATACAATTCCGCTTAGAAAAATCATAGTAGGCACAGCTGTCATCTAATACTTGGAGTCAACATTTTAGGAAGACGGGTAACACTTCTTTCCTGTTTGATTGTTAAGAGATAATCTAGGACCAACAGCATGGAAGTTGCAGAGATGTATTTCAGCAACATGAAGAACTTCCTTCTTGAGCTATTCCAAGAATAAAATGGGATGCCCTATATGCAGATAATTGCCCATTATTTTAAATGTTCAAGCCAAGCTGCAAAATTTGCCAAATTGGCAAGAATATTTCAGATAGAATTCAACACTACAGGGATAACTCGACTAGACTCACAGAATTTTAAATCTGAAAGAAATATTTGAGATCTTGTAGTCCAGACTCCTACCTTATAGGCCTGGACAGATAAAGTGACTCTCTCAAGGCAGCACATCTGTTCTGGAAAACATGGTCTCTAACTTTCAATCCAGTGATCTATACTTTTGCTACTCAGATTGTGTTCCATGGGCCAGCAGCATTAGCATCACCTGGGAACTTGTTAGAAATGCAGAACCAATCAGAATCTGTACTGTAACGAGATCGCATTACATGTGCACGCCATTAAAACTCAAAGCGCACTGACCCATACTGCCCCTTCTAAATCCTGAATTTCTAATTCTGGAACTCCAATTCCCAAACGGTTCCCACATGTTAGCCAGAGGCATCACCCAAGAATAACAGTATATCCTAGTAAAATTTTCAAAATTCTACATACCATACCCCCAGTTGGAGATTCATGGTAAATATTATTAGCATATTAAAGGCTCTGCAATATTCTGTAGTAAAGTTTAACCACGAATTTTCCAACAGCTTTCGAAAACAAAATGCCTTTTTTAAAAATAAAGTTATCATTATCTCTTTTAACATCTCATAGCTTAGGCTTTGGCAGTACATTAAGTAAAGGATGTCAATCTCTACCTCCTAGCTCTTCGCCTCTCGGTACCTTAAGTATACCTGAGTAGCCAGTGGTCAACATGGGTTTGCTGCTCTCCTCACTGCAATAAATGACGGTAAGTTTTCAAATCCCTGCCTCTGAAACAGCAGAGATCCTTATCTGTGTGATTTAGCTGTGGTTCTGTCTAAAGACAAGGGATGCGCAAGATGACCTCAAGGATCATCTTGCCAGCTAAGGCGGACCCCAGGAGTAGGATCACACACACAAGTCATATCCAGACTCCCATGCTGTGAGTCCTTTACGATTTTTCTCCCCGTTTGAGACGAATTTCTCAACCATGTGCCCACAGGAAACCTGTAGCTCAGTATGGATTCAGGGGCGCCTCAGACGCTCGCAGGAACGGAGGGGAGACCCTTGCAGTTCTGGAGGAACTCTAAGGCGCAGTCACTCTGATCCCAGGAGAACAATGCTAGGCTGAAGAGCTGAGGTGGGTCAGACCGGCCTCGGGGCAAACGCTCAGGCGGAGCCCCCGGACCCCGACAAGCGCCCACCCCTGCCAGTCCCCGCCCCGCACACCGGGCTCGGTCCCCAGCCCACCGCCGGCAACCTCACGAACACGTAGGGGGCCGGCGGAGCAGACGGTTGGCAGAGTCGCGCCTCCGTACCTGCACTGTGAGGGGCTCCGCGCCCAGCTCCGACCCCACCGACGACCGACGCCCAAGACCCTGCGGGGCCGGCCCCGCCCTCCCCGCCCTCGTGGGCTGCCCGACTCGCCGCCAGACCCTTCCAGGACCGCCCAGAACCCTTCGGCCCAGAGGCCCAGAGGCGTTCTGGGTCGAGTGAACCCTCTTTTCCCGCAGTCCAGCCCTGACTGAAAACTGCGCACCGACCGCAGCCGGGATTACATCAATCAGGCACAAAGCTGGACACCTGGGACAGGATAAGCGCACGCGCACTGTGCCTGGGAAGCCGATTAGGACCATAAGAAATCGGCGTGTCGTGGCGAGCGCCCTCTTTCGGCGGAGGGGAGAAAGCGCAGAAGGGCTGGAGGACTTATTTGCAAGTGTTAAACTGCTAATTAAAACAATAGCGATAAACCATATCTCCTCCATTAGCCTGGGGGAGAAAATTAAATGTTGCTGCTACTCAGTGTTACCTGTCATATGGGGATACAGGCATTCTCATGCGCTTATGATGGGAATGTAAAATACAAATTTACATAATGGCATTTTAAAATTTTAGACATAGGTTCAAATTCTTTTTTTTCTGTTTTTAAGACAAGGTCTCGCTCTGTTGTCTAGACTGGAGTGCGGTAGCACGCACAATCATGGCTCATTGCGGCCTTGACTTCTCAGGCTCAGGCCATCCTCCCACCTCTCAGCCTCCGTAGTAGCTGGGTCTGCAGGCGCGCACCACCATGCCCTTTTAATTTTCGTTTTTTGTTTTTTGTTTTTTTGTAAAGACGGGGTTTCACAATGTTGCCCAGGCTGGTCTCGAACCCCTGGGCTCAAGCGATCCAATCGCTTCGGCCTCCCAAAGGGCTGGAATTACAGACATGAGCCACCGCACCCGCCTGGGTTCAAATTCTAACTGCAATTTACTAGCCGTGTGAAATCTAGAGTTACTTATTTACCCTCTCTGTGCCTCTGTTTTCTTATTTGTTAAAGTGAGAATGTAAATGATGGTACCTATCTCATTATGTTGTTAGAAGGATTAAGTTAATCCATGTAAAGAGCTGGAAATATAACTATTGTAATGTTATATTTATTTCAGTTAATCTCAGATTTAAAACAAACTGAAAAATTCATAAAGTTGCTGTAAGGGGCAGTAAGCAGTAGAAGGGATGCATTGAGTATCCCCTTTATTACTCCCCCCTTTTCCCTATTTCACCTTCTAAATATTTATAATTATTATTTTGAATAGATAATACGTTTACATGGCTCAAAAATCAGAACACTATTTTAGAATATACACAGAGAAACCTCCCTTCAACCCTGGTTCCCATCGACTCCATCCCCCTTGCCTGCTACAGATAATGCTTATTAGTGTCTTCTTGTTTATCTTTTCAGTGTTTTGTGCAAATATAAACTCATATGAATATATAGTCTTACTCCTCCCATTTCTTATGCCAAATGTAGCATGCCAGATACAATTGGCATAAGTTCTGTTCACTTAATCTATTCTGAAAATCTTTCTAAATCAATAAATTAGAGATCTTCCTCATTTTTCAGCTGCTTAGTACTCTATTGCATGGATACACATAATTTATTAACCAGTTTCTTCTAGTTACATACTTTATTTCCAGTCTTTTAGTATTACAATCTTGCAATGAATCACTTTGAACATAATGACATTCCAATGTGAGCAGGCATATCTCTAGGATACATCTTGGTCAAATAATAAATGTATCTATAATTTTAGTAGAAATGTCTTCCATCTCCTTCAATTAAAGAAAAATAAAAAGTAAATATAAAGACTTTAAAAGATACTGCATATACATATTTTTAATTGTCGTAAAGCATACATAACATGAAATTTACCATTTTAACCATGTTTAAGTTCAGTGGCACTCAGAACATTCACATTGTTGTGCAATCATCACCACTATCCATCTCCAGAACTTTTTCACCTTTCTGTACCAAAAACAAACATGTAAGCAAACAAAACCCTCTGTGATGATCTGACAAAAAAACTAAAGTGTATGATAGAATGTGTGTAGGTTATATATAAATAAAACACAGTTGGCCCTCTGTATCTGTGAGTTCAACCATCCTTGGATTGAAAATATTAGGGGAAAAATGGATGGTTGTGTCTATAGTAAACATGTACAGACTTTTGTCCTTGTCATTATTCCCTAAACAATACAGTATAACAAGTGTTTACATTGTATTAGGTATTATACATAACCTGAGATTATTTAAAGAAACAGTTCCCGACCTCTTTGGCACCAGGGACGTGTTTTGTAGAAGACAATCTTTCCACAGACTGGGTTGGGCAAATGGTTTTGGGATGATTCAAGTGCATTACATTTATTGAGTACTTGATTTCTATTATTATTACATTGTAATGCATAATAAGATAATTATACAACTCAGCATAATGTAGTATCAGTGGGAGCCCTGAGCTTGTTTTCCTGCAACAAGACAGTCCCATCGGGGGTGATGGGAGACAGTGACAGATCATCAGGAATTAGAGTCTCATAAAGAATAAGCAACCTAGATCCCTTGCATGTGCAGTTCACAATAGGGTTCGTGCTCCTATAAGAAACTAATACTGATGATGATCTGACAAAAAAACTAAAGTGTATGATAGAATGTGTGTAGGTTATATATAAATACTATGCCATTCCATGGATTTTGGTATCCAAGGGGTGTCCTGGAACCAATCCCTGAAGGACACACAGCAACTACTGTATGTATCTCCTTCTGAGTGACTTTAACATTTAACCTGTGTGCTGAGTTTTTACTTGACACCAGGAGTTCAAGACCAGCCTGACCAATATGGTGAAACCCTGTCTCTACTAAAAATACAAAAAAAATTAGCAGGCATGGTGGCGCACACCTGTAATCCCAGCTACTTGGGAGGCTAAGGCAGGCAAATCGCTTGAGCCCGGGAGGCGGAGGTTGCACAGTGAGCAGAGATCATGCCATTGCACTCCAACCTGGGTGACAGAGTGAGACTGTCAAAAAACAAAAAAAAACCTGTGTGTTGAGTTTTTTATATAAAGCTGCCAGGCCTCAGGTGGGATGGGGGTGGTGATTCAGGAAAGACCAAAATGTTTCTCAGCATCATGAAAGGGATCCTACTGAATCATAAGGACAGGACGTGCTAATAGGAGAAATATTGATTTTTTTTTACATTTGATTAGGCTGAGTGGTCTTCAAGGAAAATTAATATTGTCTTTGTCCTGTGTTTTTCTTCATAGGTGCTGTTGTAAGAGATCCAGGCTGCCTTTGGCTTCCTCCAATGGGGAACCTGAACAAGGACCCCCAAACTCCTGTTCACATAACTAGAGCCCTTCCCCCCAACATGTGATGCTGAACAGAGAAGAACATCTGTGCTTACCTGGGTGAAATCCTAGGCATTATAGAATGTGGGGAAGAATCCATGGGAGAATCCTCCCCCTGAGGAAAGGGATGCTGTTTTCCAGGAGAAGGTGGGTTTTCAGACTGAAAAGCTTGGAGAGGGGAATCAATAGAGAGTAAATCAAAGATGACAAAGCCATGGGGGAGGACATGTGTGGGAGAGAGAAGCATCTAGATTAGCTATACCAGCACTGCCCAATAGACATAAATGTAAATTTTAAAATTGTTTTTAGTTGGGAAATAGGTTAACAAATTTTAAAGAAAATTTCTGGAGAAAACTTAATTTTTTAAAGACAGGATCTTGCTCTGCCACCCAAGCTAGAGTGCAGTGGCGCTATCATGGCTCACTGCAGCCTCAACCTCCCTGGCTCAAGTGATCCTCCTACATCAGCCTCCAGAATAGCTGAGAGACCAAAGGCCACCGTTTCTGGCTATTTTTAAAAATTTTTTGGAAAGACAGAGTCTCACTATGTTGTCCAGACTGATCTTGAACTCTTGGGCTCAGATGATCCTCCTGCCTTGGCTTTCCAAAGTGCTGAGATTACATGTGCGAGCCAAGATAAAATTTTATATAAGCCAGCCACACATATAATTTTAAATTTTTTAGTAGCGACAGTTTGTAAAAGTTAGAAAAAAAAAAGGTGAAATTAATTTCTTTTTCTTTGAGACAGGGTCTTGTTCTGTTGCCCAGGCTGGGATACAATAGCATGATCTCAGCTCACTGCAACCTCCACCTCCCAGGCTCAAACGATCCTCCCACCTCAGCTTCCTAAGTAGCTGGGACTGCAGGCATATGCCACCATGCCTGGCTAATTTTTATATTTTTTGTAGAAATGGGTTTTTGCCATGTTGCCCAGCCTGGTGAAATTAATTTTAACAACATACTTTATTTAAACCAGAATATTCAAAATATTGTCATTTCAACATGTAATCAATACAAAAATGAGGCATTTTACATTCTCTTTTTTTGCACTGTCTTTAGAATGCGATCTGTATTTTGCACATTTATAGTACATCTCTATTCAGATGCTAAGTTTTCATGGGACATCCTTGATCTGGTTTAGACTACATAAAATTTACAATTGAAAAAGTAGATTTATTTATTTATTTACTCATTCATTCATTCATTCATTCATGTCAGAGATAAGGTCCTTCTATGTTGGACAGGCTGGCCTTGCATTCCTGGCCTCAAATGATCCTCTTGCCTCGGCCTCTCAAAGCTGAGATTACAGGCCTGAGCCACCAGGCTCAGCCTGGAAAAGTAGATTCAGGTATGCAACTTATTTCAAACATTTTAACATATTTTCCAATAACTGAACTGAATACTTAAATGTATACATTTTTAAACATAAAATTAATTAAAAATAAATAAAAATTAAAATTCCATTTCTCAGTTACATTAGCCACATTTCAAGTGCTTAATGGCCACATGTGGCCAAGGGCTACCATATTGGTCAGTACAGAGATAGCGCTTCACTCCTTCTTCTCCCTGCTTTGTTACACTTTTATGAGAGGGTCTGGCCCTTCAGGAAAGGACCACATGTGTGTTCATTGCCTGGTTTGTTATAACATACAGGTAGAGTATGAGGAGACAAGGTGGCTTAGGGAGAGCCTGACCTACTGTACCCCTTTTCCTTCTGAGGTGGGGTAGGGAACAGCATGAGGGTGGTCCCCTGGGGGTTCCTTGAAAACTGTGTGATAAGAAGAATCCACAATGTAGGATAACCCAGAACGACCATAAAAAGTACAATGGCGACCAAGGACCATGCAATTTTAAAAAGTAAAAGAATTTTCAAAAGTAAAAAGAAGTGAATCACTGTAGAAATCATAAAGAAAATAATCTACAGATGAAAGCTTTTTGTTAAAACAAATACAGATCCTTGAAAAGAATGTAAGATCTCATTAGATTCTCTAAAATCAGGAATACGAAGATGCCGAATATCTCTGAGTCTGATCAACACTGTATTTGAACTAGTGCATCAAGGCAAGAAAAACGTATATAAAAGACATAAAGATTAGAAAGAAGGAAATTAAACTGTCATTTTTCACAGATGATATGATGACTTACATGGAAAAGGCCAAAATAGGCCGGGTGCAGTGGCTCACGCCTGTAATCCCAGCACTTTGGGAGGCCAAGGTGGGTGGATCACTTGAGGTCAGCAGTTCGAGACCAGTCTGGCCAACATGGTGAAACCCCATCACGACTAAAAATACAAAAATTAGCTGGGCATGCTAGCACGTACCTGTAATCCCAGTTACTTGGGAGGCTGAGGCAGGAGAATTGCTTGAACCTGGGAGGGAGGCAGAGGTTGCAGTAAGCCGAGATTGCACCACTGCACTCCAGCCTGGGCGAAGAAGCAAAACTCCATCTCAAAAAAAAAAAAAAAGCCAAAATAATCTGTAAATTATTAGGATTGATTAGAAAATATTTAGCAACGTGACTAGATATAAAATCAACATGCAAAACTCAATTGCATTTCTCTAACCAACAATGAAAAGTTAAATTATATAATTTTTGAAATGAAACTGATGCACCTAGTAATAAACAACAAAATATGTGCACAACCCGGCCAGGCTCAGTGGCTCATACCTGTAATCCCAGCACTTTGGGAGTCCGAGGCAGGCGGATCACAAGGTCAGGAGTTTGAGACCAGCCTGACCAACATGGTAAAACCCCGTCTCTACTAAAAATACAAAAATTAGCCAGGCATGGTGGCACGCGCCTGTAATCCCAGCTACTCAGGATGCCGAGGCAGGGGAATTGCTTGAACCCGGGAGGCAGAGGTTGCAGTGAGCCGAGATTGTGCCACTGCCCTCCAGCCTGAGTGACAGAACGAGACTCCGTCTTAAAAAAAAAGGTGGGGTGGTCAGGCAGGGTAGCTCACGCCTGTAATCCTAACACTTTGGGAGGCCGAGGCAGGCAGATCACTTGAGGTCAGGAGTTCGAGACCAGCCTGGCCAAAATGGTGAAACCCCGTCTCTACTAAAAATACAAAAATTAGCTGAGTGTGATGCCTGTAATCCCAGCTACTTGGGAGGCTGAGACAGAAGAATTGCTTGAACCCGGGAGGTGGAGGCTGCAGTGAGCCGAGATCGCACCACTGCACTCCAGCTTGGGTGACAGAGAGAGACTCCGTCTCAAAAAAATAAAAAAGACTGAGAGATGAGAGATGTGCACAACCCAAAATTACAAAATTATATTTGGAAACATACATTAAAGATAGCCTGTGGCTCACGCCTGTAATCCCAACACTTTGCAAGGCCAAGGCTGGTGGATCACTTGAGGTTAGGAGTTCGAGACCAACCTGGCCAACATGGCAAAACTCCATCTTTATTAAAAATACAAAAATTAGCCGGGTGTGCTGGCACCCGCCTGTAATCACCCAAGAGGCTGAAGCAGGAGAATCGCTTGAACCAGGAGACAGAGGTTACAGTGAGCAGGGATCGTGCCACTATACTCCAGCCTGGGCAAAGAAGCGAGAGTCCATCTGGAAAAAAAAAAAAAGGTAGCTTAAATGAATGAGAGATATAGCACACTTATGAATAGGAAAATTTAAAGTCATAAAGAAGTTAGTTGCCCTGTATTAATAATATGTATTTGAGATAACTCCAATCAATATTCTATCAGGATATTCTAGGAACTTGACAACAAATTAGTAATTTTGTAGAGAAAAGCAAAGGGCAAAAAATTAGCCAGGAAACTTCTGAAAAAAAGAAGACAGTTGACACGGTGAAACCCCATCTCTACTAAACATACAAAAATTAGCCGGGCATGGTGGCGCGCGCCTGTAGTCCCAGCTATTCAGGAGGCTGAGGCAGGAGAATGGTGTGAACCCAGGAGGTGGAGCTTGCAGTGAGCCGAGATTGCGCCACTGCACTCCAGCCTGGGTGACAGAGCAAGACTCCATCTCAAAAAAAAAAAGAGTGTGGCTGTGTGTGTGTGTGCTTATTTTAAAGTTTATTAAGTAAAGCAATATAGTATTGACGTAGGGATAGAAAGAGTCTAGATCTAAAAACAAACTAAAACATATACCTACAAAAACTTCGTTTTTTAAAATTATTATTATTGTTTTAGAGACAGGTTCTCACTCTGTGACCCAGGCTGGAATATAGTAGTGTGATCATAGCCGTAACCTCTAACTCCTGGGCTCAAGCAATCCTTCTGCCTCAGCCTCCTGAGTAGCTAGGATTGCAGGCAGTCATCACCACACCTGGCTAATTTTTTTATTTTTATTTTTGTAGATACGGGGTCTTGCCATGTTGCCTACGTTGGTCTTGAACTCTTGGCCTAAAGTGATTCCCGTACCTTGGCCTCCCCAAGCGCTGGAATTACAGGTGCAAGCCACCACACCAGGCCAAAAACTTAATATATGACAAAATTTGTATTATTGATCAGTGAGGGAAAGATATACCATTCAAAAAATGGTGCTGGGACAATTAGGTATTCAAATGCAAAAGCAAGCAAGAAAGGAAAGAATAAAAGAAGGAAAAAAGGGAGGGAAGGAGGGAGAGAGGAACAAATTAAGTGCTTCCATTTCTGGTGCTACCGTGGACTAAATATTACGGAAACTTCTGATATACTGCAACTAAAAATGCTGGATATAATATTTAACAACCACACACACTCTTTCACCATAGGGATTCCCAGTCCACCCCCTTAACTTTCTGAGTCACTCTGTGACCCTGCCAGCTACAGGTTTTTCCCAGCAAGCTTGAACCCAAACTGGGGCCTTGAACATTTCCAGGCACTGTTAAAGGTATCTAGGTTGCCCAAAATATTGAAATAAACTGGCCCCAGCCCTGAGCCAAATTTCTTAAACCCCCATTTAAACTCCATACCCTGACCCCTCCTTGTGGACAAACCTAGGTAAGACATCCTGTTTTTCTCTCTGTCCATCTTGAAAATATGCTGCAGCACTCTATATGTAAGTTCTTCAAATAAATCCTTTGAACTGATACCCCAGGCTTTTAGTGCTTCCTTCTTTGGAATCCCAACCAGCCCCATCTCGAGATGGTTTGGGGCGCTCCCTTGTGGGAACTCCCTTACTTTGGGATCAACTTGGGGTGACTCCAGCTGCAGGTTGGCAGAACAAAACATTCACACACACCCACTCACACAAACACACACACACACACACACAACTATTTATATTGCCTGACTGCACTGGTAGGAAAGTAAGAAAATTCTTCAGAGTATAGAGATGATAGGAAAATATGAATCCCAAAACACAGGTGATCACTGGAGCCAGTGTTTGCTAAGTAGTCAACCTCTGGTGGTCTGGAACCTGGGTTTAAAAGTCCATAAGAAGTAGATAGAAGGTTGGGCATGGTGGCGCACACCTGTAATCCTAACACTTTGGGGGGCCAAGATGGGAGGATTATTTAAGCCCAGAGTTTGAGACCATCCTGGGCAACACAGCGAAACACTATCTCCAAGTGGGGATAGGGACAGAAAATGAAATCATGGATGGTTGGAATGGAGAGCTATCCCCCGCCACACACATAAGCCAGGAAAAAGAGTAACATCCTCCATAGAGTGAAAAACAACAAAAAAGAGTCCCTTCCAGAGGGAAACAGTAAGGGTAAAAGCCTATCTTAGTGGTGAGGAAAAGAAATCTTCTCTGATTATTCAAATAATAAACTTGTACTCATAGAAGTTTAGGACCAGAATATATATATATATATATATATTTTTTTTTTTTAAAGTCCCAAAACAAAAATTTAATTTTAAGTGGTACCAAGTTGTTTAGTACTCCTGGGAACCCGGCCAAATGAAATGTAATGAGGGAATGCACTTTAATTACAGCCTTAAATAATTTCTATAGCTATAGTTCCAAGAAGGATGAGTTTACAGTCACTAAAAACATAGGAAACAAGTCACCATAAACTGTTCGAGCCTGCAAAGATTATAGATACTGGAATTTTCAGTTACAGTATATAAAATGAATAAGCTAAGTATATTTTTAAAACATATAGGAGGATTTAAAATATAAGAAAGGAACAGAAGAGTATCAAAATTGACCAGATAGATTGGAAAATAACTAATTATAAAATCTAGTAATAAAAAAATAATGGGCTGGGAGCAGTGGCTCACACCTGTAATCCCAGCACTTTGGGAGGGTGAGGCAGGCGGATCATCTGAGGTCAGAAGTTTGAGACTAACCTGGCCAACATGGTGAAACCCTGTCTCTACTAAAAATACAAAAATTAGCCGGGCATGGTGGCGGATACCTGTAATGCCAGCTACTCAGGAGGCTGAGGCAGGAGAATCACTTGAACCCAGGAGGCAGAGGTTGCAGTGAGTCGATATTGTGCCATTGTACTCCAGCCTAGGCAACAAGAGTGAGACTTTGTCTCAAAAAAAAATTAATTAATTTAAAAAAATAATGATTGGTAACATAAGGTTACTAGATGGAATAAACAAGAGATTGGCCATGGTTGAAGAAAAAAATTAGTAAGCTGGAAAATAGATCTTTTTTTTTGAACTAGAAGTGTTTATTGCAGAAATTTGGCCAAGGTTCGAATTGGGGGCCCAAATAGAGCTTTTAAAAAATGAACTTAAATGTAGCTTTAACATATATAGACAAGGAAAATATGAAAGAGAAATTAAGAGACATGAAAGATAAAGTGGGAAGATCTAGCTTTTATCTAAATTGCAATTCTATAAAGAGAGAAGAAAAAGGTCTGGGCACAGTGGCTCACTCCTGTAATCCCAGCACTTTGTGAGGCCAAGGCAGGAGGATTGTTTGAAGCCAGGAGTTTGAGGCTGCAGTGAGCTAGGATTGTGCCACTACACTCCAGCCTGGGCGACAGAGGGAGACTCTGTCTCCAAAAAAAAAAAAAAAAAAAGAGAGAGAGAGAGAAAGTGGGGGGTGCAAAGGAAGGAAGAAAGGAGGGAGGGAAAAAGGGAAGGGAGGAAGGAAGGAAAGAAAGGAAGGTAATGAAGAGATTGTTGTATTTAAAGAGTAATACAGGTTAGATACATATCCTCAAATTCAGGAAATCCAAGGAATTCCCACCAGAATAAATAAAAAGAAATTCACATGTAATAAATTCGTGAGTTTATTACAATGAAACTAGAAAAGCAATGACAAAGATAAAATCTTAAAAGGAGGAAAAGAGAAAAGGCAAAATCCCTGCAAAATAACTGTTAGATTAACATCAATTTCTCAATAACAATGAAAGCCAGAAGACATAGAAATACTGTATTTGTACGGGGTTGGTGGCTCACGCCTGTAATCCCAGCATTTTGGGAGGCCGAGGCCGGTGGATCACCTGAGGTCAGGAGTTTGAGACCAACCTAGCCAACATGGTGAAACCCCGTCTCTACTAAAAATACAAAAATTAGCAGGGTGTGGTGGCAGGCCCCTGTAATCCCAGCTACTCGGAAGGCTAAGGCAGGAGAATTGCTTGAACCCAGGAGGCAGAGGTTGCAGTGAGCCGAAATCGTGCCATTGCACTCCAGCCTGGGCAACAAGAGCAAGACTCCATCTTAAAAAACAAGCCGGGTGGACTGGCTCACGCCTGTAATCCCAGGACTTTGGGAGGCCGAGGCGGGTGGATCACCTGAGTTCGAGACCAGACTGACCAACATGGAGAAACCCCATCTCTACTAAAAATACAAAATTAGCCAGGCGTGGCGGCGCGTGCCTGTAATCCCAGCTACTCGGGAGGCAGAAGAATCACTTGAACCCGGGAGGCGGAGGTTTCGGTGAGCCGAGATCGCGCCATTGCACTCCAGCCTGGGCAACAAGAGCGAAACTCCCATCTCGAAAAAAAAAAAAAAAAGAAAAGAAAAAAAAAGCAATACTATATTTAACAGGATTAAAAAAAACACACAAAAACTGTCGGCCGGGCGCAGTGGCTCACGCCTGTAATCCTAGCACTTTGGGAGGCCGAGGTAGGCGGATCACGAGGTCAGGAGATGGAGACCATCCTGGCTAACAGGGTGAAACCCCGTGTCTACTAAAAACAAAACAAAACAAAAAAAAATACAAAAAATTAGCCAGGTGTGATGGCGGGCGCCTATAATCCCAGCTACTCGGGAGGCTGAGGCAGGAGAATGGCGTGAACCCGGGAGGCGGAGCTTGCAGTGAGCCGAGATCGCGCCACTGCCCTTCAGCCTGGGCGACAGAGCGAGACTCCGTCTCAAAACAAACAAACAAAAAAACAAAACAAAACAAAAAAACTGTCAACCTATAATTCCTTAGCCAGTAGCAAACTGATACCCCAACATTAAGGTGAAATAAATACATCCTCCAACAAATAAAACTGAGGAAGTTTATTATATTAGATCTTATATTAGTTTTCTATTGCTACATAACAAATTACTATAAATTCAGTGGGTGAAGCAACATAGGTCAGGCATGATGGCTCATGCCTGTGATCCCACCACTTTGGAGGCCAAGGCAAGAGGATCCTGTGAGGCCAGCAATTTGAGACCAGCCTGGGCAACATAACAAGAATCCCCATCTCTATAAAAGAAAAAAAAATTTAATTCTAACTCGATTACCTCTGAAAAAATAAAAAATAAAAAATAATAATTAGCCAGAGTGGTGGCATGCTCCTGTAGTCCCAGTTACTTGGGAGGCAGAGAGGCAGAAGGATTGCTTGAGCCAGGAGTGTGAGGTTGCTGTGAGCTGTGATAGTGCCACTGCATTCCAGCTTGGGTGACAGAGAGAGAGCCTGTCTCTAAAAAATATAATAAATATGTTTATTTTTTAAAAAAACACATTTATTATCTCACAGTTTCTGTGGGTCGGGAGTCTGGGTACATGTTTGCTGGGTCCTCCACTCAGGAGGTCACCAGGCTGAAATCAAGAAGTCATCCAGGGTTGAAAGCTCATTGAAGTTCAGGGTCCTCTTTCAAGCTCACTGGTTATTGGCAGAATTCAATTTGTTGTGACTATAGAACTGAGGCCTGGCTCCCAGAGGCCATCTGCCATCCCTGCCATGTGGCCCTCTCCACAGTGTAGCAATTTGCTTCTTTAAGGTAAAGGAGAGAATCTTTCTAACTTCTGTAAAGGCTTGAAGCCTTTTAAAGGGCTCACTTCATTAAGTCAGGTCCACCCAAAATAATCACCAATTTGATTAACTGATTAGAGACTTTAACTACATCAGAAAAATCCCTTATGTCAGGTAAATAACGTAATCACAGGAGAGAAATCCCATCATATTCACGAGTTCTGCTCAGACTTAAGGGGAAGGGGGATTTTATAGGGTACATAAACAAAAGATGAGAACTTTGGAGGCCATCTTAGAATTCTGTCTACCACAAATCCTCACTAAAGTAACTTTCTTTTGAGAGAGAAAGAGAGGGTCTCACTCTGTCACCTAAGCTGGAGTGCAATGACGTGATCACAGCTCACTGCAGACTTGACCTCCTGGGCTCAGGTGATTCTCCCACCTCAGCCTCCTGAATAGCTGGGACTACAGGAACGTGCCACCACACTCGGCTAATTTTTGCATTTTTGAGAGACGGGGTTTCACCATGTTGCCCAGGCTGGTCTCAAACTCCTGTCCTCAAGCAATCCACCCGCTTCAGTCTCCCAAAGTGGTGGGATTACAGGCATGAGCCACTAAGCCTGGCCTAAAGTAACTTCTAAAGATGTACTTCAGGTAGAAGGAAAATAACACAAGATGGAAGATCTGAGATACAAGAAAGAAGAGCAAGCAATATTAAGTATTAACATTAAACATATGAGCAAACCTATACAAGTATCACCTATTTAAAATAATATCTGATTTGTGGCCAGGCATGGTGGCTCACACCTGTAATCCCAGCACTTTGGGAGGCCAAGGTGGGCGGATCACCTGAGGTCAGGAGTTCGAGACCAGCCTCAGCATGGAGATACCCTGTCTCTACTAAAAATACAAAAAAAAAAAAAAAATTAGCCAGGCCTGGTGGTGCATGCCTGTAATCCCAGCTACTCGGGATTACTGAGGCAGGAGAATTGCGTGAACCTGGGAGGCGGAGGTTGCAGTGAGCTGAGATTGCGCCATTGCACTCCAGCCTGGGCAACAAGAGCGAAACTCAGTCTCAAAAAAAAAAAATAATAATAATAATAATAATATCTGATTTGTGAGATTAATAAAATAGTAGAATTAAAATATAGGGTTACAAAAATGTATAAATTCAAAGAGAATTATTAATGTTAAAGAACTCTAAAATCTATGAATTGTTTTAAAGAAGAATGAAGATATTGATTAAAGACATTAAGTTAAATATGTAGATTAAAAATTCTAGGCCGGGCGTGGTGGCTCATGCCTGTAATCCCAGCTACTCGGGAGGCTGAGGCAGGAGAATTGCTTGAGCCCGGGAGGCGGAGGTTGCAGTGAGCCTAGATCGCACCACTGCACTCCACCCTGGGCGACAGAGAGAGACTCTGTCTCAAAAAAAAAAAAAAAAGTACTCATAACAACAAAACTAGGCAGTTTCCACATAAATAAGGAAAAATACAGGCCAATCTCCTTTACTATTTTTTCTTTTTTCTATTTATTTATTTGGGCCAATCTCCTTTATGAACATAGTAAAAAGTTTTAAAAAAAATGAGCAGGCTGTTTAGCAATGCATAAAAAAGGTAACACTATTACAAAGTTGGGTTTATTCCAGAAATGTAAGGTTGTTTCAATACTAGAAAATCTATTAAAGTTTTCTAGAAAAAGAAATATAAGTTGGAATAGTTACAAAGGAAGAAATAAAACTGTGATTATTCCTGGATGATGTGATTTTCCATGTAGAAAAACCAAGAGAATCTATGGACGACTTATTAGAACTAGATAACTTAATAAAGTTGTTTGATATAAGATCAATATGAGGCAGGAGAGGTAGTCAAGGAAGTGACCAAGTAGTCAAGGCAGCAACAGTGGTGACTGTACAATCAACACAATAAACCTCAGCATATGCATTGTAACTGAGCTCATTCAAGCAAAGCTATCTTCAGTAGGGAATTTCCCCTGCAGACAGCATGTGCAGTTTGATTTACCTGTCCTCAAACTGACCCTTTGCTCATTTTATTAGTAAAAAGTACACCCCTGGATATTGAAGATGCTAATGAGACATGTGACATATGAACAAGCATATACAGCTACTGCACATCCACACCCAGAGGACCACCCAGAACATGCTTACTAGTAACACCTCTTCCCACCTCATGAATAATCATGTCAGACTTCCATAAGAGTCTCCCTAGTGCCAGTCTTTGCTGTCTCATCCTTATGAGCAGCCTGCCCTGAATTCTCTCACTTTCGGTGTACTGTCTGTTCTGCACCTACCTTTCAAAATATTCTTTTTCTTGTGCAATAAATTACTCTATGCTGCACTTCTTTTGCTGTGTCCCTTGTTTAAATTCTTTCAAACTAAGAACTGAGGTTTCACACAGCCGTCAACAGATATACACATTTTAAAATATCATTTATAATAGCATAAAAATGAAAGTGCCTGAATATAAATGCAGTAAAACTTCTGTACAAGATCTTTGTGGATAAAATTATTTAAAATTTTGTACAGGTATTTAGAAGATTTAAATAGATATAAGAGTCAACCTTGTCCATGGTTAGGAAGCCTCAATCTCATAAAAATGTCAATCCTCCCAAGTATATCTATAGATTCAATGCAATCCCCAACAGGATGTGTGTGTGTGTGTGTGTGTGTGTGTGTGTGTGTGTGTGTGTGTGTGAAATTCAAAGAGCTGATTCTAAAATTTATATACATGAACAAAGATCCCAGAAAAGGAGCAATGGACTCATACTCCCTAAATTAACTGGATTTTATGACTCATCACCCAGAGCAGGCTCAGTACAATACTAGTTGGGAGACAACTCCCTGTGAGGTTGGGGTGCTGTGCTACAGGATGTGGTAAATGCCTTAATCCAGAGGTCACTGTGTGGGGCTATCTTCCCCATAGGCAAGAAGCACAGGTCTGGGAATCAAGAGGTACAAATGAAAGTTTCCCTTCTTACTGGTATCCCCAGCGCTCCCCGGAAGGAGTCTTACTTCAAGTTACCACAACCCACCACAGCACCCGGTAGGTTGGGAGATCCTAGTTCCCAAAAGATGAATACTTCCACCGGCTAACTGGCAATAAAGTGGAAGATTAAACTGTGTGAATTATTCTTTTTTTTTTTTCTTTTTGAGACAGGGTCTTGCTCTGTCACCCAGGCTGGAGTGCAGTGGTGCCATCTTGGCTCACTGCAGCCTCGACCTCCCGGTCTCAATGCAGTCCTCCCACCTTCCACTCCCAAATAACTGGGACCACAGGAACACACCACCCTGCTCAGCTAATTTTTGTATTTTTTTGTAGAGATGGGGTTTTTCCATGTTGCTCTAGGCTGGTCATGAACTCCTGAGCTCAAGCAATCTGCCTACCTCAGCCTCCCAAAGCATTGGGATTACAGGTGTGAGCCATCGCAGCTGGCCCCGACTATTCTTGACTCTCAAGTCATCACTAAGCCAACAGGCATAGGAAGTGGTCATTATACTGGACAGTAATTGGTCCTAGAAGCCAGCAAACAAAGGGCATAATCAGAGTAAGTGCTGGAAGTTAGAGGCAGGGTGGCAAGTTAGGGCAGAGGTCACAGAGGGTCAGTCCATCTTGACTAGGCTTGTCAGTCGGACTGAGGCATTCCAGAGGCTCTGGGCAACATGAGGATCCCGAGAGGCTTTAACGGGAAGAGTTATCACACAGGAACTGCTGAAATATTTTCCAGAAATACCACCCGGCTCCTCTGCCAAGCTCAAGTAGAGGACTGGGAGTACACCTTGTTTGAGATCCTGTTGGGAGGGACAAGCGAAAAAGAAGTCATGCCAGGCAAACTTTGGCCTGCTGGGACACACTGAGAAGTTGAGCCCTGCCCCATTCCTCTAGGCCAAACCAGTTCTTTCCCCCACCTACCTTCATGAAGAAGCTGACAAGCTAGAAGAGGAAGCATTATGGCTAAGAGAAATGCCTCATAATCCCCATGTATACAACACCGGGCTCCACAGCATTCACAGTCATTCCTAAGAAGGTGAGACACAAGGAGAGTGCAAAGTGAAGAGAGAGGAGGATGACCGATAAAAGGGGTTAAGTGTAGTTCAGCAGCGTGCAAATCCTACCAAGTCTGTTGGGTAGTGTTGACCAGTGACTTGAGGGTGGTGCAGGGGACACTGGTGCTCTGTAGCTTACCTTAATGGTACCCAAGCCAGTAAGGAAGGATGGGTATTGGAAGTGTTGGGTGAACTGTAGGAGGAACATGGTGGACGATGCTGGTATTGGAAAACACCAGCAGGAAAGAAATATTGTGGGAGATGAAAAGAGTGGGAAAAGGTTGAAATGATGTGAATACAGGGTTGAGAGAAATAGAGGGTACAAAGATGATAGTTGGAGTGGAATAAAATGCTGGTTTGGGGCACATTGGGAGTACTTTATGGCCAGGACATGTTGGCAGGAGATGCGAAAGGTTGGGAGGTGGTGCTGGGAGTGGAGTAAGGGGTGTCAGAGGCAGTTACCTCTTCCTTGAAGTCTCTGGGCAAGCTCTCCAGTGAATGAAGTCAATAGCAGTTTGCTGCAGTCATAGTTTTGGTTAAAGGTCAAAGGGCCTCCAGCCTGTCAGGTGCCCCTCATCAATGTACCCATGTGCATGCCGAACGGAAGACACATTCACCACTGGGGCTGACCCTGCCTGTCGTAGGGCCCCTGGGTAGAGATGGGAGGGACCACACTGCTTCAATCCAAGTTCTAGAGTAAACTCCCATGCTCACTCCCCAACCTGCTTCTCCAGAAGATAGGAGAGCAGGGCTCTCTAAGAAGGGGCAGTGGGGTCCCTATCCAGAAACCTGGGCTAGGCATAGGAGAGCTTAATGTTAGCTGGGACCTCATTTTCATTATTAGCTGCCTTCCTAATGATCTTCTTCTTCTTTCATATTAGTGTTTGGAGTTTTGCCTTTCTTTTCTTCTACTTGCTAGTTGGAGCTACCTTAATTGATCCTCATTTATATGTTTTATTTCACTGATGGCTAAGAAGGGGAAGGAGAAGCTGGAAACACTGTGAAAGTTGCTTTCATGTATTCATACATTCATTCCTTCATTTATCCATCCCACAAATGTTCATTAGGCACCTGGAATATGGCAGACACTAAGCTAGGTGCTAAGGACATAACGGTGCTAGGTTTGGGGGAAAAGAAATATGTGTGCAGAGATACTTGAGAAAATGTTTTTAAAGAAACAAAGCTAGGGAAGGTCATCACTGGAAAACTATTAACAAGCTTAATATTTAAAAAAAAAAAAACCAACTATGTTTCAAACAAAAACAAAATTAAAATCCTAAAGTTAAATCTTAAAAAAAATGTTTAAAATAGTACATAAGTGTTTTAGTCTGTTCTCACACCACTATTAAGATGCTACCTGAGACTGGGTAATTTATAAACAAAAGTGGTTTAATTGACTCACAACTCTGCATGGCTGGGGAGACCTCGGGAAACTTATAATCATGGTGGAAGACAAAGGGGAAGCAAGGCATGTCTTACGTGGTGGCAGAAGAGACAGAGAGCAGGCAGGGGAAAACTGCCACTTTTTATTTATTTTTTATTTTTTATTTTTTTTGAGTCGGAGTCTTGCTCTGTCGCCCAGGCTGGAGTGCAGTGGCGCGATCTCGGCTCACTGCAAGCTCCGCCTCCTGGGTTCACGCCATTCTCCTGCCTCAGCCTCCCGAGTAGCTGGGACTACAAGCGCCCGCCACCACGCCTGGCTAATTTTTTTTTTTGTATTTTTAGTAGAAACGGGGTTTCACCGTGTTAGCCAGGATGGTCTCCATCTCCTGACCTCGTGATCCACCCACCTCGGCCTCCCAAAGTGCTGGGATTACAGGCGTGAGCCACCGCACCAGGTCAAAACTGCCACTTTTAAAACCATCAAATCTTGTGAGATCTCTCTCAATATCACAAGAACAGCACGGGGGAACTGCCCCCATGACCCAATCACTTCCCACCAGGTCCCTCCCTCTACATATGGGGATTACAGCTGGAGATGAGATTTGGGTGGGGACACAGAGCCAAACCATATCAATAAGTATACAAAAAAGTCTGGATTGGCTGGGTGTGGTGGCTGATGCCTGTAATCCCAGCACTTTGGGAGGCCAAGGCGAGAGTTTGAGGCCAAGGTGGGAGGCCTGAGGTCAGGAGTTTGAGACCAGCCTGCCCAACATGGCAAAACCCCGTATCTAGCAAAAATACAAAAAATTAGCCAGGCATGGTGTTGGGCACCTGTAATCCCAGCTACTCGGGAGGGTGAAGCAGGAGAATCGCTTGAACCCAAGAGGCGGAGGTTGCAGTGAGCCGAGATCGCGCCACTGTACTCCAACCTGGTAAACAAGAGCGAAACTCCGTCTCCAAAAAAAAAAAAAAAAAAAAAAAAGTCTGGATTATGTAAAGTATAAAAAATAGTTGTTGTCACATATGAGTTTACAGTATTGTTTTTAAAATGCTAAAACTATTTTGAAATTAAGACTCACTCAGTGGGAGGCCAGCCTGCTGCATGGACTGCTTCCAGCACTGCTCCTTCTCTCCCCAGAAAAAAAAATTAATACAAAATAAAATTTAAAAATTACAAATTACAAATGAGAAACTGAGCAGGTGGTATTTAGCCAAAATTTGCTGGAAAGAAAATTATTCTTAAAGAAGACAATGGACTTTAAATTTGCAGACAGTGACATAGAGACCAAAAGTGTTCTCTGCTCAGTTGGAGAGACTGATCCTCACAGAGCAACATCAGTGCAGTCACAGAGATATGTACAAGGGGGCTAATGGAGCCCCATAAATAGGGGTGACTGGGGGAGGTGAAGGTTGGGGAAAGATCCACAGCAGAGGTGATATCTGTGCTGCGTCTTGGCAGGTGAACTAAAGTTAGCCAGGCCAACATGATGAGAAAGGATATTCCAGATAGAAGGAACCGTATGTGCAAAAACACAGCCAGAGGGTGAAAAAAAACAGACCGTGGTCCAAGAGCTGCAGATTGTCTGGCTGGAGACTAGGAGGTGGGTTAAGGAAGGGCAAAAGGCAAGGCTCTTAGTCAGCAGAGGGTTTTTTTTTTTTTTTTGAGACAGAGTTTCACTCTTGTTGCCCAGGCTGGAGTGCAATGGCGCGGTCTTGGCTCACTGAAACCTCCACCTCTCGGGTTCAAGCAATTCTCCTGCCTCAGCCTCCCGAGTAGCTAGGATTACAGGCATGCACCACCACGCCCAGCTAATTTTGTATTTTTAGTAGAGACGGGGTTTCTCCATGTTGATCAGGCCGGTCTCAAACTCCCAACCTCAGGTGATTTGCCCACCTCAGCCTCTCAAAGTGCTGGGATTACAGGCATGAGCTACTGCACCCAGCCTAGCACACAGCCTTCTAAGTGTAGAGAAGGGGCTTAGAGTTCATCCTACAAAGGAGAGGTTACCTTCAAAGGATTTTAAGCAAGAAAGTGTCATGATGAAAGGTGATTACTCGATGTGGCAGTGGGGAGAATAGATTAGAGAAGATGAGACAGGAAAGAAGTTTAAGAAACTGTCACTAAGCAAGATGCAGATAGTGTCGTGACATGTTACAATTTGTGGAAAGGGACAAAAACAATCATACTTGCAGGTGCATAGAGTTTTGCCTTTGTTCACTTTCCAATTGGGATTAATTTAGTTGACTGCTAAAGGATACGTGAGACTCCGGCAACAGTAGTTGCCTCTCAGGAGGGGAACAGGTGGCTTATGTACCAGAAGAGAAAAATAGTTTAAAAAAAAAAACCCTCTGTATCCTTTTGTACACTTTCAATTTTGTACTTTGGATATGTATTACCTGACCAAAAGAAAAATTGCTTTTCTTTTAAGGAGGCTATCACATTGCAAGGGGATGAGTAATTAAAAAATAATAATAATAATAAAGGGGCTATTATACAATCTAGGAGAAAATGTCAGAGAGAATGTTCCTGCCACCCACTCCCCGAAACTTTCCCTGGAGGAGCCAAACTTTCTCAATCAGAAAGGGCCTCTTCAAAGGACTTAGGCCCAAGGCAGTAATGTATCAACTGTATCATCTGTATGGCCTACACCTCTGGCCGACCCTGAGAACAGAAACTGAGTCTTCTTGCTTTCTCTGTTTCTGGTGCCTAGTGTCCCCCTCAAGAAGCCTTCATTGCAAAAACTACTCTACTGGTCTGGCTAGAACTAGGGGATGGGAGAAGGAGGTCTGGGATCTCATATCCCCTTGCTGATTATATTTTGGGCTGAATGATTCTTCTATCAGCCTTCTAATACTGACTTGTGCCAGCTGGGCTTCCCTGATGTGTGACACAAAAAGTGTGTTGGGTCACCACTCAGCAAACAGCTGGGTGCCAAGAGGCAAGAGGTGGTCCTGGGAGACAGTTACTAGAATGCCAGGGGTATAGGGAAGAGGGCAGCACAGAAGGTGCCCATCCTTCCTTACCTTGGAGTAGATTTGTGAGCAGAAAGGGCCCAACATAGTTAGTGACAAAGGTGAGATCCAGGCCCCCTGGGGTAAGTGTCTTCGGAATCCTGGGAGGAAATGAAAACACTGGCATTGAGTGATAAAGGGACCACCTTGAGGGAGACAAGGTCTGGGAGGGACATATTACCTTCAGCAGAAATGCCACAGGGGCACATACATGTGAAGATGGGGGCAATGAAGTTTAAGGCTATAACTCAATGTCAGCTTTTTAGGGGAGGGTATGGATTAGTGTTTTGGCAAGATTGCATAGACTAGGCTTTGAGGATACCTGTTTTAGAGTTCCTGAGCTAGAAAGGAGACTGCAGAAACATGTTTGGAGAAGCAAGCCAGGCACATACCACTGACTCCAGCATTGTTTACCAGCAGATGTATCTCAGGATTCTCCTGTAGAAGCCTCCGGGCAAAGCTCCGAATAGAGGTCATGGAGCTAAGGTCCACCTCGCCAAGCAGGAGGCGGTTGCTGTTTGAGGCTGCTTGGATCTCAGCCAGGGCTTGCTGTCCACATTCCCTGCTCTGACAAGTAAGGATCACTTGGGCCCCACACCGAGCTAGGTCCTGGGATACAACCTTCCCGATGCCTGTGGGAGGACAACTTCGGCTGGGTGGTGACTACAGTGAACAAGGGACACTCTAGGGGAGGGACAAGGGTGTTGATAGTGGATGCTCCTCCCTGCCTTCCCTGTGAGAGTTGTTGGAGGCTGAGGCCCATAGTGAGGATTCAGGGTGGGAGGAGCACTCACCACTGTTGGCCCCAGTCACTATGGCTATTTTCCCAGTCAGATCTGTGGAGCAGCACTGGAGGTCCCAGGGATGAGACTTCTGCCAGAGCTGCACATGTAGTTGAAGAAGACCAGAATAAGGAAGACAGAGCCAGCGCCCCAGACCAGGATGCTGAGTGCAGCCCACAGCAACATAGCAGAAACTTCCTGGGCCTGCTGGGGAAATGCTGTAGGAGGAAGTGGGTGCAGGATAAATCTGGGCAGAGTGGAGACTAGCAATGAGGCAGGTGTGGAGCCTAAGATAAAATTTAAGGAGGCACTGACTCTTGAGTTTGTTCAATATACTGTTTGAGTTTGAGAGTTCCTCCTTAACTTCAAAAGTGAAATTTGGATTTGCAGTCTAAGGTGAAGTGACCAAGCTCCAGGGACCAGGGAAGCAAGAAATCAAGTTCTTCATATCTCGAATCACTCTGTGCTTATGCGGGGCCTTCTCCTTCCTCCCCTACTGAAAGGAGACTCGAAGTTCTCTCTACAGAGCCAGACCCGCTGGCAGCCCTTATGTCTACTCCTTTGGGGGACAGGGGTTTCTCTAGAATGCCTCTGCAATGGGGCAGCTTTGGCCCTAATGCAGGGTCTCCTAAGGGTGGCGAGAGGGTTATTTCCTGAACCCTGGTTCTATCTTCTTCTAGGCCTGCAGGATAACTGCTCCCCTTGGGGTTCAGTGAGAGGGTGGACACCCTTGGAAGAAACTGACAAGAGACATCAGACTAGTTCCTAAGGCAACTCAGGTGTTTATTTCTGGCTAGCAGAGGGAGGGACCAGTTACTACTGCCAGAGGCTCAGGGATCAGAGGGAGGCAGCAGGCTTAGAGGAGCGTGACCACACTTTGGGGGCTGAGTTCTTCATTAGCTGTGCTACGGTCACCTGGGCTTTGGGGCACCTGTCTGGATGGGATGTTGCTCAACGGGAGGAAAGGTGCTACCTTCTTTGTCCTCTTGTTCAGGCACACCAGAGCTGAGCAACACCTGGGTGCTCCGGTTCCACATGCTCACACCAGGGGCCAGCTTCAGGGCTTCTGGCAGCAACACGGGCTTCCACATCACCTGGGAAGTGGCTTCAAGGACCGGGGGTGTGGTTCGAGGCCATCTGCCAGGATCCTGGCCCTCCCTGTCTGCCAGCTCCAGACCCTGTGGAGGCACGCGGGTCCGGCCAGCCCACAGCTCGCCCAGCAGCTCGGCCTTCCCCTCCCAACCGCTGGGCCACCTGACACTGGGCCACAGCTTGGGGCTGCGGCTGCGGGCCACATCAGGGAGCACCGGGTGTGTGGTGAGGAAGCGGATCCTGGAGTTTGGGAGTGGCAGCTTTGACTCGAGGGATGGCGACGATAGGCCTAAATTTAAAGTGGGGAACAGGAGTGCGGGGCCCGAGTCCAAGTCACGGAAAGGAATGCCTGGCCGGAGAGGGAAGAACGCTGCCGGGGAGACACGGGTGCCGGGGCCGAGGGCTTGGGGTTCGGCCCGGGCCTTGGTCTTCTCGCCCCGCTGGCGTCCGCGGTAGGCTTCCAAGGGGCGTGTTTGAGAGTCTGGGACCAGGACCTCAGCCAGAGGGCGCACCCAGTGGCACGGGAGCCTCGCAGGGTCCAGGCGTTTCACGGCCGCCTTGCGGCGCATCCTGTGGTGGTGGGCGCTCAGCCGCACATCCGAGTGCCCGGCCCGCTGCTGCTGGCAGGACGCGGAGGGGCGGGTGGCGCCGCCCACAGAGGGGTAGGACACCAACACGCCCGAGGCGATGCAGGGCACCCCCTCTGACCTGAGTTCCAGCCGATCCCCAGCCGCGTCCAGTTGAGGCATGCAACAGTAGAGGTCTTCCAACGACAAATGGAAGCCGAGGGGGTGTCCCCTCCCAGTTGAGGCCTGGGGGCTGGCTACCAGGTACGGATCCAGAGAAGGGTCGGCATCGTCGGCAGGCGCCTCCTCCACCGACAGTTGGAAGCTCGCGCTCAAGGACCCGGCCGAGGAGAGGCCTCTAGACTGGCCGTCCGCTTCCTCTACAGGACCTCCGGGCCCTGCCTCCTGAAACAGCTCTGATGTGGGAGGAGGGGCCGACGTGACTCTCAGCTGCGGAGAAGGCTCCCAAGATTCCATCTGCTCCTGGGAGCCTCGACCCATCCACGACCTTCCTAAAGGGATCCGGTCCACGCCCCCAGGGTCCTGGGGAAATGCACTCGGGCAGTGAGATGTCGGAAAGGGGAGAGCAGGAGCAATGGCAGAGGAGTCCGGAGAGGCTCCTGAGGAGTGTACTTCGCCTTGGAAGTTCTCCAGGCCCTCCGAGGTGGACGCGTGCAGCACGGGCACTGAACCCTGAGCCCAGGAGTCCGTCGTGCATGCCGAAGGCTCCTCGTCCTCACCCCATGTGGGGTCCTCAGCTACTGCAGATTCTCCCTCGTCCCGGGCCAGGAAGCGCCACTCGGTGATCTGCAGCATGGCCTCCCGGGCCTGGCTGATGGTGAATGGAATGCACTGCGGAGGCGAGAGAGGATCTCAGGTCGGCAGGGAGGGGCGGGAGAGGGAGACGAGTCTGAAGGACCCGGATCCCGGCCCACCTGCTGAGTCAGGTAGACTTTGAAAGCAGAGTCCATGACTCGAGCCAGCAAGTCGGCCAAGATGTCCCCTACGACGTCCTCGCCCTCCTCGAGGGCTGTAAGCGCCATCCACTCGGCCTCACTGAGCCGCCCAGGCACAATATCCACCTGCGGCACTGGCACAGTGGGCGGCCGCACTTTTTCCGCCTTGGACCGGGTCACCCCGCGGTCTCGGACCTGCCTCTCCTGCCTCTGTGAGAACAAAACATGGCAATCAGAGCAGGAAACCAAGAAGTGGAACGGAAGAGTAGCTATAGGCTAGGAGGAAGCTTTCTCAAGTTGTCTAGTGGGAAGGAAAAGGGCCAATTGACGAAGAGCCTACTATGTGACAGATACTTAGTAGATGTTTGACCTAATAATTTTCATTAACAGCCCACTAACCACAATTGACAGATAAAGAAACTGAAGTGGGGAGGCTGAGGAAGGAGAGTCACTTGAACCCGGGAGATGGAGGTTGCAGTGAGCAGAGACTGCGCCACTGCACCCCAGCCTGGCGACAGAGCAAGACTGCGTCTCAAAAAAAAAAAAAAAAAAAAAAAAGAAAAAGAAAAAGAAAGAAAAAAGAAACCGAAGTCTGACAGAAGTTAACCAGCCTTGCTTAGGAGCACACAGTGAGCAAGCCCAGACAATGTGAAGGTTTAACTTCATGGCCCTTATACCAGAGCAAAGTGTTCAAAATTCTTGAGTGTTCAAATTACTTGAGAAAGACAATTCAGTAAACAGTCCTGGAATTATTGGTGCTATTTAGAGTCTTCTCTACATTTTGTTTTCCAGAAAAGGATTTTTTTTTTTTAATTCAAGTAATTGCAAATAGGAAACCAGAGGGGGAGCCCCAGGCTGGGACAAATCATGGCTACCCCTCCCTGACAGACCCGGGGGAGCAGGTGGCCCCTACATGCTTTATGGTGGATTTGGGCCCCCTTGCTCTCTCTGCTGCAGCATCCTAGGGGAGTAGTCAGTCACCCAGCCTGCCATGCCCCAGCCCCTCTTCTCCACGAAGAGTAACCTGGGGGAGGGGATCATGGGCAGAACAGGAGGCAATGTGGATGAACATTTGGCGCTGCTAGCAGCAGCAATGACAGATGTCAAAGAATGGAACATTGAACCAAAAACAAAACAACTGTCCAGAGGTAGTTTGTGAACAAAGGAAAAATGGAACCAGAACCTGGGGGGGTGGCAGGAGCAGGAGGGCTGGGAGTGGGAAGGGTGAGCTCCTTGTTATTGGTGCCCCATCTGAGGAGAGGAAAATGGCCAAGTGGTAGAAGCAAAGTAGGGTTGGGGGAGCAGCCCCAGCCCACCTCAGGTAGCTGCCACAGGGCTCATGGGCCTCACCTGGACAATAGGTGACTGCATCTCCATCACTGCAATATGTACTCAGATCCCAGGCAGACGGTAAGGGGGCTGGGGCCACTGCAAAGAGGGAGTAGGGGACTCACACCCCTCCCGCTTTCCTGTAGCCAATGGGGGCTGTCCAACCTAGTGCAGGGACTAGGGAAGGTGGGGAAGGATGAAAGGTGTGAGCCTCACGTGGTGACAAAGACAGTTTGGCTGGGGGAATCCTGGGGGCCAGCACCCCCCTCCATTGGCCACACCTGCTGCTGCCAGGACAGTGGAGTGGGGTGTGCCAGAATGGGGGCTTGGGCCCCTTTTAAGACCAGGGGAACCCTCCCAGGCCCCTCTATGGGAAGCCAGAGGCAACAGTGGAGGAGCAGAGAAGTGGCTCCCAAACCAAAAGCCCAGAGAGCAATGTCACCACCAAGGGATCAGGGACGCAGCAGGTGCAGGGTGCGGCTAAGCAGGACATTAGCCTTGTCCAGGAGGGCACATGTGTATGAGTGGGTGGACGGGGGGAGGAGGGGGTAGGGATGGGAAGAGGCCAGGGGAAAAGTCCTCTCCACTCAGCCCATAGGGACCTGCAGCGGCTGGTGTGTTGTGTAGTGTGGTGGTGAAGGTGCAGGTGGAAGATGAGGGTGGTGGCTGGAGGCGGTGGTGATGGTGGGTGTAGGGAAGGGGTGGGGGGTGGGAGGTGGGGGGTTGGGAGCAGATCAAAGCTGTCCAGTCCCAGAAGGAAGCTGCTCCTCCAGTGAGGACTCCTGCGAGATGCCCTTCTCTTCCTCCTTCTCCAGTTTTTTGGGTCTTCCCCTTGGTTTCCTTCCCAGAGTTGTGGTGGTTTTCCCGGTCTTGGCAGCACCCTTGTTTTTGCTTCCCTTTGGTCGGCCCCGAGGTCTCTTAGGTGTTGGCACTTCGCTGAGCTCCTTCTGACTCCCTACCAGCGCTGTCCTGGGACTCACCGGAGGCTGCTTGCGCGGCCTGCCACGGCCCCGCTTCTCAGTGCCGTCCTTTTTCTGCTTGGAGGCCAAGGGCTGGCTGGACTTCGAGCTCGACTCGCTCATCTTCCCTTCTCTAAGGACTAGTTGGAAAAGTGATGGCTGGGATGGGCGAACTCGGCCGCTGGCCTGCGGTGCATGCTCCGGTTTGCCGGGAGCAGCGGTGCTGGGCGCTGAGGACAGGCCAGTCTCCACCGCAGCCGCCCCTGGTCGCAAATGCGGATGCCTTCCTGGAGCCGCGCCAGCGCCAGAAATAGCCCAGGCTCGGAGTCCCACTTAGAAGAGCACAGCCCCGGCTCAGGGGAGCTTAAAAAGTTCTCTACATTTTTTTTTTTTAACCAACTATTCTTATCTCCATTTTATGGTAATTTACCCAGTATCATACAAGTAGGATGTAGTGAAGTCAGAATGCATTCACATGCAAGTCTGTCTGACTCCAGAGCCTCTCAAAGACATTTGCAACAAATATGAAAAAAGATAAATATCCCCGAGTAAATTAAAAGCTCATATAAAAAAAAAAATGGCCGGGCGCAGTGGCTCACGCCTGTAATCCCAGCACTTTGGGAGGCCGAGGTGGGTGGATCATTTGAGGTCAGGAGTTCGAGACCAGCCTAGCCAACATGGTGAAACCCCGTCTCTACTAATAATACAAAAATTAGCCAGGCATGGTGGTGGGCGCCTGTAATTCCAGCTACTAGGGAGGCTGAGGCACGAGAATCACTTGAACCCGGGAGGCAGAGTTTGCAGTGAGCTGAGATCATGCTACTGAACTCCAGCCTGGGTGACAGAGCGAGACTCTGTCTCAAAAAAGAAAAAAAAAACTAATAAAATAAAAAATAGAAGAAGAAAAATGGCCAGGCACAGTGGCGCACACCCACAGTACCAGCTGCTCGGGAGGCTGAGGCAGGGGGATTGCTTGAGCCCAGGAGTTCAAGTCCAGCTTGGGCTATATTGCAATAAAAATTTAAACTATAAGAAGAAAAACCATTTAAGATCCCAAAGATAAGCAAAGGACATGACATTTCACAAGAGAGGGACTGTAGATGACTAATAAATATAGTATTGACATTCTGATTTCTAGTTCATCAAATTGGAATTATTTTAAAAACAAGAATACTCAGCATTGGCAAAGGTTTAGTGTGATACCATGCTGCAACAGTATGCATGAAGACATTAAAAAATGTTTTCACTTCCTCAACCCTGCAATTTCAGTTCTATAAATACAACCAAAAGGCATTTTCTGAAATGAAGATAAAAATATATTCTCCAACAAATTCTCTGCGGTATTTTTATAATAGCAGAATATTGAAAACATGTCTTTAAAAAGAGAATAAATAATTGACATGCTATATATACTGAAATATTATGCAATGATTAAAGGTAATCTTTTTTTGTTTGTTTGTTTTTGTTTTTGAGACGGAATCTCGCTCTGTCACCCAGGCTGGAGTGCAGTGGCAAGATCTCGGCTCACTGCAACCTCTGCCTCCCAGGTTCAAGCAATTCTCCTGCCTCAGCCTCCGGAGTAGCTGGGATTACAGGCGCCTGCCACCAGGCCTGGCTAATTTTTTTTCTATTTTTAGTAGAGATGGGGTTTCGCCATGTTGGCCAGACTGGTCTTGAACTGGCCTCAAGTGATCTGCCCACCTTGCAGGCATGAGCCACCAACCCAGCCATTAAAGGTAATCTTTAGAAAGAATTTGCAATGGCATAAAGCAAATGTTTATGATGTAACGTTAATTGAAAGAAGCAGGATACAAACTTACACATCAATTATGATCTCATATATGTAAACCACTATGTGTTCAACAAAAGGAAAACTTCAAAATGATAACAGAGGATACGTTTCCTTCCTATGCTCTTTTCTATTTTGTAAGTTCTCTACAATGAGTTTGTTTCCTTTTGTAATCACTTAAAAAAAAAAAAAGACTAGTCCCCAAAACTCACTTTAGAGACATAAAAAGTTTACAAACAATCTCTTGGGAGCTCCCTCAATTCCCCACAACAGTCTCCCTGAACCTGGTTCCTTCCAAAATGTACTTCCAAATGTGATCTTCCCAAACCTTTGCCTATTGCCCCGCTAAAACCTTGTCTCATATCTGTTTCCTAAAATTCATTATCCCCCCAAATCTGCTGTTTCCTAAGTCTTGCAGAACTCAAAATCCCTGAAGTCTCATTAACCCTATCCACCAGTGAGAACAGCCCTGTAGCAAGCACCAGGAGTGGCCCATAGCCCAGGCCAAGCTTGACTAGAGCAGGGCTGACTGGACTGAGTAAAGAGAGTTGTTTCCTTAGACCTCCCCTCCCAGCCTCGCATCTGACACCCGTGATGGTGACCAGAAGGGACAGAGATATTTTTGCACAAAGGCTCTTCAAATCCGTTTTCTTTCTTCTTCTTCTTTTTTTTTTTTTTTTTTTTTTTTTTTTGAGACAGTCTCTCTCTGTCACCCAGGCTAGAGCGCAGTGGCGCGATCTCGGCTCACTGCAACCTCCGCCTCCCGAGTTCAAGCAATTCTCCTGCCTCTGCCTCCCGAGTAGCTGGGATTACAGGCACCGCGCCACCACATCCAGCTAATTTTTTGTATTTTAGTCGAGACGGGGTCTCGCCATGTTGGCCTGGCTGGTCTTGAACTCCTGAGCTCAGGCAATCCTCCCGCCTCAGCCTCTCAAAGTGCTGGGATTACAGGCATGAGCCATTGAGACCGGCCCCGTTTTCTTTATTTTAAAATTGATTGGCTCTTAAACAATTTGACTTTCAAGTGCAGTCTCTGAATTATTTAATATATTTCTTCCTCTTGAAATTCTCGAAATAGATTTTTTCTGTTATCTTCCCTCTCTAAATGCTCATCCATTTAAATACGCACCACCATGTAAGAGACTTACTACATTCATTAGCTGTTTCAAAATCCACTTCCTGTTCTCGGGCTCTACACCACCCACTGACCCTTTCCCTCATGGCTTGAGTGTAACAAAGCGTTTGAGTGGGCACCGTGCAGGTGTAGGTTTTCTGCCCGAGTACCGACGTGGCTTCCTTGGTCATCTAAACTCCCGCGCGGTGGGCGGGAGCAAGTAGGGGCACTGGGCGGCCCAGAGCCAGCCCACTGTTCCCGACACCGACCTTAACGGCCGACCCTGGCTCTGGCGCATCCCCAGCTGAACTGAAGCTCACCGAGCCTTCGTGCGCCATCGCCAACGCGGTCGCAGCAACGCTGGTGTTTCTGCTGCATCCGGGCCGCGTAAGCCACCTAACAGTCGCCTGGGCAACCACGGGCTCGGGGTCGCTCGCCCCGCCCACAGTTGCCCCGGCAACCGCGCCGCCCGCGGCACGTTCCGGCCGCTCACCCCGCCCAAGGGCCGTGCGTACGTGCGTCGTCTCTATGGTGGCGGCGGATTTGGAGGGACCCTACGAACCAGGAGTCAGGCGAGCCGATCTGGGGCTGCAGGTGTTACCTCTGATCTAGGCCGGGGGCTTCAGGGATCCGAGCCGAGGGAGAAAGCCTTGGGGGCTTCATCACACTTATTTGGCTCGCGGGCTTGGGGCCATCGGGTGGTCCTGTGTCATCCCCATTCCTCCTCTGCGATTCCCCCGTCGCCCCAAAACAGCCCTGGGACTCCCCTGTCTTGCTCCTCGAGACCCTCCCCCATCACCGTCCTCTGGGCACCCCATCCTATGACCCAGTCTCAGGCATCTTCCGAAATGCTCGATGATAGCCGCCCTCGGGCATCTCCGCTGCGTCTGTTTGTAGCGCGCCTGGTGATTCGGCTGCACCCCCACACAGGATGTTCCGCTGGGAGCGCTCCATTCCCCTGCGAGGCTCGGCCGCCGCCCTGTGCAACAACCTCAGTGTGCTGCAGCTGCCGGCTCGCAACCTCACGTATTTTGGCGTGGTTCATGGACCAAGCGCCCAGCTTCTCAGCGCTGCTCCTGAGGGTGTGCCCTTGGCCCAGCGCCAGCTCCACGCTAAGGAGGGTGCTGGAGTGAGTCCCCCACTTATCACTCAGGTGAGGCATGGAGCTGGGAGTGATGTTGCTGAACCCAGTCCTACCCCCAGCCTTTTCTCTCCAAACCTTCAGGAGCAGGCATGTCCTAACCTCAGAATCTCCCCAGGCATGTCCTAACCTCAGAATCTCCCCTCTCCTGCCGGGCGCGGTGGCTCACGCCTGTAATCCCAACACTTTGGGAGGCTGAGACGGGCACTTGAGGCCAGGAGTTCGAGACCAGCCTGGCCAACATGGTGAAACCTCTTCTCTACTAAGAATACAAAAAAAATTAACCGGGTGTGGTGGCGTGCACCTGTAATCCCAGCTACTTGGGTGGCTGAGGCAGGAGAATCGCTTGAACCCAGGAGGCTGAGGTTGCAGTGAGCCGAGATGGCGCCACTGCACTCCAGCCTGGGCCACAGAGCAAGACTCCGTCCCCCAAAAAAAAAAAAAAAACAAACAAACTCATCTTCCCTGCTTTGATTTTCTCCCTACACTGATGCACCTCCCTCCAGGTCCACTGGTGTGTCCTCCCCTTCCGAGTGCTGCTGGTACTCACCTCACATCGAGGAATACAGGTAAGAAGAGGACTCTCCTGCTTGCCCCACCAGAGCCTTCTCAGCTTCCCTGCCAGGCTTCCAGACTTTCCCACTTGCCTCTAAACACTTCCAGACTTTTCACATGCTTGGCCCACTCACTCTTTTTCTATTTCTTATCTTCAATCTTTCCATCTTTTCCAGTTTCCAAGTGCCACCTCCAGTATCTGCCCCTTTACTAGCTGTATGTCCTTACACTATTAACTTCTCACTCTCACTGTTGTCCTCTGAAAAAATTAGGATAAAAATAGTACCTACATCCCAGATTTGTTTTGAGGATTAAATGGGCTAAGGCTAACACGGATATGTGAAGTACTCAGCAGAGGTCAGTTGGGTTATGCCCCCTGGTTCTTGCCCCGGTCTTCCAGATGTACGAGTCCAATGGCTACACCATGGTCTACTGGCATGCACTGGACTCTGGAGATGCCTCCCCAGGTACCTGCAGGACCAAGTGGGGTGGGGGCAGGGAGTGTTTGCTAGGGCTGCAGGAGGGGATATTTCTGATCATTCTCCCCTTTCATATTCAGTACAGGCTGTGTTTGCCCGGGGAATTGCTGCCAGTGGCCACTTCATCTGTGTGGGTGAGGGAGCCAAGTGCAGGGCATGGAGGGGTGCTGGGGCATGTGGGCTGTGGCCAGGAGAATAATGAGGGCCTGAGGAAATTGTGGAAAGTTAGAGGGAAGGGTGGAAGTGGAGTGGAATCAGAGACTCCAGTAAACCATGGAAGGGTTCAGAGGGTCAGGGTGGGATAAGACAAGGCTAGTGAATGAAGGGGCATGGCCGTTGGAGCAGTGAGAGGGGGTTTTGTTACTAAGGTTTCTGGGATGGAGTAAGTGTTGAGTATGGTGGCTGGAGACCCAGGAGGGTCAGGAAGTCATCACTGGAGTACTGGTTCTGGATACAGGAACGTGGTCAGGCCGGGTGCTGGTGTTTGACATCCCAGCAAAGGGTCCCAACATTGTACTGAGCGAGGAGCTGGCTGGGCACCAGATGCCAATCACAGACATTGCCACCGAGCCTGCCCAGGGACAGGTGAGTGGACTTCCCCTACCCATCTGGGAGCCTTCCCCACCCTGGGAGGCAGGGGACCTGGCTTTGAGTCTTGGCTCTGCCACTAAACAGGTGGATGGCTTTGGGCAAATCTACATTTTCCTAGTCTTCAGCAACCAGGTTCAGTGATAAAGCCAGAGATACTTTACATTTATGTAGTATTTTATAGTTAATTAAGACTTTATAATACTGATGTGAAATGAGGAGTTGGAACAAATGGTTTCTAAGATACTTTCCAGCTCTGAAATGTGCAGCTTCCTTCTCTAGGGCAAGTCCCACCTATTCAGGCCCAGCTCCAGTGCCATCCATCCTCTCCAGGAAGCCTTCCCCATATTCTAGCTCCCACTGATGTCTCTTAGCTGAAACCTGAATTGGCACTGCCCTCAAAAGACAACTCTTGTCTCCCCAAGTAATTTGCAAACCTCTTGAGAACAGGGTGTATATTTTCTTATTCATATTCTCCATTGTACCTGGCATAGGGCTAGGCCCATAGGTTGTGTTGGCTGCCTGGTGTTGGGGGTGCAGGGGCCCAGGGTCTAGTCATGACTGTGACTGGTTCACTACGAGACCTCCAGAAGGTCACGACACTGTGGCCTCAGTTTTATCATCCATCCAGTGAGGCAATTATGCACCCCCTCCTAATGTTATTGGGGGATGGGACTCCATGAAGAAATTCAAGGAAAGCAGTTCATGCTTCCCAAGGGAACCCTGGTGGTAGGGGTGGTTTCTGATGGGTCTAGCTAGTGAGAGCTCCACACCTTGCCCTTTCCCTGGAGAGGCAAAGATGCACACACTGCCTCCCTTCCCCTCCTGCCCTGTATACAGGACCATAGCAGGGGAGAAAGGGAAGGGTTGATCTTGCCTTTCCCTTCAGGATTGTGTGGCTGACATGGTGACGGCAGATGACTCAGGCTTGCTGTGTGTCTGGCGGTCAGGGCCAGAATTCACATTATTGACCCGCATTCCAGGATTTGGGTAGGTGAGGCAGAAAGGGTAGAGGGCTTCCTGAGATAGCTTCAGGCTGGGGAGTAGGATTTGATCTGGGCAAAACAAAGTTGGGTGTCACCCTTGCAGAGTTCCGTGCCCCTCTGTGCAGCTGTGGCAGGGGATCATAGCAGCAGGCTATGGGAACGGACAAGTGCATCTATATGAGGCCACTACAGGAAATCTACATGTCCAGATCAATGCCCATGCCCGGGCCATCTGCGCCCTGGACCTGGCTTCTGAGGTGGGCAAGGTAAGTCTCCTCCTCTGTACCTACATACCCTTTTTCCTGGCAGTGGAATGTTGAGAGAACACCACAGGCTTGTCTTTGCAACTCAGTGTAGCCCCCTCCCCTGGGGCACCTGGACTGGGGATTCCAGCTTATAGCTGTCCCGTCAGGGCATTCTGACTCCCCCTCTTCCTCCTCCACAGCTACTCTCTGCAGGTGAGGACACCTTTGTGCATATCTGGAAGCTGAGCAGAAACCCAGAGAGTGGCTACATTGAGGTATGTGTCATGGGGTGGGTGGAATGGGGGGGCCCAAGCATGGGGCAGCAGGCCCTGACGAGCCCTCTGCTCCCCCAGGTGGAACACTGTCATGGTGAGTGTGTCGCCGACACCCAGCTGTGTGGTGCTCGATTTTGTGATTCCTCAGGCAACTCCTTTGCTGTGACTGGCTATGACCTTGCGGAGATCCGGAGATTCAGCAGTGTGTGAGAAGAGCAGCCTTCCTTTGTCCCTGTGGTATTCATAAAGTACCCGCTCCACCCAGCCTTTGTCTGATTACTCAGTATCACAGTCATGTTTCACAGCTGGTGAACTATGCTCCAGGGATGATGTGAGGCAGGTCTAGACCAGGCAGAGAGAGGCACCCTGTCCTCAGGAGCCAGGTGAAGGCTGCTGTTAAATAACTTTAATGGTTGATGTGGGAGTCACAAGGGAGGTATGTTTGCTCCAAGGGTTCTTCAGTGCCATCCTCAAAGCTGGTTAGTGCAGGGAGGTAGGGCAGAGTTGGTTCCAGTTTTCTTCCAGGAAGGGTTTAGGGAGGTCCCAGCGAGCCCCAGGAATGAGTCCCTCGGTACCATGGCAACCACAATTTAAGAGGGGCTTCTGCCCACCCCTGCAGCCTACCCCAGGTCCAGCAGAGGAACAGGAGGCCAGACTGGCCAACTTGCTATAGACAGCGCCGTATCCAGAGCCCAACTGCGCATGGGTCATTTTCTCTTCTGGGCAGATCCTATGCCAGCACCTTTCTCTCTCACACTGGTGACTGGAGCCAAGTGCGAGGTTGGCCTTTGCTGCAGAGGCCTCTGGTCCGTGGGGATCGCTGAGGTGGGAGGGGGGCAACCGAGCGAGCCCTAGGGGAGTGGTCTGGGGGGACAGCATCCAGGGAAAAGGTTCGGGGTCTCCCCCAGGGCAGGGGGTGGGTCCAGTCTGGGGCTGGGGCCACTGAGGCAGGCGAGCAGGGGTTAGGCAGGGCAGGCTGGTCTGTAAACATTGCCAGCCAGGGTGGGGGTGTCTCCAGCCTTGCGCCCTCCCGCTGGGTCAGGATGTCTGTCACCGCTGCGATGTCATCCAGCGGCTCAATAGCTGTGGCACCAGGAAGGGGTTGGGGGAGGGTTGGGCTAGTCAGAGCTCAGGCCCCAAGCCTACCCAGCCCTATCACCTGTCACTGTAATAGGAGGAAAGCAAAGCCTGGATCTCAGTGGAGATTGCGTTATCCTGCAGGAGCAGCCCCTCACCTGGGCCCCCTGGGGCTACAGGCTCTGATAAGACTGTGGGACATGGGGCACAAGGTAGATGGGGATGGGAAGGGGAGGAGTGGGGAGCAGAGGTGGGTGAAGAAACCAAGAGGAGAAAATGAAAGCGGTGCCAGGCAAGTGAGGGGTCAGAAGAAGAGACAGGAATCCACATGCAGAAAGGGAAACAGAAAAGAAGAAATTAGGAAAGAAATTAATGAAATGATCCTGGCTCACTGGGGTTTTGTTTTGAACTTTGGTGGAGGTGGTTCTAAAAAGAGTTGGAGAGGAGAAAAGAACACACAAGATTGGGTGAGACTTGGGTCCCCAGAGATCTGGTGTAGCCCAGAGTGTGCTTTCTCTCTGTTTCCATTATCTGGTTTCTCTTGAAGTCCCCAACCCTACTTCCCATTAGCTTCCTGGAGTTCACATTCCTCTCACTTACCCATCTCATGGTACAAGGACCCCTGCTTTGCCAGTGCTTGGGGTGGTTTCCGGGGAGCAGGAGTTTCAATTTTCATGATTTCATCACAGCACTGCTTCCATTGGCCTGGAAGAAGAGCGCTGATTAAAAGAGAGAGCCAGGCTGCCCTTTCTCCTGCTACATTCCCTTCCACATAATCTTGAAACAGAGGCCTTTAGTAAAAATGACAAACTCCAGTTCTTCCCAAAGGTTCAACCCAGCCCCCTTCTCTCTTACTCATGTCAAAGAAAAGCTGCCACAGAGCCTCCATCCAGCTCTGCAGTGCTTCCCGACTTTCTGTCTGAAGGGTGTGTGTCACCTCATCATCCCCATACTGGTTACTGATGCTTAGGGTGAAGGGCCGTCCTAGAGCCTGGTCCAGCTCCCCTGCCCGGACTCGAGTCTCCTGCAGGAGAAAGAAGAGGTCTACCTTGGTCACAGAAGTTGGCAGTGACAATCAGGCAGCCTTGATCACGCCTGCCTTAGAAGAATGAGCTTGTGGGGCTTTTGCTGAGCCCTCTCATTTGCCTCCTACTGACCAGAGTAGGAAGGAATGGCAAAAAAGGGCTGGGGATGAGACAGCCAGTCCTGAGTCAGGGGAGGAGGAGCAGCTTGAGACAGGGAAAAAGGGATTGAGCAAGGCAGGGAAGACACAAAGGTAGGCAAGGATGCTCCAGCCAGAGGTCCCTCAGAACTGACAAAAAGTAGGCAGGAAAGCCCATAAAAGGGATAGGGAGCAAAGAAGGGCAATTGGACCTGGAGAGAAATGGGAAGTGGTAAAGTAGATATAAATTGGAATCTGAGGGAGAAGAGGGAGAGAGGATGAAAAGCCCTGAACCTGCAGGCGAGAGAACCCTCTCTGAGATTTGGCAGGGACTGAGGATGGCAAGTGAATGGGACGATCCTCTCACAGTGATGCTGTAGTTGGGGAAAATACGGGCCCCTGAAGCTGGATGTGGCACTGTCAGGAGCAGGAGGCCTGCTTCTATCTCTCTGAGGTATGTGCCCACCCTCCTGGGGCCTGAAGGAGAGGCTCCTGGGCCTGTGCCCTTGGTGGCCTTACTACCAAGGGACCCATCACCTTGTTGACAGCAATAGTAAGCAGCGGCTCTTCCCCAGTGTCTGCATCCTCAGGTTGCCGGTAACAGAAGAGGTTTGTGCCTTTCAGAACTCCATGCACTTGTGCCCAGTTCTGCATCTCCCCAGCTTGCTGCACAAATGACTCAACATTTTCTGGGGAAGTCACGGCCCCCAGTATCCCTCTTCTCAGCCCCCCATGAGAACCTGTTCGTTTTGTCCACCCTGCTGTCCATTCCTCCCCTCGTCTGGCCATACCCCATTTCTTCCACCCAAATCTTGATTTTTCATTAGCTCTTCTATTCCTGGTTATCCAGCTCTCCTCTGCCTTCTCCCTGCTCCCTTCCACTCCTCAGGGCCCCCTCACCTGCACCCTGAGGGTACCACTTGCAGTGGGCTGAGTCATGCAGAGAGGCTGAGCTGCCAGACGGCAACACACGCTACCATAAAGGGGCAGCCAGGCAGGGTTCTCCTCTGGGGGAGGAGGAAGTGCAGGGTGAGGTAGGGGAATGAGAAGGGGACCATCCCACAGCCCCTCTTCTCACCATCACATGTGTATGTCCCCCATGCACACACATACTTACCATGACTGGCAAGGGTGAGGTCATGTGTGCGGAATCCATCTTGCACTGCTGCCAGGGTGAGTGTGGTGTGAGCCAAGAGGTGGTAACGAGGACCACTGAGGGAGATAGGAGAGAGCATCAGCCAAGGGAGGGGCATGTTGGCCAGCAGGAACTCTAAGGGCTGAGCAGATCTGCCCCATTGTTCAGACTGCCCCACAGAAAACTCGCTTGCCTCCCCAGAGGGTTAGGAATGAACATTTACCGAGCTCCAGCTAAGTGTCAGGACGTATGCTTTATATGTTTTATCCCACTGTATTCCTATGACAGCCCTGTGAGGTTGGTGGCATTCTTCAACTAGATGAGGCAGCTTGAGGCTTAGAGAGGTTAAGAAACTTGCCCATAATTTATAGGTGGAAAGTGGGGGAGTTTGAATTTGAACCCATATCTATGTCCAAAATCAGTATTCTGTTCACTACCCAAAGGTTCTCAAACTGCTTCTCAGAGTCTCAGTGGTCCCATGCGGTGTCTCCAGGTGCATTTAGGTACCACCATAGGTCCCAGGGTACTCTGCTCCAACCAAGAAGCTCTGCTCTATCCACATAAAATGTATTTGCTAGGCTGAGTGCTGTGGCTCACGCCTGTAATCCTACCACTTTGGGAGGCCGAGGCGGGAGGATCACTTGAGCCCAGGAGTTCGAGACTAGCCTGGGCAACATAGTGAGACCCTGTCTCTAAAAATAAAATGTATTTGCTGCTGCTAAAAAGGTAAGACCCCAGGGCCTAAGTCTCCCTGCCTTCCCACTGGTCTTCTGGACTGGCTTCAGCCCAGCTCTGGGGCGTGGGCTGGAATGCCTCCCAGCTACGTGGCCACTGCTCATTCATATCTGTCTGCACATCCTGGCAGCAATGCAAAATGGGTTCTGCACACTCAACACAGTTCAAAGGTCACCTGTGGGCAGAATACAGGCAGCTGAGGGTGGTGTCGGTGTGCAAGGCCTTACCCAACAACTGGGGTGGGGAGCAAGATGGGACTGCTCCCTGAACCCCCAGCACTGTCCAGCGATGCCCGGACACGCCTCCCTGAGGAGCGGCCCAGGGAGCTGCTGAGTTTGGTGGCAAGCCTCTTGGGGCCGCCAGTCAGGGCCCCCTCTTCTTCCACACAGGCCCCATACAGCTCTAACCGCAGTTCAAAGTCTGGCCCCGCCTCAGCGCTGGTGGGAGGAAGAAAGGAGGGTGGTCACAGGAAAGTCCAGGGAGGCAGAGGGTAGGGGATGTGGGTGAGGCAAGTGCAGGACAGCTCCACAGAGAAGGCCAGGTGCCCCTCCTCTCCACCCTGCCCCCATCCCAGCTTCCTCCCCTGGAACTCGCTCATCCAGAACTGGAGCAGAGTGGAGGAAGGAGGTAGCCACAGTGTGAGGTACTCACAAGAGCACATTGCTCTGAAAGGAGATGTCTGTGAGGGTCCTGTCCACTAGGATCATCTCTGTGTCCTGGATGTGTTCCCCCAGCTGCAGCAGCAGGAACACAGCCCAGCGGTGCAAGTCTGGGGACAAAGGGCAAAACAAAAAACACGTCCCACGAGAGCCTCCTACTTCAGGGTCATTCCCCTGAATTTGTCCCAGGGTGTGTGGAACTCACCACCTTTGTTCTTGAAATATTCTGTGTCCTTCCACATGAGTGGAATCCGGAGGTCTAAGGGGCAGAGGGGTAAGAATAGATGTTGAGATGGGGCAGGAGGCCGTGTGCTTGGGCAAGGGGTACCAGCAGCTGGGGTAGCTGTGCTTCTTACCAGAGATGCAGACCCGGCCGCGGCAGGGGGAGCGCTCAGCGGGCGGGCCACTGTCAGAAGGCCTGTGGATAAATCACAATGTCCTGGCCTGGCCTCTAGCCACTATTCCCCCTTGCTCTGGTCCCAACGACTCTAGGATCCCCCTGATCCCAGCGCCTCAGCCACCAGGTTCCCAGCCAGGCCGACAGGCAGGGCTGAGGGACTATAAGGGAAAGTTGTTCATTGAACCCAGCAGTTTGCCAGGCTTGGGGACACCAGGGACACTCAAGCCACATTAACTCACACATAAGGCACAAGCTCAGGGCTCCTCTCTCCAAGCAACCTCCCTGACCACCTCTCCAGATCCCTGCCAAGGACAGGTGCAGCCTTGAGGGGACAGGTGCCCACAGAAAGACTTCATTTCCAGGGCTCTCCATTAAACCCCTGGCTTAGAGGGGTCTCCAGTCTTTATTTTTTTTTTTTTTAACAATAGGAAAGCTGCTTATTTCCCACCATCCCATCACTTCTTTGATATAGGAGGGTACTGGGTCAGAAAATAATTTGGCCAACATTTGTTCAAAGGAAAATCACCAATAGGGAAGAGTTACGTTCCATTCACTACAGACCCTTTTCCTTCCCTACCACTCCCCAACTTTGATTTCTCCTTTTTCCTCCTGGCCTGATATGGTGTACCCTACTAGTGCCCCAAGTTCTGCAGCTCCCCCACACCCCACTGCAGGGCCCGACACCCCACCTTCCTTCCCTCCCTGCCCATCATCAGGACTCACCATGTGTCCCTTTCCTGAAGCGACTGCCAGTTCATCTGTACTTACTCATAATGCCACTAAAGTAATTACTGACTTAGTAGAGCCTTAAGCTAAATGATGTGGCACTAATGGCAATGTGTTTAGCTGCCAGGCACTTGGGGTGTACCTCAAATCACCTGTGTGGGCTGTGTGAGGACTTTGGCAGGACAGAGTCTGTCCATGCTGCCTCTCAGAGGCTGTCCCCCCACCAGCTTGCCCTTCCTCTAGCTTCATGGGATAGCCATACAGTGGGTTTTCTGCCTTCTTCTGGTAGCTTCATGGGTGAGCTCCTGGCAACCTCCTCTTGTGTCAGCCTTCATGGCTGGAATGGGCACCATACCTGTGAGGGGCTGGGACTATTTCCCCTAGCAGCCTCAGTGGAGTAAGTAGGCCACTTTCCTAAAAACCAGTTCTCCAAATGACCACTTTATCCAAATTGGCATATTCTTAGAATAATTTGCCAAATATTTTCCCCAATATTTTGGTTTTATCATGGCATCACTTAAGTCATTATAGACTTGTCAGATCAACAGTCTAATGTCAGTGTTGCTTACATTTTACATCCAGAAGCTGAGCCCTTTTAGAATGCACAATCTAATTTGTTTGAATGGGTAGGCTTTCCTTAAGTGGTTTCTTATTTCCTTTCCCACTCCCTGCCTCTGAAGGTGAACCCCAGATATAACAAACTATTGTCAGTATGTGGTAAATTGGTGATTTTGTGAACCAGCGTTGAGGAAATTAATTTTCCAAAAGCCAGATAGCCAGTCTTACTGGATCACAGACAGGGCTTAGCAAATTAGTGCTTTTGCATTACTTGCTACCCTTCAGATCAGCTACCTTTCACCAGACACACCGACTTTTCTAAGTCCTGCCCTGGCTACTCACAAATGCGCCTCTGGGCAACACACAGTGGTGGTAAAACACCAAGGTCTCTCCCAGGTCCCTGATAAGACTTCATGGGGAAGTCATCTTTAAGGTGGTCCACATGCCACACACGCACATGCTGCACCACCACCACCCAGAAGGCCTCCTGCCTCCATCGAGGCCTCGTCTCCCCCTTGCTCACCGCCGGCTTGTCTTCCCCAGCACCTGCGCCTCCTTGCGCCGCTGCAGCTCGCCCATGTAGCTGAGGATGCGGCTGTTGCACACTAGCAGGCTCTTGGTGGCCTCCAGAGCCTGCTCTCGCTGGGAGCAGGCTGCCAGCAGCTTACAGGCCCCTTCCCTCATCCGGATCTCATGGTCTAGCTTCCTCTGCAACTCCGTGTCCTAGCCAGGGTTGGGGGAAGGGTGAGAAGGAAATGTCAGTCAGTGGACAGGCTAAAGCACTCCCCAGTCCCCAGGTGGGCTGTGGCCAGTAAAACTGACAAGAAACTAATGTTTTAGGCAGTTCAAGAGCAGGCATTGGGTCTCAATCTCAGCTGCCCACGAATAACCAGAGAAGCTTTGTAGCCAGGTGCAGTGGTGTGTGAGGGAGGCTGAGGTGGGAGGATCCCTTGAGCCTAGGAGATCAAGGCCAGCCTGGGCAACATAGTGAGACCCCACCTCTAAAAAAATATATAACAGCCGGGCACGGTGGCTCACGCCTGTAATCCCAGCACTTTGGGAGGCAGAGGCAGGCGGATCACAAGGCCAGGAGATCGAGACCATCCCGGCTAACACGGTGAAACCCCGTCTCTACTAAAAATACAAAAAATTAGCAGGGCGTGGTGGCGGGCGCCTGTAGTCCCAGCTACTTGGGAGGCTGAGGCAGGAGAATGGCATGAACCCGGGAGGCGGAGCTTGCAGTGAGCCGAGACTGCACCACTGCACCCCAGCCTGGACGACAGAGCAAGACTCTGGCTCAAAAAAAAAAAAAACATATATATATATATATAAAACAAATAAGAAAAATAGAGATGCCCTCATGCATTTGATGGTTGGAAGTATAAATTCCTTCAGCCTCTTTTGAGTGCAATTTGGAAAAAAATCTATGAAAACTACAAATTCATATATCCTTTAATTCAGCTATCCAATACCTAGCAGTTTATCTTACACATATAATTTCACATATATCTAGGTAAAGCCATACATACAAAAATATTCAGTGCGGCATTTTTTTTTTTTTTTGAGACGGAGTCTCGCTCTGTTGCCCAAGCTGGAGTGCAGTGGTACGATCTCAGTTCACTGCAAGCTCCACCTCCTGGGGTTCATGCCATTCTCCTGCCTCAGCCTCCCAAGTAGCTGGGACTACAGGCGCCCGCCACCACATCCGGCTAATTGTTTTTTTGTATTTTTAGTAGAGACGGGGTTTCACAGTGTTAACCGGGATGGTCTCGATCTCCTGACCTTGTGATCCGCCCACCTCGGCCTCCCAAAGTGCTGGGATTACAGGCGTGAGCCACCGCGCCCGGCCTCATTGTGGCATTGTTTTAAACACCAAAATTAAAACCCCTTCAGTAGGACATTGGTTAAATAAGTAACAGTACATCTGTACCCTGTAGTATTGCAGACATTAAGGAAAGAGATATGCACATGTATGCAGATATGAAACAATCTCCAAAATAAATGATGTGAGAAAAGAAGGGTAGTATTGCACATACTACCATTTGTGCATGATATATATATATGTATGCATGCATATATATACATAGATATAGATATGCATGTTTATGCATAAAATATTAGTGATTGTAGGCCTGGGAGCCAGGGATGGAAAACATTTATGATACTTTTTTTTTTTTGAGACCGAGTCTCACTCTGTCACCCAAGCTGGAGTACAGTGGCGCGATCTCAGCTCACTGCAACTTCCACCTTCCAGGTTCAAGTGATTCTTGTGCCTCAGCCTCCTGAGTAGCTGAGATTACAGGCATGTGCCACCACGCCCGAGTAAGTTTTGTATTCTTTTTTTTTTTTTTTTTTGAGACCGAGTCTTACTCTGTTGCCCAGGCTGGAGTGAAGTGGCATGATCTCGGCTCACTGCAAACTCCGCCTCCCAGGTTCAAGCAATTCTTCTGCCTAGCCTCCGGAGTAGCTGGGATTACAGGTGTGAGCCACCACACCCAGCTAATTTTTGTATTTTTAGTAGAGACGGGGTTGCACCATGTTGGCCAGGCTGGTCTCAAACTCCCGACCTCAGGTGATCCACCCGCCTTGGCCTCCCAAAGTGCTGGGATTGCAGGTGTGAGACACCATGCCTGGCCTAACTTTTGTATTCTTAGTAGAGACAGGGTTTCGCCATGTTGGCCAGACTAGTCTCGAACTCCTGGCCTCAAGTGATCCTCCCACCTCGGCCTCCCAAAGTGCGGGATTACAGGCTTGAGCCACTGCGCCCAGCCTAATGATACTTTATATATACCCTTTGTACTACTGGAAATTGTATTTCCTTTAAAAAATATTAGATCTTTGGAGTTTAAAAAAAAATGATCAGGCCCTACCTAAGATTTGCAGAATAAGAATCTCTAGGAGTGGGGCATATGTACTTTTGGAAAACTCCCCAAGTGATTCTGAGGTACACCCAGGTTGAGAACCACCAACTCATGGGAATGGACAGAAGGAAAGGCAAATGAGAGTTATCCCTCAGACTCAAGTGATGCCAGGGACATCTAGTTGGCAAGGGATCAGTGGACAAGGAGCATACCACCTACAGTGTTCACTGACGCTGCACAGAAACCTATACACCCCAAATTAAGAGAATCACCACCTACCGGCCCTCTGAGCTTGGGAGATGAGGTCAGAGGCAAGGAATGGGGATGGGAAGGTAGGTGGTCCAGGAATGAGGGACTGTGGATAAGGGCCAGCTGAGAGGCCCTGGAAGAGACACCAGGATTCTCAGGAACATTCATTTAGAAAGGAGCCCTGGAGGTCCTGCTTCTTAAAAAGCAATGGGCAATTTGCTCAACCTCCCTAAGCCTCAGTTTCCCCATCTGTAAATCAGGAATGGAAATAGTCCTAGGGCTGTGAGAATTCTGTGAGGCAGGAACTTAAAGCACTTAGCACAGTGCCCAGCATGTGGTATACATTAATGGCAGGGATGCTTATTTTAATGACGCTATACTTTGGTGGTAGCAGCATTTACTCAGTCAACACTGGAGCATCCCTGTACTGTCCAAGGTTGTACATTTAAAATCCAGCTGGGAGGTGAGAGATGATGACTTTAATGGCTGCTCCATAAGTGCCATGTCATGGCACAACCATGCTCACAAGAAACAGCCTCTGTTTGCTTCTGGCTGAGGTGATCAAGGAAAGCTTCAGAGAGGAGTTGGAAGACTAACTCTATCACAGTGTACAGATTGGTTCAGGAGACAAGTCGAGCCATCCATTTGAAACAGGGGAACTAATGTGACCACTCCAAACCTGTCTTTTTCCTCACACCAGCTCTCCTCCATACACTGTGCCCTTGCATCTGTCCCTAGTGGCTCCAGCCTTCAAGTCTCTCAGACCCGAACACCCTAAATTCCCTCTTCTAAAAAGCCTTGTCCTGCCTGCCTACAGATGCTTCCTTGGCTATTTTCTGGGCCACTGTGCTAGGCCGGACTTTTATCACCTTCCCCCATCACCATCCACCCGTTTTCCTTCTGTAATAAGCCAACCCTTTCCCAAAGCCCCTCACCAGGAAGCCCTTTCAGACTACATAGGTCCTCCCAGTCTAGTTTTGTCTGCACCAGGGTTCTGCGCTGCCCGACAACCCCCACCCCAGTCTGCACCCAGCTTCAGCCACAAACATCCCAAATGGGTGAGCCTGGCAGGAGGGGGACACGGAGGTGTCCTCAACCCCCATCTTGGCTAGTCTCATCCCAGTCCCAGCACTCACGGATCCTTCCCCAGCCCGCTCCATTGCGAGAGGCGCGCAGAGGCGCGCGAGGTCCAGAGAGCTGCACTGGCCTGGGGAGCCGGCTGGGTCCGAGGGCCGCGGGAAATCGGAGGAGCCAGGGCGCCAGCATAGCTGCACCGCCTCCAGCTGCAGCGCTCAGGACGCCGGTGACATCAGCTCCCAATTGCCGCGAGAGCAACTGAGGGGTACCAGGGCGCTGGAGGTCCCTCCGGGCACCTGGCTGGGCTTGGCTCAAGGCGGTGCCTCCACCGAGACTCCATCGCGGCGGGACCGGACCTCCAGGAGTGCGCCCGCGCCGCCCTGGAAAAGGCTCCTGGCCTTCACGACGTGCTCCAGCTCCGGGAGGCCCCTCCCGCGTAGCGTTTGCCCTCCAAGGTGACCCCTTGCCTGAGAGTATGGAGGGCGAATAGTGTATAAATTGGGAGAGCTGGGGCCCTAGGGAGGTCACTGGGCCCAGCATGGATGAGTGGGACCACGAGTCCAGACACCTCCTCTATTTCCCTACTGATCTCCAGCCCCAAATCCACTCTCCCAAGGCCCAAGGCCGGGAGCGCCCTAGGAAACTGGCTCCCACCCTTTCAGGCAGAGGAACTGGGAATCCTGGCTCAGGATCTGGACCCTTGTGCTTCTAGCGTTTCCCCAACCCAGGGATAGTTCCTTGTTGCCCCCTCCCCACCCAAACACACCCTCTCCCCAAGCGGGCAGCATTTCCCCTGGGAAAGAGCGCAGAGCTGGGTGTCAGCTGGACCCGGGTCAGATCCCAAGGGGCTAGAGGATGAGTCATGGGCCCCACACACATTAGGCCCCCTGTTGATATCCCTTCCACCCCTCCCACTCTCTTAAGTCTCTGACTTCCTGCTCTGCTTCTCACTACCCTTTTTTCCCTTCAGAATCTCCACCAGGGCTAAGTACAAATCCTGGTTTAGGGACTTGACAAGCCCACAGAATTTGACCCCTGGAACCTGAGTTTGTAAAATGGGGAGTATTCCACCTCCTTCGTAGCATTGTTTGAGAATTATATGGGAAAGTCTCATCTCTACCTGGGCCTAGCACATATTTTAAAATAAGCCCCCTTTACTTGCAACTTGAGTCACTTCCTCCAGAAAGTCTTCTTGGATTTACTCTTCCACGACTATCTCTTTTGCCATTCCCTGAAACATCAATGGGTCTCTCTTTTGAGGACCTGCTGAACTTGGTTGAGAAAGAACACAGCACCCTCAGCCACTCTCCTAAAGGAGAGTGACCAAAGTGAAACTAAGCATCTCCTCTGCCCCAGAACTTGAACAGGCCTTCCACAGAGAAAATTTACATTTTTTGGAGGAGGGTAGGATGCAGAATTTAAACATTTACATACCTAGACCAGCTCTGTCCAATAAAACCTTCTGCGGTGATGGAAATGTTCAGTAGCCATCTAGCACTTGAAATATGGCTACAGCAACTAAGGAATTAATGTTTTGTTTTATTTTAATGAACTAAAAGTAAGATTTAAATAGCCATATGTAACTGATGTGGACAGTGCAGAGGACTATGAATGGCAAATAGGTTTTATCTCATGCACTGATGGAGGATAATTAGGTAGAGTCCCAACGAGTTCACTGGACACCTTTCCACAAATTAGAAAAAGCTGACCCTCTCCAGGCAAACAAATTAGATAAACGTGCTCCCTCCTGATGCCGCTGAAACCAGACCAGGACTCTCACCTCTGGCTGGCACCTGTGTGAAGGACACAACCTGCACAGTTTATGCCAAGACGGTCCTGAGAAAGATTCTGAGGCCAGGTCTGGGCTCGTTGATAAAGAGTGCCAAAATTGACCAGTAACATCTACTATGATCCAGGGAGTGGGGGCAGGGCTTGAGGGGGGACAGCACATACAATATCCTGCCATTCCTGATCTAGACTCTTTGCAGTCCTGCCTCTGACCTCTCAGCAGCAGCCCCTGCCTGGTCCAGGCAGTCACTTCCACAACTTCCTCCATCTTCCCCATCTCCGTAAACAGCCACACCACCCAGTTGCTTAGCCACATACCTGGGAATCATCCTGGAGTTCTCTTTCTTTGCCCTCCCATCCAATCCATCAGCAAATCCTGTCAGACCTACCACCACCATTTGAAATCTACTCCCTTTCTCCACCATGAGCATTTTAATTCACACCACCAGGTTCACTCCCACCTGAAGTGGGAGTGAAACAGCCTCCCACCTGGTGGACATTTGCGAACTCTCTTGCCAACCCTCCACCCCCAACCCTACCCTCAACTTCCCACCAGCCTATTCTCCATAGCAGCCATCATTTAAAAACATGGCATGAGTCATTCCCTTGCTTAAAACCCTTCCATGGCCCAACATCACACTTAAGGTGAAATCCAGGTGCCTTATCATGGCCTTCAAGGCCCTGCATGATCTGGCCCCTGCCCATCAGCTCCACCCCAACTACTATATTCCAGCCACACTGGCTCTCTCTTTCCCACAAATATATTACCCTCATCCTCATATCAGGGCCTTTGCCCTTCCTCCAGTCTTCACATATCTCCAAATCCTCCTGGGCTTAGCTCAAAGATCTCCCAACAGAGGCTTCCCCTGACCTCCACATCTAACATTGCCTCCCTCATCTGATTTTCATTACATCCCCATTTTCATCATAATTTCTTTATGTGATATTATTTATGTGTTCGTATGTATATTTCTGTTCTCCCACTACAATGGAACTTTCTTGTCTTATTCACTGAGGTATCCTATGGTCGAAAAGAGCTTGGCAGATAGTACATAAAATTTACATGTGTTTAATAATACATAGCGCAAGGTGCAGTGGCTCACGCCTGTAATCTCGGCATTTTGGGAGGTCGAGGTAGGGAGATCACTTGAGCCAGGACCAGCCTGGGCAATATAGTGAGACCTCGTCTCTGTAAAGAATTGAAAAAAACAAATACACGAATAAACAGCACCTTGCTGTCTCAAGGGCCAGCAGAATCCTTACTCATAGCCCAGAGTCCTTCTCTTCTCTAGCAAGGCTACATCCTTTCTGTAAACCTCTCTCACATTGAACTCCTCTCTTCTTCCCATGCCTAAAAGGAACCCTTGTCCCCAGAACAGACATTTACACTCACCCACAGAGCTTCCTGAAATAGGTGTAAAGACCCTGCTGCAAACATAAGACTATGATGGGCAGAACTGAGCCTGGGTCCACACACTGCACCCAACACAAGGCATAGGGAACCACCTGTCCCTCTTCCCACTTTAAGCAGGCCTGGCTCTCCCCACCATGCTGTAGCAGGAATGGGCAGGGCAGAGATTGGGGCTGGGATGCAAGTGAAGGAGGTGTGTACTCCAAGGGTCGGGGGATTACCTCCAGGCTGAGTGCCATCTGCCGAATGTAGAGCATATTCAGGTCCTCCAGGATGTGCAATCTGTCCTGCATCTCTGTGCCCCCCGGTGCCCTTTCCCTTGTCAACCCCTCCAGAGGGGGGACAGATAGGTACCACACTGTCCCACAGTTCCTCCTCCCACTGTTCCCTCAGTCTTTAAAGAGGTGGCCAGCTCTTGGGCAGAGGGCAGAAGCTGCCCTTATCCCTCTGCACTCCTGTTAAACCCCTCTGGCTGCTGTGACAAATTTTCCTCGCCCACTGCTGCTCCGGGGCCCTGCCGGGAGCCAGGCAGGGAAGAAAAAGAAAGCGAAGTGAGGATAAGTGGGGTCCCAGGAGGAAAGGCCAGCTGCAGAGGGGGCTCTAGGCACAGAGTGTCCAGTCTCGCTTTGGTGGCAGCTGTTCTCCCAGCTGTGGAAGAAAAAGGCCCTTTCATTCCGACTCTGGCCGCTCCCCAGCCCCCGCCCACATCCCTGGCCTGGTGGACAGGGAATCTGTGTGCGGAGAGGGCAGTGAGGGGCAGGCACAACTGGAAGGGGGCAGGGAAACGACGCCTCATGCAGGTTCTAGAGTCATGGGGTTTGCAGGAGGTTGGAGCTTCCCGAGAGGGGTTCCAGCTTAGTTTGAGAAAGTTGGGAAAAAGAGCCACACAGGTGAGGACCTCAGGGGAGAGTGAGCCCAGGGAATGGGACAAAGGGGTGAGTTGGCAAAGCAGCCCAGCCCTAGGGCCACCCCTTCCAACTCAGGGCCCCCATCCAGCCCGCTCCACCCTGGGCTCACAATTACCTCGCTTTTCCAGAGAAGGGAGGAGAGGGAGAGAGGAAGGCAGGGGTGTGCCTGTCTGCTGCTGTCCCCGCTCCCTTCTGCAGGCCCCTTCCCTTCCAGACAGGAAACCAGCCCCGATTCCGAGCCAGCTGCAGCCTAGCGCCCCCGCCTCCACGCCAGGCCCACGGAGTCACACTTCACTCGGCGGCCGCCAGGCCCTGCGGCTCCGCCCCAGCTCCTCCGAGCTGTCCCCGAAGGCCGGGCTAATCCCAGGGGCGGCCCCAGCTCACAGGCCCCTCCCCCTGGTCCCGGGCCTCGCCCCTTACTCCCCCACGCTGGCCCCACGCGGGTTCCTCGGGCCCAGTCGCTTGGGGGCAAGGGGACGCGACAAAGGCCCCCTCTCCCCAGGTCCACTAGCTTCTGAGTCAGAGAAGGCCCGGGACGCCGGGACAAGGGTGTGAAAGAGCCTCTTTGTTCTGGGCAGGCTGGAGGGAAAGGGCAGAAGCCAGGCCTGGAATCCCAGCCGGGAGGTAGAGGGGGCGGAAGGAAGGCCCACCTCACTTAACCCTTTCCAGACCCGGAAGGGAAGGCTTGGAACTGGGCTCTCCTTGGGCGAGTGTGAGTCTGACCTTGGGGACAGAAGAGTCTTCGGGGTAGCTATTCGCCCTCTCAGTCCCCGCTCAACCACACACCTTCAGCCCCGCCCTAGCCCTTAGGGCGTTACAGGTGGGGATCCAACAGGTTAACGCGTGGACGGCGGACGGGGGAAACGCTCAGCCTAGGGGCTGGACTCCTCTTAGGCCCCAGAAAAGGAGGCGGAAATTTTGCGTGTGGGAAGTAACCCCAAGGAGTTAAAAGCCCTGCAGGGGCATAGAGGAGCCTTTGAATTGGGCTTCGGGGAAGCGAGCGGCCCCGGCCTAAAGTCGGGGTTGATGACAGAGGCTGGCCCAGATGGCTGCGACAGGTTGTGGGATGGGGCTGGCGACTGGGGAACAAGCGGGAGCCCAGGCCAAGAGTCCGAGCGCTTGGGGCCCGCCTAGCTGCCCACCGCCCTTGGCCCGGGGATGCCCAAGACATTTTGGGGTTCAGGCACATTTTAGGAGTCGAGCTGGGGCCCTACAAATTGAGACCAACCCGGGCTTTTTCCAGGCTCAGGCAGATAATCCTAACCAGGCCGCGGAATGGGCAGCATGGATCCGATGAAAATGCAGACCGTCCACACCTTACTTTTTAAGTCAACAACTCCGTCGGGTTTGTACCCAGACCGTGCGTCTCCGCCCCTCGGCGTGCACGCGGGCGAGGGAAGGAGGCCGAGGTGGCTGGGGCTGCCCCCGGGAGCCGCGGAAGGGGAAGGCAGGGACGCGAGTCTCTCACCTCGGGCAGGTCGCTGAAGAGGCTGAGTCGGAAGCGGCCGCGTTTGAACTCCATCTCCAGGGCGGAGCCCCTGGCCACGGTGACCCGGCTCCGGTGGTTTCGGGAGAACATGCTGGCGGCCCTGCGACTTTGCCTGCTCAGTGCGCTCCCCGCGCCGCCCGGCTTAGCCTCCTCTCCTCGGCTTCTGTCTCTCGACGCTCGTCCGCCAGTCCGGCCGGGAATCTCCCGCTGCGGGGCTCCAAACCCCGCCCCCGGAGACGACACCTGGGCCGGGCAGGGCGCGGCAACCTCCTCTTCCACCCCCGCCAAAGGCCCAGCCCGTCCGGCCAGTCCCTGGGCGCCAAGCCGACCTGGCCCGACGGCCCCGGAGCCCCCAGGGGCGCACTGCACCTCGCGAGCACTGTGGGAGCGCGTTCTCCCTGCCCGCGCGGGTCGCGAGCGCCTACCTGGACTTGGGACGGACCGAGAAGCCCTGCCCCGCCAGCCGCCCCAACCTGGCAAGCCTGGCTTCCCGGGCGCTGAAAACCCCGTGGCTCAGGGATCGCCGCGTAGCACGCTCTGGCTCTACTCGGGCCCTGGGACCTTGCCCAGTTTCAATCCCGGCAGCCTCCGAAGAGACCATTTCAACATCCCACAGTCCCAAATGTTCCTTCTTCGTCCCCCTCCCCACCTAGGCTCCTCTGCGAGGCTATCCGCCTAAGCCTAGTGGCCACAACTGATGGGGCGGTGCTTAAACACGTCGTGAAACCCCAGCTCTGTCACTAACTAACCGTGCAATCATTAACTTGGTCCAGTCACTGGCCTTTCTGAGCTTCAGTTTTCTCATTTGTTCAGTGGGAATACTGTAATTATCTCCACTCCTCAAGTTGCTATGAGGATTACCTATAAGAATGAGGGTAAAATGCCCAGCATAGTGCCTGGCACAAGGCAAGTGCCCCATATTTGCAGTCATAAAGAGCAGCTGCGCGCGGTGGCTCACGCCTGTAATCGCAGCACTTTGGGAGGCCTAGGAGGGTGGATCACCTGAGGTTGGGAGTTCGAGACCAGCCTGACCAACATGGAGAAACCCCATCTCTACTAAAAATACAAAATTTAGCCGGCCATGGTGGCACATGCCGGTAATCCCAACTACTTGAGAGGCTGAGGCAGGAGAATCGCTTAAACCCGGGAAGCAGAGGTTGTGGTGAGCTGAGACCCCACCATTGCACTCCACCCTTGGAAACAAGAGCGAAACTACGTCTAAAAAAAAGATGGCTGGGTGCAGTGGCTCAAGCCTGTAATCCTAGCACTTTGGGAGGCCAAGGGGGACTGATCGCTCTTGAGCTCAGGAGTTGGAGACCAGCCTGGGCAACATGAAACCCTGTCTCAACAAAACACACACACACACGCACACACACACACAAATTGGCCTGGCATGGTGGTGCACACCTGTAGTCCCAGCTACTCGGGAGGCTAAGGTGGGAGGATTGCTTGAGCCCGAAAGTTCAAGTCCAGCCTGGGCAACATAGTGGGACCCCATCTCTTAAAAAGCATTACAAATATGTATAATTTTTTATTTTTATTTATTTATTTATTTATTTATTTTAATTTTTTTTTTTTAAGACAGAGTCTCACTCTGTCACCCAGGCTGGAGTGCAATGGCATGATCTCGACTCACTGCAACCTCTGCCTCCTGGGTTCAATCGATTCTCCTGCCTCAGCCTCCGGAGTAGCTGGGATTACAGGCGTCTGCCACCATATCTGGCTAATTTTTGTATTTTTAGTAGAGATGGGGTTACACCATGTTGGTAAGGCTGGTCTCAAACTCTTGACCTCAGGCGATACACCCGCCTTGGTCTCCCAAAGTGCTGGGATTTCAGGCGTGGCCCACGCCTGGCCAATATTATCTATCTATAGATAGATATAGATATAGATAGATATAGATATAGATATAGATATAGATATAGATATAGATATAGATATAGATATAGATATAGATAGATATAGATATAATCAGCTGCTTTGCTGGATGGCTGGACTTGCCCGGCTGGACTTACCACTCCCTGCTTCCATAAAAACAGGGTTCCCGCTAGGCGCGGTGGCTCACGCCTGTAATCCCAGCACTTTGGGAGACCAAGGGGGGCAGATCACGAGGTCAGGAGATCGAAACCATCCTGGCTAACACGGTGAAAACCCGTCTCTACTAAATATACAAAAAAATTAGCCGGGCATGGTGGCGGGCGCCTGTAGTCCCAGCTACTCAGGAGGCTGAGGCAGGAGAATGCCCTGAACCTGGGAGGCGGAGCTTGCACTGAGCCGAGATCGTGCCACTGCACTCCAGCCTGGGCGACAGAGCGAGACTCTGTCTCAAACAAACAAACAAACAAACAAAAAACAGGGTTCCCTTCTTGCCCCCTCTGGGGAAAGCCCAGTGGAAGAGAAGGAAATGGCAAAGGATTAACTTGCTGATCACACATAAACAGATCTCCTGAAGGCTTCAGAACACAGAACTTGAGAAAGGGTGAGACTCCTACATGGCAGGCTGGCTGGACCCAGAGACATACCAGTCTTGAGCTCTTAGAGAGTCCAGATTAGAAATGTTTTGCTATGGCAAATCATTTCAACATTCTTTTGGAAAAGCTGACTGAAAAGTACTAAAGCAAAAGGGGAAATGCATCGGCTCCTGGAACTGAGCCAATACAAACAAATGAGCCAGGGGTCAAGCTTTAGATGTGGCTTAACCCACTCATTGAGTGTCAGGAATATCCAGTCTCTTCCCATCACTTGGCTCTACTTTCCTCCACGTTGGCTTCACTCTCCACAGTGTAACGAAATTGCTGCCCAAAATTCTGGGTCTATATCTTTTCAGGCTTAAATTCAGCTGAAAAGAGAGCATCTGTTTCCTGAGGCTCCTACACGTCTGGGATTCGCTGTGAGACATTTGTGATCATTCATCCATCCCAAACCAATCATTGGAGTCAGACGGTGGCCAGATCTGAACCAATTGCTGTGGCTAAGGAGGTTCTAGGTGCCAGCTGGCCAGGCTTGGGGTCACTTGCCCACTCCTGGAGACTAACCAGAACCCAGTGAACTGGGAGGGAGAAGGTGGGGGAGGGTTGTTCCCCAAAGAATGTTCCAACCACTACCACCAGAAGGTGAGAGAATGGAAAATGAACAGGAAAAACAACCAACATCCTCCACACACAAAATTTTATATGGAGAAGGGAGTTCTTCTGGTCAGTAGGAAAGGCAGATCAAAAGATTTATAAAGTCCATGGCATCTGAGATTAACCACAAAAGACGTGTGAGGGGAAAGAAAGGGAAAGATATTGTTCCTTAATTTATTCAAATATTCATCATCACTCCTCTGAACTGTAAGCCTTCTAGGGAGGGGCAGTCTGTCTTATCCCCAGTGCCTGGGACATAGCAAGTGATCAATAAACATCAGTTGAAGTAAATAAAAGAGAAGCAAACAGATTTGAGAGTCCTTGACTGAGATGTGCCATCCTGTTGGACTAAGATAGTTCATTTCAAATGTTTGTTTTTAAGCAACAGAACCTTTTTTTTTTAATGAAATCTTACCTGAAATGTGTGAAATCAAATCAGAGCTGCTATGATGGGAGCAGGTGCTAGAGCCTCATGCCTTGTCTACCCACAGGTGCTCAGCTGCTCCCTGCTCCCCCAGTGAACACAAGCTCTGTGGACGGGTTTGAAAACCCCTGGCCTGAGACCCAGGAAGGAGGCAGAGGAATGGAGGATCTTCAAAAAGGAGGTTGAGCTCAAATCCTGCCTGAGAGTTTGTACTCAATGTGGCTGAAGATTTTTGGGAAGGAGGGACATGATCAGGATTATATTATATTATATTATATATATATATTTATATAATATATATCACTCTGTTACCCAGCTAGAGCAAAGTGGTGCCATGATAATACACTGCAGCCTTGAACTCCTGGGCTCAAGCAATCCTCCTGTCTCAGCCTCCTGAGTAGCTAGGACTAAAGGCGTGCACCACCATGCGAGGCTAATTTTTAAATTTTTTTGTAGAGACAGCATCGTACAGGCTAGTCTTGAACTCCTGGCCTTAAGTGATCCTCCTGCCTCAGCCTCCCAAAGTTCTGGGATTACAGGCGTGACCACTGTTCCTCCTCCCAGAATTAACTTTAGAGATCGTAATTTGGCAGCCTTTTCCATTAGTCAGTTGGAGGAGTTGTGACTGGAGTCAGGGAAGCCAACTAACACTGCACTCAACTGAGGGAGGAGAGATAAGGGTCAAAATTTCTATGGATTTATGTATGTATGTATGCATGCATTTATTTTTATTTTTATTTTTATTTTTGAGATGGAGTCTAGCTCTATCACCCAGGCTGGAGTGCAGTGGCGCAATCTCGGCTCACTGCAACCTCTGCCTCCCAGGTTCATGCGATTCTCCTGCCTCCGCCTCCTGAGTAGCTGGGATTACAGGCGCCCACCACCACGCCTGGCTAATTTTTGTATTTTTAGTACAGATGGGGTTTCACCATGTTGTTCAATCTGGTCTCGAACTCCTGACCTCGTGATCTGCCCGCCTCAGCCTCCCAAAGTGCTAGGATTACAGGCATGAGCCACCGCGCCAGGCCAGACTTATTTTTTAAATTAAATTTCATTTGAAAAATATTTGAAAGTACGTGTACAGTTTTCTAAACACTATAAATGCCACTGTTTTTTAAATAATGTAAATAATGAAAAAAATGAATAAAAGTATGCCTTCCCCACCCTCAATTATTCCACTTCCAGAAGAAAACACTGAGACAGTTTGGTGCATTCAAGTGCTGAAGCTCACACCAGCGGTTCGTGTTGATGACTTTTCTGGAATTGGGCATGCCAGTTGCTAAACATTGCCTTAATTAAAAATTAAATTACGGGCTGGGCACAGCGGCTCACGCCTGCAATCCCAGCACTTTGGGAGGCCAAGGCGGGTGGATCACGAGGTCAGGAGTTTGACACCAGCCTGACCAACATAGTGAAACTCTGTCTCTACCAAAAATACAAAAATCAGCTGGGCGCTACTTAGGAGGCTGAGGCAGGAGAATTGCTTGAACCCGGGAGGCAGAGGTTACAGTGGGCCGAGATCAGGTCACTGCACTCCAGCCTGGGGGACAAAGCGAGTCTCCGTTTCAAAACAAAACAAAATTAAATTAAGGCTGGGCATGGTGGCTTACACCTGTAATCCCAGCAGTTTGGGAGGCTGAGGCAGTGGATCACCTGAGGTCAGGAGTTCAAGACCAGCCTGGCCAACATGGTGAAACCCTGTCTCTACTAAAAATACAAAATTAGCCGGTGTGGTGGCACATGCCTGTAATCCCAGCTACTCGGGAGGCTGAGGCAGAAGAATCTCTTGAACCCGGGAGGCAGAGGTTGCAGTGAGCCGAGATCTCACCATTGCACTCTAGCCTGGGCAACAAGAGTGAAACACTATCTCCAAAAAAAAAAATTAAATTAAATTACATAAACATATAACTAAATCAATTTTATTAAAGCAAAGGTGACAAATATTCAAAACTCATCACTTCCTAATTATTTTACTGCATTTTACGACGACGTCTTGAGTAGTTTACATCTTTAGTATCTGTATGGAGGGAATGCTATATAAATGACATGACAATGCACATCTCTTTCCAACTCTGTATTCAGTGATGTCTCATTTGAAATTGGCCATGGTGGGAGTCCTTACACAACAGAAATAGGTGAACATAACAAATCCAGCCTGGTTTTTTTCCCCCCTGGGGAGCTTTTGTTAAACATTTACCAACATGCCACTGGTTTGGTGCACAGTCTTCCCAACTTTATCTTTTTGTTTATGTCTGTATCTATATCTCCCCAGCTATGAAGTAGATATGTGGGAAAGGGGCTGTGGGTCACCTAGGGTTCAAATCATCTTCTATTTCTGCACAGTTCCCTACTGTGGACAGTATTGACAGAATGAGCTCTAGCCCCTTTATGGCAGTTGGAGAACATTTATCCTTCTTCCCACTTTTTCACAGCCTAAAGGTAGGCACTTGGCCTAACCCAACTAACTGGAATGTTCCCAACTGGACTTTGAATATTGAGGGAGTGCAGACAAGACCCAGCCAGAGTTCATGATATACACTCACTGTACCTGCAGTACCTGAGAAGGGGGTAGTGGTGCCAGCAGAAAATCCTCATCAGCATGTTCAAGCCGCCTGACTTCAGTGTGGCCTTGGCATAACCTCAGCCATAAGTTTGTGCTGCCTGGCCTCCTTTGAGTCTCGCTTCTTATCCAGTGAAAGTATGAGATGAGCCCCAAAACATTTTATCCAGGGAAATAAAAATATTTTATCCAGGGAAATTTGAGTCTCACTTCTTTCCAGGGAAAGTACAAGATTAGCCACCTAGCATGGTGGCTCACGCCTGTAATCCCAACACTTTGGGAGGCTGAGGCAGGTGGATCACTTGAGGCCAGGAGTTCAAGACCAGTCTGGCTAACATGGTGAAACCCCGTCTTTACTAAAAATACAAAAAAAATAGCCAGGTGTGGTGGCAGGCACCTCTGATCCCAGCTACTTGGGAGGCTGAGGCAGGAGAATTGCTTGAACCCAGGAGGTGGAGGTTGCAGTGAGCCGAGATCATGCCATTATACTCGAGCCTGGGTGACAGAGTGAGACTGTGTCTCAAAAAAAAAAAGAAAAAAAGGCTGGGAGGGGTGACTCATGCCTGTAATCCCAGCACTTTGAGAGGCCGAGGCGGGTGGATCATGAGGTCAAGAGATTGAGACCATCCTAGCCAACATAGTGAAACCCCGTCTCTACTAAAAATCTGAAAATTAGCTGGGTATGGTGGTGCATGCCTGTAGTCCCAGCTACTCAGGAGGCTGAGGCAGGAGAATCGCTTGAACCTGGGAGGTGGAGGTTGCAGTGAGCCAGGATTATTGCGCCACTGCGCTCCAGCCTGGCAACAGAGCGAGATTCCATCTCAGAAAAAAAAATTTTTTTTAATTAGTTGGGCAGGGTGGCACATCCCTGTAATCCCAGCTACTCAGGAGGCTGAGGTGGGAGGATCACTTGAGGCCAGCAGCTCAAGGTTGCAGGGAGCTATGATTGGACCACTGCAACAGAGCAAGACTCTGTCCCCCTCTAAAAATTGAGCATCATAATAAGTAATGACAGCAATGGGTTACAACCCACTGATTAAAACTGGAATCCATGCTGAAACAAATAAATATATCTGTAAATAAATATGAGGAGAAGAGAAAGCTCTTACAGTAGAATGCTAACTAATACGTGTAACTGCAATAATGGGAATAGATCACCATTTGGCAATTATTATACTGGAGTTGATTCATACAGTAGTCATCAATGGATACAAAGCCTGGTGGGTGGAGGTTTGACGGGGAATGGGATATTAGGGTAGTTGCAGAGTATTTCCCAGAAAATACTTATTATTTGGAAAGACAAAAATGGTGACATTACAGTGGAGGAAATTGGCAGACAGCACCTTGACCAGGTGATCAAGGTTAATAGCATCAGTGGTGGGAAAGGCTGACATCATGAGCCTCCCAGTGTGACACACTGAGAAGAACAGAGCATAATGTTTTTGTGGGCCGGGCATGGTGGCTCACGTCTGTAATCCCAGCACTTTGGGAGGCTGAGGCAGGAGAATCGCTTGAGCCCAGAAGTTCAAGACCAGCCTGGGCAACACAATGAGACCCTGTCTCAAAAAAAAAAAAAAAAAAGAAATCAATTTTTTGTGTGTGTGGTGTTCTTGCCAAGAATTTATAAGTCTAGGCCAGGCGTGGCGGCTCATAGTGTAATCCCAGCACTTTGGGAGGCCGAAGTGGGCAGATCACTTGAAGCCAAGAGTTCAAGACCAGCCTGACCAACATGGCAAAACCCCATTTCTACCAAAAAATACAAAAATTAGCTGGGCGTGGTGGTGCACACCTGTAGTTCCAGCTACTCAGGATGCTGAGGCCCAAGAATTGCTTGAACCCGGGCAGCAGAGATTGTAGTGAGCCGAGATCACACCACTGCACTCCAGCCTGGGTGACAGTGCAAGACTCTGTCTCAATCAATCAATCAATGTATAAATATAGACCTGAGGAAACACCAGACAGACCCACATTGATGGGCATCCTATAGAATTAAAGACTTCTACCCTTTAAATTTGTCAAGGTCATGAAAGACCGGGTAAAAGTGAAGAAATGTTCCAGATTAAAACAGATTAAAGAGACTTAATTTAAAAATGTAATAAATGATCCTAAATTTGGATCCTGGATAAAAACAAAAAGGAGGACCAGGCACAGTGGCTCACGCCTTTAATCCCAGCACTTTGGGAGGCCGAGGTGGGTAGATCATGTTGGGAGTTCGAGACCAGCCTGACCAACAAGGAGAAACCCCATCTCTACTAAAAATACAAAATTAGCGCATGCCTGTAATCCCAGCTACTTGGGAGGCTGAGGCAGTAGAATTGCTTGAACTCGCAAGGCGGAGGTTGCGGTGAGCGGAGATTGCACCATTGCACTCCAGCCTGGGCAACAAGAGCAAAACTACGTCTCAAAAAAAAAAAAAAAAAAAACGAGGCCAGGCGCGGTGGCTCATGCCTGTGATCTCAGCGCTTTGGGAGGCTGAGGCAGGTGGATCACAAGGTCAGGAGTTCAAGACCAGCCTGGCCAACACGGTGAAACCTCATCTGTACTAAAAATACAAAAATTAGCTAGGGGTGGTAGTAGGAGCCTGTAATTCCAGCTACTTAGGAGACTGAGGCAGAGAATTGCTTGATCCCAGGAGGTGGAGGTTGCAGTGAGCCGAGATTGTGCCACTGCACTCCAGCCTGGGCAACAGAGCAAGGCTCCGTGTCAAAAAAAAGAAAAGAAAAAGGAGGTATTTCACAGTTGGTGAAATTTGAATGGGGTCTGGATTAATGATGTATCAGGTTAATTTCCTGATTGGGACAGTTGCACAAAGCTTATAGAAAACTGTGCTTGTTTGAGGGAAGTACACACTGCATGATTTAGGGGTGAAATGACATCATGTCTGCAACTTGCTATCATGTTGATCAGAAAAAGAATAATGATGTAAACCAAAAATAAAATTCTGAGTCCCCCAACCATGTTGGGCCATTCCATGTTAACCTGAAAAACTAGTATGGGCCATGATGGGAAAGGGGGAGCTGGACATGCCTTGTTATACCCTCCTCCCTTTTGCAATTACTGATATAACAGACTCTTTAAGTCTGATAAGAAACATTTACAGTGTATTCTCTGTGAAGTTGGCTACCTGGATGCTTCACTTGAATGATAAAATCTTGGTCTCCACAACCCCTTATCTCAACCAGACATTCCTTTCTATTGATTCCAAGTCTCTAGACAATAATTTAACGCTTTTTTTTTCTTTTTTTGAGATGGAGTTTTGCTCTTTTTGCCCAGGCTGGAGTCCAATGGCTCGATGTCAGCTCACGGCAAACTCTGCCTCCTGGGTTCAAGCAATTCTCTTGTCTCAGCCTCTCTAGTAGCTGGGGTTACAGGTATGTGCCACCATGTCCAGCTAATTTTTGTATTTTTAGTTGAGATGGGGTTTCACCATGTTGGCCAGGCTGGTCTCAAACTCCTGGCCTCAGGTGATCCACCCGCCTCGGCCTCCCAAAGTGCTGGGATTAGAGGTGTGAGCCACCACAGCCAGCCAATAATTTAACTCTTTCAACCAATTGCCAATCAGAAAACCTTTGCATCTACACAATACCTGGAAGCCCCCATCTTCCAGTTGTCCTGCCTTTCCAGACCAAACCAACGTACATCTTACATGTATTGATTGATGTCTTATGTCTCCCTAAAATGTATAAAATCAAGTTGTAGTCAGACCACTTTGGGCACATGTTCTCAGGATCTCTTGAGGGGTGTGTCACAGGCCATTGGTCACTCATATTTGGCTCTGAATAAATCTCTTCAAATATTTTAGAGTTTGACTCTTTTCACTGACAATGATAATGGGCATAAACACAGATAAATATTAACAATTTCAGAATCTCGCCGGGCGCGGTGGCTCACACCTGTAATCCCAGCACTTTGGGAGGCTGAGGCGGGCATATCACAAGGTCAGGAGATCAAGACCATCTGGGGTAACACAGTGAAACCTTGTCTCTACTAAAAATACAAAAAATTAGCCAGGCGTGGTAGAGGGCGCCTGTAGTCCCAGCTACTCGGGAGGCTGAGGCAAGAGAATGGCGTGAACCTGGGAGGCAGAGCTTGCAGTGAGCCGAGATCGCACCACGACACTCCAGCCTGGGTGACAGAGCGAGACTCCGTCTCAAAAAAAAAAAAAAAAAAAATTTCAGAATCTGCCCCACCCGCCAACCATGTCGGGCATTCCATGTTAACCTGAAACACATGGAATGTTTAAGGAGATAAGAAAGTTTTGGCCCGGCACTGTGACTCACACCTGTAATCCCAGCACTTTGGGAGGCTGAGGCAGAAGGATCGTTTGAGCTCAGGAGTTTGAGACCAGCCTGGGCAACATGGCCAAACCTTGTCCCTACAAAAAAAAAAAAAAAAAAAAAAAAAAAAAAAAAAGAATTAGCTAAGCTTGGTGGTGTGTAGCTGTAGTCCCAGCTACTTGGGAGGCTGAGGTGGGAGGATCACTCAAGCCTGGGAGTTTGAGGCTGCAGTGAGCCGTGTTTGCGCCACTGCATTCCAGCCTGGGAGACAGAGCTAGACCCTGTCTCAAAAACAAAACGAAACAAAAACTTTATTAGAGAGAGTTCTTTGTATTCATCTTGCAATTTTTCTGTTTGAAGTTATTTCAAAATAATTTTTTAAAATACGACTAAGAAGTCTTTCAGAAAGAAGAGTGCCTCTCAGCCTACAAACATGCTCAAATCTCTCTCACTCTAAACAAAGCAAAACTAAAAACAAACAAAATAATGAAGCCAGTTGTCACTTACTGTTGCCACTTCCTCCCTGCTGGGCATCATGATGCAGAGGAAACACCACTGGGCCAGGTGTCAGGAAGCCTCTGTTTGAGTCTGGCTCTGCCACTCCCTAACTTTGTGACTTTGGCAAAAACATTTCTTTTTCTGAGCCTCAGTTTCCTCATTTATAAGATGGAAACAATGGTATCTCCCTTATGGAGATGCTGTGGGGGCCAAGGGAGAGAAGGAATATATAGGCAGGTTATAAACTCTAACGTATTCTACAAATATGAATTGCAAGTGATCCCTCACTGTAACTCCTGGTGATAAAAGAGTATTGCCTTCACACTGTGATAAAATCCATCCTCTTCTTGGAGCTCAGCCTACCCTCTGAAGGACTGTACCCAGCTGATCACAGCCTTAGTCCCTTGATACTTTCTGCCTTTCCTGACCTTCTCAACCCTGTCTGGCCCCTCTGCCTGGCTGTGCAGGACAGGTGCTCACTTGGTTCTGTTCCTGGTTCTTTTCCTCTTATCTACTTACTCTTTCTGGGTGTCTCATCTACTCCCATCACTTGGGGGCCTCCAGTATTACGCTGATGACATCCCCACTCACACTTTCATCCTTGGTTTCTCCTCTCAGCTATTCCACCTCCACCCAGGCATTCCCACAGGCACTTCAAAGTCGCCTTGGGCAAAACTAAATAATTCCCTTCTTAACTTGCTTCTCTTCCTATGTTATCTTCCTTACTGAAAATACCACCTTCCCGCTAAATACTTAGGCTAGAAACCTATGAGTCAGTTATTATTATTTGCTTACTGAAGCATCTACTATGTGCCTGTGCCTGTGCCTGCTGCCACCCTAAGTATCATGAGTTCTTGATTTCCTTTATTCCTTGAAAGAGCCCTCATAGCGGTGGATCCTACTGTATTCCATCTTATAGAGCTGGATTCTCAGGTTCAGAGAGCTTAAATAATTTTAGGCCCAAGGTTGCATAGCTAATAAATGGTGAAACTGGGATTTGATAATAGGCTTGTCTGACTCCAAAATCCCTTTTCATAATCACATACTACATGACTTAATCCTGGATTCCCCAATATAATTGCTCATTGATTCTTGATAATTTTATCACTGAAATGTAAGAGACTTTTCACTGCTGTTACCTTGCTCAGACACTCATATATATTTAGATATATGTATATAGGTGTTATTTTCTAATTATAAACGTGATATATATTGGCTGTAAGAAAATACATTACATACCTAAATAGTGAAAGTTCCTCAACCCCAACTTCTACAGTTAACCAACATTAACAGGTATACATTCCTCAATTTTTTCTATGTATTTGCTAGTATATTATGCTTTTAAAAATCAGATCACATAATCTTGAAATTTACTTTTTTTTTTTTTTCTTTTTTTTGAGACGGAGTCCCGCTCTGTCGACCAGGCTGGAGTGCAGTGGCGCGATCTCGGCTCACTGCGACCTCCACCTCCCGGGTTCAAGCGATTCTCCTGCCTCAGCCTCCCGAGTAGCTGGGACTACAGGCGCGTGCCATCACGCCGGCTAATTTTTTTTTTTTTTTTTGTATTTTTAGTAGAGACGGGGTTTCATCGTATTAGCCAGGATGGGAAATTTACTTTTCTTATTTCGTGTATCAGCACATACAAACCTACCTGTTTTTATGTCTTTTTTAAAATGAGGTAAAATATACACGTTTTATACAAAATTCAAAAGGCACAAGAGGGTATAATCATAAAAAAATAGGTCGCCATCCACCCTTGTTCTCTAGATGCTCATCAGCAAATGACTCTTACCAATTTCCTAGATAGCCTTCTGGGGCGCCTCATTTCTTTTCCAAGCTGCTTAACATCCCACTGTATGGATACACCAATTCATCAGGACACTTAGATTGTTTAAATTCTGTGTCAATCTCATTAATTACTTACAACTCAACTTTTCTTAGCAATATGGTGTTCCGCATTGTACAGCTGCACCGTAATTCATTTATTCATTTCCCTACTTATGAAAATTGAAGTTTAAATACCTAAACTGCATCTGCTCTTAGGGCACTCGTGCTGTTTAACCATTTCGGCCATTTTGTCATCAATATAGTTTATGTATTCCTCCACCCAACTGTGAGTTCCTCAAGGACAGGGGCGGTGTTCATATTCATCTTTGCATCCTCTTAGACTAGCTTCCCGCACTTGGTCTAGTGTATACATTCACCAAACTTGTGTTCAATAATTGACTCATCCGCGCTGAGTTCTGAAAGCTAGCGTGGGGAGGCGGAGCCAGGGGAAAGCCCTGCCCATTTGGGCTGTCCCGACCTCAGAGGGACCGGAACGTTCGTTGGAAGGATCCTCGTTTCTCAGGGACGATTTTGGACGCGAAGCGTGCCCCGCACAAGGATGGTTGCCATGAACCGGAAGTAACTGGTTGTTTTGCTGGCTCCAGTTTTTCCGCGGGGCGGAAAAGGCGTGTCTGCGTGTGTCCCAACCATTTCTAGTCCCCTTTCCTCGCAGGACCTCATGAGTAAGCTGTGGCGGCGTGGGAGCACCTCTGGGGCTATGGAGGCCCCTGAGCCGGGTAAGCGCGAATAGATCAAGCAATTTAGGTCGTGTTAGAAAAGAAGTCCCGTTCTTGCTCCTCGGAGAGTCCAGGGTACTTCGGCCACAGGTGGCAAGGAGAAAGGCGGTGCTGTTGTTATGGTAACAGCGAGTACTGCGGGAAGGGTGGGATCCAGTAGGGGCTTAGGTTATTCAGGGCTTCCCCTGCCACCCTCCGGCCAAACACTGTCGACAGGCTTTCCTTCCACAGGAGAAGCCCTGGAGTTGAGCCTGGCGGGTGCCCATGGCCATGGAGTGCACAAGAAAAAACACAAGAAGCACAAGAAGAAACACAAGAAGAAACACCATCAGGAAGAAGACGCCGGGCCCACGCAGCCGTCCCCTGCCAAGCCTCAGCTCAAACTCAAAATCAAGCTTGGGGGACAAGTCCTGGGGACCAAGAGGTGAGGCCAAGAGGGTCATAGTTTTATAAGGGGAACTTTAGGAGCAGAGATAGTAGTTAGAAGCCGACTGGGCTTTCTAGAAGACCGAATGGACACTGTGACTTCAGGGTCCAGATTTAGGCAGCAAGAGTCTAAGAGGGTGGGGAAAGTTGGGTGTAGCTACGGAGTAGGAGGAGGAGACGCTTGCTCATTTTAAAGAGTAGTGTTGCTTCTCTGCAGTGTTCCTACCTTCACTGTGATCCCAGAGGGGCCTCGCTCACCCTCTCCCCTTATGGTTGTGGATAATGAAGAGGAACCTATGGAAGGAGTCCCCCTTGAGCAGTACCGTGCCTGGCTGGGTGAGGATCTGGAGGTGGGGAAACTGGGTTTCTTATTATACCCGCCTAAAGAAAGAAGGTTGGTTCTGAAATGGGTTAGGATTTTCCATGTCCCAGTATTAACTCAGCCAAATTAGGGTGCCCCATCTGAACAATTCTGTTTTTCTTTCTCCAACTTCCTTCCCAGATGAAGACAGTAATCTCTCTCCCTCTCCACTTCGGGACCTATCAGGAGGGTTAGGGGGTCAGGAGGAAGAGGAGGAACAGAGGTGGCTGGATGCCCTGGAGAAGGGGGAGCTGGATGACAATGGAGACCTCAAGAAGGAGATCAATGAGCGGCTGCTTACTGCTCGACAGGTATGTTGGTTCATTGTTTATTCACTCACCAAATGTATACAGTATTGAGAACTCTCCACGACCCACGCACTTTGCGTGGCATTGGGGATATCGATAGTAGAGAAAAGACAAAGTTTCTGTTCTCCTGGAGCTAGTATTCTAGTGTGTGTGTTGGGGGGCTGGGAAGTAAATAAGTAAATAATTTCAAAAAGCTATATGGTTTATGACAAAAAGAAAAGGGTGATGAAATAGAAAGTGGCGTAAACAAACAGATAGAAATGATGGAAGAGAGACATTAGGGTAGTTAGAGAAGGCTTCTTTGAAGAGATAACATTTGCAATACCAGAAGAGCTTTTGAGCAGAGACCAGCAGGCGCACAGACCTTGAGACTGGAACATGTCTAGCAAAGGAGAAGAAAAAGTGGACAAGCCACTGAAGGGCTGTACGCAGAGAAGTGACATACTTGGTTTACATTTCAATAGATTACTTTGGCATCTTTGTAGAGAATGAATCTTCGTGGAGACAAGAGATAGAAGTATGGAGAACAACTAGGAAGCTGTTGAAGTAATCAGCTGAGAGGCAGTGGTTGCTTTAACCAAGACGAAAGTGGTGGAGATGGAGAAAATCAGATGAATTATGGCTATATTTTGGAAGTAGATACTTGTGGGGAGGGGAATGGAGAGAAAATATATCAAGGCTAAGCCTGGGATTTTGGCTTGAGCAGTTATCCACCTGATACTCTCTATTGAGATAAGATTAAAAATAACAACAGACCTCTGGGAAAGCTGGTACAGTTTTGGTGCACAGGTCAGGCAGGTAACATTACTGATGCTTCTCCCCTTGAGAGATAAGGACCTAAAGCTAAATGTCAGGAGATCTGGGAGGAGGCAGTATTTATGAAGAGGAACCTATGGAAGGTGTCCTGGAGAGGGTGCTCATTAATTAATATCCCGCCTCCGAAGGCCTGCACTGCTCAAGACCCTGCCTTCCATGTCCCTTCTTTCCCCTCCCCCGATCTGGCCGACCTCGCCTCTCCATCTTCCTCCATTTTCAGACAGCACCCCGTCTCTGTCTCTCCCTAGCGAGCTCTGCTCCAGAAGGCGCGGAGTCAACCTTCCCCTATGCTGCCGCTGCCTGTAGCTGAGGGCTGCCCACCTCCCGCCCTCACAGAGGAGATGCTGCTGAAGCGCGAGGAGCGGGCGCGGAAGCGGCGGCTCCAGGCGGCGCGGCGGGCAGAAGAGCACAAGAACCAGACTATCGAGCGCCTCACCAAGACTGCGGCGACCAGTGGGCGGGGAGGCCGGGGGGGCGCACGGGGCGAGCGGCGGGGAGGGCGGGCTGCGGCTCCGGCCCCCATGGTGCGCTACTGCAGCGGAGCACAGGGTTCCACCCTTTCCTTCCCACCTGGCGTCCCCGCCCCCACGGCAGTGTCTCAGCGGCCATCCCCCTCAGGCCCGCCGCCGCGCTGCTCTGTCCCCGGCTGTCCCCATCCGCGCCGCTACGCTTGCTCCCGCACAGGCCAGGCACTCTGTAGTCTTCAGTGCTACCGCATCAACCTGCAGATGCGGCTGGGGGGGCCCGAGGGTCCTGGATCCCCCCTTTTGGCTACGTAAGGCCCTTAACCCGGACTCTGCGCCCCGTCCCATGCCCGCTCTTGAGTATCTTCCCCACCCTATTAAATTACATCCGGTGCTTCGGCTTGTACAGAACTGGGGGAGTGGGATGTTGTGGGCAGACCAGTCTCCGGTATACACGTATTTTGCCCCTGTCGGAGCTTGCGTCGATGCCTGGGGCTTGGAAACCACCGCAAAAAACCAGGCTGCAAACCAGCGGACCGACTTTTGGGACTCCGCCTCTTCCAGCCGGGATTACCTGGCGTGCTTCGGCCTTTGGCGTCATTCCGAAAACATACCGCAAGCCAATCAGCGGCAACCTTGCTCTTCGGGGCGGCTGTTCGTTGGTTGATATGCCAGAGCCTGTTCTGTTGTCTGTATTGGCTATTGCCGCTGTCAGTCAGGGCCGTGGGTCGAACCTTCACCTACTCTTTGTCTGTACAAGCTCTTGTTGTCTGGGTGAGCGGCGGAGGCGCTGCTGTGGATTGGTCACAGGGAGAAACCTCTGATCTGTTCCTATTGGCCCGTCCGTCAAGGGACGATGATGATTGGTAGGGCAGAGCAATCTGAGTCCTAGTTGGTGGAGTTCTGCCCGGATGGAAGCTCCGGCCGCGGAGTGATGGTGGCCTCAGCGAAGATGGGCCGGGCAGGGACCATGGCGGTGGCAGCAGAGGTGGCAGGGGCGGGGCGGCTGGCGGTAGAGGAGGCTGTGGTCCTCAGGGGGCTGTAGGTGGAGGTATGGCTCGGGCCAGCAGCGGGAACGGCAGCGAGGAGGCCTGGGGGGCACTTCGGGCGCCGCAACAGCAGGTATCCCAATAGCTCCAAAACCTATCACGACAGCCATTTGTCTCTTTCCCCTTTCCTTGTCCCTTCCTTTTGGGGGTGGGGGAGGAACTCACGGAGCCAAAGGTACTGTGAAGTTCCTAAACATGTCTCTTCCACTCTTTGTCTAAACTTTGTAACGTAGATGCAGCTGACTTTGCCTGTAGCCTCATAGAACCCATCCCATGGCTGCAGTGGAAGCTTGCGGTGGCTCTCCAGTGACCAGAGGCATAGTGAGGTCCCAGGGAGGCTCCCTCTGTCTTGCAACAGTTATTTGTGATCTTTTTCTATGTGCCTATTGTCACAACAGAGTCCGGCAGCGTCTTCTCTTGAGGGAGCAATTTGGAGAAGAGCTGGAACCCAGACTCGCGCCCTGGATGCCATCCTTTATCATCCACAGCAATCCCATCTGGTTGGGAGCACTGCTCTGGGTCTCACACTGCCCCTCCTCTATCCTAGGGAGCCTGAGGCCCAGGGGTGGAAAGATCCAGTTGCGGGTGGGGGGTAGTGAACCGCGCAGGATAATGAAAGCAACTTGCTTTGGAAATGACCTACCGCTACCCGTTGTCTGAGACTGAGATTATCTCAGACTGTCTTCTGGCTTCTGCCAAAACACTCCCTTAACAGAAAGCACCGAGGGGATGGGGGTAGGGGGGTTGGGGAGAGTGAGGCTTGAGTGTGAAGGAAGTCTCATATATGCAGAGCTGAAATCTCCCTCTTTGTATGTCCACACTTTTGTCTTGTTCTCTAGACTGATTCTTGCTATTCCAAATCCTCTTCCACGTTGACAGCCCTTCAGATATTTCAACACTCCTCTCAGCATCCTCCACTTCCCCCATCTCTCCAAGCTGAACTTGGTTCACAGGGTGGGATTGTGTATGTGCATGCAGGAGGTGGGGGTGGACAGTGCCCTGGGCTGGAATCCCCCTTAGTTCTAAGTGCCTCCTTGCCCGCAGCTTCGAGAGCTGTGCCCAGGAGTGAACAACCAGCCCTACCTCTGTGAGAGTGGTCACTGCTGCGGGGAGACTGGCTGCTGCACCTACTACTATGAGCTCTGGTGTAAGTCTCCAAGAGGGCTATTTCCAGGTCCCTGTGTCCACCCTCCCTTGGACCTCAGAATTTCGGCCTTCAGGGCCCCTTCTCTGCATGAAAGATGCCTGAGTTGCTCCCTCCTTGCCTCTTGCAGGGTTCTGGCTGCTCTGGACTGTCCTCATCCTCTTTAGCTGCTGTTGCGCCTTCCGCCACCGACGAGCTAAACTCAGGCTGCAACAACAGCAGCGGCAGCGTGAAATCAACTTGTTGGCCTATCATGGGGCATGCCATGGGGCTGGTCCTTTCCCTACCGGTTCACTGCTTGACCTTCGTGAGTGACTTGATGCCCTGGGTCAGCTACCAGTGGCCCTCCCCAAACCAGAACCCCAAATCGTCTCACATTCCCTTTTCCACACATTTCAAAGTATTTTTCCCTAATATAAAAACTAGCACCCTATACCTGGTTGTCTTCAACCAATCATGCCAATTTTCTCCCCTGCAGGCTTCCTCAGCACCTTCAAGCCCCCAGCCTACGAGGATGTGGTTCACCGCCCAGGCACACCACCCCCCCCTTATACTGTGGCCCCAGGCCGCCCCTTGACTGCTTCCAGTGAACAAACCTGCTGTTCCTCCTCATCCAGCTGCCCTGCCCACTTTGAAGGAACAAATGTGGAAGGTGTTTCCTCCCACCAGAGTGCCCCCCCTCATCAGGAGGGTGAGCCCGGGGCAGGGGTGACCCCTGCCTCCACACCCCCCTCCTGCCGCTATCGCCGTTTAACTGGCGACTCCGGTATTGAGCTCTGCCCTTGTCCTGCCTCCGGTGAGGGTGAGCCAGTCAAGGAGGTGAGGGTTAGTGCCACCCTGCCAGATCTGGAGGACTACTCCCCGTGTGCACTACCCCCAGAGTCTGTACCGCAGATCTTTCCCATGGGGCTGTCTTCCAGTGAAGGGGACATCCCATAAGTAGTTTTGAGAGGGTGGATGGGTTACTTGCCCACCAGAAACAGCCCTAGTCCCAACTCCTTGCGTTCCTTTGGCCCCTCCCTGCCTACCTAGAATCTGCCTGAAAGGGCTGGAGAGGGGCAGTATTGGGGGACTGTGCTAGCTTTACCCCCGCAGGACATACACAGGAGCCTTTGATCTCATTAAAGAGATGTGAACCAGCTACTTGTGGATTTGGGTGGACTAAAGCTCAACTCACTGCATTGCACTTGACCTGACTGGGTTTGAAGGGGACAGGTTATGGCCACTTGACCCCACCTTCCCTGAGGACAGCAGACAGTGCTGAGGCCTGGACTGACCTAAGGCCTCTTGGTGAGGCAAATCTGGCAAAAGCAATAGAGTTCAAAATGTTTTTTCCAATTTATTTAGAAAAATAGACTCTGGATTCACATTCACCCCAGGGCTATGTGGGATGACAGCAAGGAGACACCTGAGATGAAATGAGGAAGGTTTGAATTACTGGTATCCAAGGGGCTGGGGGCAAAAGCCAGAAGCCTTTGTCCCTTCAGAGCCAGAGTGGCATGAGTGTCTTGGCTCCCCTCCTCTCCCTCCCTTCAGTAGTCTTCAGCCATGGCCAGTAAGACAAGGCTGGTCCAGCCGTGGAAAGGGCGGCAGCCCATGCCTCGCCCATCGCGGTCACTGTACTGCTCCCAAAGAAAGCCTGTAGCCTGGTACTGGCGCCATACATTGCCTACCACGTTGGCACGGAGCTCACCGTGGAGTTTGGCAGCCCGAGCCTGGTGAGGACCCTCCAGATGCCCATAGTGGTGGAGTGCTCCCAAAGCCAGGTAGTTGACATTGAGCCACACAGCACCCCGCCAGTAGGGGGGATCATGCTCTGAATTGCGCTGGCCATAAAAGGAGCTGGAGGCTGCAAGGGAGCGTAAACCAAAGGGGCTCCAGAGATGGCGGCTGTCGGCTAGAATGTCCAGCAGGGGCCCAAGGCGGGATGAGGTGGGGTCCAGCAGTCGCAGCAGCAAGGGAAAAAGACTGACATAGCCAAGAGCATCTACATACTGCAGTTGAGGTTGGGGCCGACCCACCACCCGAACGAGCCCCTGAGGGGGCCTGGGCTTCAGCTGTACTGCTTTTGTGTGGTTCCCAAAGTCTGCAAAGACTCCTAGCTCTGGGGCCCAGTGCAGCTCATCCAGGCTCTCTGCTGCCTCCAGTGAGGCAGCCAGTGGGCCCAGCTCAGCAGCTACCTCAGCCTCACCCAGATGCTCTGCCAGCCGCGTCAGCACACGGGCACCCAGTGCCACCCAACATCGCAGGTCCAGGTGCCGCTCGGTTACTGAAGGGTGTGAAGCCCGGGGGTAGTCATCCAGCCCAGAGGGTAGGGTCTTGGGGTTCAGTAAGGTTGGTAAGGCAGGGTCCCGTCCCCGCCAGCGGTAAGATAGTGGCAGTGGGCCTGCCTGGCTCTGATGGAGCCAGGAAAACCAGGCATGCAGGCGGGGCAAGGCCTTTCGGAGGAAAGCCAAGTCGTCAGGGTCACCAACCTCTAGCATATGGGCTACAGGCAAAAGTAGGGTTGGGGGGTTGGCGTGGACTGCTCGTTGTACTAGGAATTCTGGAGGCACCCGGGCTCGGGCCTCATCCCCCAGTATCTGCTCCCTCCCAATCCAGCCATCAGCATTTAGCAGCCCCAGCCAGTGGCCAAGGGCTTCCCGGGTGAGGGAGGGATCCCACCGCTGAACCACCAGCTGGTGAAAGCCTTCATCCCAAAGGAAGCCTCGTGGGAAGAATGACCGGGAGGGCACTGCTGTAAAAAGAGGTACGGGTGGAAAGAGGGCTGGGTCCACCTTCTGCTCAGACCCTTCCACCCCGATGTCTGGCAATACCAGCCCTTGTCCGTAGAAGTAGCCAATTCCACCAAGGAGGCCGCTGAGGGCAGCCTGACCCAAAACCTGCTCGCCAGAGCTCAGGCCCTTCTCCTTCAGCTGGAAGGTCTTCTCAAAGCGCTCTCTAAAGCCTTCAGCATGGCTCTCCAGGGCCTGGGTCAGTAGACTGCCTGCCAGTCTTGGCAGGGCTTGATTTCCTCCTGCCTGGGCACTGCCTGATTCAAACACAAACTCTATGGAAATGGGAATTTTCAGGGTCACCTGCTGTATCAAGAACTGCCCCTGCCCTTGCCCACTTGGACCTCTGTCCTCCCACTTCAGGGATCCTGGCAAGCCGAGGTAGCGTTCAGGGGGGGCCCCTGGGGGCCGATGCTGAAACCAGCTATTTAGGCGACTCTTTACCATCTCTGTCAGCAGGGGCAGTCCTGGGTTGGAGGTCCAGAAGACATTGTAGCTTGAAGGGGAGAAGATAAATAGGAAATATTATTCAAGAGAAGGCAGTGGGCATTATAAAGAGAAATACAAAGTGTTCAGGAGTCAGGTTGGGAGGTCTCAGGCAGGGGACATGGAGACTGGTGAAAATGGGAATAACCACCCCTTCCATCCCCCAACATTCTTTTCCCCCAGTTACCTGCCATACTTGGGGGCTGTATCCCCTGGACTGGTTGGTGGCAAAAGTGTAAAGCGGAAGTCACCAAGTTCACTGGTGTGCCCACTGATAAACTTCAACTGCCCCTTGGCCCCAACCTCTGGTAGTAGGACTTCCTTGCCATCTGTCACCACATAGAAGAACAGGGAGACCAAAGGGAGGGCAGAAGTACCTGAGTCCTGAGTGACCAACGAGGACAGAAAAGAACAGTGTTAGATTGGCATTCTCTCTTGAATTCCCTCTTGAGAATCAGCCTTAGTGAGGGAAAGGAACAGTAGGCAGGGGTAATGTAAACAACATACGTCTGGCAGTAATGAGGGTCACTGAGGGTAACCAGGTACACCCAAGCGGGATGAGATAAAGAGCCTTGCACTGGGTGCCCTGGGAGATAACAGTATACTTTTGTACTATGTCCTACACTAAGAACTCTACACAGTTGATTTCATTTAATTCTTTTTTTTTTTTTTTTTTTTTGAGGCGGAGTCTCGCTCTGTCGCCCAGGCTGGAGTGCAGTGGCGCGATCTCAGCTCACTGCAAGCTCCGCCTCCCAGGTTCACGCCATTCTCCTGCCTCAGCCTCCCGAGTAGCTGCGACAATAGGCGCCCGCCACCACGCCCAGCTAATTTTTTGTATTTTTAGTAGAGACCGGGTTTCACCGTGTTAGCCAGGATGGTCTCCATCTCCTGACCTCATGATCCGCCCGCCTCAGCCTCCCAAAGTGCTGGGATTACAGGCGTGAGCCACCGCGCCTGGCTTTTTTTTTTTTCTTGAGATGGAGTTTTGCTCTTGTTGCCCAGGCTGGAGTGCAATGGCACGATCTCGGCTCAGCGCAACCTCCACCTCCCTGGTTCAAGCAATTCTCCTGCCTCAGCCTCCCAAGTAGCTTGGATCACAGGCATGCGCCACCACGCCCGGCTAATTTTATATTTTCAGTAGAGACGGTGTTTCTCCATTTTGGTCAGGCTGGTCTGGAACTCCTGACCTCAGGTGATCCGCCAGCCTCGGCCTCCCAAAGTACTGGGATTACAGGCGTGAGCCACCGCGCCCAGCCTCTTTTTCATTTAATTCTTACAGTCCTGTGAGTTAAGTGCTATTATTATCTACATTGTACATTTTACAAGCAAGGAAATCAAGGCTTAGAGATGGTAAATAGAAATGGTTATACAGGCAGTTGTTTAAGGCAGGATTTAAGCCAGGCAGCCAGAGCCCACTTCATGCTGCATTTGCTGGCAGCAAGGGAAGGATGGAGGGGGTCTGGGCTGAGAAAAGGGTGTCCTGAGGCCCTGACCTGAGGCTCTACAGTCACTCTCCAGCTCCAGTCCCCTCCGTGCTGACCCCCAGGCCTCTTGACGAACTCAGTGGTGAGCCTTAAGGCCCCATCCTGGATGTGTTGGCGCCCGAAGGAGAGGCCGTCGTGGAACTCCCAGCCATAGGGACCCACACCGTCCCCCTGCTCACACGTGTGCCTGAGCTTAGGAGTCCCCGGGGTGGTGCCCTGCTGCGCCCACATCAGTCCTGGGGGTAGAATGGCCACGTAAGTCAAAGAGCAGGGGACCTGTCCCTCCGGGTCTCCGGGTCATCCCTCTTCATAACTCTCCTGATCCATTCCTTCCCACCCTTGCTCTCGCTTCAAGCTGGGGCGCCCAGATTAGGAGTCCGCCTGCCTGCCCGCCCTGGGGCCCGGTTACCGGTGAGGAGGGGCTTCGGGCTGCGGGTCTTCATGCCGAAGTAGACGTGAGGGCGGTAGGTTCCCCAGAAGAGGTCCGGGGCCACGGCGGGGCTGGAGGAGTCGGCAGGCAACACAGGAGGCGCGGAGTGCAGCGTGACCGCCCGCCGCGCACGGTACCACGCCAGCACCCAGCGCCCCGACATACCCAGGGCCAAAGACAGGACCACGACGGCCAGAGCCACTCCTCCAGCCGTGCTACGCGGCCCGCCGCCCCGGCCGTCCCGTCGCCCGGGGCCTCCCCGAGCCGCCCTCTCGGCTGTCCGCACTCCCTCTGCCGGCACTGCGCGGCGCCGCCGCTCGCCCCGAGCCATCCTGGCACTGAGGTCCGCGTCACAAGAGCTCGGAGAGGCGGCAGTGGAGCCCGGGTCCTGCCTCACCTCTCCGGCTCCCGCCTCTCGCCCTGGCGACCACCGTCCGGTTAGCGACACCTGCCAGCCAGCGCCTGCGCCTCCGCCTCCGCCTCCCGCCGGAAGTCCCGCCCCGCCACGTTAGGTTAAGTCCCAGAGTCCGGAACCGCTGCCTGCGGCTTGACACAGGGTTGGTACGTAGCGTCTGTCCTGGGCGTTGGTCCACCGGGATTGCGTTTATCTGGCGACCCCATGGAGTTCACAGGCTCGGAAAAACCAATCTAACGTTGGGCTGAGGCATGAGAATCGTTTGAACCCGGGAGGCGGAGGTTGCAGTGAGCCGAGATTGTGCCACTGCACTCCAGCCTGGGCGACAGAGCGAGACTTCGTCTCAAAAAAAAAAAAAAAAGACTGATGTGGCCAGGCACCGAGGCGCACATCTGTAATCCCAGCACTTTGGGAGGCCGAGGCAGGTGGATCACCAGACATGAGGAGTTGGAGACCAGCCTGGTCAACTTGGTGAAACCCCATCTCTACTAAAAATACAAAAATTAGCCGGGTGTGGTGGTGGGTGCCTGTAATCCCAGCTATTCGGGAGGCTGAGGCAGGAGAATTGCTTGAACCTGGGAGGCGGAGGTTGCAGTGAGCCGATATTGCGCCATTGCACTCCAGCTTGGGCAACAAGAGTGAAACTGTTTCAAAAAAAAAGAAAGAGAGAGAGAGAGAGAGATGGAGGGAGGGAGGGAGGGACGGAGGGAGAGAGAGAGAGAGAGAGAGAGACTGATGCTTTATGCAACACGACCACTTATATTTCACTATAATCTGACTGGTGGCCCCACTCTCCACTAGTGGTAGACTTTTTGCTTATGAAATCATCTGACCAAACCCAATGGTTAGTCCTGTTTTTGTCTTTCTTGCTACCGTTGCATTTGTCGACATCCTTATTGTAGCACTTATTACATACCTGTTTCATTTTTCATCTTTGTATCACAGTACTAATCAATTATAGGCATAAGGCAGATGCTAAATATTTATAAATTCAACACATGTTTATTGTACACCCTATATCGCATTATGCAAGGTGCTGGGGACTCAGAGAAAATGGCCCCAACCTCAAGTTCACAGTCTAGAAGCACAATGCCAGCACTCAATGCATGTTGAACCATACCCATTTTTTTTTTTTTTTTTTTTTTGAGACGGAGTCTCGCTCTGTCACCAGGCTGGAGTGCAATGGCATGATCTCGGCTCACTGCAACCTCTGCCTCCAGGGTTCAAGTGATTCTCCTGCCTCAGCCTCACGAGTAGCTGGGATTACAGGTGCCCACCACCACGCCCAGCTAATTTTTGTATTTTTAGTAGAGATGGAGTTTCACCAGGTTTGCCAGGCTGGTCTCGAACTCCTGACCTCAGGTGATCCACCCACCTCGGCCTCCCAAAGTGCTGGGATTACAGGCGTGAGCCACCGCGCCTGGCCAGACCACCCCCATTTTTACAGATGAGGAGAGTAGTTAAGACTGACCCAAAATAACAGCCAGTTAATTATGGAGCTGGGGAACTCAAATCCAGGTTGTTCTTTTGACTTTAGAATAAGGCCTCTTAGGGCAGGCGCAGTGGCTCAAGCCTGTAGTCCCAGCACTTTGGGAGGCAAAGGCGGGCGGATCACCTGAGGCTGGGAGTTCGAGACCAGCCTGACCGACATGGAGAAACCCCGTCTCTACTAAAAAATACAAAATTATCTGGGCATGGTGGTGCATGCCTGTAATCCCAGCTACTCGTGACACTGAGGCAGGAGAATCACTTGAACCCGGGAGGCAGAGATTGCAGTGAGCCAAGATTGTGCCATTGCACTCCAGCCTGGGCAACAAGAGCGAAACTCTTGTCTCAAAAAAAAAAAAAAAAAAAAAAAAGAATAAATAAGGCCTCTTAGATAACAGCAGTTACTACACTCCCAGCAATGTTTTAGGTACTTTACAGATATTAATTCATTTAATCTCCTTAACAGTCCTATGAGAAAAGTACTATTATTTTCATTTTACAAATGAAATAAGCACTGATAGATTAAATAATTTGTCTAAAGTCATACAGCTACATAAAAACAAAGCTAGGATCTCAACCCCAAGCAGTCTGGCTCATTACAACACTATACTGCCTCCTCCTAGCTTTCTTTTTTAAAGGGGGAGGGGAAAAACGGTCCTTTGAAGATAGCACCCTTTTAGACCGGGAAAAGGTATAGTAATGCTGCTGTAGGAGGGTCGTGGGAAATGTATCTGGCAAAGTACACAGCAGGCCACTGTCTACAGATCTTTTGTTACCTAGCTGAGCATTGTGAAGGTGTCTAAAGCAGTGGCTTTCAACCATTTTCCTACAACTCACAATAAGAAATAATTCCATAGTGCAACCCAGTATGTGCAGATACACATACACACACAACTTATTTAAAACAAGTTACCTAAAAGAATACTTTTAGCTGGGTGTGGTGGCTCACGTCTGTAATCACAGCACTTTAGGAGGCCAAGGCAGGAGAATCACTTGAGTTCAGGAGTTCTAGACCAGCCTGGACAAGATGAGGAGACCCCCCCATCTACAAAAAATTTAAAAATTAGGGTTGGCCGGGTGTGGTGGCTCACGCCTGTAATCCCAGCACCTTGGAAGGCTGAGGCGGTGGATCACCTGAGGTTAGGAGTTCAAGACCAGCCTGGCCAACATGGTGAAACCCCGCCTCTACTAAAAACACAAAAATTAGCTGGGCATGGTGGCACGCGCCTGTAATCCCAGCTACTTAGGAGGCTGAGGCAGGATAATCACTTGAACCCGGGAGGCAGAGGTTGCAGTGAGCTGAGATGGCACCATCGGCGACAGAGCAAGACTCCGTCTCAAAAAAAAAAAAAAAAAAAAATTAGGGCTGGGCACGGTGGCTTACTCTTGTAATCCTAGCACTTCGGGAGGCCAAGGAGGGTGGATTACTTGAGGTCAGGAGTTCCTGACCAGCCTGGCCAACATGGTGAAACTCTGTCTCTACTGAAAATACAAAAATTAGCTGGAAATCGCTTGAACCCAGGAGACAGAGATTGCAGTGAGCTAAAATCGTGCTCCACTGCACTCCAGCCTGGGCAACAGAGCAAGACTCCATCTCAAAAAAAAAAAAAAAAAATTAGGCCAGGCATGGTGGCTCACGCCTGTAATTCCAGCTGCTTGGGAGGCTGAGGCGGGAGGACTGCTTGAGCCCAGGAGATGGAGGGTGCAGTGAGCTACGATTGTGCCACTGCACTCCAGCCTGGGTGACAAAGCATGACTTAATCTCTTTAAACTTCCTATTCTAAGTGCCATGCAGTCTGATTTTTTTTTTTTTTTTTTTTGAGATGGAGCCTTGCTCTTGTCAACCAGGTTAGAGTGCAATGGTGCTATCGGCTTACTGCAACCTCCACTTCCCGGGTTCAAGCAATTCTCCTGCCTCAGCCTCCCAAGTGGCTGGGATTACAGGTGCCCGCCACCACACCCGGCTAATTTTTTGTATTTTTAGTAGAGATGGGGTTTCACCATGTTGGTCAGGTTGGTCTTGAACTCCTGACCTCAGGTGATTCCGCCCACGTCGGCCTCTCAAAGTGATGGGATTACAGGCATGAGCCATTAAACTCAGCCTCAGTCTGATAATTTTTATTCTATTCTACTTTTTTTTTTTTTTTGAGACAGAGTCTCACTCCATCAACCGAGCTGGAGTGCAGTGGCATGATCTCCACTCAGCGCAGCCTCCACCTCCTGGGTTCAAGTGATTCTCCTGTCTCAGCCTTCTGAGTAGCTGAGATTACAGGTGCCTGCCACCACACCCAGCTATTTTTTATTTTTTTATTTTTAGTAGAGACAGCGTTTCATCATATTGGCCTGGCTGGTCTCTAACTCCCAACCTCAAGTGATCTGCCCGCCAAAGCCTCCCAAAGTGCTGGGATTACAGGCATGAGCCACTCCACCCGGCCTACTTTTTTTATTTTATTTTATTATTATTATTTTTTTAAGAATGGTTTAGGCTGGGTGCGGTGGCTCATGCCTGTAATACCAGCACTTTGGGAGGCCGAGGTGGGTAGATCACCTGAGGCCAGGAGTTCGAGACCAGCCTGACCAACATGGAGAAACCCCCTCTACTAAAAGTACAAAATTAGGCATGGTGGTGCATGCCTGTTATCCCAGCTACTTGTGAGGTTGAGGCAGGAGAATTGCTTGAACCCGGGATGCGGAGGTTGCAATGAGCTGAGATTGTGCCATTGCACTCCAGCCTGGGCAACAAGAGCGAAACCCTATCTAAAAAAAAAAAAAAAGAATGGTTTAACTCCCTAAATTGATTGCATGGTCCACACTAATGAGTGTTGAGGAAGTATGAAAAACAGTTTAGGCAATGTTTTTTCTTTTTTTGAGACGGAGTCTTGCTCTGTCACCCAGGCTGGAGTGCAGTGGTGCAGTATCGGCTCACTGTAACCTCCACCTCTTGGGTTCAAGCAGTTCTCCTGCCTCAGCCTCCTGAGTAGCTGGGATTACAGGCAACTGCCACCACGCCCGGCTAATTTTTGTATTTTTAAGAGATGAGGTTTCACCATGTTGGTTGGGCTGGTCTCGAACTCCTGACCTCATGATCCACCCACCTCGGCCAAATCCCAAAGTGCTGGGATTACAGGCATGAGGCACCATGCCCGGCCGGCACTGTTTTCTTAAACAGGGAGTAGTGAGAGATAAAACCCATCGCATGTTTTGGAAGGATAAAATTAAGTGGCAGCAAAAATATTTAGGAAATAGACTGGGTAGCAGAATGCAATAATGATGAATAGAGTGAATGGGAATGGAGAGATCACTTCAGAAGTTTTGTTTTGTTTTTGAGACAGTGTCTTGCTCTGTCACCAGGCTAGAGTGTAGTGGTGCAACCACAGCTCACTCTAGCCTTGAACTCTTAGGCTCAAAAGGATCCTCCTGTCTCAGCCTTCTGAGTAGGTGGGACTACAAGTATGAGCCACCTTGCCCAACTTTCAGGCACTTTTTTAAAAGACAGAATATTCTGAACTGAGTGACCAGATATGCAGAGAATGGAAAGGAACAGAACTAGAGAACACTGGTTTCCAGCCCAGGTGGCTGAGTAGATGAAGTGCCTGTTTTTAAAAAGGAATGGGTAAGTCAGGGAAGAGAGGCAAGTATATGTGTATGTAAGATTATCAATTCTATTTTATACAAAGAGAGTTGGTGGGATTTGGAGGAAATTGGTAGCAGGTAACCTGATTATAGCATAGAAGTTGGGATTAGAACCAAACAGAAATAGTTTAACCCCAGAAGGTGTAATTCAAGTTGTGAAAGAGGATGAGATGCCCCAGAAAAAAATAGAGAAGAAAAAGAATGAAGGTAGAACACCTGTGTGGTTCAAAAGAAAAAGGACCCAAGAGGGAGAGAAGTTCCACAAATGGGTGAATTAAGAGTTGCAGGCCGGGCACAGTGGCTCATGCCTGTAATCCCAGCACTTTGGGAAGCCGAGGGGGCGGATCAGGAGTTTGAGGACAGCCTGGCTGACATGGCAAAGCCCCATCTCTACTGAAAATACAAAAATCAGCCAGGCGTGGTGGCACATGCCTGTAATCCCAGCCACCCAGGAGGCTGAAGCAGGAGAATCACTGGAACCCGGGAGGCGGAGGCTGCAGTGAGCCAAGGTCACGCCACTGCACTCCAGTCTGGGTGACAGAGTGAGACTCTATCTCAAAAACAAGAGTTGTAGATGCGGCCAGGCGTTGGTGGCTCACGCCTGTGAACCCAGCACTTTGGGAGGCCGAGGCAGGAGGATCACTTGTGTCCAAGAGTTAGAGACCAGCCCGTGCAACAGGACAAAACCCCACCTCTATTTAAAAAAAAAAAAAAAAAAAAAAAAAAGATGGAACTGGGATACAACGATGAGAGCTGAAAAAACAGCACTCTGTTAGTGTTTTTGTTTTTTTTTTTTTTTTGAGACAGAGTCTCACTCTTGCTCAGGCTGGAGTGCAGTGGTGTGACCTCAGCCTACTTCAACCTTCACCTCCTGGATTCCAGCGATTCTCTTGCCTCGCTCGGCCTCCCGAGTAGCTGGGATTACAGGCTTGTGCCACCACACCCAGCTAATTTTTTTGTATTTTCTAGTAGAGGTGGGGTTTCTCCAAGCAGGTGATCTGCCTGACTCGGCCTCCTAAAGTGCTGCGATTACAGATGTGAGCCACCACGCTCAGCCTATCAGTGTTCTTTCACACAAGATTTGGTAAAAGTAAGAGGGCTGGGCACAGTAGCTCACGCCCAACACTTTGGGAAGCCAAGGTGGGAGGATCACTTGAGCCCAGAACTTCAAGACCAGCCTGGGAAACATAGTGAAAACCCTTCTCTACAAAAAAATTTAAAAATTAACTAAACGTGGTGGCGCGTGGGGCGTGCCTGTAGTCCCAACTTCCCAGCTACTTGGGAGGTTCGGCTAAGCCCAGGTTACAGTGAGCTAGAATCATGCCACTGCACTCCAGCCTGAGCGACAGAAACAGACCAGTCAAAAAAAAAAAAAAAAAAAAAAAAAAAAAAAAAGAGGTACCTTGAGTGAGTGGTAGGAGAAGCCAGAAGCCAAATTCAAAAGGGTTAAGCAGTGAGTGATAGTAAGAAAGTGAAATAAATTCAGGTTCATCCAGACACCTCTCTGATCTAGTCTTGTTCCAGAAACATTGTGGTAGCAGGGTTTTAAACTTTATTTTGCGCTCCGTGACCCTTCAGATAGTGATTTGAATGATTAAGTGAAACTCTTCTTAGGTTAAGTGTCCTAGTCCACGCTAAAATCATCTTGTTGGTCTCTTTGGCGCTGTCAGCGACCAGTATCAGCGCCCGGCTTGTCCCCGCTGCCCGCCGCGTCCCTGGCCCGGATGTGGGAGGCGAAGGCGGTGAGCATTTCCAGAGCGGTGAGATGAGCGCCGCGCATAATCAGGCGATGCCCGTCTCCTGGGGAAGAAACAAACGAGTGAGACAGGGAGGGACCGCAGTGCTGGGGCTTAGGGGCGCGCGGGCTGCTCGCTGTTCCCTCCTGCCCGTCTCCACCAAGCCCACCGAACAGCACGTCCACGCAGGGCTCGGAGCCGTCATGCCTCACGTCCGCAATCACTGAGCAGTTGAGATTAGTGGAGCGGACCTTCTCACTGCTCACCGTCTGCAGGAAGGTCCTACGGTGGAAAAACAGAGGAGCGCCAAGCTGAGGGCTTAAAGCCCCGGCTGAAGGAAGGCGCACCACTTCCCGCTTCTACCCACTTCCCCTTCGTACCTCGTCGATTCCACGTTTTTCTCGAAGGGACAGAACTGAACCCGAACCTGTTTGACAGGCCGCAGACCAAGCCGAGCCAAGGCAGCTGCCATGGTGACCTCCGCCCCGGAAGAACTCGTGCAGGCGGAAGTGTCGCATTGCGTGAGGCCGTGAATGGCTGCGCTTCTGCGGGATAGACTTCCGGCCGCCGGCTGCTTAGCAGGCCTGCGAACCGCAGCTCTGGGCTTCCTAGCCCAGGCGGAGGAAGGCAGGAAAGAAAGAGGTGGTTTCGGCACAACGCATGGGGGAGCCCAAAGTAGGCTGTCAGCAAATACAGCCTATCATGAATAGTCCTCTCATACGACGGTGAAAACCATAAATAAATGGCGCAAAAACCTCTTTGCACGAAAATACGCCCGTTTTCTGCAGCCTTTCCCCTTCTGTACCCTGCTGGGCCACATCTAGGCTAACTCGATCTTAAATCCTGGCTTCTTCCAAAGAGAGAGCACTAACACAAGCCGGGATGATCCACACCAGAAGGTAAACACCATTCAGGTAACTGAAGATTAAACGTAGTGAGCTCTGAATAGCCAAAGCTTAAACGTGAAAGTACTACAGCCCAATATTAGTAAATGACTGAAAATAGTAATAGGAAGGGCAGTACAGGGTAATACTGTCCTTGGGGCTGATCCAGGTATAGAAATGCCTATTAAACCTCTGTGGTTCTCCATGAATTAGCGTAGCTCCCAGGACTTAAGTTGAAGTGCATTCTAGCCAGTTTTCTTTTTTTGAGACGAAGTTTTGCTCTTGTTGCCCAGGCAGGAGTGCAGTGGCGCGATCTCGGCTCACTGCAATCTCTGCCTCCCGGGTTCAAGCGATTCTCATGCCTCAGCCTCCTGAGTAGCTGGGACTACAGGCGCGTGCCACCACGCCCGGCTAATTTTTTGTATTTTTAGTAGAGGCGGGGTTTCACCGCGTTAGCCAGGATGGTCTTGATCGGACCTCGTGATCCGCCCCTCTAGGCCTCCCAAAGTGCTGGGATTACAGGCGTGAGCAGGCGTGAGCCCCCTCACCTGGCCGAGCACTCAACTCTTTATCCCTGAGATATCTTCAGTGATGGAGAACTAGGCCTGAACCTCCCAAGGGTCTGACCTTCAGGTTCCAGGCTATGGTCTTGCTCTTTACTCTGGATTCCAGGTGCTGGAGTGATCTTGGATTTTTTTTTTTTTTTTTTTTTTTTTTGAGACGAAGTTTTGCCCTTGTTGCCCAGGCTGGAGTGCAATGGCACAATCTCGGCTCTCCGCAACCTTCGCCTCCTAGGTTCAAGCGATTCTCCTGCCTCAGCCTCCTGAGTAGCTGGGATTACAGGCATGCGCCACCACACCTGGCTAATTTTGTATTTTTAGTAGAGACGGGGTTTCTCCATGTTGGTCAGGCTGGTCTGGAACTCCCGACCTCAGGTGATCCGCCTGCCTCAGCCTCCCAAAGTGCTGGGATTATAGGTGTGAGCCACCATGCCCTGCCTAATCTTGGATTTTTTTTTTTTTTTTTTTTGAGACAGAGTCTTGCTCTGTCACCCAGGCTGGAGTGCTGTGGCTGGATCTCAGCTCACTGCAAGCTCCGCCTCCCAGGTTCACACCATTCTCCTGCCTCAGCCTCCCGAGTAGCTGGGACTACAGGCACCCGCCACCACGCCCGGCTAATTTTTTGTATTTTTAGTGGAAACAGGGTTTCACCGTGTTAGCCAGGATGGTCTTGATCTCCTGACCTCATGATCCGCCTGCCTCGGTCTCCCAAAGTGCTGGATTACAGGCGTGAGCCACCTCGCCCAGCCCCTAATCTTGGATTCTTAAGCCCAGGCTCTTTGTAGCTTATTCTCCAGTATGCTTTCCTCCAAGCTTCCAGTTCTGGGCTTCCTTAATATGCAATTCCAAATGTCTGGATTTTCCAGCTAGAGATGGGGAGCTCTTAACTTTCTGGCTCCTGGTCCCAGGCTCCTTAGGATTCAGGACTGGTTCCCAGGCAGGAAAAAAACGGCAGGTGCCAACGGGGTCGCTGGTGTTGCCTGAGGGCAAGCCAGGCCTGCTGATTTCCCACCAGGTAGCCCTCCGGGCTAGGTCCCCTTCCTCCTAGTGTGCTTTGCAGCTGACCTGTCTGGGCTGGAGATGTTCCAGGCTGGAGCGGGGGCTCCAAGCTCTCCAGGCTATTGAGGCAGCTGCTGGGCAATTTCGTGGTCTGGACCTCCTGACAAGCACCTGGTAAGGCAGGAGTGGAAGGTAGGTGGCTGCTGGGGATATACTGAAGCCAGATTAATGGTGAGAATAGGGTTTGGGACACACAAAGCAGTGAGCGAAGGGGAGTAACTCACAGCAACAGGGGGGCCTCCTGTGGACTTGAGACTTGGGCAGGGGCTGCTGCAACAGACACAGCAGGGCCCCATCCAGCTGCTGGAAGATGCTGAGCATGAGCAGGGTCTGGCGGAGATCAGGGGACAGGCTCCACTGCTCCTCTTCCAGCAACTCCCTGACCACTCCAAAGTCTTGTTTGAGCTGCAGCGCTCCCTGCAGGCTGAAGGCAGAGGTACAGTATGGCCACTTGACCCTCCTGCCTCTCCCACTTATCCCCTTCCTTTTCCCAGTTCCATTCACCCCCTGCCACTTCCACCTTTACTCCTGACCTGAACCGAATCCCATGGGTAAGAATGTGGTCAAGCCAGGCACCCACGATGGCCGTCAGAGCCTGACCAAGGGCAGGGGCCTGGGCTTGAGGTGGCAACCCTTGCAATCCTTGCAACACAGGCTCCAGTACGGTGCGGACCACTAAACCAGCATACTCACTAGGAGCACTGGGAGGTTCTGGAATAGAGAAGACAGAATATAAGGCTGTGGAGATCCATTGAACCCCTAAATGGAGTGTTTGGGAGAAGAGGGTAGGATTTCAGGAGGGAAGGGTACAGAAGCTGAGGACAAGGATGGAGACAGTGGAGGGGAACCGGAATTTGGAAGGGCTGAGACACTATTACCCCCTTGGAACTCTGGAAGGAGAAGCTGGGATGAGGAGTTACCAGGACAGAGACGAAGCCGCCAGTACCGACCCCGTGGCATGTAGAGCTTGAAACCTTGCATGGCTTGTTTATGACATTCTTGAGAAAAGACACTTAGTGACTCTTCAGGCAGGAGCTGTAGGGATAGGGAGAAAGTAAAAGGGGCTTGTCAAATTATGATGATCCTCTATATCTAAGGAGCTCTATGTCCAACTTGACATCCATAAAACCCCAGAATTGTTGCATAGTTGTGTATGCCTGGCCATTTTTTGAGGAGCAATGCCATAGTTGTCATTGGGTTTTCCAAGAGGTCTGGACCCAAATTATGAACAATTGCCCTAGGATTACCTTGCTCTCCCCAGCTTGGTTCAAAAGATGGAAAATCCTTGAGGTTAATTTTACTATACAAGAGCTTTAAGGAAAAAGAAAGACATACCCTGCCCCCACCCCCGCAACACACACACACACACACACACACACACACACACACACACACACACACACACACACACAGAGCATATGCCAGAAAGAGGGATTGTATGATCTGCAATGGGCAGAAATTGAGGGAAGAAAGGGGAATTACAACGACCTTTTATTTTTGAGGCAGAGTCTTGCTGTGTCGCCCAGACTGGAGTGCAGTGGCGTGATCTCGGCTCACTGCAACCTCTGCCTCCCGGGTTCAAGTGATTCTCCTGCCTCAGGCTCCCAAGTAGGTGGGACTACAGGAGTGCACCACCACACCCAGCTAATTTTTGTATTTTTAGTAAAGACAAGGTTTTGCCATGTTGGTCAGGCTGGTCTCAAACTCCTGATCTCAGGTGATCGGCCTGCCTCTGCCTGCCAAAGTGCTGGGATTACAGATGTGAGCCACTAAGCCACTACACCCAGCCTACAATGATCTTTTGGTTATCACCTACAAAAGGAAGACAAGAACTGTATGTAAACCAGAAGCAATGACTATTTGAATGTTCTGAGACTCAGGAAGTTTTGGAATGTCCTTACATTGAAAGGCATTATTATATATTATTATTCTTCACAGCCCACTCCAGAGCAATATAACCCATAAAGCAAGAAAAGGCCTATATGCTGGGTTTGTTTCTTTGGTTTGATAGGTTGTTTTTGGAGGGAGAGAACACAGCAATAAAGCTGGTTTCTGCTCTACAGCCCATCTTGAGGGAGAGGAACCCCAGTAAATGTGGTTAATGGCAGCTGCTCTGTAAAGAAATGGTAGATGCCAGGGAGCCTGAAGACAGGATAGACCTGGGGGCGGCCAGACATGGAGTGGAGCCCATATGGCTCCTGGCACATCTGACAACCTGTCTAAATCCAAAATCTTCCTCTCTTCTCCAGTAAATGCAAGCCCCCTTCTCCTCCCTTATTTATGTCAAGGAAATTGCCCTTTTGTCAACGGACTTTTGTTAGGAGCCTCTGTACTCAACACTGAGGGAATACAAGGTGCAGAGTGTGTGACAGTCTCTCCCCCACCCACTGGGATCTTATAGTCCAAACAGGAAGAAAACTCACAATGCCTCTTTTTTTTTTTTTGAGACCAAGTTTCGCTCTTATTGCCCAGGCTGGAGTGCAGTTGCGCAATCTCAGATCACTGCAACCTCTGCCTCCTGGGTTCAACCGATTCTCATGCCTCAGCCTCTGAGCAGCTGGGATTACAGGCACCCGTCACCATGCCTGGCTAATTTTTGTATTTTTAGTAGAGATGGGGTTTTACCATGTTGGCCAGGCTGGTCACAAACTCCTGACCTCAAGTTATCCACCCATCTCGGCCTCCCGAAATGCTGGGATTACACCCTTCTGCTCTTAAAATGTCACCCCCTCACTTATGAGGTAAAGCGCAAATTGTTGGGGCTGGTGTTCATGCCCTCCACAATTTGATGCCAAATTGCTTACTACCCTACCCCACACCCAACCCCAGTGAACATACCCACAAAAGGAACCTCTGCTCTGGTAAGGCCACCTCTCTGCTACCCCCACAAGGATCTACAAACTGCCCACTTCCAGTAACCCCAGCCACTCCTCTGAGGCTTCCCAGCCACCATCTCCAGCCATAGGCCATGTATGGAGCGTTCTTTAACCACATGCCCACTATAGCCTTCCTTCCTCAGGGCTCTATGACCGTCACTGTGTGCAGTACTCATGATGAGCCTGCTCTGGGGCATGTTGAGTTTAAGTAGACAGCAGTAAACTGAGGTAGAAATGCCCAACAGGCAAATGCAGATGTTTAACTAGAACTCTGGGAGCCAGGCTGGGTGTGGAGGCTCATGCCTGTAATCCCAGAACTTTGGGAGGCCAAGGCGGTGGATTGCTTGAGCTCAAGAGTTCAAGAACAGGGCACATGTTCTCAGATCTCCTGAGGGCTATGTCACGAGCCAAACTTCTAATTAAAAAAAAAATATATATATATATAAATAGATATAATATAAATAAAATATATATAGATATAATATAAATAAAATATATATATATACTTTTTTTTTTTTGAGTCTCACTCTGTTGCCCAGGCTGGAATGCAATGGCACGCTCTCGACTCACTGGAACCTCCGCCTCCCGGATTCAAGTGATTCTCCTGCCTCAGCCTCCCGAGTAGCTGGGATTACAGGTGTACACCACAATGTCCAGCTAATTTTTGTATTTTTAGAAGAGACAGGGTTTCACCATGTTGGCCAGGCCGGTCTTGATCTCCTAACCTCAGATGATCCACCTGCCTCGGTTTCCCAAAGTGCTGGGATTACAGGTGTGAGCCACTGCACCTGGACAAAAAATTTTTTTGTTTTCTGTTTTTTTTTTGAGACAGAATTTTTGTTCTTGTTGCCCAGGCTGGAGTGCAATGGCGCTATCTCGGCTCACTGCAACTTCCGCCTCCTAGGTTCAAGCGATTCTCCTGCCTCAGCCTCAGAAGTAGCTAGGATTACAGGCACCTGCCACCATACCGGCTACTTTTTTGTATTTTTAGTAGAGACGGGGTTTCACCACGTTGGGCAGGCTGGTCTTGAACTCCTGACCTCAGGCGATCCACCCACCTTGGCCTCCCAAAAAAGTTTTTTAAAAAGATTTTTAAAAAGGGTTCAAGACCAGCCTGGGCAACATGGCAAAACCTTGTCTCTACAAAAAAAAAAATTTTTTTAAGTAGCTGGGCATTGGCCGGGTGTGGTGGCTCACACCTATAATCCCAGCACTTTGGGAGGCTGAGGTGGGTGGATCACCTGAGGTCAAGGGTTCCAGACCAGCCTGGCCAACATGGTGAAACCCATCTCTACTAAAAATACAAAAACTAGCTGGGCGTGGTGGCAGGCGCCTGTAATCCCAGCCACTCAGGAGGCTGAGGCAGGAGAATCACTTGAACCTGAGAGGTGGAGGTTGCAGTGAGTAGAGATCACGCCACTGCACTCCAGCCTGGGTGACAGAGTGAGACACCTTCTCAAAAAAAAAAAAAAAAAAAGTAGCTGGGCATTGTGGCTTCCACCTGTGGTTCCAGCTACTCAGGAGGCTGAGGTGGGAGGATTGCTTGAGCCCAGGAGGTGGAGGTTGCAGTGAGCCAAGATCACATAACTGCACTCCAGCCTGGGTGACAGTGAGACCCCATCTTAGAAAAAAAAAAAGAACTCTGGGAGCCAGAAAGACTGAACCCGGGAGTTCACAGCAGCAAGACACTGTGGGTAAGCAGGAATACTGAGAGAAAAGCAGAGAGTTAAGGACTGAACTCTACAGCCACACCCCTATTCGGGGCAAAGAGGAGAAAACTGAGCAGGAAAACAAAAAACCAGACATCTTCCACATAGGAATAGATAAATGTGCAAAATGGGGAAGAAAAAGTATAATGGCTTTATTCATAAACATATAAGAAAATGTTAGGAGAAACAGGCAAACATGGATGAAGGTTACTACTGTGAAATAGAAATCAGAGGTGAGTGAGGGCAAACAAAGTGCTGTTTTTTCATTAGTTTTATAAAATAATATTCTATTTCACTTTTTAAACTATAGACATGCACTATTTTATTTTTTGAGACAGGGTCTCTCACTGTATTGCCTAGGCTGGCTGGAATGCAGTGGCTATCACAGCTTACTGCAGCCTTGACCTCCTGGGCTCAAACGATCCTCTTGCCTCAGCCTCCCAAGTAGCTGGGAGTACAGGCGCATGCCACCATGCTCAGCTAAATTTTTTAATTTTTGGAGAGATGGGAGTCTGTGTTGCCTAGGGTGGTCTCGCTATGTTGCCCCTGGTGGTCTCGAACTCCTGGCCTCAAGCAATGCTCTTGCCTTGGCCTCCCAAAGCATTAATAAAAATACAAATTAAACTTTTAAGAGAGGAGAAATGTGCCGATAACTGGTAAGTAAAGAGAAAGATGCAATCATTTATCCTGAATTTTCTCTCTAAAATATACCTAAGAGTAACCAAATCATTAATGAAGGCAAGTTTTTCTTCATAGGAGTAATCCAACTCATAAATGAAGTAGGAATGATGAGAATTGAAATGTTACCACTTTACAACCTCTAATGAAATAATGAATCGAGGCAATGATCCACTGTTGCCATCAAAAACGAGAGTCTGGCATTACTGGGGAGAGGGTAGGGGATACACAGATGAAATTGACCATGAGTTGATAATTGTTAAATGCTTGGTGACAGACATATGGGAGTCCATTATACACCTCTCTCTACATTTGTACATGTTTGAAATTTTCCATAGTAAAATGTTAAAGGGGCCAGGCATGGTGGCGCATGCCTGTAATCCCAGCACTTTGGGAGACCAAGGTGGATGGATCACTTGAGCTCAAGGGTCCGAGACCAGATTGGGCAACATGGTGAAACCCTGTCTCTACTAAAAAAATTCAAAAGTTAGACACGTGTGGTGGCACGAGCTTGTAGTCTCAGCTACTAGGGAGGCTGAGGTGGGAGGACCGTTTAAGCCCAGAAGGTAGAGGCTGCAGTGAGCTGAGATTGTGCCACTGCACTCCAGCCTGGGTGACAAAGTGAGACCCTGTCTCAAAAAAAAAAAAAAAAAAAAGTTAAAGAGAACAAAAAATGAACAGAGCAAAAAAAGATACATTTAGCAGAGACTCCAAGGAGATTCCAAGTTACTGAGATGTTCTACTCTTCCCACCCCCGATACTTGGCACAGAACATAGGGTCTTACACTGCCACTGTTGAGGCCCCTGTTCTCACCTGGATCTGTGCAGTCAGCTTCTGGATCTCCAGGCCCAGCTGCTGCTCCACTTCCAGAGCTAAGCTTTCCTCTGAGGCCAGGCTATACAAAGCTTCTGCCTCATGCAACAGAGGCTTTGGGTGGAAACAGGGAGTGAGGGCTCAGCCTAGCTCAGGCTGCTCCCCTCCCTACTCCCCAGCCACTCACAGGTAAGTCCTTTTGGATCAGGAGCAGGAAGGAAGCTGGGTCCCATGCTGCCAAGTACTGCTGAGCTCTGCCCAGGAACCAGAGCAAGGTGGTCTGAAGGGTACAGAGACCTAGGGCGACAGGCGCAGGATCTGGGGATTTGAGCAGCAGAGTGAGTATCTTAGGGGTCATGGAGTACCTTTGGGAAGAGGCAGATTTCAGAACAGAGTGAAAGAAAAGAGATATCCTCAACTGCTCTGTGTCCCCAGCCCCAGCCCCTCGTCTCACCTGCAGGCTGGCAGAAAATCCGTCGTAACCTGGGCTCTCGAAGGGCATCCAAGAGAGGAGGAAAGAGCTGCTGCAAAAGTTCAGCAGTGCCAGAGGATGTGGGAAGGCTGCTCTGACCCCCAAGAGCTGATCCCAAGGCCTGGCAGAAACCTGAGGATGAGAGAGTATAGTGTGGTGGGGAAGCGGTAACCTGGGACTTATGTCACCCCCAGTGCCCCTTCCTTCTCACCTTGGTCCCAGCTCCAGATAAGCGACTGATGAAGTAGTCTGTGACACAAAGATGCCAGCTCCTTCTCACACTCCTGAGGCAGGGATGCTAGTGGGAGAAATGACTCTGGGGCCTGAAAACAAGGTCTCACTTTCCACAACCCCTGCCCACTCAATGATGAGGCAAGAAGGCATGCTTCCTCCAAGACTCGGGACTGGGGTGGAAAGCAAGACTTTGCCTTGAAAGCTCAGAAGCTATAGTCTGAACCCAGGGGTGTTCTTTCTAAAGGGCCTGCTTTTGCCTTCAGGATGGCAGGTCAGTGAGTTGGCCAAGGGGAAGGAAGAGACCCCAGCCTTCCCAAACGCCCACCCAAGCCCATCACTCACCCTGACCCAGTGCCTGACTCAGCTGTTGCGCTGTTGCCCTGGGGTCCCTCCAGGGTCCCAGATTTAGGTCCAGACTCTGAGCACAGGCTGCCCACAGCAGGGTCCAGTATTGGCTCCACAAGGCCCCAGCCCCTCCGAGCCCTAGTCCACAGCTGGCTGAACCCGCCACGCCCCCGACCAGGCCCAGCAGCCCTGGTAGCAGATCCCCCTCCTCTTGGCACCGCCTGCGGAGCTGGTCCCTCAACGCCGATCCTTGGAGCGCCTCGTCCAGCCGACTTGCCACCTGGCAACCCCGCTCCCCCGTCAAGAGGCGGAGCACACGGGACGTGGGGAAAGGACGTGCGGCCCCTGGGACGTGGCTCAAGGCTTTTCTCTGTAGTGTGTGGTAGGCGGGAAGTGCAAAGAGCAGCTCGGCGAGTTGGGACGACAGGCCCGGGCTGGCGGGCTCCCGGCCGAGAGCGCGAAGCTGCATCTCGATGACAGCCTCCAGGCACTGGGCGGCTAGTCCGATGGGGCGCGCTAGCAGCAGCGGCTCGAGAGTCTCCCCAGGGCCGATTCGCAGAACCGCCCCTTGGGAAGGGTGCAGCTGCAGGTCGCGGCACCACTGGGGCAAGGGGCTAGGGCCGCCGGATGGCGAGCCAGGACTCAGGGTCTTCATGAGTCGCACAGCCGACTGTAGGTGGTAGGCGCAGTCTCGGGCCTGGAGGAGCTGCTCCCGCTCGCGATGCAGCCGCAGCAACACCGCCCGGAGACGCTGCAGCGCGGGAGGGATCGGGCCGCCACCTGCGGGCCCCCGCCTCCAGGCCGCAGCATCAGCCTCGTAGTCCTCGCTCACATCCGCCGGCGTCGGCCACCACGGCGTCCCTCCAGAAGTTCCGCTCGGCCAGCAGTGAACCTCCCAGCGAAGACCGCCCGTTCGACTTCTCTCCCACTGCTCCTCCCCAGTGCCCCCGGGTTGCGCCCTCAGCGGGGGCACGATAACGAGTGGAGGCAGGCTACCTGAGCGAGACGCCTGGGCCATGGGGCGGCGGGTCCAGAACGAACCTAACGATTCCCACTTCCCTGCACGGACCAACGCCCGCCGCAGCTCGGACTTCGCCCCATCGCAAGAGCCGTTTTCTCCAGTCCGGGAGTCGCGGGGACCTTCATGGACTCTCTCGTGCTCCGTAATGGGAGGCTTCTGCCCCTAACAAACATGGCCGCCCACTCTGTCCCACCCCGCCCTTTGGCTGGTATCAAATACTAGACTACCTTTCATTTCCGGGTCACTGTAGATGCGATGGCGCCGATTCCAAAGACTGTGGGGCGGATCAAGCTAGGTGAGCGGTATGACAAGACCAGTGGGGGTCTAGGAGGGCAGAGGCAGCCCCTCTTGGGTCCACCTGTGGTCTGAACGTTTCGAGTAGGATTTTATGCAGAGGGCGGAGAGTCGAGGGTAGAGTGGGGAGGACTCTAGCCCATCTGTCCCGAGCCCGCTGACGAGGCTCCGCCTTCCTTTCCTGTAGACTGCTCTCTACGGCCCAGCTGCCCACTGGAGGTCGCTGCTGCACCCAAACTTTGCAAGGAATTCGGTCCAGAGGATTACGGCGAAGAGGTAAAAGCGACCCTCAGTTTCCCCCAGTCCTGCTCATTTTGGTCACGCCTCTTTGAAGTCAGCTGTGCAGAAACCCGCGACGGATGGGCGCCAGACGGGGCTCTGGAGGCTTTGGGGAGTTGTAGTCTCCGGCCATGCCCTTGAGGATCTTAGGCAAGTGAGGGGCAGGGGATCAGGAGGATGATCCTGATGTAACAGATGCTCGAAGTGGGTAGAATTGAGCAGACAAGGGTCTCTGAGTTGAGGATTAGGGAGTGGGTACGAGTTCCTTGGGAAAAGATGGAGGCCGGGCGCGGTGGCTTGTGCCTGTAATCTCAACACTTTGGGAGGCTGAGACGGGAGGATTGCTTGAGCCCAGGAGTTAGAGACCAGCCTGGGCAACATAGTGAGACCCCATCTCTACAAAAATGTTTTTAAAAAATTTAGCCCGCGTGGTGGGTGGGGGATCTCTTGAGCGCGGGAGGTCAAGGTTTCAGTGAACCATGATCGTGCCACTGCACTCCAGCCTGGGGAACGGTGAGACTCTGTCTAAAAAAAAAAAAAAGCTGGGCCCAGTGGCTCACACCTGTAATCTCAGCACTTTGGGAGGCCTAGGGGGGCGGATCACTTGAGGTCGGGAGTTCGAGACCAGCCTGGCCAACATGGTGAAACGCCATCTCTACCAAAAATACGAAAAACTAGCTGGGCGTGGTGGTGTGCGCCTGTAATCCCAGTCACTGGGGTTACTGAGGCAGGAGAATCGCTTGAACCCGGGAGGCAGAGGTTGCAGTGAGCCAAGATCACACCACTGCACTCCAGCCTGGGCAACAGAGGGAGACTCCATTTCAAAAAAAAAATGAAAAAATATCTTTTTATAGATGGAGGGGACAGTGTGAGCAAAGACAGTAAAACAAGGAAAAGTTGAGAGAACTTTACCAAAGTGAGACCAGAGTAGAGAATCTGGTTGGAACAGTAAAAGATGGGGTGGGAGAGAAGGCAGCAGATGGCTTGAAAGGCTTTGACTTAGCACAGGGGTTTGGATGTTCTCAAGTAGGCAACAGAGTTTTTTTGTTTTTTGTTTTTTTTTAAGATGGAGTCTCACTCTGTCGCCCAGGCTGGAGTGCAGTGGTGTGATCTTGGCTCACTGCAACCTCCGCCTCTCTGGTTCAAGCAATTCTTCTGCCTCAGCCTCCTGAGTAGCTGGGACTACAGGCACATGCCACCAGTCCCAGCTAATTTTTGTATTTTTAGTAGAGACTGGGTTTCACCATGTTGGCCAGCATGGTCTCGATCTCTTGACCTCGTGATCCGCCCGCCTTGGCCTCCCAGAGTGCTGGGATTGCAGGTGTGAGCCACCATGCCCGGTAGACAGCAGGGTTTTCGAAGGAGGGACAGGATCAGATTTGGAAGCATTGAGGCGCTATACTCCCTAGAATCTCAAACTCAAACCCAAAAGTTAATTTAATTAACTTTTGTTAAATTAATTTATCATGTTTGTAAATTGGTTGCTTTTCTTCTAATCCCAATTTTGGTTAATAACACAAACTTTCATCTAGTTGTTTAATCTGGAAATCTGATAATCATTTTATATCCCTTTCTTTTACCTCAAACATTTAGTTAGTCACTAAAATTTACTTTTTTTTTTTTTTTTTTTTGAGACAGAGTCTCACACTGTCGCCCAGGCTGGAGTGCAGTGGCGCCATCTCTACTCACTGCAACCTCCTCCTCCCGGATTCAGGCAATTTTCCTGCCACAGCCTACTGAGTAGCTAAGATGGCAGACACCCACCACCACGCCCAGCTAATTTTTGTATTTTTAGTAGAGAGGGGTTTCACCATATTGGCCAGGCTGGTCTCAAACTCCTCACCTTGTGATCTACCCATCTCGGCCTCCCAAAGTGCTGGGGTTACAGGCATGAGCCACCATGCCGGCCACTAAAATCTACTTCTAAATGTCTCTTGACAGAAGCCCCTCATTTCCGTTCCTGGTCTTGCTGCCATTCCCTTATATCAAGACTCCTTGTATCTGGCCTGAACTAAACATTACATCCATAGCCTCATCTTCCCCTGAGCAGTATTTCTTTTTTTTTTTTTTTTTTGAGATGGAGTTTTGCTCCCGTTGCCCAGGCTGGAGTGCAATGGTGTGATCTTGGCTCACCGCAACCTCTGCTTCCCGGGTTCAAGTGATTCTCCTGCCTCAGCCTCCCGAGTAGCTGGGACTACAGGCGCCTGCCACCACGCCTGGCTAATTTTTTGTATTTTTAGTAGAGACAGGGTTTCACCATGTTAGCCAGGCTGGTCTCGATCTCCTGACCTTGTGATCCGCCCACCTCAGCCTCCCAAAATGCTGGGATTACAGGCGTGAGCCACCGCACCTGGCCCAATTTTGTATTTTTGTACAGATTGCGTTTCTCCATGTTGGTCATGCTGATCTCAAACTCCAGACCTCAGGTGATCCACCCTCCTTGACTTCCCAAAGTGCTGGGATTACAGGCTTGAGCCACCATGCCTGGCCGTCTCAGCACTATTTCATTTGATTGTTTCATTCCCCAGATCAAGTCCACTGCTATCACTGACAAGATAAAGTCTACACTCACGGCCAGGCGCAGTGGCTCACACCTGTAATCCTAGCACTTTGGGAGGTTGATGCAGGCGGATCATGAGGTCAGGAGATGGAGACCATCCTGGCCAACATGGTGAAACACCGTCTCTACTAAAATACAAAAAATTAGCTGGGCATGGTGGTGGGCGCCTATAGTCCCAGCTACTTGGGAGGCTGAGGCAAGGGAATTGCTTGAACCCAGGAGATGGAGGTTGCAGTGAGCCAAGGTTGCGCCATTGCATTCCAGCCTGGAGACAGGGTTAGACTCCGTCTCAAAAAAAAAAAAAGTTCACACTCACTGTGTCACACATGTTTCTTCACACACAGTTCCTGGCTCTGTCTCTATTGGAATAGCCTCCTCACCAATCTCTGTTTACTCAGCACACACACAATACCACCTATGTACTAGATACTGTTGTAGGTACTGAGAAACAGCAGTAAATCAAACAGACCAAAATCTTTCTGTTCAACAAATTAGGAGCATCTAATGAGGGCAACCAGTGACCAAATAAATAAACAACATAGTATGTCAAACATGAGAAGTACAAAGAAAAAGCAAGAAGGAGGATAGGGAGTGCTGAGTGGAGTTGGGAAGTTTCTCCTTCTAAAAGTAGTGGTCAGGCCAAGTGTGGTGGCTCACGCCTGTAATCCCAGCACTTTGGGAGGCTGAGGCACATGGATCACCTGAGGTCAGGAGTTTGAGACCAGCCTGACCAACATGAAGAAACCCCGTTTCTACTAAAAGATACAAAATTAGCTGGGCATGGTGGTGCATGCCTGTAATCCCAGCTACTCTGGAGGCCGAGGCAGGAGAATCACTTGAACCCTGGAGGCGGAGGTTGCGGTGAGCCAAGTTCATGCCATTGCACTCCAGCCTGGGCAACAAGGGCGAAACTCCACCTCAAAAAAAAAAAAAAAGGAGTGTTCAGAGAAGGCCTCTCTGAGAAAGTGACATTTACATAGAGATCTAAAAAGGACGAAGGAGTGAGCTGTTCACTGGGGAAAAAGCATTCTAGGCAAAGTAAAGTGCAAAGCCCTAAGATGGGAGCACAGTTGGTATGTTGTGGGAACTTCCAAGGACACTGCTGTGGCTGGAGGAGGGTAACAAGATAGGAGAAGATTCACAATGATATTGGGGGACCAGATCATATGTAGTGGCCATGTAGTGAATTCAGAGAGCAGCACAGACTGTGGTTTGGGGACAGGTAGTAGAAGGTCAAGGAAGTACCTGTTTGTTTGTTTTTTTGAGACGTAGTCTCGCTCTGTTGCCCAGGCTGGAGTGCAGTGGCGAGATCTCGGCTCACCACAACCTCCACTTCCCAGTTTCAAGCAATTCTCCTACCTCAGCCTCCCAAGTAGCTGGGATTACAGATGCGTGCCACCACACCTGCTTAATTTTTGTATTTTTAGTAGAGACGGGTTTCACCATGTTGGTCAGGCTGGTCTCGAACTCCTGACCTCAAGTGATCTGCTTGCCTTGGCCTCCCGAATTGCTGGGATTACAGGTGTGAGCCACTGCACCCGGCTTTTTATTTTTTTAAATTTATTTTTATTTTTTATTTTTAATGATGACTACACTGGTTTGAGGAGGAAGAGAGAAGAAATACAGTATATATTTGAGTGGCACATCCTGAGGAGGCTGCCTGACATGGGGCAGAGAGCATGCTTTATTTATTTATTATTAATTAATTAATTTATTTATTTTTATGAGACAGAGTCTCACTCTGTCACCCAGGCTGGTGTGCAGTGGTGTGATCTTGGCTACTGCAACATCTGCCTCCCAAGTTCGAGCAATTCTCGTGCCTCAGCCTCCTGAGTAGCTGGGACTACAGGCATGTGCCACCATGCCCAGCTAATTTTTGTATCTTTAGTATAGATGGGGTTTCGCCATGTTGGCCAGGCTGGTCTAAAACTCTTGGCCTCAAGTGACCCACCCGTCTTGGCCTCCCAAAGTGCTGGGATTACAGGCGTGAGCCACCATGCCCAGCCATATTTATTTATCGAGACAGGGTCTCCCTCTGTTACCCAGGCTTCAGTGCAGTGGCATGATCATAGTTCACTGCAGCCTTGAACTCCTGGGCTCAAACAGTCCTTCGATTTCAGCCTCCCGAGTAGCTGGGACTATAGGCGTCCGCACCACACCTGGCTCATTATTTATGCTTATGTTGCAGTTAGGAAGGTGACACAAACCCACCAGGAAATTGAATTTTAAGTATAAGACTGATGAAAGTGCCTAGCAGTATTGGAGATGCTGTTAAGCCAGGACTATCTTCTGAGGGAAGCCTTGGATCTAAAATTGTTTAGAAAATTGAATATACCTTAGTCATCTGAAGTCCTGCCTACAGATTTTTTTTTAGCACGCTGGAGTTTCTAAGTTTGTGGCTTCTAACTCAATAAGTCCAAAAGATCATTGGCTTCTAAGCGTCTCAGTCAGTCCTGCTCTGTTTAGGCCTGATTAGGCAAATAGGAATGTGATCATTCCTGTCTTTGAAGCTTATACTCCCTGAGGAAATGACTCCCATCAGGACCACAGAATGTGTGGGCCAGGCCTTAAAGAGTCTTGCCTTATTTTGTGAATGAGGGAGAGGTCCAAAGAAGTTAAATGACTTCTCCAGAATCAAACAGGCAGGTAGTGTCAGAGTGAAAATTTGGACAAGCTGGACATGATGGTGCAAACCTGAAGTCCCATCTACTCAGGAGGCTCAGGCAGGAGGATCGCTTGAGCCTAGGTGTTTGGGTCTAGCCTGGGCAACACAGCAAGACCCTGTCTCAGAAACAAACAAAAAATAGTCGGCCGGGCACAGGGGCTCACACCTGCAATCCCAGCACTTTGGGAGGCTGAGGCGGGTGGATCACTTGAGGTCAAGAGTTCAAGACAACTTGGCCAACATGGTGAAACCGCCTCTCTACTAAAAATACAAATGGTATTGTGGCGTGTGCCTGTAATCCCAGCTACTTGGGAGGGTGAGGCAGGAGAATCGCTTGAACACGGGAGGCAGAGGTTGCAGTGAGTTGAGATCATACCACTGCACTCCAGCCTGGGTGACAGAGCAAGAATCCACCTCAAAAGAAAAAATAACCTCAGATGCAAGTGGCTCCACTCCAGCACAATGCCCTTTGGAATTCCATGCTGCCTGGCCAATGAGGAGAGCAATAGAAAGCAATCAATAACAAGTTTCTAAATTGTGTAACACAGATAATGTGGTTGCAGGTTAGTTGGAGGAGGCAGAGATAATTGGAGATGAAAGGGTCTGGGAAGGCTTTGAAGGGAGATAGAATTTGAACTGGACCTTGAAGGTGAGGCAAGATGTGAGAAAGAAGCTCAAGAGTTAGGAGGGATTGGAGAGCAGCTGGGGGAAGGCCCCAAGGCTGGAGGGAGCCTGGTGGTGGGAGGGAGGACAGCAGTGAAGCAGGGGAGGATTAAAAGGAGGGCTGGAAAGGTCAGCCTGGGAGCCTTTTGGAAGGCTCTGAATCGTAGGCTGAGGAATTAGGTTCAACTCTGCCTATGGCCTTGGCAGTGGGGGATTATTGGATGTCCCTGAGTAGGGAAGTAATTTCTTAGAGCTTAGTTTTGTGGAGAAACAGATGAGGTGCAGAGGAGCGGCCAGCCAGGAGCTGCTGTACTTGTTTAGGTGTGAGCTAGCCTCAGGGTGGGTTATGTGGAGCTGTTCATACTGCAGATATGACAGGGGGCCTAGCTGGAAGAGCAGGTGGGAGGGCTTCATTCCAGGGGCCTCAGTGTGGCTAACTCAGGTTGAGGAGAGAAGATCCTGGATGGTAGAGGAGGCCAGGTTGAATACCATACTCAACCCTTGGGAAGGCAGGAAAGCAGCGAGGGGAGGTGATTCACTACAATAGCTGGGGGCAGCAGATTTTGCGGTGCTGAGGAGGGAGAGGTCAGAGCCAGTGAGAGTCTCTGGGCTGGATAGCTGGTTGGTGGCTGCCATGGTGGAGAGATCAAGCCAGCGAAGCCCTTGCTCTCTCCAGGAACTGCCCCCAACACCAGCCTCCCCTCCCCTCCCCTCCCCTCCCAGGACATAGTGGATTTTCTTCGACGGCTTGTGGAGAGTGATCCCCAGGGCCTGCACCGGATCCATGTGGATGGGAGCAGCGGGCGGCTGCAGCTGTGGCACCATGGTGGGGAGTGCAGGGACCGGGCCCAGGGATCGAGGCTGGTACCCTGGGAGGGCTGACCCTCAGATGCACCCCGCTCTCATGTCCTTTCTTTCCTGTCTCTTTCTCCCTCCTGACAGATTACCTCCTGGGCCACTTGGATGATGAAGGGAAATCAACTGGACAGAGTGACAGGGGCAAGGGGGCTGAGGGACTGGGCACCTACTGTGGTCTCCGCAAGTCCTTCCTGTATCCTCCCCAAGAGTCTGAGCCCTGCCCTCAAAGCCCCTCTGCCTCTGCCACCTTCCCCAGTGTCTCAGACAGCCTGCTTCAGGTGGCCATGCCCCAGAAGCTCCTGGTGACAGAAGAGGTGAGATTCTCAGGAGAGGGCTTTGCCGTCCCCCAGGGTTCTTTCAATCCCTGTATCCCCATCCCTATATTCTCCCCTAATTGGTACCTTTCAAGATCCTTCTATACTGCCTGCCCCCTTTCATGTTTGCTCTCCATTTCCCTGTTTCTCTCTTTTTCTGTCACCTGCCCTTCGTCCTTCAGGAAGCCAATCGCCTGGCTGAGGAGCTGGTGGCTGAGGAGGAGCGCATGAAACAGAAAGCAGAGAAAAAGCGACTCAAGAAGAAGGTGGCTAGAGCATGGCTGGAGGGTGCAGGGGAGCCAAAGGGATTTGGGAGAGGGAAAGAGGAAACTTTGTGGGAACAGGAGAGAGCTCAAGATGGCCTGCAGTGGACTCTCTTGCCAGGAGGACACAAGGGGCCCAGGGACTGGGGGGTCTCTCACAGGCCATCTGGTGCAGTGGTTCTGGAATCCTACTGTGCTGCCTAGGTAGGAATCTGCCTCCTTACATGAGGCCTCTTGCTGGTGCCTCTCTTGTCTGCTTTTTCACCTGCAAAATGAGGATAATAATGATGCCTGTCTCATAGAGCTGCAAAGATGGAATGCGAAATCTTAGCCCAGCACACGACATACAGTAAGTGTTCAAAATACATCATTGTTACCATTACTATTGCAGCGTCAAAAGGAACGGAAGCGACAGGAGCGTTTGGAGCAGTACTGTGGGGAGCCCAAGGTGAGTATCTAGGGCAGGTACTAAGAGCACCAAGTGCCAGGAAGGTGAGGGCCAAGAAAGCAGGCAGCTCAAGGTGATCCCAACTCTGTACCTGTCTATCTTTCTTCCAGGCCAGCACTACCTCAGATGGAGATGAGAGCCCCCCATCCAGCCCTGGAAACCCAGTTCAGGGACAGTGTGGTGAAGAAGAGGTGAGAGCCCCTTTTTTCCCTTCTTGGTCTCTGCTCATTTTCCTCCTCCTCCTCCAGAATGTACTTCATCCCCACCCCCTCCCTAACTTTCCATTTTGTTCACAGGACTCACTGGATCTATCTAGCACTTTTGTGTCTCTGGCTTTGCGCAAGGTTGGGGATTGGCCCCTCAGTGCCCGCAGAGAGAAGGGACTGAACCAGGAGCCCCAAGGCAGGGGTCTGGCCCTCCAGAAGATGGGTCAAGAGGAAGAGAGCCCTCCAAGAGAGGAGAGGCCCCAGCAGAGTCCAAAGGTACAGGTGAGGTGGCTGAAGAACCTTATTCAGCTGGAACCGTGGAAGGGGCACAAGGAGCTGCTGGGGAGGCACAGGGTCTAAGGATTGACACAGGGTCCAGTGGGAGTTCTCTGGCTCTAGGGTCAAGAGACCTACAGTCAGGCCCCATCACTGTCACCATGACCCCGGGTGGTTTCCTGTCTAGGAAGATAGGGCTGATACCATCTTGTAGGGCTGTCATGAGGATTACATGAGTTGGGTAATGCTAATTGCAGTGTTACCTGTTTAAACAAAGGAGAAGGATTTGGGGAGGCTGAGACCTCAAGACCTGCTTGACTTTGCACCCTATCCCCAGGCATCTCCGGGACTGCTGGCAGCTGCCTTACAACAGAGCCAGGAACTGGCAAGTGAGATCCTTTCTCTCTCCGTCCTCACCCCACCCTCCCTGGGGTAGCCCCATCTGAACCTTCTCACCCTCTTTCCTTTCCAGAGTTGGGTACCAGCTTTGCTCAAAATGGTTTCTACCATGAGGCCGTGGTCCTCTTCACCCAGGCCTTGAAGCTCAACCCCCAGGACCACCGGTAGGTGGGGGCTTGGCCAGGGCAGGGCAGAGTGTTGAGGACTCAGACCTTTGGCCACCTTCTGTCTTTATCAGGTTATTTGGAAATCGTTCCTTCTGCCATGAGCGGTTGGGTCAGCCAGCGTGGGCCCTGGCTGATGCCCAGGTGGCCCTTACCCTACGGCCTGGCTGGCCCCGGGGCCTCTTCCGCCTGGGCAAGGCCTTGATGGGACTACAGGTAATAGGTCTGGGGCTGGAAACAGGAGAGATTTGAGTGGGATGGAGTGGGGAGAGGGTCTATGTTGACTTTCTAGATAAGCTTCTAGTACCAAAGTGTCACAATGGTTGTGGTACTAGGAGCAGGGGCCAGTTTTAGAAAGGGTACTTTTAAGCACCTTGACACCTAATCTTTTCTTTCTGATCCCTCTGGGACCAAAGCGCTTCAGAGAGGCAGCTGCTGTGTTTCAGGAAACTCTGAGAGGTGGGTCCCAGCCTGACGCAGCCCGAGAGCTCCGCTCTTGCCTTCTCCACCTCACACTGGTAAGGGGGCCAGGCACACTGTCATGCTGAGGCGGGTATCAGGGAGAATTGGCTGGGACTGCAATACCAAGCCTCAGGTGGCTAAGGAGGGGGCGGGGAAGGATGGGTGGAATGAGAGGCATGGGCTCTCCTGCTTAAAAGAAGGATCTGGTGCCCTTCTCTCTCCCTTCTCAGCAGGGTCAGCGAGGAGGAATCTGTGCACCACCTCTGTCACCTGGGGCCCTCCAGCCACTTCCCCATGCTGAGCTGGCACCCTCAGGCCTACCTTCCCTCAGGTGCCCTCGAAGCACTGCTTTGAGGTCCCCTGGCCTGTCTCCACTCTTGCATTATCCTTCATGTCACCGAAGCCACCCCAACCAGCCCCTCTCCCAGACTCAGAGTAGAAGGCCCCATCCTCTCAAGCCCCAGGACCCTTCAAAGGGCTGGGACATCCTGGGACTTGGGCTCCAGCATCTGTCTCAGGCCAGATGAGGGGGCACCGGTCCCTCATAGGGCAGGGCCATGTATATATCCCTTGGTGGGGGACATAGTGTGGTGACAGTTCACTGCATATTTTGAGACCTTATTCTCTAGATCCATAGTTAATGATGCCCTGGCAGTCATTCCTCTTGCCATGGGGAAGCTTCTGATGAGAGAAAGGAGCCCCACATCCACTGAAACATCCTTTGGTTCTCAAGCTTCTTCTGGAGGCAGTAAGGAAAAATAAAACCCACCAAGGCTCAAGAAGGGAACTATAGAAAAGTTCAGGTTTTTAGGCTATAGCAGAGACAGTGAGAAAGCATCTGGGCCTTTCTCTTCCTCTTGGTCCAGGGGACCTCATTCACCAACTAGAGCTTGGTGTACAGGAACGGGGTCACAGTGCTGAGGGGGCTTGAGTCCCACCTTTCAGCTTGATGGATGCTCACCTCTTCTCAGCCCCAGCTCGTGCCCTGTTTTTCTAGCCATAGCCCCCAGATTACTCACAGCTCCTCATGCCATTTCCTGTCCAGATTGCTATGTATGACTCTGACCTCTCTTGTCCAGTGGTCTGGTGCTCACCTCCTCTCACTGCTAGAATATTCACCAAGGGTTTGCATTTGGGAAGTCCCTTACCAGCTCCTGCTTAGAGCTGGTAGGGCCATACATGTCCACACTCCCAACTGGTGGCTCTCCCGCTGAATGGGGCCTCAGCAGGTGCCCAAGCTGCTACAACCTTGGCCACTCTGTTTCTCCACCCCAGCACTGGGCATGGTAATTAGCCTTTCCCCATGTTAATTTATTCAGTTTTTTCAAGGGTCAACTGAATTCCCCACTTCCTGGGTAAGAAGCATGATCTCCTTTTAATTTCACGTCTAAGATCCTGGCAGCTTCCCCTAGCTGGTTCCTCTGTAGTCCTGCTGGGACTGTCAGCTCATTTAAATGTGGGTCTGCAGAAGGCTTTAGGTCTCCCCCAACCCCCTTACCTTTCACAGAGGAACCTTTCATCAGGATAAATGATTATTGCTGCCCTGTGGGTCTTGCTCAATACTGTTCATACCTGGAGAGAGAAGGTATTGAAACATCTCCTTTATGTGTGACTTTCCCAAATTTTTAAAAATTGTTTATGGTTTAGGCCCCTTAAATACTGTGTAGCAGGATGAAGTCTACCATTACCAGCTGGGTCACCTTGGATGGGTCTGTCAACATCTAAGCCTCAGTTCCCTCACCTGTAAAAATGAGGGTAGTCCCTACCTCATAAGGGATATTGTGAGGATGGAAAGCGAAAGTGTGAGAAAATACCTCCCAAGTGCCTGGTACATAGTGGGTGCTAAATAAACCACTTTTTGTCTGCAACTGTCCTACATAGTCATGCTTCCCACAATAGGAAGAGAGGAGTGTGGGTGAATTGGTGCTGAAATTCACAAAATCCAGAGTTCTGGGACTGGATTCTCAAAGTGTGCTTTCTAGGCTAGCAGCATCAGCATCATCCAGGAACTTACTAGAAATGCAATTTCTCAGGCTGGGCACGGTGGCTCACGCCTGTAATCTCAGCACTTTGGGAGGCCAAGATGGGTGGATCACCTGAGGTCAGGAGTTTGAGACCAGCCTGACCAACATGGAGAAACGCCTCCTCTGCTAAAAATACAAAATTAGCCAGGTGTGGTGTCACATGCCTGTAATCCCAGCTACTCGGGAGGCTGAGGCAGGAGAATCGCTTGAACCTGGGAGGCGGAGGTTGCGGTGAGCCGAGATTGCGCCATTGCATTCCAGCCTGGGTAACGAGCAAAACTCTCAAAAAAAAAAAAAAAAGAAATGCAATTTCTCAGGCCCCCTGCAGTGACCTACATCAGAAACCATGGGAGCAGGGCCCAGCAATTTGTGTTTCAATAAACCTACCAAGTGATCCTGATACACACTGTTCAAGGGCGGGGCTTAGCGGAGCAGACCTCCATCCAGAGGCCATTTTGGTGGGACAGGTTTGAGTTTTGTTGTCCAAGTCTTCAGTATAAGAGGTGGCAGTGCTAGCTGGGCTAGAATTTGGGAAACCTCAATGGGGAGAGAGGTTATGACTCAGCCAGTTAATTTGACTGGACCCTACCTTCCTAACTAGAAGGATTTGCCCTGAGAGTTCTTTGCTCACCCCTGGTTGGGGAGCAGGATGGGCATAGGTGGTTGTGTTTGTCCAAGGGGTGATTATATTACAGTGGTTCCATAAGAGGCCTGCCCATCTGGCTTTCCTGTTTTTGAGCAGGGACCTGCATGCTTTTGGGATGTCTGTAGGGCTCCTGACCTCTCAAAGGCCACCCACCACTACTCAATGGTATTTTTGCCTTCCAGCTGAGCTGGCTCCTTGTTCTAGCTTCTCAAGTAAATGTTCCCTCCCCAGTACCTTAGCCTGCCCTGGACTTGTAGCTTCTCCAAGAGTCACGTGACTCCTGACACTTTGCCCCATTTTCACCCTCCTAATTAATAGGGGTCTGACCCAACAGCCTGAGTTCTGAGTTCCCAGGACTGGAAAGTAGAGTGACCAACCATCCTGGTTTTCCTGGAACTGAGGGATGTTCTGGAGTGAGGGACTTTCAATGCCAAAACTTGGAAAATGCTGGGCAGATGGGAAAGAGTTGATCACCCTACTGGAAATGTTCCAGAGAGGCAGTATTTAGAAGGGAGTACTGAAGGGGCAATGCAGTTGCAAAGAATTATTTTTTTGCATATGCATAATGGCTGACAGATTCTTAGCTCCACACCAGTGGTCACTGTCTGTTTCCATGTTGCCATTTTTCTTCCAGTTGCCCACATTTGCTAGGTTGTCATTGACTCATGCAATCCTTGATCCCTGGGGCAATCGCAGATTCCTCTTCTGTGACCACCTCCCAGCCCCACCTCAAGTCTGGCCCTGAGTTCTCTCTGCTGTTACCTTTTGCAGTGGCCAGATATATACTCCCTTTTTCAGGTCTCTACCAGTCTCTGATCCAACCTGCGCCCACAGCCAGATTGGCCTACCCTAAACAATGGTCTCTTGTCTCTCTTCTCTAAAACCTCCAGGGACCATGCTCTAAAGTACAATGCCTAAGTCCCTACCTGTGGCCCTTTCTCCTCCCCTTTCTCTGTAAATCCTTTGCTTCTTTCCTTTAGGCTCAGTCACCTTTATAGAGACCAAGAGCATGGGCTCCTGAGTCGGACAAGCAAACAGCTCAGTCCCTGTGCCACCACTTACAAACTGTGACCTGGCCAAGTTTCCTCAGGGTTCTGTAATTCAGTCTCATCCTTAAAATGGAAAGAAAAGTCTCTGTCCTGTTGGGTTATTTTAAGGATTAATACCTGCAAAGCACTTGGAACTGCTTAATAAGTGGTACTGTCTGAAAATGCCAGATTCCCTTCTGCCTTCCAGCCTTGTTCACTTTCCAAGGAATATTCTCTCTTGGGCCCTCCACCTGCAACTAAGGCCCTAGCTGACCCCCGTTGAACCCATGGAACTTCCTTGAAAGTAGGGTTGTCACACTTAGGCAGAGGCAGGAGAAAGTCTGAAGAGAGCCAGAGGACTGACAGGAGAGAAGGGAAGCAGGAAAGACAACTGAGCTTGATCTGAAGATTGGCTGGGACCACTGGGGAGGGGAAGGCCTGCAACTACTGAGCGTTCCCCCTCCTCTCCCCTCACACTGCAGGAGGGTGATTATCACCAGTGGAATAAATGAATGTCAGAAATGTCCACTGGCTGAGTTAGGCTGGAATCCCTACCAGGCAAGGCCACTACTCCAAGCTTCGCCCCAGCAGGCCAAGCCTTTCCACCCTCTGGCTGCTGCCACCATCCTAGTGGTAAAATTTCTGGCCCAGGGGCCTGGCAGAGGTCTTCCAGGTAGGGGTGTGGCCTCTCTGGGCACCCGTCTATTTGCCTGTGTCCCAGCGGAGGGTTCTTTTGGCAGGATGGGGAAAGGGTCAGGAACCCATTAACAGGTGGGGAAACAATGTCATCACTCTGGGGCCAACCTAGGGATTAGAATCAAGGTCTCCCAGGCAGACAGTAGGTGGGCCAAGGCCCCACTGTCTTTCACTCAGGCCCGGTGACTTCCCCTTGGTAGACTGATAAGCATCAGCTCTGAAGGCTGGCTGGATGCTGGGTCCAAAACCTGACCTCAGGGTTCTGACTTTGTAAAAATGGTGTAATTATTACCTACCTTAAAGGGTTGCTATAAGGGCTAAAGGAAACATTGCATTGAAAGCCCTGGCACAGTGCCAAGTGCGGACTCCCCATAGCACTTTACAGATTTTACTGTTTCTTGCTTCTGGCGGGCGTCTGGATAGAGGCATGGTGCGGCAGAGTCTCGACTTTATTCTCAAATATTGGGAAAGTAGCCTGGACAACATAGCGGGACCTCCTCTCTAAAAAAAAAAGTTTTTTAAATTAGCCTGGGGTGGTGCTGCACGCCTGTAATGCCAGCTAGTCGGGAGGTTGAGGCAGGAGGATCGCTTGAGCCCAGGAGGTCGCGACTGCAGTGAGCGGTGATCGCTCCACGGCACTCCAGCCTGGGCGACAGAGCGAGGCCCTGTCTCAGACAACAAAACAAACTTACAAAAAAACCGGGAAAGGTGAGCGTCTGGACTGTGGGCCGGAAGAGGCCCAAGTGGACCTCCTTCCTCCACCCTGGAACTCTGGCCAGAGGCAGAGCGCGAGGTGAGGAGTCCAGGGCCCCAGAGCCCAGGATTGGCGGCGGCTTTGTCTTCAATCGTCCACCTGTATCTCCTCGTCTGACAGGTGGGGCCGGGAGTCAGGGCCGGCAGGGCCGAGGCAGAGGCCGGGATCTGGAGCGCCTTCGGGCAGTGCTAAGCTGCACAGGACTTCCGGGGACAACGCGCGTAGCGAGGCGACGTCGGCGCGCATCTCCTCCACATCGCGCTTGAGCTTGGCTCGCCGGTTCTGGAACCAAGTGACCACCTGCGCGTTGGCCAGGCCGAGTCGCGTAGCTAGCCCGTCTCGCTCGGACGGCGCCAGGTACTTCTGGAAGACGAAGCGCCGCTCCAGCTCCAGCACCTGTTGCGCGGTGAACGCAGTGCGTGACTTGCGCCGTTTGCGGCCGAAGGGACCAGGGCCCAGCGCGTCCGGACCTGCCCGCCCTGTAGGGATAGGGAGGGGGTCAGTTTCCAGCCTCCGGGAATCAGGCTGGGCCTGGAAAGAAAAGTTGGGGGTGGGGTCGGGCCGGTGGCGGTGGGGGAAGTAGAGGGAGAGCCAGGAAGGCGGACGGAGACCAGAACTGTGATCCCTTATCGGGAGTCAGGCCCAGGTGGGGATATGGGGCGCAAAGCGGGCTGGCCACAGGGGTGCGAAAGGCAGCAGGCTGAGGGCATATTGTAGGGGCAAGGAAGTGAAGGAAGGGAGGGATGATTCAGAGGTGCAGGGTCAAACCTTCTGGGGTGGAGCCTTTGAGGCTTTTAGGAGCCTCAGGCTGAGCAGGCTATAAGTTGAGGGTGACATCAGAGGCGAGTAAGAGTCAGGGCAGCCGACCCAGCGTGGTGGTGGTAACAGGACTTAGATCATGCCCTTCCATGGATCGGGTCGGGCATTCGGTTTACAGTTCCTTAGTGACACCAGAGCCCGCTCCTCCGGCCCCAAAGGGAGATAATGAGGTACAGAGAGCGAGAAAAGGCAGAGTGCGGAATCCCGCGCCCAGTGCTGCGCCAAGGGCTTTCTGCTCCTTGACTCCCCTCGAGAAGAGAGTGGCTTGGAGCGGAGCTTGGTCACCCGGAAAGACTCGACTCTCCAGCGCTTTCTGTGCCGCCTTTGCAGGCTCACTCGTTTACCGCCTGCGGCTGAAGCCTTTTGTCTCTTTCTCTCCTGCCTTTCTCTATCGCGATTGCCCCGCCTACAAGGAACAGAGCAACAGGTCGCTCAGTTGGCGACGGTCTGCCCTTTTCCCTTGGCACTGGCGGCCTTCCGGAGCCGCCGCGGAACCTAGGGACTAACGGAGGAGAGGTGAGAAGTCGCAGGTGCGAGTCCTGGCACGTGGGCTGAGGACAGGGGAGGATTAGGGTGGGTGGCCTGGGCTGGGACAAAGGTTTGAGACGGGGAACCAGGAGGAGAGAGGTGAGGAAAAGGCTAAGTCAGAGTCCGCGACCTTGCCGGCTCTATACCTTCAGAGGGCTGCAGAGCGCGCGCGTCAAGTCCGCGGAAAGTTTTACTAGTCAGCTCCTCCAGCGCGCACAGCGGCGACGTTGGACCCGGACCCGACTCTGGAAGCTGCGGCGCAGAGGGTGCTCGGGGGACCATGCGCGGGGCTAGGATGTCTGCGATGCTTAAGAGTGTCCGGGGTGTTCGGGGCTCGCGTCCCGAGTTCATGGTCGGCCGGGCTGGGGCGGTCCGGCTGTCCGTTGCGCTAGGCTCCGCAAACGCCTGGGCCCCAGTGCTCGGCTCCCAATCCGGGCCCCCAGCCTCGGACCCGCCCCCGGCTCTGGGCCCGAGTCCCGTGTGCCCCTCCTCCTGCGCCCCCACCTCTCCACCCCGGGCCGCGGTGGATCTGGAGCTCCTAGATGTCCGGGGAGGGTATTTCTACAGGCTGGGGCAGGCGCGGAGAGCAGAAGCCGACCAAACTACCCACCAGAGCAGGGCCACGGGGCTGCTCCGCGCTGCGGGGCGCTGCACCGTGCACAGTCAGGCCGGGCCATACCTCCAGACGCTGTATGCCGCCGACTCCCCGCCTAGCCGCCGCTCCGGCTCATAAACTAGTAGACGATAAAATTGCCTTCTCTGGCCCCAGCGGCTGGGGATTTGCAAAGTTCTGAGGAAGGCTATCAGGGCTGACTGTGCTGGGATCTCTGATCCCAGCTAGGACCTCAGTCTCCTAACCTGGCTCCCTCTTCCCCACCCCACCCCTGAGAAACGTTGTTTCTGGTCCTGACGGCTGGAAGTGATTAGTGCTGCATGGGTCGGGGGCGCAACACTTGGGAGGACCTGGCCTGGCGGAGCGACTGCAACTGGGAATAGTGGGGATGCCACGAAGAAGCAAGCACAGGTGAATGGACCCGAGGCTGCCCCACCTGACGAAATCAGAACACACAGAGAAGCTGCCGGGAGACCCGGGCCGCAGGAGAGAAGACCCAGGGAACTCCCAGCTGGTGCAACTGCCCAGGAGGGGTCTTTGTCAGTGAGGACTGGCAAAATCAGTCGATTTTGTCTGTCTTTATCTTCTTTTTATTAAGCTCCCATAGTTCAGGTATGTATGGTTTCCCCAGCCTGCAGAGGCTCAGAAACTGCCAAGGGGAGCAAGGTGCCCTGACCAGAGAGGGGTCACTCCCCATAGAAGAGAGACTTGAAGGGCAGACTTCACGGACCCAGCTGGATCTTGGGACATTCCTGACAACCCAGGTACTAACTGTGAGGCCTGGTATACTCATTCCTATTTAATCTGGGCCCTTTTTATCTGCCACACTTATTCTGGTTCTGGGCTCATACCTGGGTAAGCACCCACAGCCCTCCTTTGTAGGAAGAAGGCAGCTCAGGGACAGTGGGGCCTCAGCAGTTGAGGCCCAGCAGGGTATGGGTTTTGTTCCTACATTCCACCCCAAACAGCTGGAGGATTCACACCTTAGAGCAGGGAAGCCCTGCCACTCCTGAGGAGCTTGCTGCTTTGCTGCCCAGGGAAGTCAGAAACTGATGTGCTTCTAGCTTTTTAAAACAGTGTCAGGAAAAACCAGGCCAGTCCCTCCTGGACTGTCCATTATGTCACTTTCCTTGTAGACCCCTGCATCTCCCACCATCTGTGCAGTGTCCACCTGTCTATTCCCTGGGGCAACTGCTGCATGCAATTGGGGTTCCCTAAACAGGGCTTAGGAGATCCAAGGCACCTGGGCCAAAGACTCCTTGACAAAGATGGGAAGGCACCTTGATAGGGTCTTCTTGGTAAAGGGCTCACTCCAACAACCCCCCTCCCCCACCCGCAACATTCACATAATGCCCTCCTGGAAAGCTGAGCAACACACTTAAAGGCTGATGGGCCACTGCTGGATCAAAGAGCAGAGCCAGGCCATGGTGGAAAGCTGAGCTGCCTCAGGACGTTGTTAAATGGTTATTAATGGTGAGGGGCAGGGGAGGGCCTGGAGAGATCTTCGGGCTACAGGCCTCAGCCCTGGAAACCATCCTAGTGGTTTCACTTAATGTGCAATAAAGCAGCTCTCTGGAGGCAGCAGGAACTGCCCCACTGCATCCCAGGCATATCACCAAGCAGATGCTGCAACCTTCACTCATGCATCCTCTATGTGGCTTTTGTGTCTGTCTCTACCTCTGCTCTCAATTACTTACGTGTGTCTGTGAGGAGTGTGGAGCTCTGCTGATGGGCCTGTGCCTCACAGCCCCTTCCATCTCTCCCGCCTAGTTCTCCCCTCTGCAGCTGGGCTCAGGTACTGGGATTGGACAGCTCCTAAACATGAGTTTGGGGGAGGAGATGGAAGTGGAGAGTAGCAAAGGGAGGAGGCCCAGGACAGCAGAGGCCCCTCTAAGGTCGTCAAAGCGGCCAGGGACTAGTCCAGGGGATCGTGGGGCCACAGAAGGGGACTTTTCTCAGTACTGGAACTCGAGCTGGGGCGAAATCGGATCCACAGAGAGGGGTAGGAGGGTGAGTGATTAATGAGGAAGATTAAGAGATTAAAACTTGTTCTGGGTTGGGGAGGGGACACTCACTCGGCTGTCCTATAGGTTACCCCCCACCCCAGCTTGGAAGCACAGAAGCTCCTGGGTGCTCGCCTCTTCCCACCCGCGGGTAGAACCCTCCCTGTTCACGATCCTTCTCAAGAGATGCACGGAGGCCAGCCTTCACCGCTGGCCCCGCGGGGCCAACGGTTTTCCTTTTCAGGCAGTCTCTTGTGTTTCCCACCTTCTCAGATTCCTTTGATTGTCCATTCAGACATTTCGGGGCCCTGCGCTCCCTCCCCTTGTAGAGATCCCCACATTCCAAATTCGCTGTCTTGGGAAGGCACCCCATTCCCGCTTAAGGATGCTTCCTCACACCTCCCCTTTCAGATTTCCCATTCTCACCCCTCAGCCCTACCCCCACCTTATCTTGCACCCACACACCCCATCGGCGGGTTCCTCCACCCCGGGCCGCCCCCGCTCGACCCCGTTCCCCACTGGTGGCACGGAGGCCTGCTCAATAAACGACCTTTAGTCTCGGATTGCCGGCCCGGACATTCCACTGAATTCTGTGAATGTGTAGCAGGGTTGGAGGACCCTCGGAATAACCCCCTTGGGGAGGTGGACAAGGACAATCTCAGCGAAGAGCTTGCTCCCCTCCTCCCCACCCTTAGGAAACGTCCGTGAACCGGAGTGAGAGGGCAGTGGGAGTTCAGGGAGCAAAGTCCAGGCGGAGGAGCGTGAGGCGGGGCTTCCGTCCGTCCCGCACACTTCTGGGATTGTTTTCTCTTTCAGAAAGCGCTACTGCGGAGTGAACCGGTCCTTATATCTTAGTTTCGTGACTTTGGGGGCGGCAGGCCTGTGAGTTGTTTTCCGCCCTGGACGCTGTTTTGCAAAGATCTCTGCGCGCCCACCGCCACCCTCCCGGGCGTGCGGGCCGGGAAGCAGCCAGCGGTGGGAAACTCCGACGCCCTCCTCGACACTTTTCTCCCCCCAACTCCCCAAGACTCACTTCTAGGGAAGTCCTTTTTCCCATCAAGCCCTGGGAAAGACTGGCCAGGCTGAGAGAGGGACCCGTCCTCCTCTGTGCCAAAGGCGGGAGCAAATCCTGGTGCTGTCGCCTTTGGATGTGAGTCCTGGAAATGGCGGGGGTGAGGAAGGTGGGCAGGGGCAAGGTTTGGCCCTCAGGCGAGAACCGACGCCTTGTCCCGGAAGCGCAGCACGGCCGAGTGCGTCCGGGGGTGCAGACGGCGCCCTGGGGTGGTCCTGCCGCCACCTCTCCTTTGACTCAGGAGCGCCGCGCCGCGTCCGGGCGCGTTCTCAGTCGCGCGAAGCCAGAGAGGACCCTGGGCGTGATTCTCCCTCCCTGGCACAGACGGAGACCCGAGTGACCCCGGGGTCCGGGTGGGCGTGGGGAATGGACCCATAGACCCGGGACGAGCGGCGCGGAGCCCGCAGCTGGCCAGCTTCAGCCACCTTGGGAGACGCAGTGCAGCTGCCGCTGCTGACAGACAAGACCAAGGCTCGGCTGGGCCCCACCCCAGATCCGGCCTGAGCGCCTTCCGCGCTGCTCGGCCTCAAGGCGTGAGTCACCAAGGGCAAGTCCCGTGACTTGGTCCTCAGGGTCTCCGGCCTCGGCACATTAATCTTCAGACCCGGCTTTTTCGACGCCGAGCTGCCGCCCAGCCCCAATGGCAGGGCCTTCCAGGGAGTCCCAGTCAGACTGCTCCCCAGCTCCCGCAGCTGCTCGGTCCCTGCAAAGCCCCCGGGAGCGTTTCTACTCTCCCCTGAGCCCACGCCATCCCGTCACTCCTAGGAAACTTTTCGCGCAGAAACTCCTGGAGAACAGCCCCGGCCGCCAGGTACTCGCCCGCCCGGACCGCAAAGCCCACAGAGCTTCAATTCGCAGGAAGGGGAGTGGGGAGCCCTGAGCTGGGGTGTTCCTGGAAGAGGTCGGGGAGCGGGGGGAGAGGCATTCCAGGCTGGAGGCCTGGAAACGTTTGGAAGCTTTGCTAACCTTGGAGACCATGTCAGGAAAGAAGCGTACCCAGGCCGTCTGCTGTGTGCCCACCCCGATCCCCATCAGTGCCCCACGCACTCGAGCTCTTCTTCGGCGTCTGCAGCCTCTTCATCCGCGCGGAGAGGCGGAGGTCTCCCGGAAACAGTGTCCGACTGTGGCACCCCAGAGCGTCCAATGCGAGCTCAGGCCTTTCCCGCAAGTCTGGAGTTTTCTTATCCAGTTGAGGCCGCCTTCGCTGTACTCACTCTCTGCCTCCCACCCCATCTTCTGCCACCCGACCTCCATCTTTGATGGTTAGCGCCTTCAGCCCTCAACAGCTTCGCACAACCAACCCCTAGAAGCCGTGGAGTCAGACCGGCCAGGGTGGGACCTAGGTTTTAACTCGGGTTCTGGCTACACACGCTGCGCCTCCATACAGTTTGTCCCAGGTTTGGCAGCAGGCCGGCTACCTTCAGGAATTCTTTGCTTTGGCTTCTGTCTGTTCCTGTCTGTTGGGCAAGTTTCTAGCTACCCCACTGAGAGAACCATAGAACAAGGACCCTGGCATGGCATACAGACAAGGAATGTTTGCTGAATTAATGGAGCTGGTGCCTTGCAGCTTCCCTTTTGTTCCTTGAAGTTGCCCTTGCTCTCCTCCACATCAGCTCCCTCTCCTCCTCAGCTACTTATTCCCCACCCTGGCTTCTTCTAGTCGCAGTCCCCAAGTACTTGCTGAATCCTGTATGGACAGCCTAAGCCTCCATTTCTGACAATTCCTGTGGCCCCACTCCATTTGTTTTTTAGACTTCTCCCTCCTTTTTGTCCCCATCCCCCAAGTTATAAAACTATAATGCAATTCTTTGGATTTTTCTTTAAAAAATCACACTTGTTCAATCCTGCAGCAGCCACTGTCCAACTCTAGCCTTCTCACCACCGCTGAATTAGGAAACCTCCTAAGAGGCCCGCACCCGCACTGTATGCTGCAGCATACAAAGACAGCTGAGAGCTCCCCTCCAGGAAACCTTCCCATCACCAAAAAGAGTGGTGTGGGAGGCCTGGTTTCACACATATAGGGATCCTCTACCCTTCTCCTTTGGCAAGACATTGAGGGCCCATGGCCATAGAGGACAGGCCCTTCTTCACAATGAAACTCAGAGGATTTTTGAAGAAGGCAGGACACAGCATGAGTGTGAGGCAGGAAGAATAAGGCAGAAGAGAGGTGCTTTTTAAAAGTTTTTATTTCAAAAAATAAAGCTGCAGTTCATTTCACATAAATATCTGGGGAGGGAAGGGGAGTGGGATGGGGTGGGGGCTTGGCCCCTACCTCCTCTTCTCTTTCACACTGTATTGTAAAAGCAAAGGGGATGGCTAAGGAGAGAATGAGGAAGTAGTAGTCAGTGGGGAATGTTCTTATATTATTCAAAGGGCCCCTCAGCCCACCCTTCCCCTGAGGACTGTAGGATGGTTGGGGGGAGTCTGAAGGGGGTGTGATCCCAGGGAGGGTGGCCTGGCTTACCTTGCCGAACCAGCGGGAGAGCCATATCTGCTTCATTGTCATGTGATCAGGGAGAACTTCATTGTCAAAAAGGAGCTGCACCTAGGAGGGAGATGGGGGCATAATTTTAGGAACTTTCTGGCAGGTCAAAAACTACCCTGGTCCACCCTAGACTCTGTCCCTCCTTTCTTAGCCCCTTCTCCCCCTCAAGAAACCTACTGTGGGACTACTCACATGCTGAGGGTTTAGCATCAAGCGGTGACACAGGACCCTCCGGAGATGGCGTACCTCAGCTCTAACAGAACATCGGACATACTTGTTCTGGGAGCAGGGAGGGGAGGGAAGAGGGCAAGGTGTGTGAGGGAAGGACCATGGGAGGTGAGTCTCCTTAGAGAGGCCCTCCCCTCAGCCCTTCTCACCTGCAGGACGCTTTTATTCTTGTCTTTGCCAGAACTGGGGGGAAATAGACACAGGTTAGGGAATCCTATCTTTCCTCCTCTTCCCCACCCAGAGCCATGATATACTCTCTTCAAGGGGATAGGCACTCACTCACTGCTCAGCCTCTCCCCTAGACCCTCCCTGGCTCTGGGTCATTGGCACTGTCACCTCCTGCAACCCCTGACCTTCTCCTCACCTCAGCCGCTCCAGGCACAGGTTCAACTGCTCATCATAGCGATAGTAGTGGGCTTTAGAGTGGTCAAAGCTGCTGAAGGGGAGGCCGAGGTTGCTCAGTGCTGGCTCTGAGAAAGATAGGGTAGTGAGGTGGCTGGTGGCACACATTCCATACTCCTCTTTCCCCAGAGAGCAAAACTGGGCAAGAAGAATGCTCTGGGGTCTTTACTGTCCCGCGGCCAAGGACATACCTTCCCCAGTGGGCTGGGTGACCCGGTCCAAACCTCGGGACTGGTAGAATTCCCGAATCCGTTTCTCTTCACCTAGAAGAAGGTGAAGTATGAGAATAAAGTATTAGCCCTTCGGGGCCGGGCGCGGTGGCTCACGCCTGTAATCCCAGCACTTTGGGAGGCAGAGGTGGGCAGATCATGAAGTCAGGAGATTGAGGCCATCCTGGCTAACATGGTGAAACCCCGTCTCTACTAAAAAATATAAAAAATTAGCTGGGCATGGTGGTGGGCGCCTGTAGTCCCAGCTACTCAGGAGGCTGAGGCAGGAGAATGGCATGAATCCAGGAGGTGGAGCTTGCAGTGAGCTGAGATTGCGCCACTGCACTCCAGCCTGGGCAAGACTCCGTCTCAAAAAAAGAAAAAAAAGAATAAAGTATTAGCCCTTCCTCACTTTTTGTCCTTCCCTCATCTTTGGCCTTCTGCCTACGTGAGTCCTACCAAACCCGTCACCTCAAGCTGCCACTCAGCAATTAGTCCTCAAGAGGCCCCTCAAAGTCAGGTTGGTGACTCACTGTCTTGCAAGCCAGGCACCAGCTTATACACGATGTCCTGCATGACCCGGTCCAGTTTGAGGTTGAGCAGTGGCTGTGTCTCGTGGATCTTAATGTTGCACATGGGGCAGTACTTGCTAGTTTGGAGGTACTTCACAATACAACTCTTGCAGACTGCAGGAAAAGAAAAGCAGATTCTCAGGCCCTCTGGAAACTGGATTCATGGGCTGGGTGGGGTGCCTGGATGCGTGAGGCAGGCCGCACAGAAGCTGGCAGTCAGCTTGGTGAAGACTAGGGACTGGAAGAACTAGGCAGTCTCCAAGGCACTCACAAGTATGAAGACACTCTGTGATGGTGGTGGCATCCACGAAGTAGCCGGCGCATAGGCAGCAAACAATGTGTTCATTCAAGTCTTTGATCTTCACTCGAACCTCCTCCTGAAGATACACCCTCCGTCACCAATCATCCACCCTCAAACCCCAACCCGTGCGCCTTCCCACCTTGGGGGTCGCCTCCTTCATCACACTAGACGGCCAAGCCCCGCGCCCTGCGCCATCAGCCGGGGATTAGCTCCTGGGGGCTGGCACTCCCCCTCCGCCCAGCAGAGGGCTCCGCGCACAGCGGGGGCTTCCCTCACGTGGACTCGCCTGACCCTCCTTTCCCAGGGGAGACTACACAACGTCGGCGACACAACGCGCAGGCGTCCTAACCGGAGTTTGGCAACCCGATCGCAACCACGCAGGCGCACTGGGCACTCTGTCTCTGCGCAGGCGCACTGGGCGCCCGGCCAGCCACCGCCCGTCCTTTAGCCCGCCCCAATTCGCACCGCTGGCCGACCACAGCAGTAACCCTGCCGCCCTTGCACCTCGTTCCGTAGCGGGTCCATCTTGTACACTGACTGGAGCTGGTTCCGAAGCCTCATCGCGATCGCAATCTGGCCCCCCTGAGGAGACGCCATCTTAAAGGCTGATCCCAGCCGGCCACTTCCGGTGCCGCCTGCAGGGCGGGACTTGTCTCCCAGCAACGAGGTTCTAGGTCTTTTCGGATTCGCTCACCCTCTGTAAGGCCCCGCCCACGTCCCTTTCTCCCTGTGTGCTCACCTGAGCCCCACCGGCCCCTCCCCTGCTCAATCCGTAATTAAGGAGTGGGGGGGGGGGAGCACAGGGAAGGGTCTTATCTCTTCAACCTCCTGTAGAAATCATCATAATAGGCCCTACGCGACCTCAAGACTAACTTTCGGAGCCTGCGAAAGACTGCCCCCTCCTACCCCCAAAGGCCTGGCAGTCTGTGCCCGCTACCCGCTCAGGGTCGTCGGTCTTCTGTGACGACGACCCTGCTGAAGAAGCCCCTCCTGGGTCCTCTCCTCGTAATGCCGCCCTGTCGGCGTCCGCGTAGCGGAGCTTCGTCCAGATGGCGGGTCTTCTCCCGGCTTCACGGAGGGAGTTTCTTGGGCTTTGCAGAGTCTCGGAGAGGGTGCCGGGGGATGGGGAGTGAGAGACCCCCAGGGACTTGGTAGTGATCTTATTCCCCCATTCTCCCCCCTGCTGCCGGGGATGGGGGGGGCAGGCCCTGGTTAATGATGATGATTTAATCATCGGCGCCTGCGGAGGCCTGGGACAGACTAATGCAGAGCAGATGCCGAAGGAGGAGGGGAGGACGACTAGGACACTGCCACACACAGACAGGCTTAGGCAGCGAGCGCCTGTAGTAGCATAGGCCCAGTCCCGCACTTGGGGACTACGCGGGGTGCTCGCTCGAGAGCTCTACACCGCCGGCTCTGGGTACTTAAAAAGGGATAAATTTGCTATGAGGTATTAACATCAAATGCAACTGGAGATACGAGAAGGGAGAGATTCCAATGGAGACCTCAAAAAAGGCTTTCTGGAGAAAGTGGGACTTTGGGCACAATTTAGACTTGGGGGAGGGGGTGGAAGTGTGGTGAAATAGAAAGGACGTGGAGGGGAATGACCAGAGGACAGGAAGGTCAAGATGTAGATTTGAGAGTGGTAATAGAAAAAGCAGGGCCATAAAGAGTTGCGATTTTTAGCCTGAGGGCAATTGGGAGCTAGCGGACTTTTTTGAAGGGAGGTTATCCTGTGAAAGCGACATTTTTGTTCATTTCTCTTCAGAGTGAATTGAAGTGAATATGCAGCAAGAAGTTATGAGATTAGTGATTAATCAATTATTCGTTACAGCCCCTGTTTACCTACTTCCCTGGTCCGAGCCACTATCATCTGTCCTCTGTAGTGGCCTCTTGACTGTTTTCCTTGAGTCCCCCTTCGCCTGTTCTCAACATCACAGTTGAGTGCTGTTTCTCAGAGCTAGTGATTCTGATAAAACATGAAACACAAAGGACAAAGGACAATTTTTGAGATGTGGATATGTTTATTATTTTTATGGTGATGATGGTATCATGGGTATATACATATGTCAAAACTTATCAAATTGTACACTTCAAATATTTGCAGTTTATATGTCCATTATACTTCAAGAAAGCTATTAAAAATAAAGTTGAAAAATTAGGTTGTTCCTTTTTTACGTTTAAAACCTGTTGAGAGCTTCCCTTTTCAATCAGAATGAAAGTCAAAGTCTCAGAGTGGTGTGCAAGGGCCTGCATAGTCTCTTCAGATACACCAGGATATCCTTCCACTGTGTCCCCAACTTGAAATGCTTAGGTATCCAAAATGGCTCCCTCCTTCTTTCAGGTCTTTACTCATGAGGCTGCTGTAATCACTCTAGATGAATAACAACTCACCCACCCTTTCACTTCCTTGCTCTTTTTTTTCTGGTTAGCACTTATTAGCATTCTATCATTTATTATTATTTAATATACATTTCTAATATATATTATATTTTCTAGTTATTTTCAGAAAATATTTTCTAGAAAACATATTTCCTAGTTTTTCATCTGCCTTTTCCACTAGACTATAAGCTTCTCAGTGGCAAGGATTTTTTTTCCTCTGTTGTGTTCACAGATATAGCTCCAGTGCCAGGTGCATAGTTGGTGTTCAATAAAACTTTTCTGGATGAATACATGAATGAATCCAAGTGGTGGTGATGACAGCCTCGATTAGGGTTTTAGCAATGGCAATGGAAAGGAAGGGCTGTATCTGAAACAGTTCAAAGGAAAGTATAATAGGAGGAAGTAGCCAGGAACCTGGCTTGGTAGGCCTGGGTAAGAGGGTGAATGAAGAGCTTTGGAGGGAAGCATGTCCTCCAGCCTGCTGGACTTAAGGTGGCTGCAGGGAAGCAGGGGGAGCTTGTCAGAAGGCTAGGAGAGTGAGCGGTGGGGCTGGAGTGTCAGAACAAGGGATGGAGGTCTCAGAGTTATCTGGCTGGATATGAGAGTTGGGACTTTTGGAATGGGTGAAACTTGAGCAGATGAAGAGATAAAGAAAGCTTAAGGCCTGGTGCAGTGGCTAATGCCTGTAATTCCAGCACTTTGGGAGGCTGAGGCAGGTGGATACTTGAGCCCAGGAGTTGGAGACCAGCCTGGGCAACATGGTGGGACTCCGTCACTACAAAAAGTACAAAAATTAGCCTGGCATGGTGGCGCATACCTGTAGTCCCAGCTACTTGGGAGGCTGAGTTAGGAAGATTGCTCGAGCCTGGGAGGTTGAGGCAGCAGTGAACCGTGATAATGCTACTGCACTCCAGCCTGAGCGACAGAGTGAGATCCCATGTCTTAAAAAAAAAAAAAAAAGAAAAGAAAAAAGAAAGCTTAAGTCTGAGCTCTGAAGAATCCTCACAGTCTTCAGTGGAAGAAGGAAAATCAGTGGAGGAAAAACATAAGCAGTGACTACGAAAGTCCAAAGATGTGGAATAAGATATTACAGAAGCAAAAAGAAGGGACACTTCAAAAAATAATTGATGACCAACAAAGTAAAACATGCCAGGGAAGTCCTGGAGGAGGGATACTGAACACTGGAGCTCTCTGAGAAAGGGTTACTATAATGAAGGCAGCTTGCACTGAGTTAAAACAAGAATAAATCATGATGAAATGGAGGCAGTAGGCATGAAGTAAAAAGGAAAGGAAAAGCATGATCTCTCTTGAAGACTCAGGCAAAGATTTTGTCCAGATGATAAAGATCTGAGACAGCTGAGGGGTAGGAAAGACTAAGTTGATGAGAGCCACGGACACACAGGACATGGTGAGACAGATCCAAAGCAGTGTGTATGAGGGGGCACTCATTCCAGCACCTCTATCTTCGTCTTTTTTTTTTTTTTTTTTTTTTGAGATGGAGTCTCGCTTTGTCACCCAGGCTAGAGTGCAGTGGCGCGATCTCGGCTCACTGCCAGCTCCGCCTCCCGGGTTCACGCCATTCTCCTGCCTCAGCATCCCGAGTAGCTGGGACTACGGGTGCCCGCCACCAAGCCCGGCTAATTTTTTGTAGTTTTAGTAGACACGGGGTTTCACCGTGTCAGCCAGGATGGTCTCAATCTGCTGACCTCGTGATCCACCCACCTAGGCCTCCCAAAGTGCTAGGATTACAGGCATGAGCCACCGCGCCTAGCCAATCTTGAATATAAACCAGCAGGAACCATCCTTTCCCCGTGAATCAGAGACAAGGAGGCAAGAAAGGACATTTCAAGCCAGGTTGGGGTGGTGGTGCACACCTGTAACTCTAGATACTCAGGGGGTCAAAGTGGGAGGATTGTCTGAGCCCAGGAGTTTGAGGCCAGCCAGCCAGCCTGGGCATCATAGCGAGACTCTGTCTCTTAAAAAAAGAGAAAGTCCTAGGACTGTGGTCTGGGTGACGTAACTGGATGCCATCTGTTCTTGAAGTGGGGCACTAAAATATTTTAAAAACTCTCCAGAACACTTGTATGAACTACTGAGTTTGTGACCATTCTCCTTAAAGGATTAGTTGGACAGTCCCTGGGTGGCAGTACCATCTGTGCTGAACTCAAACGGCAGGGGTGTACGGGTCTGCATGATGTTGCCTTTTTTTCATTTGTTGATTCACTCACTGATTCATTCAAGGAGGATTTATTTAGGTTGGCTGGAGACACACTGGTTACCCTGCCCCCCTGCCCCCAGACTCAACCTTCAGAGCAGAGAATGGGACTAGCAAACTCCTAACCTGCACACCAGCCCTCTTCAGAGATTATATTTCTTTGCTGTCTCCCTAGGTTTCCTGCTCCCATCTGGAGGAATCCAGCCCTTGGTACCAAGGAAGTTTTTTTTGTTGTTGTTTGTTTGTTTGTTTTTTTTGAGATGGAGTCTTGCTCTGTTTCCCCAGACTGGAATGCAGTGGTGATCTCCGCTCACTGAAACCTCTGCCTCCCTGGTTCAAGTGATTCTCCTGCCTCAGCCTCCCCAGTAGCTGAGATTACAGGCACCTGCCAACATGCCCAGCTAATTTTTTTGTATTTTTAATAGAGACGGGGTTTCACCATGTTGGCCAGGCTGGTCTTGAACTCCTGACATCAGGTGATCCGTCCCCTCTTGGCATTCCAAAGTGGTGGGATTACAGGCATGAGCCACTGCTCCCGGCCTGAAGATTTGGACTAAACAGGTTCATGCTTCCTTGTAGCCCTCTCTACTGCTGAGAAAAGTGCATGGGTTTCTGTAAAGAGACGGGAGGTGATAATGTCTGTCTTCTCCATCAAGATGAAAATACATCTGCTAAATTGGTAGGAGCCCCCACCCTCTTTCAGAACGGGCTGTTAGCAGGGCTGAGGAGGGGCTGGACAAATTGGATAGTAGAGTGGTCAAGGTGGGGGAGGTTGACACTTTTTTTTTTTTTTCAGACAGAGTCTTGCTGTGTTGCCCAGGCTGGAGTGCAGTGGCGCGATCTCGGCTCACTGCAAGCTCCACCTCCCGGGTTCATGCCATTCTCCTGCCTCAGCCTCCCAAGTAGCTGGGACTACAGGCACCCGCCACCACGCCCAGCTAATTTTTGTATTTTTAGTAGAGATGGGTTTCACCGTGTTAGCCAGGATGGTCTCAATCTCCTGACCTCGTGATCCACCCGCCTCGGCCTCCCAAAGTGCTGGTATTACAGGCGTGAGCCACCGCGCCTGGCAGGTTGACACATATTAATGCCCACTATTCCTCCCACTGCCCTCTGTCCCATTTATGGTTCACCTCCTCTAGATATAAGGCTTCAGAGAACACTGAAGGGCTGGTGGACAGAGCTCACCCTTCTTTCTCTTCTTTATCTTTCTGCCCAGATGCCCAAATATCATTCCTGGTTCCCAGGGGAGAAAAGACCCCTTCACCCTGCCCCAGGCGCCAGGCTGCCAGCCCATCTGCTGGGGAGAAAGGAGGGGGCAGAGTCTTTCCCAGGGGATCCTGGAGAATCAGTTTGAAGATCAGTGCTCCCAGGGAGATCCAGCTAGTAGACTTACAAAGCATTTCGGTTCACACGGGAACCAGCAGGATGGAGCTGAACAGCGGGGTGGGCTCGGGACGAGGGTAGAGGGCTGGCACAGCAGGGTAAGGTCCTTTGGCCACCACGTGTCAGAGGTAGGCTGAGCTGCTCGTTGGTGCCCACCCGCCACCGCCACCGCAGGATGGTAGAAGCGCCCCCCTCTCTGAGCCCAGTCTCACCGGCTCAGAGGCGCCAGGGCCCCCCCGGGGGCCGGGGCGGGCCGGGGAAGGTAATGTAATTCCGGCCCAGCTAACCCGATTACCGCGGCCTGCACCGGGCAGGGCGGCGGCGGGGGCGGGTCTAAGGCTCAGGGGCCCGCCCGCGGGGGTCCCATCCCCGGGAAGGACGCAGAGTTCACGCACTCCCGGCTCCTGGATTCATGGCCAGAGGTCACAAGGTCACCAAGCGGCTTAGGTCTTTCCCCACCTCCCTTCTCTGACAGCTCCAGGCCATTTTTTGAGTTTGGGTGGGGTAAAATGTTTATGGGAAACAAGGCGGCCAGGATCCAACCAAGGCCTCAGTGAGGTCCCACGTGTCCCCCGTGGCGAGATTTCGCCCTCCCGCCGTTGAGGAGGAAGAGTGTGAGAACAGACTTCCTAGGCACAGAATGGAGGGGCAGAGTCCTGCATTGAGGACTCCCTGCACTTGGGGTCCGGGGGTAAGTGCCAGCCCCAAGAACCCGCCGGCCTGATTTGGCCCGGGTTGAGCCATGGTCCGTTTTACACGGATTTTGGAAAATCGAAATTCTAGGAAACACAGGACACCAATTACCGGTGCGCATGAACAGGGCTGGGGGGACCTACAGGAGAGGCCAGAAGGCGCACCACGATCGCCAGCCCAAAGCGGCCGTTCCCCGCCCTTAGCCCCTGCCGTCCCCTTCCCACACCTGTTCTCTTCCTGGGCCTGCAGCTCACCGGGCGCCGTTCCCCAGCCGCTTCTTACGCAGCCGGGAAACCACAACGAGATTTGGTCTTCGAGAGCATTTAGGCGGGGACCACAACGAATCCGGGAGTTGGCCAGAAGGATCCATCGAGAGGCGAAGAGTGGGGGCTGGGGGAGGAGGCACCTGCGGAGGAAGCCGGTGAGGCGGAGGCAGCCCAAAGGCGGAGGCCGCCCAAAGGCGGAGGCCAGCAAGGATGGAGGCGCGGTGAGCATCTCCGCTGACTCAGCGGCCCATGCTCGGGCCCCTCCCGCGCTGAGCCTGGCTCCTAACACCCTGGCCCCCTGTCCCCCTCCCCGCACATCTCCGCCAGCCAGCCTTCCCCCTGCGCTTGGCGCAAACAGGCGTCCCTTCCCCTTTAACTGCTGGGCCCCGCCCCTGCCCTACCCCCAGCCCCCACTACCCACCCGGGCCGATCCGTCAGTCACTGCCCCAGCCGGAGCTGGCCAACCCTCTCCACCCGGGACTTGGGCAGCGGCGCCGGCAGCCCAGCGTCTATTTGCGCTTAAGAGCCAGCAAGGAAGCTCCAGGGGCCCCAGCTGGCCGTGCTCCCCCGGGATGCAAGTCCCTGCGCTGACGCCCGGCAGCGGCTGGCACGGGCGCGGCTGCTCCGGGTGCACAGGGATGCTGCTGTTTCGGGGACCCCGGCGCCCTGCCTTGGCCAGCCCCGCGGGCCCCTGAGGCCACTCTCCGGAGCGCGCCGCCGCTGGGCTTCTGGCGCTGCCTGAGGCATCCTCCCCAACCACCGAACCTCCGGCGGTTCTCCTCGGCCCAGACCGATGGAGCCGGGGATGCTGGGTCCACACAACCTCCCACACCACGAGCCAATCAGCTTCGGCATCGATCAGATCCTGAGCGGCCCCGAAACCCCAGGGGGCGGTCTAGGCCTGGGTCGCGGGGGCCAGGGTCATGGGGAGAATGGGGCGTTCTCGGGTGGATACCACGGAGCCTCGGGCTACGGTCCCGCCGGCTCACTTGCCCCGCTGCCCGGCAGCTCCGGAGTGGGCCCAGGCGGCGTGATCCGCGTCCCTGCGCACCGCCCGCTGCCTGTGCCGCCGCCCGCTGGGGGGGCGCCTGCAGTGCCTGGGCCCTCGGGTTTGGGCGGCGCCGGAGGCCTAGCGGGACTCACCTTCCCCTGGATGGACAGCGGCCGCCGCTTTGCCAAGGACCGGCTCACGGGTGAGGTTGTCTGACCCCTCCAGCGTCACGCCCGACTCTGACCCCGTCTCCTCATTTCTTAGCTTTCTGCTCCAACTCAAGGACCCCTTTCACACCTCCCACTAGATCCTCCCAGGGGATCCTCCCCCAACTCAAATCTCTGGGTCCTGCCTCCGAGAGGTGATGGGGAGGGAGCTGCCGTCGGTGCCCGCGCCCTCCTCTGTAGTCCCACTGTCCACGCGTGGGGAGGGGAGGGTGAAGTTACAGGGGACGTCTCCCTCGCATCCCAGGGGAAGGGCCTTTCTTGGCTATAGGGCTCGGCTGATGCTTAGGGCCCGGGTAAGGACAGGGCGCGGGAGTTCTGCGGCCTGGACAGCCGCGCGGCCTTCTCAGTGGCACCTCGGGCCACCCTGCAAATCCTGCCCTGGTCTTTCTTCCTCCCGGTAGCTGCGCTCTCGCCCTTCTCTGGGACGCGCCGCATAGGCCACCCCTACCAAAACCGGACCCCTCCGAAGCGGAAGAAGCCGCGCACGTCCTTCTCCCGCTCACAGGTGCTGGAGTTGGAGCGGCGCTTCCTGCGCCAGAAGTACCTGGCCTCTGCGGAGAGGGCGGCGCTGGCCAAGGCCTTGCGCATGACCGACGCACAGGTCAAAACGTGGTTCCAGAACCGACGCACCAAGTGGCGGTGAGGCGCGGCGCGGGCGAGGGCGGACTGGGGTTCCCGAGCAGGGCCTGGTGAGAAGCGACGCGGCGGGCGCCCCGCTGACCCCGCGTCTCCCTCCCTTAGGCGCCAGACGGCGGAGGAGCGCGAGGCCGAGCGGCACCGCGCGGGCCGGCTGCTCCTGCATCTGCAGCAGGACGCGTTGCCACGGCCGCTGCGGCCGCCGCTGCCCCCGGACCCTCTCTGCCTGCACAACTCGTCGCTCTTCGCGCTGCAGAACCTGCAGCCCTGGGCCGAGGACAACAAAGTGGCTTCAGTGTCCGGGCTCGCCTCGGTGGTGTGAGCGACGCCCGTCCGATCGGCGTGGAGCGCCGGGCCCGGAGCGGTGGAGCGCGCGGCTGCCTGCGTCCATGGTCTAGTGGCAGCCGGGCGCGTGAGGAGCGGCAGGCCTTGAGGCTGTCGTCGAGGGCTCCTCCACCACCGGCCGGCTCCCAAGCCAGCGTTGCGCAGATGCACGGCCAGCTCAGAGGCGGCCTTTCCCGCCATTTTTCACTTCACTGCCGTTACGCCCTCGCTGGAACCTGAGGCGCCGAGAGGGCGGGACCTGCAGGACAGTAGCCAATGAGGTGCGGGGAGGGGGCCGGGCTGGCCAATGGGAGCTGCTTTCCTGAGGGACTCGAAATTCTCCGGCGGGTGGTCGGGAGCTGGGGCTCTGAGGGGCTCTAGCGGCGTTGCGCGCGGTGCCGGCTGGGTCTGTACCAAAGGTGTGAAGGAAAGAAGACACCGACCACGGCGAAGCAATAGAGGGGGTGCTGGAGCGCGAGAGGCTGGCTGATTGTGACCGAAACCAGAGGGTTGTCCACCCCGGGCATCTCATCCCTCAACTGTAAAATAATCGCTAAGGATTCCTTCCTGACTTTGAGCCTCACGTTGTCATGTGTGTTCAGCCTGCTGGCCACATCCTCCGGCAACACGCCCGGGCAGGAGGCGAGTCGGATACTTACACACCCAACGAAAGAGAAAATCTGGCTCCGGTGTCACATAGGGACAGAGAAGGGAGAGGAGGAAACAGTGGACAAAGTTAATGGGCCCAGTGGAGTTAGGGTGAAGAGAATTTGGAAAATAATTTGGAAGTGACAAGCTTAAGAAGAATCAAAGGTAATTCCAAGACTGGAAATGTGCAGCATCAGGAAATCAATGGTGCTGTGGATGATGAAAGGGAAATTGGGAAGACTGGAGCAAAATTAACTGTATAGGCAAAACTAAATGTTATACCTAGAGAGAATAAATCCTGGAGAAGTGCCTTTGAGGGAGATCAGCTGACATCCACATAGAGGTGGACCTAGATAGAATGAATGAGAACAGATAGAATCTCTGAGGGAGGGAACTCTTGAGGAGAAAAGCAGAGTTCTAAGGACTAAACCTTTCCACCAAATTCGACAACCACCTTTGCAATGTGCAAGATGATGGAGAATACCTAAGTCAATAGTCCAAGGGCAGGCAGGGCACGGTGGCTCACGCCTGTAATCCCAGCACTTTGGGCCGAGGCGGGAGGATCACAAGGTCAGGAGATCGAGACCATCCTGGCTAACACGGTGAAACCCTGTCTTGACTAAAAATACAAAAATTAGCCAGGCATGGTGGCACATGCCTGTAGTCCCAGTTACTCAGGAGGCTGAGGCAGGAGGATCGCTTGAACCCGGGAGGTGGAGGTTGCAGTGAGCTGAGATTGCACCGCTGCACTCCAGCCTGGGTGACAGAGCGAGACTCCGTCTAAAAAAAAAAAAAAAAAAAAATTCCGAGGGCACAAAAGGGGAAGGGAAGGAAGGAGAACCTAGGAAGAAAGAAAGGAAAGCATGATGTCTCTGAAGTTGTTAGAAAGACTTCCCCTTGTGGGTGTGTCTGGGCTGCTGGGAAGCTTGTTAATAGAAAGTCTAGTTAGGGGATGGTTGCATTAGCCTTAAGGTTTAAAAAGGAATTGGATTTAAGCTGTATGAGGAAGAAAGGGAAGAATTTGTCTGATTCCTCTAGCACCCCCATCCTTTGTCCCCTGGAGGCTGGTGCACTGTGACAGAGGGAAGAGAGGCCAGGCTAGAGACCAACTGTAGCCAGACAACTCATGTCTGTGCTAGTGACAACTATGTCGATCATAGCATGAAGGCCTGATTGGAGATGGGAAGAGGCTAGAGACTATATAGTTGGAGGAGCTGGCCCTGGTTATTTACTGTAATATCATCACTGATTTATGGATGTTGTATATGGCACTGCAGGACCAAACTAAAACTTGGCATCATAGAAAAATCTTTTATAGATCACAAGGGAGTACAAGAATGGGTTTGGCAAAGTTAAGAGAATGAGGAGCATGTCAGTCCCTCTCCAATCAATAAGAGAAGGCTAAGGAAAGAGTCCTTCCCTATGTAGACTGTGGTTTACCCCATTCTTTCCATTCCCAGTCTACCATTTCTTGGGACTCAGGTTCCAGGGTTTACATTTGACCCTAAACTTTGGGCTTCTAAATCTGTCTGGGTGCTTTGGTGTCACCCTGAGGGATAATCTAATGTGATGAGATGAACCCAGCTCCATTCCATAGGCAGGCAGGTCACTGCAGGACACAGGGATCTCTGAACTCCTGGGCTGAGGATGATTTGCTCCCTGCTGTAGAATCTGCCATTCCTTCCCTTAGCTGGTTCAGAAGGTCTCTGCTCTCACTGGGAGGCAAGTTACTCAGGAAGTATGGAGGGGCCAATTCCACCAGCCTAATAGAGAGAGTCATAATTAGATGATCTGCATCTTCTCTCTCTCTGTCTCTCTCTTTTTAGAGACAGGGTCTCGCTCTGTTACCTGGGCTGGAGTTCAGTGGCATGATCATAACTCACTGTAGCCTTAGACTCCCGTAATCCTTAGCCTTAGACTCAAGTAATCCTCCCACCTCAATCTCCCAAGTAGCTGGGACTACAGGGTGGTTTCAAACTCCTAGCCTCAAGGACTCCTCCTGCCTAGGTCTCCAAAAGTGCATCTTCTCTTATAATGCAGACTTTTAAACTTCTCACCAGCCCTTCCACAAATCCTGTCTCCTCAGATCATGTTTTTACTAACCACTAAGATCCCTTCCTCTGTCTCTCTAACTCCCCAGCCATAATTTTGGCCCCAGGGAGAGGAATAGGCAGTATAGGAGGGATGTCAGGGAACTCACATCTGTGGTTGAATCTCAGAAACAATGGAAAGGCAGTTGTCTTTGGATATGGTGAAATTGTGGTAGAGCACCCATGGTGGGGGTCTGGCAGGAGCTCTGCGGCTTCGGTAGCAGCAGTATGAGGAGAGCTGGGCCACATGCTTATGGGTTAGGAGAAGGTAATTTCCAGTCCCGTCTGTGTCTCTGGCCACCTTATTGAAAGGCAGAAATATTGACGGAATAAATAAAAGGGAAGAGGCAGGCAGTAGAAAAAAATAAAAGGGGATTGAGAAAGAGTAAGGGTGATGAGAGCATGAAAAGTAAAGCATTACCTCTAGGTGTTGTCTGGTCTCTACTATACCTCATGGCATTTACCATAGCCCCTTGTACCTCAAATCCTCAAGGGAAAAGTCCTTTCTGGTTCTAAAGAATCTTTTGAATGGCCACCTGGACCCTGATTTCAAAGTGGCTTACCAATATTTGTTCTCTTTGCCTTTTGCTCCTTTGATCACCCTCACCCCCACCCTTTCCTCTAACCTTGAGAAAGTATCCTGACACCAGTGCTTTCTGAAGGTCTCTGCGATTCTGCTCAGAGCCAAAGGCTGGTAGGGACAAGGGAAGTTCAATTCGTTGCATGAGTTCTAGGAGTTCTCCCCGAAGTTTATGGGCTTGGCACAATGCTGCCCAATTCAGACCTCGAGCCTGGCACCAAGCCTCATCTGCTCCACCTAGGAGAGGAAAGGGACCAGCTAAACTAAAGTCCTTGAGACCCCTGAAATAACCCAACCCTTAGCCAAAGGGCCTCCTCTTTCTGAGCATAGAGATCTGTCAGCTGGCTGCATAAAATTTCCCCTCTTTGGAAAATCTGGGATTCTATAAAAGGATGCAGAACTCACTTTGTATAAAGGCTTCATACACCTGGATCAGAGAACTGTGGTCACCATCCGTGTGTTCCAGGGCCCGACGCAGGGCAGCTTCTTCTGCACTGAGTGGAGGACGGGTAAACCCAGGGGCAGCTGGAGGCAGAAGAGTGGAAGGTAGAATCTGCCATTTGGGAAATGGGAAGGGATAGTAGTACAGGTAGAATGCTGAAAAGGCAGAAGTGTCCCTTTGGGAACTTTATTCAAAAGACATAGATAACTTCTAGGTGCTATGCACTTTATTAAACATTGAGGATAAGTAAATGAAATACAGTCTCTGCCATCAAGGAGCTTCAAGTCTGGTGGGAGAGACCAACAGGTAAGCAGACTTGATAAGCATGATAGGTGTTTGTATATGGTACTGTGGAAACAAAGAGGAGGATACCTAATCCAGGCTTTAGGTGGTGAGGATGTGAGTGATGTAAGAGAAAACGATGAGGACCCTTGGGCTAGTATTTGAAATTTGAGTAGGAATTAGCCGAGTGGAGACGGGGCAGGGAGTATGTTTTAGACTGTGGCAACAGCATGGCACGTAAGTTAATAATATAGCATATTTGGGGAACTGCAAGCCATCTGGTATGGGTGGAGGGAATGAAATGACGTGGCAGAATGGCAGGAGATAAAGCTGGAGAGGTAGGTATAGGTAAGGTCATGAGAGGCTGGAGTACTGAGGAAAGGAACTGTCTTTAAGGTAAAGAGTAGCTGTAGAGGAAGAGTTGTGGGGTTTTTTTTGTTGTTGTTGTTTGTTTATTTGAGACAGGGTCTCACTCTCTTGCCCAGGCTGGAGTGAAGTGGCGTGATCATGGCCCGTTGCAGCCTCAACCTCCCAGGCTTAAATGATCCTCCTACCTCAGTCTCTTCAGTAGCTGAGACTACAGGCATATGCCACCACACCTGGCTAATTTTTTGTTTTTGTAGAGACAGGGTCTCTCCTATGTTGCCCAGGCTGGTCTCAAACTCCTGACCTCATGTGATCCTCCCATCTCAGCCTCCCAAAGTGCTGAGATTACAGGCACAAGCCACCACGCCTGGCTGAAGAAGAGTTTTTAAGTAAGAGAGTCCATGTGTCTGAAAAAGTTCACATTACTAGTTAGGAGGCTACTGAGGAAAACCAGCTGAGCAATGAGGAGGACCTACCATTGGCAGATCCTACCTACCGTATTCACTGGAAGTGAATATGGAGAAGGACAGATGAATATATTTATATATATATTTACATTTAGGAGATAAAAGTGAAATAACCTGGAGAAAGACTGGTCTAGAGTGATGGTAGCAGAGCAGCAGAGATAATAGTATTATCTGAATCTAAGACTCTAGAGAGAGGAAAAGATTTTGTGGTGATGGTGGTGAGGGAGTGGTTTAATAGAGCATTTGAGTTCAGTTCTGAGCTGAGGTACTGTTAACTATTCTGGTAGAAATGTCCATCAGGGGCTGGGTGCCGAGGCTCAGGCCTGTAATCCCAGCAGTTTGGGAGGCTGAGGTGGATGGATCACCTGAGGTCAGGACTTTGAGACCAGCTTGGCCAACATGGCAAAAACCCGTCTCTACTAAAAATACAAGAATCAGCTGGGCATGGTGGTGCGTGCCTGTAGTCCCAGCTACTTGGGAGGCTGAGGCATGAGAATTGCTTGAACCAGGCAGACAGAGGTTGCAGTGAGCTGAGATCATGCCATTGCACTCCAGCCTGGGTGACAGAGTGAGACTTTGTCTGAAAAAAAAAAAAAAGAAAAAGAAAAAAAGAAACGTTCATCAGGAGTTGGAGTATGCTCTCTCTCTCTCCCTCTCTTTCCCTCTCCCTCTCTCCCCCTCTCCCCCTCTTTCCCTCTCCCTCTCTCCCCCTCTTTCCCTCTCCCTCTCTCCCCCTCTCCCCATGCGTCTCTCCCTTGCTCTCTCTCTGTCTCTCAGATTCGAAGAATGGTATTGGGTGAGAGATACACGGCACAAGGTTTGGAAATTTTAAGGCTAAAGGTAGCACTTCAAACCATGGGTGTGGATAAACTTGCTCAGAGAGTTCAGGGAATAGAAGACAAAAGAGGCAAGAATAGAACCCTGAGGACCAATTTACAATGGATAAGAAGAGGACAAAGAGCTCAAGGAAAAGATAAAGGGGATGACCAGAGACGTAGGATGAAATCCATGAGGAGCAGCGTTACAGAGGCCTAGGGAGGAGGCAGTTTCAAGGTGGAGCGGTCAGCAATCTCAAGTGTCAAAAGAAGGTCATGAATAAGGGTTCAAAAGTATCCACTGGATTAGGTACCTGGAAGGTCACTGGTGAGTTGAAAGCTGTTTCACTGGCATGGTAGACCTGAAGCTGGAGTGCAGTGGGTGAGCAATACACCAGTTAGAACAGGATAGAAATCATGCTGCATAGCTGAAGGGGAGGATAGGGTTGAGGAAGAGGGGTGTGTGAGTTTTAGCAATAACAGATTAGGAGAGATTTAAGCATGCTGAGGGCAAGAACCAGCAGAGAAAAAAGGCTAAAGAGACAAGAGGGAGATGGGTGACTAAGCCTGGTTCTTTAGGCATTGTGAGGGGTGGCAACTGGAGCAGAGAGGAAAGGGCTAGCCTCAGGAGCACCAAAACCCAAGAGGAAGGGCTGAAGTGGTTTCAAGAGCTATGGATTTACAGCAGCGATTTATACCTGTGAGCATGGCAGCCAGGGTGAGCATCTCGTCCACACAGTCAAACTCGCATGAGGCCAGCAGGGCTTTGGCCAGCTCAGGGGCCAGAGGGAATTCTGATAGTATGACACCCAGATCTGACAGGTCCCCATCATCATCCAGGGCTGCCAGATAGTCTAAATCTTCCAGGGCTTGCATCAGTGCTTCTGGAGCTGGTGAGGAAACAGGGCTTACAGGATATGAAGTTTCAGAACTGGGTGGTCAGATGGCAGTGCTTGGGCAGGAGAGGTGCTCACCAGGCTGGTCCAGGAAGTGACACTCCCCTGGCTCTGCAATCTGTCTCCTTTTTAGTAGTAACACCAGGGAGCTCAGATTCTCCTCACACACCCTGGGTTGTGGCAATGGTGGAGCTTCTAGTTCTAAGAAGGACTTAGGATACAGGCAGAGGCAGGATCCTGAGGGGAAAAAGACCTGGGAAAGAAGACCACTGTAGATTTCTCAGGGCTTGCATGTTGGTGACTCTTGGGTTTTTTATTTCAGTGAGGGCAAAGGCTCTTACCTGGTGGGAACCCTCTTGCTCGCAATCGTCTTGCCTCTGCCTGACACTTGCTGATTGGCCTCAACACTTGGAATTCTGCTCGGATCCTAGGATTGTAAACCTGTTGCCCGTCCCCCAACCAAGGCCAAGACAGATCAGAGTGGGCCATTTCTGTCTTTACTACCCCACCGCTATCTCTCTCTCTCACTCACACTTCGGAGCTCCAGTCCTGAGTCGATGACATGTTGGATGGAAGGGAGGGAGAAGGAGAAGTCAGCCAGCCAGTGAGTGACCACAACCTTTCGGGCATCCATGTCCTCATACACAGCCTGAACGGCTCGTCCACAGTCTGGGTGAAGGGGCAGTACTCGTGGTGGAAGCCCTTGGAGAAGCAAGGACTCTACCTCCCTGGACAAGGATTCACAGCACAGGGAAATTTCCTGAGAAGAAGGGTGGGTGGGGCATTAGGGCAGTTCTCACGTTTTTTGGGGTCACAGATCCCTTTGAAAGACTGTTGAAAGTTATGGCCCTTCACTCTGAGAAAATGCAAATTACTCATAAAGTTGAAGGTTTTATAATTTCAGGGGTTCACTGAATCACAAATCTCTGCATTAAAGGGAATAAAAAAGTGAGTGGTAAACCTCTTTACCCTGAAATCCTCAAGTTTTTCTCTGGGACCCCAACGGAGAGTAAATACTGCAACTCTACTGTTCCTAAGAGGCATTGCTCCCATTCCCATTCCTCAGGACTGGAAGATGATGATGAGTACCTCCTTTTGCAGGCTCATTTTGCAGGCTGTTTTTTTTGTTTTGTTTTGTTTTTTACCTCCTCACTGGGCAGGAACACTAGCACATCTCCTGGAAGCTCCTTCCGACACAATTCAAGCACTGCTTGGCAGGCAGCTTCCACCCGATCAGGTGGGATGGTGTCCCAGTAGATGGGGGAAGGTCTCTCACCAGGCTCTCTGGGTATATGCACAATAGGAGGATTGCCCCAGAAAGCTCGGAGCTTAGGTTCAAGGGCTGGGTCAGTAACCACAACCACTCTGAGGTCCCCCGGAAGTTTTTCCAGCCTGGCATCTTGCAGTAGCCCCTGGAGTGAATCTGATGCCACCGACCGCTCCTGAGCCTCATCTAGTACCAGCACGCCCCAGGCTCCAGTGCCTCGGGTCGAGGCCACCTCCTGCAGAAGCAGCCTGTCCCAGCAGAACCTGTTGACATTGGTAGTGGGCAGAGGAATCAGTGTGGACACTGACCAGCCCCACAAGCTCAGGGAATCTTCTCCCCAAGGGACGTATATTTTGATATTGAAGGTCAGAAAAATATGCTGTGACTTCCTGAGCCTATGGACCCATAACTGTCACCCCACAACCCCGCTGAGAACACTTTGTTCACAAGGTATACGCCAGCTGGGAAGTGAAATTTTTCTGATGAGGGTGAGGCTGAATGTCTGAGGCCCCTGGCTGGGATTCAAGGGCTTATTTTAGCCATTGCACCACACACAATTTAGAGTGAGTTGGGGCCAGGCACGGTGGCTCATGCCTGTAGTCCTTACACTTTGGGAGACCGAGGTGGGTGGATCACTTGAGCCCAGGAGTTTGAGACCAGCCTGGGCAACATGGCAAAAAATATAAAAATTAGCCAGGCGTGGAGGTGCGCGCCTGTATTCCCAGTTACTTGGGAGGCTGAGGTGGGAGGATCACTTGAGCCCGGGAGGTTGAGGCTGCAGTGAGTTGTGATTGCACCACTGCACTCCAGCCTGGGTGACAGAGTGAGACCCTTTCTCCAAAATAAATAAAATAAAAAAGAGTGAGTTGGGCTAAGGGAGGGTATGGTGAGATGCCAGAGGAATGGGTTTGTTTCTACTGAATAAGGGGAATTATATTCGGGTAAGGCCTGCAGAGGCCCCCACCTGAGCAGGGTGTTGGGCCCCGTGCAGTCCTCCTGGGGGATGCTGTATCCAACCTCATGACCCAGGGTCAGGTCCATCTCATCAGCAACCCGCAGAGCCAGGCTCCGGGCTGCAAGAGGGTAGGGCTGAGTAACAGTAACCTGTCCTTTCTGGAACCCTCTGGCCAGCGCAAACTCTGCACACCACTGAGGGATCTGGGATAGAAGTAGGGAAGGAGAGCCAGTGAGGAAGATGTAGGACTTCAGTCAGAAGTGCTCAGGGAACTATGGCCACTTTAATCTTTCCTTATTTGGGGAGTCCCCTGGTCTTTCACCAGCCTCCAGGGCCAACCTAACCCATCCCATCTCTCTTCGTTCACCTTCCTCATGACCCCACGCAGCCCAGTCCCCCCTTGCCCAGGGAAAGGCCACTTTCCCTTTGTCCTCCCTTTGTCCTCCCTTTGTCCACTCCCAGAATCTGCCTGCCCCCACAACCCCCACCACACCTGGGTGCTCTTGCCAGAACCAGGCTCCCCAGACACCAGCACCACTCCAGTGGGGTTACTCTCCAACTGCTCCAAGAAGGTAAAGCGAGCAGCCCAGATGGGCAAGGCTTGGCGCTGCTTCAGCAGCTCATAGTAGCGGGAAGAGAAGGGAAGCCCATCAAAGGGGTTCACAGCCAGTTCAGACTCCCCAGGACTTGGGCCATACTCTTCTGCTAGCCTGAGAGGCTGAGAGGTCATGGTGGCTCTCTGGCAGGACCTGCAGAAGGCAGAGCAGCCAGTAAGGTCATATTTGGTGACCGACACCATCTTCCCACCTCAGCCCTGATCCTTAACCTCTACCTTCAGTTGATCATGCTCTGGGGCCCACCCTTCCCAGCATTTCCTGCCAGGAAACAGTGCTAGGTATTTTGATAAAGGGCTACTGAGAGTTAGTCGACAGTCCCTATAGTCAGGTAGTAGAAATCTACCTGAGACTATTACCCCGTTGGCAGGTAGTAGAAATCTTACTTAGGCAGGGGTCCTCAAGGGCAGTAGAAATTATGTGAGACCTAGTAACCTGTGGGAAAGTCCTGAAGGGAAAAGGATAAAGAATATAGGGGGTGGGGAGAGGAACAGCAGAGTCACAGGGATCCTGGATTCAAACCTGCTTGCAGCTCTAGGACGTGTCAGGACGGCAGTCAGCTCCAGACCCACGTAGTCACCACCAACCCTGACCGTGTGAAGTACAAAGGTAAATTCCGGCTCTACCTCAGGGATGGGCTCAAACTTCAAATCCTGAAGCCTGCTTTTGGGGTGGGGCTATTTGCTCCACCTTATTTAACCTAGTCAGGAACCTATGGAAAACAGGCTCCAGCTACCACACTGAGCATGTGTGAACTCTATAGATGATGTGTAGTGTGCTTGTGAAAGGCATGCTGGGACTTGTAGTTTTGCAGCAGCTTCCTCCAAAACCTGGGCTGATCACCCAAGCTGGGTCTTCAGTTCAGTTACACTTCCTTAATTTATCACTCATCACTTGGCATGAGGAGGTGATTTTAGACAGTTGCAGTCTGACTACCCCCTTCAAATGTACGAGAAGACTCTCACCCCCATCCCCCGCAGCCAAGGAATAAGGAACCCACTCACAGGGCTTTTGAGACCGAGAGAGACAACAGATGCCTTGAATGAAAACCATGAATTTAATGTGACATTGGGGGAGCCTCATCCTTCCCTTTTTACCACCCACCCATCCAGCCTGTTGTGAGTTGGGTGAGGGCTGCCCCCAGTCTCCGTCCTGCGGCTCTGGGTGCCATCCTGTTCCTTTGAGCTCAGTCAGCCTCCTGGGCTCGTCTCTCTGTGAATCTCCTGTGGGACATAGGGAGAGATATTATTCAGGCTTTGCCGTAGTAGCTCCATAATTCCATTCTCCAATTTGCCACATCCTATTAATTGTCCTCTAACCCCCTCACCTTCTTGCGTATTCATATAGTGCTTGCTTGCGCTCCTGCAGGCTCTCCTGCCGGGCCCAGGAAGACTTGGCAAATGTTAGGGCTGTTGGCTGAGGGGTCACCGGGCCAGAGCTGGGAAACTGAGGTGATCACAATGTCAGAGGGCTTGCGGAGTCATCATCATTAAACACGCATCGAATGCCTACTTTGCAAGAGAGGCACTATGCTAGGGTCTCAGGATCAAAAAAGAAAGGTCAGGGATAAGGGAGTACATAGCCTGCCCCCAACTCACCCCAACACTTGGATCTGACCATTTCCTGGGTCTCACCTTGGAGGCAGAGGCTGTGGGTAGGGACTGAGTTCCCTTGGTGATGTCTTCAGGCATGAAAGCTACGGCCCCCTCAAGCAGATTAGTGATAGTCAAGTCTACACAGCCAGTCTTGGCTGGGGAGAAAAGAGAAGGGAGTCCACTCCCTACTTACTTTCTTCCTTCACAACCCACTTTTCCTCCCTGTGCCCATCTCCCAGTGTGGGGCCACCCTTTCCCATACCCAGGTCTCTCTGGATGACACCCAATGGCACATGGGGCAAAACTTCCTTGACTCTCTGAGCCAGAGTTGCCAGTTGCACATCAGGAGAAGGACCAGGGGAGGGAGGGAAAGAAGACTGGGCTGTGGAAAAAGGAAAAAAAGAAAAAAGAAATTCTGGTAAGTAGAGAACTAGAAGGAGAGGCTAACTAGCACAGAAATAGGGGAGGAATCACAGTAGGCCGAAAAAAAAAAACCCCAAAAGCTGTAATGTATAGAGACCACATACCTGACTGGGGGCGCAATCTGGGGTGTCTTTGTCGCTTCATGTGCTCTGCTTTGTCAGCTGGAGTGAGCCGTGTCCCTGTCTGGCCCAATTCCTTGGCCACCAGCTAGGGAGAATTGGAAGACTGGAAGTGTCAAGATCTCAAGCTTTCCTCCCTCTCCTCCTAAGCAGGGACCCCGCCTCCACCCTGTCTGTGCACCCGACCACCTGTTGTACACGGAGTGCAAACTCCTCATTCGCTTCCCCTAGTTGGCGATGAACAGGACGAAGCCACCTGCAAAGAAACAATCCAGGGCTATGTTGTGGGCACCCAGGGTAGAGGCTGTCACCATTCCCCACTTTGGTACCTCTTTGCATGGTGGGTGGGAAAATAGTAAATACTGTAAATACTTTGTGTTGCCTCTGTGGTAGAACCTTGATATAAAGATCTACAAATGGACAGGGCAGAGGCCACTAATTCCTTGACCTTGAGGTGAGCCTCTCCCCAGCGACCAAAATGTGAGGACAGTTAATACCTTACTTGATACACCGTGAAAGGGACGAAAAGTGACCACAGCAGTTCTGAGACCCAGGAGGCATCTGACACCGTCTGAGGGGAGGGCATGAGATGAGGCCTAAGCCAGGGCCAGGGATGGGAAATTTCCCCTTCAAGCCCCAGAGATTCCCTGTTCAACACACACTCACCACAGAGACCAGGGGTCTCTGAACTTGCAGGGTAAGAGGTTGTACCACATCTTGGATAGAAAATGGCCAGGAACTAGAAGAGGAAGGAGAAAGTAGGATGGGAATCCAGCCAGCCTAGTCAGCAGCTCACACCTGCCTTATAACAGGCAACTGTCAAACTCTACAAGCACATAATTGAAGAATGAAGGGATTCAGGAGAAAGAACTTAAAGTGGACAGAAAGGAAATGAACTGGAGATGATGGGGTCTAAGGGCCGAAGAAAGTTGTAAAAACTCAAGGGCCCACAAGCTTGACCACCTACCCAGCTGGCGCCCCATACCTGTGCTAAACCCACCTGAAGCGCAGGAGCCCCTCCCGGCCATTGGTGGCCTCTTCCTCAGGGAATAGCAGCAGAGGAGTGGGGGGAAGCCTCGTGGAAGCACAGAATCTCTTGAGTGACTCCACCAACTCCCCCCGCCCATTCATCTCCATGAAGCCCCGAGACCAGCACACAAAGCTGGGGGGACTATTGAGTAGAGGCTGGGAACCAGGAGAAGAGAAAGCAAGAAGAAAAATATTGAGGAAAATGAAAAAAAAAACTGACATGTTGGGTAGAGGATCGGGGTTAGGGGTAAGGCTCAGTATCCTCCATGGGGAACGCGAGTGGGGACAGGGGGGCCTTCAGCTGGGCCCCAGGGAACCGCCCCGTGGCGCTCTCGGCCTCGCTCTCACTCACGGTGCTACAGGTGGTAAGCAAATTGACTATGTTGTGGTCGAAAGGTGTCACATGGTTGGAAATGAGGACCCTGACACTGTGATCCCGGAGTCCGGAGTCCTCCTGCCGGGCCACGAGCCCTAGCACCGCACACATGGTCCGCACTACGAATCTGGGGACACAGGAGGTGGTGACTGTGTGGCCTCGGGCCAGACCCAGCTCTGACACTCCCCGAACGCCCGCGTCGGAACCTGCGAAGGACGCTGTCTGGCAGCGCGCAGCTGACCAGGAAGACGTGGATCCCGAGAAAGAGGCGCAGGACGAGGAGGCAGAACCCGACTGGCGCGTAGAGCAGCAGCACGAGCAGTAGGAAGCAGTCACCCGGAAGCCTGGGGGCGAGAGGCGAAGTGGTCAGGCGCCGAAGGCCGAGAGCACGCGGGGATCGGTCTCTTCCCGCCGGGTCTCTTACCGGTGCGAGTCAAAGAGCCGCTCCGGCCCCGGCCCTGAGGGAAGCTCCATAACTGCTGCTTCAGGAGCGCCCGGCCGTCGCCGCCGCCGCCATTTTCGCGCCCGGCCGCAGGGGCTCTTGGGAAGGCGGAGTCTTTGGGCATCCGCCCGGGGTGAGGGGACCCGAAGTCCTGAGGCGCGCCGGAAGGGCTAGCGGTCCCAGCATACCCCGCGGCCCCTTGGGCCGTCTCACAACTCGCGTCCGGCGGAGACCACAATTCCCGGCATTCGTGGGGCAGGGAGGAGTCGGCCTCCCGGAATCCTGGTCCCGGCGTGCACTTCTGAAGGACTTCAGGTACCGGCGTGCCCCGCGTCCTACTGTCCGCCTGCTCGCGTCCTGGGTGCCGCCTCTGAGTAGGGCGGGCGAGGAGGCAGCCAAGGCGGAGCTGATGGCTGCGCCGAGGGCGGGGCGGGGTGCAGGCTGGAGCCTTCGGGCATGGCGGGCTTTGGGGGGCATTCGCTGGGGGAGGAGACCCCGTTTGACCCCTGACCTCCGGGCCCTGCTGACGTCAGGAACTTCTGACCCCCGGGCCCGAGTGACTTATGGGACCCCCAGTCTCTGGGCCCGGTTGTCTGTTGGGGTCACTGAACCCCGAGCATGCCTGACGTCTGGGACCCCGGGTCCCCGGGCACAACTGACTGCGGTGACCCCAGATACCAGGACCCGGGAGGCCTCAGAGAACTCTGGAACCCGTTCGCGCGCGTGGCTGGCGGTGGCGCTGGGCGCTGGGGGGGCAGTGCTGTTGTTGTTGTGGGGCGGGGGTCGGGGTCCTCCGGCCGTCCTCGCCGCCGTCCCTAGCCCGCCGCCCGCTTCTCCCCGGAGTCAGTACAACTTCATCGCAGATGTGGTGGAGAAGACAGCACCTGCCGTGGTCTATATCGAGATCCTGGACCGGTAATGGTGGGGGTAGACCGGGAGGCACTGAAGCCACAGGCTGGAGGGCGGGCGGGTAGGAGGGGTCAGAGCCTCCTCTTATCTGTGCTTTCCCTCCATTTCAGGCACCCTTTCTTGGGCCGCGAGGTCCCTATCTCGAACGGCTCAGGATTCGTGGTGGCTGCCGATGGGCTCATTGTCACCAACGCCCATGTGGTGGCTGATCGGCGCAGAGTCCGTGTGAGACTGCTAAGCGGCGACACGTATGAGGCCGTGGTCACAGCTGTGGATCCCGTGGCAGACATCGCAACGCTGAGGATTCAGACTAAGGTGGGGGCTGGGGTAGGCCAGGTCTGGTTGGAGCTGCTTATTTGCTCGCATCTTCAGATGACAGGTCTCTTTTACCCATTCTCCCTTAGGAGCCTCTCCCCACGCTGCCTCTGGGACGCTCAGCTGATGTCCGGCAAGGGGAGTTTGTTGTTGCCATGGGAAGTCCCTTTGCACTGCAGAACACGATCACATCCGGCATTGTTAGCTCTGCTCAGCGTCCAGCCAGAGACCTGGGACTCCCCCAAACCAATGTGGAATACATTCAAACTGATGCAGCTATTGATGTGCGTCCTGATAGGAGAGAAATGACAAATGATGGGGGAGGGGGGAGAGGCTGTGTGGTACAAGCACCAACTGATATATGGTGGATGAGCCTATATAGAGCTTAGGCTGCAAAAATGTGGCCACTTATTCATGGGCTGAGAAAGAAGAGAATTTGGAGAAAGTACCTACATCCTGGTATGCCCCCAGACTTAGAATCCCCAGATCTCTTTCATGTTTTCTCCTTGTCCTACAGTTTGGAAACTCTGGAGGTCCCCTGGTTAACCTGGTGAGTGAGACATCCTTCCTTCCAAGAATCCCTGCCCCAGGTCAGTGTGGGAAGGGTAGGTTTCCCCTAATTCAAGGATGTTTGGTCAAGTTTCTGAGCAGTTCTTTGTTGGCTATCTCTCAATATCCAACCAGATCTCCCCAACACTTGCTGGTACTTTTGTTCGGGTGCCCCCATCCCCTACTATTTGTTTAGGCTAGGGAACTGGGGGCTGTATCCCTGCAGGATGGGGAGGTGATTGGAGTGAACACCATGAAGGTCACAGCTGGAATCTCCTTTGCCATCCCTTCTGATCGTCTTCGAGAGTTTCTGCATCGTGGGGAAAAGAAGAGTGAGCCTGCCTTATGGGGAAACGGGTTCCTTTAATGTGGTGGAAATAGGGGAAGGGCATTCAGTGGGACTTCCTGGAGGGTGGTCTACTGGGAGAAGAGGGCAGGGAAGGAAGGATGTAGCTGGGTGGGGCTCATTTGTCCCTCTGTCACAGATTCCTCCTCCGGAATCAGTGGGTCCCAGCGGCGCTACATTGGGGTGATGATGCTGACCCTGAGTCCCAGGTATGAGCTTTAGGGACAGTGACATGTAATGTGACCAGTGTAATCAGAGGGGGGCACCTCTATTGAGCTTTGTTCTCATTTCTGTCTTTATCTAAGATGAACTGTGTCACACTTGAAATAATCACAAGAGCTGTCTCCCTTCATCATCTTGACTTTCTTATCCCACTCCACTTTGTACACCTGTCACCAGATTGATTTCATCCTGTTACTGCTTTGATTTCAAGCCTTCAATCCATTAACTTGGCATTTAAGGGCCATTTTCCATCTGTCTGTAAATCAACTTTCTAGACCTGGCTGTAATACCTTCCTATATGAATACTCAGCCAACCTGATTTCCTACTCCCATGTTTTTTATTTATGCTGTTCTTGTTTTATATGGTTAATATCAGATCCATCCTTTTAGGCTCAACTTAAGTTCTTTCCCCTTAAAGCTTCTCTTAGTATTCTAGAATGACATTAGTGCTATTGATTTAACACTGTTTGTCATTTGGTGCCCTCATGTGGTGTACATCTTTTATGTACATGTTGCACTTTATTGCTAGAAGACAGAAAGTGAGTTGCCATTGTATTTTGTAGTACCTAGCCCATGTCCTGTCCATATATTTATCAATGTGTTGATGAGAGACTTGAGGTGGAACTCAGGATGGGGAGAATGCCTGGGTTTGGCTAATAGGGTGATCTGTGTACTTTCAGCATCCTTGCTGAACTACAGCTTCGAGAACCAAGCTTTCCCGATGTTCAGCATGGTGTACTCATCCATAAAGTCATCCTGGGCTCCCCTGCACACCGGTGAGGGAGAGGCTGCAGTGTGATATGGGGATGGGCAAGGTGTGCATGTGTCCTTGAACTAGGCTTTGTACTCCTTCCTTTCTCTCTGTCCATTTTTCTCTATAGGGCTGGTCTGCGGCCTGGTGATGTGATTTTGGCCATTGGGGAGCAGATGGTACAAAATGCTGAAGATGTTTATGAAGCTGTTCGAACCCAATCCCAGTTGGCAGTGCAGATCCGGCGGGGACGAGAAACACTGACCTTATATGTGACCCCTGAGGTCACAGAATGAATAGATCACCAAGAGTATGAGGCTCCTGCTCTGATTTCCTCCTTGCCTTTCTGGCTGAGGTTCTGAGGGCACCGAGACAGAGGGTTAAATGAACCAGTGGGGGCAGGTCCCTCCAACCACCAGCACTGACTCCTGGGCTCTGAAGAATCACAGAAACACTTTTTATATAAAATAAAATTATACCTAGCAACATATTATAGTAAAAAATGAGGTGGGAGGGCTGGATCTTTTCCCCCACCAAAAGGCTAGAGGTAAAGCTGTATCCCCCTAAACTTAGGGGAGATACTGGAGCTGACCATCCTGACCTCCTATTAAAGAAAATGAGCTGCTGCCATCTTTTGTGGGCAGTTAGTCAGGTGCTGCTCTTTGTGGTGTGGTGGGCTCTGGTCTGTTCTGCTCGGTGCTGGGCCTGGGAGCAAAGATTCCCATGCTTGGCTACAGATACTGACAGCTGGCCTCTGAAGGAGGGTGAAAACTTCTGCTTGACAGTTCCACATCCATAGTGCATGGTCTGATGAGTGCGGTTGCTGACATGGGTTTCTTGGTAAGCTCCTGAGGTAATGGCAGCCTCAGACCCCTGCCATTAGGGGCCAGTGGTGGTTTGCAGAGGGCAGTGGCACTTAGATAATCTGGTTGCTGGTCTGGCCAGGGTAGCGTTCAAACCTCCTGTTGGCCTCTTCACTGAAGGCATCACCTGCAGAGTGGACAGGCAATTTGGGAGGCGCCCTGCACAGAGGGAGGGAGATAGATGCACTGTGGAGAAGGGTGGGTAGAAGTGGAGGGACTGAGAGCTCTACAGGAAGGTGGGAAGATGGAGAAACAAGCTATGGAAAAGAGAATGAACGTCTTTCCCTCCCATCCCCTAATCTTCCTGGGTTGCTCTTCCCATCAAATACCAATGTGGCAGTTGTGCACCCAGATTCTATGTCCATCATATTTGCAGTTACATTTCATTGCATTGTTGGTAAAGTCACTCTCTGCTACTTCAAAGTTTGGGTTGATGACAACCTGTGAGTGAGAAAAAGGCCACTTAACCCAGCGACAATCCTCGAATTCAAAGGTGTCTTTAACGCTCCCCCCACTCACCCATCTGGAAGCCCCAGACTCCAGGTACCTGGAGAATGTAGTTTCCTGGCTTCACATCCGTGATGTCAATCCACTGACAGTCAATGTCATGCCGGTAGAGATCCCAGCAACCCACAGTGATGCCTTGCTCTCCAAAGTTGGCACACTCATACCGCTTGGAGACATCTGGAGGGATTGGCATATGTCAGTGTAAGGAAAGGCTGTGCAATGGATACCATGTGGTTCACTTCAGTCCCCAACTCACCCTCCTGACACTCAGTGTCTTCGAGACAGAAACTAGCTTTGTGGCCCTCAGCCACCTTGGTGCCATTTGGGGTGAGGATATCATAGTGAGTGAAGATGTCCATGCTGTGGTAATGCCTGTGGGGAGAAGGGAACTTCTGTTTCCTTCTCTGCCCCCAGAAGGTTTGCCCCATCCCCCGTGGTCTTGCCCTTCTACTTGACTCCCTACCCTCTCACCCATGGCACTCGTGCCACACCCAGGAGTGGCGCCCAGCCTTGGGCCTGAAGTCAGCTCGTCCCAGGTTGTGGATCTGGGAGGAGAATCGGAGCAGACGCCGGTGACCATAGGGCCAGTTGGCTGAGCGGGCTGAGCTGGCCAGGCAGTTCTCTTCCGCAGCACAGTACAACATATGCAGGGGCCGGTCTTCGATGTAGGCGGTCTCCTGCACCAGTGCTGAGTGCAGCAACAGATCTGATGCAGCTGCACCAAGAAAGGAAGGGGGTGTTAGAAGTCACTGCTGACTTCACAGAGAGGGGTGCTTCCATCCCTCCCTAGTGTGTAAGACTAGTTTTTTGTTTTTGTTTTTGTTTGTTTGTTTGTTTGAGATGGAGTCTCACTCTGTTGCCGAGGCTGGAATGCAGCGGCGTGATCTTGGCTCACTGCAACCTCTGCCACCTGGGTTCAAGTGATTCTCCTGCCTCAGCCTCCCGAGTAGCTGGGATTATAGGCGCCTGCCACTGCGCCTGGCTAATTTTTGTAGTTTTAGTAGAGACAGGGTTTCACCATCTTGGTCAGGCTGGTCTTGAATTCCTGACCTCGTGATCCATCCGCCTTGGCCTCCTAAAGTGCTGGGATTACAGGCGTGAGCCACTGCACCCGGCGAAACTGGCTCTTTTATGGGGAAGAAGTGCCCCTCCAGATTACAGCCCCCTTTCCCTGCAAACGGGTGGCCCAGACACTCCCTTCCCTGGCATGCATCACCCCCTCCTTCACTCACTCTCAGAACAGATGACTCCAGCAGTGAAGCGGGTCCCTGTCCTCTTGCAGGTGATGTGGGTGCCATGATGGGCACACTGATCCAGGGACAGCTCAGTCCCTGTGCAGCGCACTCCACTCATCACCACCTCTGTTATATTCCCAGAGTCCCAGTACCAGGTCTCCTGGGGACATATGCAGATGTTTCTGTAAGGCCCAGGATCCAGCATCTTGGGCCAAGGGACTCATTCCTCAGCCCTCTGCCCAAAACACAGGCTTTGAGACAACAGCCTCGGCTCCCCTTTCCTTCCCACTCACCTGCAGGCCGTGGTTGGCGTAGCCCAGACCCAGTTGCCTACAGGCCACCATGGCCTCCAGGGTCCCCCAGTCATCCCCACAGATGAGGCCCCAGCGAAGGGGCCCAGGTCCCCCTATTTGCACCTCGACTCGCCCCTCATGTTGGCTGCGGCCCCCACTGAGTCGGATCTGTAGTGACACAGAATGGAAGCGCTGGAGAAAGCTTTGGGGTGAGGTAGTGGGAGTCTCTAACAGATGTGGCTGAAGCGTGACTCAGGCACATAATGGGCTAGCAAGTGATGGGTCAGGTGGGAGCTGCAGGAGGGCAGGGGCCTGGGGCAATGGGCTGGGGGCCATTGGACTGTAGATTGGAGACCAGACCTGGATAGGATGAAAGAGACCTCAACCAAGGTAGAGAGGATGACTGACCCTGGTCTCTGCCCCAGTGTAAGGTAGGTTGCACCGGACCCCGGCATCCTGGCTATGTGAACAATCCTCAGCTGTGATGTTCTTGTGGGGGCACTTCCAGAGGGAGAGCTCCTGTCCAGAGCAGCGAACTTCACTCAGGTGGATAGCACCCATGCCTAGGGCCAGATGGCAAAGATCAGGAAGTTGTAATTAAGCATATATTGTCTGCCCAGGGGACACCTAACCTTCCGAAGGAATATGCCCCCCAGGAGCATGTACCTCCTTCCCTCTCCCTCCCACCTCCATGCCACCTCACCCTGCCCCATGCGAGCGCCACTCAGAGCTTCTCGAGCACTCCCGAAGCCCAGCTCCCGACACACCACGCTGGCTGCATGCAGGTCCCACTTGCGGTCACAGACTGTGCCCCATGTGCTGGCCTTCAGGACTTCTACCCGGCCCTCTCCAGGGTGGGCGCCGCCCTTTAGACGGACACGGGCCTATAGAAGAGAGAAGTGCCCAACAGAGGCAAATGGCAACATCTGCACGGAGGGCTAAGCAGACCTGGGAGATGAGTGAGACTTTGGTGGAAGGGAGTGGGTGGTATCAGGTCTGTGGCCCACCCCCTGGAAGGCTCCTCTCTGTCCTCAAAGGTCAGGGCTGTGCTTAGTCTGGGGTTGCCAGGCTAGGGGTTCTCCACCTGGGGTGGGAAAGGTCATAATCACTGTCTCACACACCTCCCCCTGAGGCTTCGACTGTTGTTGCTTCTTCTGGCCACTGGATGCCGCGTAGACAGGGCCTGGCACACAGCTCACCACTGCAGGGCCCCCCCCAGGGCACCTGGCGGTGTCATTGGCACGATAGAACTCCAGGGAACAGAGGGAGAGGTGGGCCTCCGTGCCCACGCACGCCACCCCATGCAGACCAAAGGAGTGTTGCTGCCGTTGGGCTAGCAGCCTAGGGGGACAGGAGTGAGGTGCAGTAGGGTAAAACAATGCTCCTGCCTCTTGGCCCCACAAACATCCTCCCACTTCATGCCTCCACCATGCCCCCCACCCTTTTGTGACCATTTATCTCCTCTTCTTCCCCCTTCCATGTTTCCCTCGGGAGATACATGGGGATTGCTGAGTTTCCAGGCTGAGGGAGCCTCAACTACCCAGATAGGAGGGGCCTTGGGGACCTCCTGCAGTAGAACAACCTTAAGAGAAGGATGGCTAGTCTCGACTTGCCTGGAAGAAACTGTTCCAAGTGGTTTCAGGCTGCTGGCCCTAAAGGAGGCTGAGGCTAAGGCCTCAGGGAAGGGGAAACCAGGACTTTCCAGTTGGAAGAAATGGCCAGGAGGGAGTGGCTGACACAGGAAGCCTGAAAAGCCAGGGCGAGCAAGTCCTTCTGTGATGCTGAGACTGGAATAACTGAATGAGTCAGGATGCAAAGGACTAAGGAAGTCTCCCATCTCCATAGCTCCGCAGAGGCCAGAGACTCTGCAGGACAGATTAGGAGGGGCAGATGCAGCAAGAACAGACCAGCAGGTAGACGCAAGAAAAACTGGGACTGGCATATGCAAGAATGAAGATGTATAAATGCAGGACAGGTCAAAGTTTGAGGGAATAAATGACCAGAGAAAGGAGATGGATGTGAACAACAAAATGGCAAAGACATCCCAGGACCTGTGCTGTGTAAGTCTTTAAAAAGGCAGTCCATGCTTCTGCAATTTCAACGTAACAGTGTCCCAAAGCCATCTGAATAGGATAATGGGACTGAACTATAGATGCTAAGGCTTGGAAATGCTGCCGAGATGTTTGAGAGAATGGGGGGACTTCTTTATCGATACCAGTAGAATGAGAGGCTGCAGTGAGGCACGTGCCAGAGTGAAGTACACTCTGCCCGCAGAGAAAGGGAAGAAAATGAGGTCTGGTGCTGGTGGAACGGGCCTGTGAGGCTGATGTAGTCATGCATTATTGCAATAATGTGCCCTATCACTTGATGTCAGAGGAAGGATGGAATATGATGACTTGAAGCCATTGGCTAGGAAGACACAGGAGGAGGAAAAGTTTATACACAAAACAGACAAAGGAAGCCTGGAGACTTTACAGAATACCTTTGGAAGCTCAGGATAAATGGATCCTGAAGATCTAAGAGATCAGGCACTCTCCCACAGTCCTGTTTGGCTGAAAGTAAAAGTCAAGGAGCCCATCACAGGAAAAATACATCTATCTTCTAAACATCCTCATTCCCGTTGTCTACAATGAACAAAATAAAAATGGCAGTGTGTACTTTAATGTGCAGGTCAGGGAAGGCTAGAGTGTGGCCATGTTGGGCAAAGATGACCCTAAGCTAGAAGGGCACTACAAGAACATCCCCAAATTTCTGAGATCCTTTGAAACCACCAGAGAAGCTGGGGAATGAGGGCTATGAGGGGACCACTGGGTGAGACTAGAACTTGTTGAGAACAGGAGGGGAGAAAGGGATGAATTATCGATACTTCAGTCCCTCTTGAAGTTATCAGGGAGACTTTTAATGTGCAAACTGCCTTTTGAAGACAAGTTAGATGTAATTACAGGGGTTGGAAGCTTCCCACTTCGAGTTCTAAAGGAGCCCAGGAGGAAAATTAGGGAACTGGGAGCCTAATTGTGGAAAATGAGCCAGAGAGGCAGGGGCTGTCAATCTGACTGCATTCCTGGTAAAGGTTCCAAAGGGGACGCTGAGTTTCCCTCCATCTCGAGTAAGCTGGTAGCACTTATTTTTAACAACTAATCAAATAAAGCATTTGATTTGGGAACACTGATCCTTTAGGCAAATGTAACCTCTTACAGGAGACGCAAGTATGGCGTCTGAAAGAGAAAAGCACCATGTTGTCTCCTGGAACTCAGCAGGGGAAGATAAGTAAACATGTGGAACGAGGTAGTCAGTGAGTGAAAAAACAAATCCTAGGACAAGCATCATTCCTGAGACCAAGGTAAGGACCAGTCTTGCGTAACACTTCAGTAAATGCCCTGGAAGGTGATTTCTAAGAGCTGCTGCTGCTCCTCCTCTTGGTCAGCTCTTTCAGCCACAAAGGCCTCCTGGACCCCCTCCCTCCCTGGCCACAGCCGAGTAACTCCATGCTCCCTCTCCTTTCCACCCAACCTGAATTTTATTTACCTCTTGTGTGGCCCCCTGACCACTCGGGGTTTGGGTTTGACTTTAAGCTTGGTGATTGGTCCGCAAAAAGGAGAAGGAAGTTGGTAGAGGTAGTGGTTACATATGTGGCGCAGGAAAGGTACAGGGTTATTTTTCTGTTTCTGGGAAAGACCCTTTGTGGGCAGCATGGGGATGGGAAAAATGAAGATTTTCCGCATCCACCGTCTGCTGAACACCATTGAACTGCATTTCAGGAACTCATGCTGCTCTCTGGATTCAGCAACAGTAATGGGAAATCTAGCGATGTCAATCCAGGTGGGGGAGTTGGGAAGGGGAGAAGGGAAGAGGAAAGGTGGAGAGGGGAGAGAATGGGAATGTGGGTGAACTAAGGGAGGTGATGGAGGGGGCAGGAAGGAGGAAGAATGAAGGTGGCTGAGGCTGGAATCCAAGCTATTTGGGGTAGGTGTAAAGATGGGAGGCTTCTCAGCCACTCCTACATTACTTCCTCCTTGTGTTCCCTAAGATCAAAGCTTGCCCATCCCCATGCCTGCTCCCTTCACCTCCCTGCAGGAAAAGCCATTTTCCTCACATCCCTAATCCATCAGCTTGGGTTCTGGGATGGACATGGATGGCTGCCATCCATCCATCCACCTCCTGGGGCCGCAGGGCGAGCAGGAGGTCCCGGGGCTCTTGCCCCATACCTTCCAAGGGGCTTGGGGTGTCGGGCTGAGACCTTGGCCGCTCGCTTCCTCAACTTTCTGTGAGGATAAGACAACAGTAGTCAGGGTTAGTGTAGAACCAAGTGGAAAAGCTGGTGCAACTAGGACCAGGGGCAAGATTTCTCTTCTAGCAGTCCGAAGGCTTCCTGGTGGCAGGATATTATAACAGCAGACACTCCTGAGACCCGAGCTTTCTTTTTTCTTTTTTTTGTATTTTTAGTAGAGATGGGGTTTCACTATGTTGGCTAGGCTGGTCTCGAACTCCTGACCTTGTGATCCACCCGTCTTGGCCTCCCAAAGTGTTGGGATTACAGGCGTGAGCCACCGCACCTGGCTGAGACCCAAGCTTTCATAGCTGCTTGGCCTCTTCAGCACATGACCAGGTGGGTGAGCAGAAGTGAAGGCCGTGGACTCAGGACGGTGCCCCCATGCCAGCACCCTCAGAAATTAGCTAGGGCAGATGGCAAGTAAGGACTCCTGAGTCCAGATGTTAGTGCTAAACCTCAGTGGAGGGCTAAGGGGAGCATCGTTAGGATTGTTAAGATTGCCAGACTGACCAGGCTAGGCGGCAGAACTAGCCTGAGTCAGGCCTAGGGAGGCTACTGTGTCTTTTTTTCCTGGATGCTCTCTTTGAGAAAGACTCTGGCATTGTTCAGGCCTGAGGCCGCTGGACCAGGACCAAGAACCAAGGCCGAATATCCAAGGGCGTTAACTTGGTTTGACTGGGGAACACAGGCCAGGCTCCTTACAATGACACCACCCTTCCTGCTGAAGTTCCAATCCCATATGCTGTGGTCATTCACAAACTGAGTTCATCTCCCAAACTTACTTCCAGGGAAATAAATAATTTTTCCTTTTTTTTTTTTTTGGTCTTTGAGACAGGGTTACTCTGTCACCCAGGCTGCAGTGAGCCATGGTGCAACCATGGCTCACTGCAGCCTTATCTCCTGGGCTCAAGTGATTCTCCCACCTCAGCCTTCTGAATCGCTGGGACCACAGGTGTGCACCATCATGACTGGCTAATATTTGTTAGAAGCAGGGTCTCACTATGTTGTCCAGGCTGGTCTCATCTCAAACTTCTGAGCCCAAGCTATCCTCCTGCCTTGGCCTCCCAAAGTGCTGGGATAACAGGCATGAGCCACTGAGCCCAGCCTTAGTTGTCCTTTCTTTGAACATGTTCCTGCTCCGCTGTTTCTCTTGAGGAGTCATATTTCAACATAGTACAGCTGGCCTTCCATATCCATGGGCTCTGCATCTGTAGATTCAACCTCCATCTGTACTGAACACGTACCAACTTTTTTTCTTGTCATTATTCCCTAAGCAATAAAATATAACAACTACTTATGTAGCATTTACATTATGTTAGGTATTATAAGTAATCTAGAGATGATTTAAAGCATACAGAGGATGTGCATAGGTTATATGCAAATACTATAGCATTTTATATCAGGGACTTGAGCATCTTTGAATTGTGGTATCCTTGGGAGATCCTAGAACCAATCCCCCATGGTTACTGAGGGATGACTGTTTAATGTGTGAAGACACCTTGGGATTTAAATATACGTATATATTTTAAACCAGTCAGAAGCTGTTTGATATTTTCTGCCTCAGCTTCTTCCTGAGGATGTACTTAGTTGGTCTCTTTGCCAAAGTGTCCAAAGTGTTGGACATTCCTGGCAAAGAATATACAACTCTCAGGTCCCTTTACTGAGACATTGCTAATAGTTAGACTCTTTCATCTTATAAATATGGTGTGAAATTTTTTCTCCAAATGTCTTTTTCTCAAACATGTCTAAAATGTCTAAAATGAAATACACTTGGCCTCTTCACCAATCAACCTGGAGAGTTCACCTTGATCTCCAGAGTAGTACTAAAACATTTTGGTATTATCTAGAAATTTAGAAGTACCTCTTCTCTAAATTATTTAAGGACCTTATATCAACAGGTCTTTGTATTATTTATATATATATATACACAAACATATGTAATCTTATTTCATATTTATATAAAAGAGTTTAGACCCTTTTATCTTATAAATATTTTATATATAAAATTATATATAAGTTATGTTAAGGACTTTGTCCTCATTGAGGACCAGTGCTGTTATTTGTCTTGATTTAAATTTCTTCATTCACAGATGTGTTTGTTTCCACCTACCATTTGTTCCTTCCTTCAGCCATCAAACATAAAAACCTATGTAGGCCAGGGGCAGCGGCTTACGCCTGTAATCCCAGCACTTTGGGAGGCTGAGGCAGGAGGACTGCTTGAGCCCAGAAGTTTGAGACCAGCCTGGGCAACACAGTGAGACCTCGTCTCTACAAAAAATTTAAAAATTAGCCGGGTGTGGTGGCTCGAGCCTGTAGTTCCAGCTACTCAGGAGGCTGAGATGGGATGATCGCTTGAGCCCAAGAGGTCGAGGTTGCAGTGAGCCATGATGGCGCCACTGCACTCTGGCCTGGTCAACATAGAGAGACCCTGTCTCAAAAACAAGGAATCAAACAAACAAACAAACAAACAAAGAAAAAACCCAAAACAAAAACCTGTCTACATTTGCATATCCTCTTCTCATACCTTTCAACTATTTTTCTTCTCTAAGTCTACTGTACCTAAATGTTTCTAAATTCCATCTCTTACAATTTTTCTCAGTCCTGCATACCATTTCTTTTTCTCAACTGAATCCTTTTAAACATTCAAATCACTCCTACACATGCACACACACACACACACACACACCCTCTACTTATCTCTCCTCCCCTTCACAGTAACATTTCTCAAGAGCTGTCCATACTTATCATCTTTATATCCTCTCTTCCTACTTTTTTTTTTTTTTTTTGAGACAGAGTCTCGATCTGTCACTCAGGCTGGAGTGCAGTGGTGCAATCTTGGCTCACTGCAACCTCCGCCTCCTGGGCTCAGCAATTCTCCTGCCTCAGCCTCCCAGGTAGCTGGGATTACAGGCACGCACCACCACAGCCAGCTAATTTTTGTATTTTTAGTAGAGACGGAGTTTCATCATGTTGGCCAGGCTGGTCTCAAACTCCTGATCTCAGGTGATTCACCTGCCTTGGCCTCCCAAAGTGCTGGGATTACAGGTGTGAGCCACCATGCCCAGCCTCCTCTTACTCATTTTTCAACCCACTTCCTCTGGTTTTCCCTACCTATCACTCTGCAAACTTCTATTTTGTTAAATCCAGCAGACATTTTTCAGTCTTCATCTTAATGACCTCTCTGCAACATCTGACTGTCCTCTCTTTCCTTGGCTGCTATAACACTACAATATCCTGGTTTTATTCCTAATTCTGCTTATTATTATTATTAATTTCCAGAGTGGCTCCCCAGGGAGCAGGGCTGACTCCTAGGCAGTGTGCCTAGAGCCGCCTACTCCTAATTCTGGTTGCTCTTTCTTGGTCTTCTCTGCAGGCTCCTCCCCTATCTGGTCATTAAAATTTGTGGAGCTCTTTCTTAGGCATTTTGTTCTCACTTCATATAGGGCCCTCTATATGGTCTAATTCACACCTAGTGTATTCATAATCTTGTCTATTTCATTGCCTTCTTGATGTTTCTAGGTAGAGATCTGAAAGTAATCTGAAATGTAATGTAGGTCCAAAAAAAAAAGATAATTATCTCAGTAAAATCCACTCCAGAAACCTAGGGGTCAATCCTGACTTCTCCCTTTCTTGGATCCCAAAGTCAATCAATAACCAAGTCCTGTCAATTTTACTTCTAAATATCTCTCCAATCCATATCTTTTGCTCCTCTCCTGATTATTCTCAGAAATAGAGTCAAAGGCGGGGCGTGGTGGCTCATAGCTGTAATCCCAGCACTTTGGGAGGCCAGGACAGGCAGATCACTTGATCTGATCCTGAGGTCAGGAGATCAAGACCAGCCTGGGCAACATGGAGAAACCCCATCTTTACTAAAAATACCCAAAAATCAGCAAATTAGCTGGGCATGGTGGCGCGTGCCCGTAATCCCAGCTACTCGAGAGGCTGAGGTAGGAGAATTGCTTGAACCCAGGAGGCGGAGGTTGCAGTGAACCAAGATTGCACCAGTACACTCCAGCCTGGGTGACAAAGCAAGGCTCTGTCTCAAAAAAAAAAAAAAAAAAAAAAAGAAAAGAAAAGAAAAAAAAGAAATAGATTCAAATGATCTTTTGGAGTCACAAACCTGATCATGCCATCTCATAGCCCTCCCCATTAAAACACTTCAATGGCCGGGCACGGTGGCTCAAGCCTGTAAGCCCAGCACTTTGGGAGGCCGAGGTAGGCGGATCACCTGAGGTCAGGAGTTCAAGACCAGCCTGGCGAGCATGGTGAAACCTCGTCTCTACTAAAAATACAAAAATTAGCTGGGCGTGGTGGGCACCTGTAGACCTAGCCACTCAGGAGGCTGAAGCAGAAGAATCACTTGAACCCAGGGAGGTGGAGGTTGCAGTGAGCAGAGATTGTGCCACTGCACTCCAGCCTGGGCAACAAGCCAGACTCCCTCTCAAAAAAACAAACAAACAAAACAAACAAACAAACAATCCAAACATCAAAGGCTTCCCAATCCTTTTATCATAAGGACCTGAATCCTTATGATGGCCTATAAGGTCTTCTATGATCTGCAGCCTAATAACCTCTCTTGTCATTTATTCACCTTTGTATTCTCAGCACCTTGCACAGTACTTGGCAAATAGGAGTTCAATAAACATCTGTCAAGCTGAAATGAACTAGAAGAGTGACTTCTTAAATAGCACTGAAGCTCTTAGAGCCTCAATTTCATTACCTGTAAAAGAGTAGTAAATAGTTCAATTATCTGTACATTCTTTTCTTATTCTAAAGTTCTACAACTTTTACATGTTCTAGGGTAGAACTACCAAAACAAATTGAAAAATGATTAATACATCAGGTTTTGATTTTCTCATTCCCTAAATCTTACTGACTTCCTCTAAAAGCCAGCAGATCCATTTTTTTTCCCTAAGGAGGGGAGAGTTGTTTACAACTGTCTTGCCTATCTTTCATAATTGTAATAATTGTATCACCTGTGAGAATGCTCCCTCTGCTGGGCCTGACCTGTGAAGGATCTAGATCATAGCCCCATCACAGAATCTCCCAGGGCTCCCGCAATCTCTTTCCCCACGAAGAATGGCCTCTGTGCTTTAGTGTATCTCTTTCTCCAGCCTTTATATCCCAGACTTAGTATGAGATTCCGATATGTCCAACAAATATTCCTGATCCCTAAAACTTATTTCAGCTTTGCATACCTGGGGACAATTCCTGTGTCTCAAACTTTCCAAGGACAGCCCATCTCTAAAGCTAGTTCATATTAACCTGAAGCCCAGAGATGGCTGCTGGTACCATCCTTCTCTCAGGCAGCATCGGAATCATTTTAGGTGTCTGTTCTCTCATTCTCTATGTTCTATCAGTCATCCTACATCTATTCATTTTCCTCCATCTTTGTTTTTACCCTCCTGATAAGCTTCAATTTTAGAACAAACTCCTGACTGGTCTTACTGCATCAAGACCCTCCTCTCCTCATCCACTACTATCAGGCAAACTTTCAAAAACACTGGCTTTATTCTTGTCCCATATAAATACCTTTATTTGTAATTTTTCTATAAGGCAAAGGCCAAACTCTCCAATTTGGCACCTAAAGCATTCCATTTTCTGGCCTCCCTTTATCCAGATCTTCCACTATTTCTCAGTATAAACCTACTCTTGCTAACTTACTGTCTTCCAAATATAAACCATTCATTATCATCTCTGTTGGGGCCAACAGTGACTTTACTGTTGCTAAATCCAGCATTTGTTTCTCAGTCCTCATGTTTTTAGGTCTGGGCAGCACTGACTTAGCTGGTCACTCTCTCCTCTTCGAAGCACTTTACTTGGCTCCCAGGCCACCACACTCCCCTGGTTTTCTTCCTACCTCACCTCACTGTTTGCATTCATCTTATCTTCTGACTTTTAAATATTTAGTCTCCCCAAGGTTCAGTCTCTGGGCCTCTCTCTGTCTTTTAAATTTACATTCACTTCCTTGGTATGTTGTCCAGTTTCAGGACTTTATATGTTTTACTCAACTGAACTCCAGAGTCCTATATTAAATTACCTAACTTAGCCTCGCCACTTCAATGTCTTAAAGAATCTTAAATTTAACAGGTCTAAAACCAAGTTCCTACCCTCCACCCCCAAGCCCATCTCCCAACAAAACATGCTCCATTCACTGTTTTCCTTGTCAGGTGAGGCCAATTTCTTACTTAGCTGAGGCCAAAAACCTGGAGAGAGCCTTAACTCCTCTCTCTCACATCACACTGAATCCATCAGCAAGTCCTATAGCTCTGCCTTCAACTGTCTGTAAATCTTGATCATTTTTCACCACTTTCACTGGTCACCATCACCTTTCACTTTCTTTACGTGGCTTTCAGAAGACAATAACCCCATAACCAGCCACCTGACTTCTTGCTTCTACTGCATCCCTTACAATCTATTCCTAATAAAGCAGTGAAAGTAGTACTGAAAAAAAAATGGAAGCCCGATGTCACACCTCTGCTCCAAGCCCTCCAGTGGTTCCTTATCTCCCACAGAACAAAAGCCATCCTCTCCCAGATGGCCCGCAGGATCTGGCTTCCCATTCTTTTCCGAAGACCACCTACACTGCATCTCCTACCATTTTCTTCTTTTTCACTCAGCTCCAGCCACAGTGGCCTCCAGGAGAAGGAGAGGCCTTATCCCATCACCCACTACATACACACACAGGCACACACACACCCCAGAATATTTTCATTTTTGATCCCTCTTCCTAGAAATGTTTATCTAGAGGTCTGCATAGCTTGTGCCCTCACCTCCTTTAAATCTTTTCTCAAATGATGCCTTCTCCAAGAGGCCTTCCTTCACCACTTATTTATTTACTTACTTACTTAATTTATTTTTATTTTATTTTTATTTGAGACGGAGTTTCGCTCTTGTTGCCCAGGCTGGAGTGCAATGGCGCGATCTCAGCTCACCGCAACCTCCGCCTCCCGGGTTCAAGCCATTCTCCCGCCTCAGCCTCCCGAGTAGCTGGGATTACAGTCATGCGCCACCACACCCGGCTAGTTTTGTATTTTTAGTAGAGATGGGGTTTCTCCATGTTGGTCAGGCTGGTCTCGAACTCCTGACCTCAGGTGATCCGCGCCTCGACCTCCCAAAGTGCTGGGATTACAGGTGTGAGCCACCGTGCCCGGCCTTAGTTAATTTATTTTTTGAGACAGGGTCTTGCTCTGCCACCCAGGCAGTGTAGTGGCATGATCACAGCTCACTGCAGCCTTGACTTCCTGGGCTCAAGCAATCTTCCCACCTCAGCCTCCCAAGTAGCTGGGACTACAGGCACGCACCACCATGTTCAGCTAATTTTATTTTTAAAAAATTATCTGTAGAGACAGGGTCTCATTATGTTGCCCAGGCTGGTCTCGAATTCTTGGGCTCAAATAATGCTTCCACCGTGGCCTCCCAAAGTCCTGGGATTATAGGCATGAGCCACGGGTAGTGTCTACAACAGTACCTGGCACATAGTAAGATCTCAGTAAATAAATATTGGGTGAGTGGATCTCTACACCTTTGTTCACGCTATCTTCTTCACTGGAAATGTCTAAATTCTACGCATCTTTCAGAACATGGGGTTTAAATTAGGGAAGGTAAGCAGCACAGAGAAGGAAATGCAGCCCCAAGATGGATGAAAGTAAAGAGGCACAGCACGTTTGTTTTAAAGTGGTTTGAGTGTCCAGGCCAGATAAAGTACCGAAAGTCCTCAGTACTGAAAGACATTTCAGATGAGCCTCAGAGCCAAGGCAAAGAAAGTGTGAGCAGGTATAGAAAAGACTGGAGACTGGATAATATCCTGACTTTCAAAAGAAAAAAAAAAAAGGAGAAAAAGGATTCCTCAATTCCTCAATCTACACATAAGTAATATTCTAGAATAAATTATTAAATAGAAGTTTGTAAGCATTTAGGAAAAAATAAGGTGATTCTTAGAGACCTAAAAGGATTTCAGTAAAAATAGACTCAAACTACTATGATTTTCTTTTTTGACAGGATTACTAAATTGGAAGGCTGGAGAATGGCTGTGAACATAGCATATCTGGATTTTATCAAAAACTAACAGAATCTCCCATGATTTCATTACAGATAAGAAATATATAGATAGATAAGGTGAAATGTTGGTTACATCATTGAAGTGTTCTGTTTCTTCCCAGTTGGTGGAAGGAACATATTTTACAGCTGATGATTAGAAGCTTGATGAAAATCTACAGGAACATTTTGCAAGAAGAGTTAGACTTTGGTTTTAAACATTTCCACAACAACTTTTAGCCATTTGGATGAAGCCAGAAGGCAAAGCTGCCATGTCTGTTCAGCAGAGGAGGCTGAGGGGAAATGACAGATGGAAAGTCACATCAGGACTCAAGATAATCTCATGGGATCATCATGGCTTTTTTATGGCTTCTAAATTATGTATCAAAACAAATGTAATAGGTAAACGTCACCTATACCTGGGTTGGAAAAGGCTGCTCTATCAGTAGGAAGCATAGGGAAGACCTGAACTGGTTTTAAGTGATGACAAGTTCAGTATAAGCAGTGGGAAGCTGCCGCAGTAGGAAGACAGTGTAATCCGAGCACGCTTCAGTCGGGGTTGAGGATTTCTACAGTAGCTGGCGGCATCAGACCCCATCTGAAGTAGTGTGCCCGCGGAAACCTATCCGGACATCAAGAGGCCTTTCAGCAATACTGATCTAGGGAACCACTGAAGAAAGGGAGGATTTTTGGCTCGCAAAATAGATTACAGTGAGAGGGTGTAAAGATTTCCAAATAAATGCCTGGCTGTCAATGGCAGTTTCTCAAAAAGATCAAAGTAGATGTTCCAGGGAAGGGAGACGTTAAGCACAGGCAGTTTCCAGGGTGATGCGTTTCCCTGGAAGCCGGACTGGACCCCAGGGCTCCAGCGCAGGTGGAGAGGTTGGGCCTCGCCAAAAGAGATCCTGGGAAACTTCCAGGACTTCCAGGAGCCCCGAGGGCTCGAGCGTTCACATACGCGCCCCGCCCCGGGGCGGCCCGGGCAGAGAGACTGGCGCGGTCTCTCCTGGCGCCCTTCGGCCATCGCGCGCCGCCGTCCCCGGGCCCCCGGACCCTGGGCGCCCAGCCTGCGCGGGACACACCCAGGCGCCGCCTCCCAGGGGCGGCCGCGTCCTTACTGAACTCGGAAATCGCTGGCCGGCAGCGCCAGCGCTGGAATCGCCCCCGCGCCTGGGAGTGGCCTCGCGAGGCCGGCGCGCGCCCCGGGGCCGAGGAATCCGCCTGCCCGCCCAGGCGTCGGCCACGAGAGAGCGGGAGCCTCGCTGGTCCCCATTTCAGGTACTCCCTTGGGGCACCTTTCGTGGTCCCACAAGATTTCCCAACTCTCCAGCTTTGCAACGGCCTCCATATTTTCCCGCGCGTCCCGACCCCCGGGTCCTCCCGTGCCCCGGACCTGCTCAGATGTCTCCCAAGGCTATTCATCAGGGAGCACCCCAATCCCGGCCTGCTCCGCCCGGCGCCCGCGGCCCCTCACCTGTAGAAGGCCGCGTTGACCCTCTTTTCGCTGGGGAAGCCCAGCATCCCGCAGACCACGTGGCTGTTGTGGGCGCTCCAGCCTTTGTCGCACACTTGCGACCAGCCGTCAGGAAGCCTGACTTCCACCAGCCCCTCCGTCACGGGCAGGGGTCGTCTGCCCCACCCAACGGCGGGTCGAATTCGCACCTCCTCCACTTGCAGGTGATGCTCTACCTGGGGGCGGGGCCACAAGCAGGGAAAGAATCCCAGTGGCACCTTTCATGTGTCCCGCCGCCCTTAAGGAACCCTGCTTGGTGTGCCTGCTGTAAACCCAGTGGCGGGATGGGCCCGAGGCGGCGCTGAGAGAGCGGCCACGATGGCCGCAGTCCGCGGTGTGGACTCTCTTGCAGCCAGCAGCGCGTGGGATGTGCTGTGCTCCCAGAGAGGATTCAGGGCACTAGGAAGGAGGCCCTCCCTGTGCCTGGAGCAGGAGGGAGCACTTCAAAAAGGAAATGGCTTTGAAGGAGGAGAAAGTCAGAAGGAAGATGTCTCAGGAAAGCAGGAACATTTGAGGAGAAGGAGAGCACCAGGTGCCCCAGGGGTGACTAGGGATGAAGCTGGAGAGGCTCATGCCAGGTTTAGCCCCTTGAATGTGAATGCTAAAAACCTGTTGGATTTTACAGCATCTGGGAGCTCTATCATTTGCTTTTCCAAGTCTCCCACCAATCCAAATGATCCCCCAGGGGTAACTACCTTCTAATGTCTCCGCTAACCACCCCACAGTACTCTCGGCTATCCTGGGTAGTGTGTGTGTGTATGTCTAGGAAATGCAGACCTCAATGACATTGGAGTCCGAGAAGCCAGGGAGGCGCTGGTCTTTGCAGATGACCCCAGCATCCTCATCGTGCGTACAGTCACTGTTCCCCCAGCCCCGGGAGGCACATTCAGTCACACTCTGCTCGGTCCCACTGCAGCTCAAGTTGTCCAGCCAGATGCGGCCTGTGGAAGGGGAGATGAAGGGACAGAGAAGCTTGGGGAGGGAGGATGGGGGAGTAATGGGGATGTAGGGAAGAGTGAGTGCTGAGGCCTCCCACTTGGCCATGATGATCCCATCTTTCTGGTATGATAAGGGGTGGAGACGGGACAGGGGACCCTGGCAGGGAATAGGAAGGGGGCATAAGATTGAGGGAAAATTGGTGTGATCTGGGGATACTCAAGAACCTGATACGGTGAATAAAAAACCAAGAATCAACCCTGAAGTTCTGATCAGTCTCTACCCATTCATTGATAGCTACAATTAATCAGGTACCTACTGTGTGCCAGGTGCTCTGCCATGGTGTGCACATATGTGATCATTCTTAGAACAGAGCTGCCAGAACACTGTTTTATATAAAGAAACTGGGGTTTAGAGAAGCTGAGCAACTTGCTTAAGACCATAAAGCCAATACGTGGGGGCTTAGGAGTTTGATCTATCTGTGAGGCTTGGATGTCTAAGATCCTTTCTTCACATCCTTGCATTCTCTCTTGTGCCCGCCCTGTCTGTGCTGCCATATAGCCCCTTGTTCTTCTCTCTGTCTGAAACCTGTTTTTTTTTTTTTTTTGAAACGAAGTCTTGCCCTGTTGCCTAGGCTGAAATGCAGTGGCATGATCTCAGCTCACTGCAACCTCTGTCTCCCAGGTTCAAGCAATTCTCCTGCCTTAGCCTCCCAAGTAGCTGGGGCTACAAGCATGTGCCACCATACCTGGCTAATTTTTGTATTTGTAGTAGAGACAGGGTTTCAACCATGTTGGCCAGGCTGGTCTCGAACTCCTGACCTCAGGTGATCCACCCACCTCAGCCTCCCAAAGTGCTGGGATTATAGGCGTGAGCCACTGAGCCCGGCCTGAACCCTGTGGAGTATCACTGGCTTCCTCTCAGAATTGGGCGCAGCCTCAAAGGTCATCTGTCCTAGCCAATGTTCAAGGACATCTCATTCACATCCCAACAGGACTTACCCAGTTGTTGCGGAGACACCTAGCTCCTGCCCCACCAGACTGTGTAACCATCAAAGTCCTTGTGACTCTTCATGACTTTCCCCTACCACATCTGATTCATTCCTTTGGTGCCAACCAGAAAAATCCTTCAGCCACACGACTGTCCTTCCCATATTTAAAAACAACCATTACGCCATTGCTATGCAAGGTTTTTACTTTCCATATCAATCCCCTGATTCTTCAGCAATTCCTCCTTGAAACTTGGCTTCTGAATCTTTCACATCTAGGCAGCTCTCCTCTGAAAGTATTTCCATTTTCTACTGTCCCTCTTAAAACACAGCATCTACAAATGACACTTAATTCCACAGGTGGTCTAGCCAGTGGGAACTGGGGAATCAGCTGCAGGTTGCACCTGCTTCTGTCCATCATTCCCACTGTGGGTTCATACCATGGGCACAGTCCTAGGCCTCACCTAGGGAACTGCTCTTAAGCCTCCACCACCCACACTCATACTTGTCCTAGATTTTATACTTGTCCTTAGACAGTACCACCTTGTTAGTTTTAGCTCTGGCCCATAACCTGATTTTGTTAGCTGCAGTGTCTGTGACCCCTTGTGACTTTGGGACATCCAGATATCATTTACCTGCTCTTAGCGTCCCATGAGACTAACTGTACTTTATTTGTACAGGGCTCACCTGTATCTGGGCTGTTTTGTGGATGGCTTTGTAGGATCATACTTTTGCAGCAGAAAAGAACTTAGACATCATCTAGTCATTTTGCATACAGGGCATCTGAGGCTCAGAGAAAGCACTGACTAGCCTAAGGTCACACAGCTCTGGGAAGTAACTATGTTGCTTGGTTTGTCATCCATGGATTTACTCAATGCTGGCTGTTCTTGGTGTCGTGTGTCCCTATGGCTGTGCCATCCTCGTGTTCCCTTTCCCTGCACTTTGGCCACACATAGGAAATATCTAGGATATGCCTGGATCATTGCTCACCTGTTCCAGGGCCATATTTGGCACTGTGGGTCCAGCCTGTGGCCTCTGTGAAGCCCAGCTCCCGGCAGAGGATGTGGGCAGCCTGCAGCGTGAAGTCATCATCGCAGATGGTGCCCCATTCACCAGCTCGCTGTATCTCCACGCGGCCCTCGTAGGGCTTCCTGGGGAAGCCAGCCAGCCGGAACCGAAGCCCCTGGCTCCCGGCCTTCTTCTCAGGGCCCGTGGAAGGGGACGGAGACCCCAAGCACGAACTGCACAGCAGGCACAGCAGCAGCCCCCAGGGGCTCCACTGCCAGACACTGACAGGTCGCATGGCAGGGAAGGCCTGGGTGCCCCAGAGACAAAGTGTGCGTGAGAGAAACAGATTGAGTGGGGCCCAGAGTCAGAAAGAGAGGGAGAAGTCACGAAAGAAAAACAGACACTGAGTAAGACAGAGACAGCGAGAGACAACAGGAGAGAAAGAGCCCCAGGGACCAAGAGACAGGGAGAGAAACACATTAAATAAGGGCTGAGGCACAGGTCATAGAGGCACAGCCTGAGAGACCCAGAGATAAGAGACAACTATGAGAGATCGAGAGTCAGAGAAGGGTCAATAAAAAGAGATAGAGACTGAGCAAGAGACACGTAGAGAGAGAGGAAGACCCAGACAGACAGGATGTGAGAGGAAGGGAGACTGTGGGAATGAGAGAGAGAAAACCAGAAAGACACAGAGGAGAGAGACAACGGATAGAAAGTGATAGGCAAAGAACTAAGCACTCAGTATAGGGGAACCAAGCACACCGCGGGTGAGAAGGAGAGGGATTGACAAGAGCCAAGGGGCGGACGTGGGAGGGATCCAGATGACCCCATTTACTCAGAGGGAGGACAGACAGCTGTACTGATTGTGCAGAGAGGCACGTAAGGGGCCCTAGGCGGCCCTGGGATCACAGATCCCCTGAATGGGAGCCCAGAGTCCTAACCCAGCAGATTCCCAGGCAGGGAAGGCTGGCACCAAAGCTCGCCTGGAGAACCTGCTGCACGCCCTCCCCAACACGCAGGCTCTCAGATGCCCTGCAGGGTCAAGAGGCCCAGGAGGGCCAGGCCTCAAGGCTGGGCGGGGGATGGGGTAGGGTTGTCCCAGCCTCCTGCCAACACCACCATCCCTGTCACCGGGCAACGGGAGGCCAGGCGCTATGGCTCCTCAGCCAAGGCCTTCTCTGCCTAGGGCTGAGAACAGCCCCTCTACAGCAAGCCCCCGTCAACATGCTTCCCCCAACCCAAACAATCAATCCAACAAGGCAGCTTTGTTCTGGGTTGGGGACCCAGGGGCAGCGCCTCCCGGAGGAGCCCCCTCCCTTAGGGCGCTCCTGGCGGCCCTGTTCGAACACCCGTAGCCCCCGCCTCCGGTATGTGCCTCCTCCGTGTACTCTGTCTCACTTGCCCTTTGACAAGAATCAAACTCTCAGTTGGGTGGCTTCCCCTCGACTCCATCCCACACCACCCGTTTTCCCTGGTCCCTCCACATCCTCTCCATCCCCTACTCATTCCCTCTGCGGTTAGCGTGACTCCCCCTACCTTGGCCGAGCAGGACCCTAAGGGCTGGGAGAAGAGTGCTGGTCCTGGAGATCAGTCCTAGGACTTCCAAAAAAAAAAAAAAATGCTCGGCCAGGGGAGACTGGACCCCCCTCTCTCCCCCTTCTCCGTTCGTCCCTCCCACATCCCCCTGAGCCCTCCCACATTCCGCCTTCTCCTTCCATTCCTCCCGGCCAGTTCCCTCCTCTCCTCCTCTGGGTCCTCCCTCCCCGTGGAGCTGGCCACTGCCGCGCCCCCTCCCCCTCCCTGGCCCTCCCGGCTCGTTCAATGAAGCTTTCTCTTCCCGCGGCATGGAGGCCAGGCCTCTGCGGTCAGGGAGCTGACATGCAAGCGGCGGCCGGGCGGCGGGGCGGCCCCGGTGGTGGCGGGAAGCGGTTCAACCCCAGCCCTCCCTCCGAGTCCCGGGCCAGCGGAGTCTAAACAGCCCGGCTCGGGCGGGGCTGGGGGCGGGCCCGGCCAGGGTAAATAAAGCCCCGGAGGCCCGTGTGGGTCTCTCCGGTGCCCGGGGCGCTTTCGGGGTGATGTCATGGCTTTCACTCTGACGTCACCTTGGGCATATGACGTCACGCGCAGCCACCACGCCCAGAGGCCAGGGCCCTCGCGCCAAAACCGAGGACTTTCGGTGGAGCCACTGGCGCGCCCCCACGACGGCGGGTAGGGGCCTGGGGTGCTGCAGCTCCCGGCTAATCCGGGGGTCTCCACCATTCCTTCTCGCTCCTCTCCCTCACCCCACCGCGACCCCCCCAGCGGCTGCCGGCGGGGGCCGGGGAGGGGCGGAAACTCCTCCAGGGAACCCGGCCCCGCCTCCCGCCCCGCCTCCCGCCGCAGGGCCAGGAAGCGCGGAAGGAACCGCCGGGGGCCATGGACGGAGCAGTGATGGAAGGGCCGCTTTTTTTGCAGAGTCAGCGCTTTGGGACCAAGGTAGTCTGGCGCATGGATGCCGAACCTTATCCGGGCTAGTAGTGGGTGAGAGAGCCCAGAAACAGGGAGAGGTGGGCAGCGGGCTGGAGAGCGGCGCCGGGAGTTGGAGAGCCTGTGACTTTCCCGTGAAGTTGCTTTGCACACTCCCGGGAAGCGTCTGTAGTCTAGGGGTTCTGGTCCTGGGGAGACGGAGTGGCATCGTCCTTGGGAAACTTCGCCCCCAACCCCGTTTGGAAGCCCCAGATCCCAAATCGACTTGCGCCGCAACCTCCTTCCCCGTCGGGACCCGGGCCGCCTGCGCACGCCACTCCCTCTCGAGCACTCTCTCTCTCTCCCTAGAGGTGGAGGAAGACCTGGGCCGTGCTCTACCCGGCCAGTCCCCACGGCGTAGCGCGGCTCGAGTTCTTTGACCATAAGGGGTCGAGCTCTGGGGGTGGCCGAGGGAGCTCGCGCCGCCTGGACTGCAAAGTGATCCGTCTGGCTGAGTGTGTGAGTGTGGCCCCCGTCACCGTGGAGACCCCCCCTGAGCCCGGCGCCACTGCCTTCCGCCTGGACACTGCTCAGCGCTCGCACCTGCTGGCGGCCGACGCGCCGTCCAGTGCAGCCTGGGTGCAGACGCTGTGCCGAAACGCCTTTCCGGTGAGGAGCTGCGGCGATGCGGGGTGGGGGCAGTTACAGAGGCAGAGAAATGGGGCTGCCTCAGACCGACCCCCGCTCCCCGCTGAGGAAATTACGGGTTTCTCGATGCTCTCTACTACAGAAAGGCAGCTGGACTCTGGCGCCTACCGATAACCCACCTAAGCTTTCTGCCCTGGAGATGCTGGAGAACTCCTTGTACAGCCCTACCTGGGAAGGTAGACGCCTCAGAAGCCCGGGCAGGGATGGAGTGAAGAGGAGGAGGGCCGAGGGCCTTTGGGAAGTGGGTGGATACCCAGGGGCCCATGGGGAAGTAAGAAGTAGGAAGGCCCTGAGATCTGGCTTCCGAGTGAGTGCTTGGACACTATGCTCATGAGTCCTCTGGGTCCCCACTGCTGCCCCCGTCCCTCCCCCGCAGCTGTCTAATCGTGTATGCCTTCCAGGATCCCAATTCTGGGTAACGGTGCAGAGGACTGAGGCCGCCGAGCGCTGTGGCCTGCATGGCTCCTACGTGCTGAGGGTGGAGGCTGAAAGGCTGACTCTCCTGACCGTGGGGGCCCAGAGTCAGATACTGGAGCCACTCCTGTCCTGGCCCTACACTCTGTTGCGTCGCTATGGCCGGGACAAGGTGCAGGGGCTGTCCGGGAGGGCTTCCTGGGTTGGGCAGCTGTGGGAGGGGTGGGGCAGGACAGAAAGTGGGAAGCTCTGACCTTTGGATCCCCCTTTCTTGCCTACCCGGTGACCCCGCGTCTGTTCGCAGGTGGTCTCTTCTTTGTAGATACCCTAACTAGTGCAGGCGTGTGACTCACTTCCTCTGATGGCTCCTGGTAATGTGTTTCCCCCTCTACCCTCCTTAGGTCATGTTCTCTTTCGAGGCCGGCCGCCGCTGCCCCTCAGGCCCTGGAACCTTCACCTTCCAGACGGCACAGGGAAATGACATCTTCCAGGCAGTTGAGACTGCCATCCACCGGCAGAAGGCCCAGGGAAAGGCCGGACAGGGGCACGATGTTCTCAGAGCTGACTCCCATGAAGGGGAGGTGGCAGAGGGGAAGTTGCCTTCCCCACCTGGCCCCCAAGAGCTCCTCGACAGTCCCCCAGCCCTGTATGCTGAGCCCTTAGACTCCCTGCGCATTGCTCCATGCCCTTCCCAGGACTCCCTATACTCAGACCCCTTGGACAGCACGTCTGCTCAGGCAGGAGAGGGAGTACAACGGAAGAAACCTCTCTATTGGGACTTGTATGAGCATGCGCAGCAGCAGTTGCTGAAGGCCAAGCTGACAGACCCCAAAGAGGATCCCATCTATGATGAACCTGAGGGCCTGGCCCCAGTCCCTCCCCAGGGCCTTTATGATCTGCCTCGGGAGCCCAAGGATGCATGGTGGTGCCAAGCTCGGGTGAAGGAGGAGGGCTATGAGCTCCCCTACAACCCTGCCACTGATGACTACGCTGTGCCACCCCCTCGGAGCACAAAGCCCCTCCTTGCTCCCAAGCCCCAGGGCCCAGCCTTCCCTGAACCTGGTACTGCAACTGGCAGTGGCATCAAAAGCCACAACTCAGCCCTGTACAGCCAGGTCCAGAAGAGCGGGGCCTCAGGGAGCTGGGACTGTGGGCTCTCTAGAGTAGGGACTGACAAGACTGGGGTCAAGTCAGAGGGCTCTACCTGAGAAGGACGGCAAGGCTGAGGTGGCTAAGGGGGACCATGGGGAGGTGGCACTAGGGATCAAAGAAGATGGTTAGAACCAGCAGAAGCCAGAGGGTGGGAGGGGCCATGCTGTGTGAGACCAGGGGACCAGAGGGATGGGAGAGTCAAGGGAAGGACAATCCCAGGAAGTCCTAAGAAGTGGGGCAGATGGCAGGGCTGAGGATGGGCTCTGCATCCCCCAAAGCCATCCCTTCCCTACTTCCCCAAATGAAGGGACGGCTGTGGGACCAGGTCTGTGGAAAGTGGTGCATGGTCAGAATGGGTGCAGTTTGAGGGGCCTGTGTGGAGGCCTCAGGGAGATGTTGGACTGTGCCTGGATCCTTACTCCTGCATTGTTCTTTGCCAGAGACCTATTTAAAAATTTTAAAATTCTCATTAAAGTCAGCTTGGGTTTAAGAAGTTTATGTGTGTGAAGAGAAAAAGAGGGGACACAGTGGTTGGGTTGGGTGTGGTGGGGATCAAGAGGAGAACCAGGAATGTGTTGAGAGTCACGGAGAGGCAAGGGGCCCAGGAAGGGAACAGAAGTGTGGCGGTTCAGTGCCTGGGGAGTCAAGTCAAGCTGCCCTGGGCTAGATGTGAGCTCTGTGGCCCTGGGTGATAACATCTGCAACCCTCAGTTTCCCCTGTGCCCCTCTGTAAAATGGAAAAGCTATAATGGGCTCTACCTCACAGGGCTTTTTGTATGAAATTAGATACATTATAAGTATTTAGTGTAATCTGAAGCACAGGGTGTTTTTTTAAAAGTTTTTATTATTTATGTAGAGATGGCGGGGGGGTCTCACAGTGTTGCTCAGGCTGGTCTCGAACTCCTGGCCTCAAGTGATCATCCCACCTCAGCCTCTCAAAGTGTTGGGATTACAGGTGTGAGCCACTGCTCCCAGCCCAGAGTAAACATTTTATAAATGGTAGCTATTATTCTGTGGATGGAGGGAGCAACAGGAAGGTTGGTACATGTGGGGAGAGGGTAACAGGAAAGGAGTAGGTCTTTTTTTACACCATCCTCTCCCCTGTTCTGGGCAGCCCTCCCACCCCCCAGCACACACACTTTGCATGTAGGTACCAAGCACTTGTCTCTTTGGAGGCTGAAGCCTGGTGGTGTAGTGGGAAGGGCACAGGCTCTGAAATGAGGCTTGGATTTCAATCTTACTTGTCTTTTATGAGCTTTCAAAACCTCATCCTTGTTCCTGAGGTCCAGTTTACCAAAGGTGATCTGACCTCATCCACCTGCTTACACAGAGCTACAAGAAGAAATTCTGAGTTATGAATGCTCCTAACAATGGTAGAAGCTTACTGGGTGTTTAATCTTCACCTGTGTAAACAGTAGCAAATGATTCTAAAGAAAATGAAAGTCCTTGCTGGAGAAAGGACAGGCTCGGGTGTGTCGCTTCCAGACTTGAGGAGTGGGACAGCACTGAAACAGGACAGGAAGGCTGTTGTTTCCCAGTCAGCCCTCACTCACAGAGGCTCAGGCGGATAGAGAGCAAGTCTGACCACAGATAGCCATTATGTGAACCTGAGCATGGATATGGTTAAGCTGGGCAGCTGGGCTCTGGTGCTGGTGACTTAGGGCCTTGAGGGATCCTTCTCCCACTCTGAAGGCAGGAAGAAGGCATCTGAGGAAGATTTGCTGGCTGCTGGCATCTTGGAGGCTCTGCCTGGGACAGGAGTCATAGGCAGGGGGGCCACAGTAGCTCGAGCTCGGTTGGTCTGCAACTGCCCAGTCTGCAAAGAGAGCAACCAGAGCCTTCTCTGAAGATCAGAGTTTCTGAGCACCTATCCCATTCTCTGTTGGGCTTCCTGTCCTAACTCTTTCCTAAGTTCATTCCCTGGAGTGACAGCCTCAAGGCCGAGGACAGTGATCTGGAGTCCCTTAAGCCCAGCCTCCACAGTGCCTGTCTCCTTGCCTGGTGTCCTACCTCTGGCAGCTTGCCTAGCAGCTAACTTGTGGTAGCCTCTGCTCCTACCTCTGGTTTGGAAACGTCCTTCTGTAATTTTAGCTAAGACAAAATGAATTTTTTTTTTTTTTGACAGGATCTTGCTCTGTTACCCAAGCTGGAGTGCAGTGGCACAATCTTGGCTCACTGCAGCCTTGACCTCCTGGGCTCAAGCAATCCCCCGACCTTAGCCTCCCAAGTAGCTGGGACTACAGTGTGCACTACCACTCCTGGCTAATTTTTTTTGTATTTTTGTAGAGACGAGGTTTTGCCATGTTGCCCAGGCTGGTCTCAAACTCCTGAGCTCAAGCGATCCACCTGCCTCGGCCTTCCAAAGTGCCGGAATTATAGGCATAAGCCACCGTGCCCGGCCTAAAATGAGAATTTTTCTAAAGGCTGTGTTACTAAGAAACTGAGAAAAAGTTAATAAGGGCAAAAGGAAGCCCAAATATTATATAGAACACGGGTTTCATAAAAATATTTCTCTATCCTCAATCACTCTTCCCTCTTCAACCCCAACTGTCTTCAACCCCAGATAGTCATGGGAGTCCTCTCAAGTTACTAATCTTGGTCAGCCTCCTTTCCTCATCTGTAAATGAGCAAACACTTACCTTGCAGGGATGCTGTGAGGATTAAATGAGAAAAACATATAAGCAAGCACTTATCATAAAACCTGGCAAATGACTGGTGCTCTATAAATATTAATTTCCCATCCCTTGGGCATTTCTTTTCCCACCTTTCCTTCAGCCTTTTCTTTCACGAGGACTGTGGTTATAGTTCCTGTGTAGCCAGTTTGCTTAATGGGACAATGGTCTGTTTAATGAGCTATCATAAACACTACAATTAAAACACCTGAACATTATTATATGTAAATGCCCTAGCAAACAGGCCTCCCTACCCAGTAAGGGTTCTAATTTTCCCCTCCACCAGGGGTGGATCCTGGAGGAAGGCTACTCCCTTGGATGGGGGCGGTGTTGGGATGGGGGAGGAGGGTTTTCTAGGACTCTGGGCATGAAGGGGAGGGAGGGGAAGTAAGGAAGAGGAGGGAAGGAGGGGAGCGGTACCTTTCTCGGAGCTCGGCTCTCCCAGTGTGGGTGGAGCCGCCCCTGAGGCTTGGCATAGATGCTGCTCAGGTGTGAGTACAGGTGGCTTTGAACATGCAAGGGGTTGTAGGTGGGCTCCAGCTCCAGGCTGTCCAGCATGCTCTGAGGAAAAGAGAGGAGGGGCCTCACTAGGGAACTTAAGATCACAGAACACAAGATGTCAGGTAGCGATCCAGGAGTGTGAGGGGCTGGAGGAAGTGTGAAACCCCAGGGCTGCCATGAAGGCTGTGAAATAGATGCTGTCCCCCTGGGTGTTCTGGCCTGAGGTCCAGTGCTTGTGATGTAAGGGCCAGGCATGGATAGGAGAAGTAGGAACAACCCTAAGTGGTTAGGAACACTGAACACTCTGGCCCCAAGATGCATGTCCAGGGGTTCTGAGGGGGCCGGCGCACATGAATGCTACAAGGGATCCACTGTGAGCATGGAGGGAGGGTGTGTCAGTGGGCTACCCTGCAGGGCAGGGTGCTCACAGCCTGCAAGGCGAGTACATGGAGTTCTCAGCCTAGAGGTGAGCTGAGCTGAATGGAAAGGGAGGAGGGGATACAGGAGCACAACATTCCTGTGCAGTCAGGTTTTCCGGCCACAACATCCTGTGCCAGGAACCACTGGCCCCAAAGTGAGACACTGAGCAGGCCATGGCCACTTGTGCCCACCTCTCTCTGTGTCTCTGTGGCCGCCAAGCCAAGAGCACAATCCCAGGCCTTGTCCTTGCTGCATTTAAGCTAGCGAGCCAGCAGCGACGTGGTTCCAGTTCTCCCTACCCAGAGCCAGCCCTCCCACTCTTAGCCTGGGGAGACTAGCAGAGCAAATATAGAGAATCCAGATCCCAGGAAGAGGAAAAGGAGAAGGAGGAGAAACAGGTGGAGGAGGAGGGGAGGAGGAGGAGGAGGAGGAGGAGGAGAAGGAGAAGGAGGAGGAGGAGAAGGAGGAGGAGGAGAAGGAGGAGGAGGAGAAGGAGGAGGAGAAGGAGGAGGAGGAGAAGGAGGAGGAGGAGAAGGAGGAGGAGGAGAAGGAGGAGGAGGAGGAGAAGGAGGAGGAGGAGAAGGAGGAGGAGGAGGAGGAGGAGGAGGAGAAGAAGAAAAAGAAGGAGGTAAAAATGGCTTTCAGAGTTGTTTGCTCCTCTGCATCTGCATCTATCACATCTCATCTTGAAGCCCTTCCTATTTTGGGCACCTACATTGGCTGCCTTTTCTCAACAAACATAAATGAGCGCAAACACAGGTATACACATATGCACACGTGCAATGCAGACAGACCCCTAAGAACACACCAGCACACAGATGTGCACAGGCGCATCTACACCCACTGCCACCAATTTAGAGACCCAACCACAGACACACTCGGGCACAAAAACACACAAAGACACGAAAACCCATACAAAGGCTGATTTTTTGGGTCTCCTTTTATTCCCTTCTCCCTTCTTTTTTCTTCTGCTTTCCACTGTGTCTTCTTTCCTTTCCCTCCCAAAGTTCTGCTCTCCCTTGTCTAACTTCACAATCTCCTCTCTGGGGAGGAGGTGGGGGCAGGAGAACCAGTCTGCGCAAAGACAAAACCAAACCAAACAAGCGTCCAGTGCATCCCCAGGAGCTGGACCTGCTGGTGTTGTGGCTTCCTCCCCTGCCTCCCTGTGCCCTGGCCTGACATCAGGTTTCCACTCTGTGATGCTCCCTTTTCTCCTTCACAGCCACCCATTCCTCAGATTTCAGGTCCGTGTGCATGTCGTGTGTCCTCCAGGATGGCTCTAATTCCCAGTCATCACTGATGCCAATATCCCTTTTCTCTCCCAGTTTTTTGTTCTCAAACCTCATTTCCCTCCATTCTATTTCACTCCTTACCCTGCTGCCATAATCTAAGTGTTTACTTCCTTCTTCTGGCATAATTGCCTATCCTTGCTTTCTCTTCTTACTCTCTTACCACACTCCTTCAGCTCCGCATCCATTCCCTCATGGGCTCACTCCTCTCCCTCATCCCTTTCTCAAACTCCATTCGCTTCTAGATCTGTCCCATGAGATCTGGGCTCCACTTGCCTCCACATTCTTAAGGCTATCATCATGTGGGTCCTCAGGTAGCAGGGGGAAGGTGCTGGGCAGCATCAGTTCCCGCGTGGCCACCGCCTTTACCAGCAGTGTGAGGGAGTGTGACGGCATGATCACATAGAAGGTGCTGGCAGGAATTCTCTGGCTGTGTCCTGGGCCCGGTGGTTCCCCCTTGGCTAACAGCAGCCATTCCCTTTTCTGAAACAAGGACATACAGAAATACTGGTTCATCTTTAGTCTATGGCATGGTTTGAGGATCAGTCCCAATTGAAGTTTCCCTGACTTCCAGGGGTGCTGAGGAGGGCAGAGCCATTTAACTTCGGCCCTGGTAGGGAGGGACTTCCTGCATGAATCATCAATATCACAATGTACTACTCTTCCTCCCTGGTTTGAGATATGCCAGAGAGAGTATATAAAAGGGTCAACAATGGAGAGAAAAGTTAAGAAATTCCCTGTAACTTGAAGTAGGTGTTCATCCCAGAGGGGCCTACCACATTCAGCATACATGTGGACTTTTAAGAATTATAATTCTTAAAAACAGAGTCTTGAAGCCCATGGTGCGTGACTGTACCCGTAGCTACTCAGGAGGGTGAGGTGGGAGGATTCCTTGAGCCTAGCAGATCAAGGCTTCAGTGAGCCATGATTGTACCACTGCACTCCAGCCTGGGTGACAGAGTGAGACCCTCTCTGTCTCAAAAGGAAAAAGAAAAAAGCAGTGTCTTGAAACCAAGACTTGTATGGGGTGTTGTCTGTTGTAGAAATTCAGTTCTTCTTTTGAGGGTAATAAAGTCTGGTTGTTTGCTAACAACTGGGATTAGAATGGGCTGACTGGGCAGTATCCCTGGAATGTCCAGAGAGGGTACAAGGTAGTAAGGCCAGATGTGGTGGCTCACATCTGTAATCCCAGCACTTTGGGAGGCCAAGCCAGGAAGACTGCTTGAACCCAGGAGTTCAAGACCAGTCTGTGCAACATACCAAGACTCTACAAAAAATTAAATAAATAAAGATAGATAGATGATTGATAGATAGACAGACAGATAGAGAGAAGGCAGTGAAAGCAGCCTGCAAAGTGGGAGGAGAAAGAGAGAGCAGGGCCGGGAGCGGTGGCACACACCTGTAATCCAGCACTTTGGGAGGCTGAGGCGGGTGGATCACCTGAGGTCAGGAGTTCTCGACCAGCCTGACTAACATGGTGAAACTCCATCTCTACTAAATACAAAAAAATTAGCTGGACGTGGTGGCGCATGCCTGTAATCCGAGCTACTTGGGAGGCTGAGATAGGAGAATTGCTTGTACCTGGGAGGTGGAGGTTGCAGTGAGCTGAGATTGCACCATTGCACTACAGCCTGGGCAATAAGAGCGAAACTCTGTCTCAAAACATAAAAAAAAAAAAAAAAAAAAACATAAAGAAAGAGCAGAGGGAGAGGTGGGTGGGTGCAGGGCCCTTGAGATCATCTCAGCCAATCACAGGACAAGAAGAGTCAGGATTCTGGGGGCAGTGCCTCTGTGGATGATGGGTTATTATGGAACAGAGGGTGGCACTTTGCCATGTGCCATGGTGATGGCAGAGGTTAGGGCATGGGTAAGAAGAAGAGACAACCAGACTTCTGAGAAGATTTTGTAGATGTACCCTTTTAAATGAGCCATGAAAATGAGGCAATTTTTTTTGTGGTAGCTTTTCAACAAAAAACACAAAACTCCAGGAAATATGGAGTTAGAACTATCATAATCATCTCAAACTGTGTCCTCTTACTGGGGGTGATCTTCAGTTACATCTGGTACAAACCGTAACAACCTCCCTGCTACATAAGATAGAAGAAAACACATGAGTTCTGGCTACTCTTATATGAAAAGTTGAGACAAATAATAAAAGAGGAAAGGCAAAAAGGGGGAAAAGATTTTTAGAGGAAAGAGGATTATCAGTGTCTTGTGGAAGACAAATAGAAAGTGACACAGTGAGACAGAAAACACTTGCTGTAGCATGAGAGTTAGACCCCACGGGACACATGCTGGGGTGGGTGTAGGGGAGGCTCTGCACTTTAAAGCAGTGTCATCATTCTGTGCAGTGCGGAGCTCTGAGGAGGTCTGGTAGGCACAGCAAGTGGTAGGAAACCTGTTAACAGCTCCAAGAAAAACAGGTATGTACCATTCCTGCGGTTGCTGACCTCTTTGTGGGGTAGGACTTGACTGATAATTCGGGAGGCATGATGCATCCTCACTAGAAGGTTTTGGGGGTGGGACAGATGATTTGGGCATGGGAAAATTAGTCATAATCATAATTACAAACTTTAAAGGAATGCTTATCAGGCACCAGGTACTGTGCCAAGAGCTTTATGCGTGCCTTCAGAAGTTCATGCTTTCTTAGCATTTTGCTTCTATCTAGAGATGTGCTGTCTTCCTGAAGAACAAATCCAAATGTGCAGGAAAGTCAGCTTGATGCTTAAAATCCATCATGTTGGAAATAAATGGTATACAAATCATGGTGTGTGTGTATGTGGATTGTGGGTTGGACCTGCCCCTGCTCTGAGGACATGGCCTGTTTAAGCCTGGAAGGGATAGAAACCAGGAAGTTTCAGGGGACTCCATTTCAGTTGGCTTAAGTAACTTCTGATGGGGCTCAGGATTTGGATTATTAGTATTATTTTAAATCTTCTATTTTTACATTGATTCGTGCATTTACTTGTGAATTTTTTGTCTATTAAGAATTTATTCAGGCCAGGCACAGTGGCTCACGCCTGTAATGCCAGCACTTTGGGAAGCTGAGGCGGGCAGATCAACTGAGGTTAGGAGTTTGAGACCAGTCTGGCCAACATGGTGAAACCCGGTCTCTAATAAAAATACAAAAACATTAGCCAGGCATGGTGGTGTATGCCTGTAATCCCAGCTACTCAGGAGGCTGAGGCAGGAGAATCACTTGAACCCGGGAGGTGGAGGTTGCAGTGAGCCGAGATCACACCACTGCACTCCAGCCTGGGCGACAGAGCGGGACTCCATCTCAAAAAAAAAAAAAGAATTTATTGAGCGCCTATTATGTTCCAAGCACTAGGTGTGGGTACACAGAACCATGCCAGAACAATGACATCATGAGAAAAGAAAACTATAGATCAATATCTCTTATTAATATAGATACAAAAACCCTAACTACATATTAGCAAATCAAATTTAGCAACATATAAAATGAATTATATACTGCAACAAAGTAGGATTTATCCCTAAGGCTGGTTTAATACCCTCAAATCAACTGATGTAATATACTATATTAACAGAATAAAGAACAAAAACTACATAATCATCTCAATAGATGGAGAAAAAACATTTGGCAGCCGGGCGTGGTGGCTCACACCTGTAATCCTAGCACTTTGAGAGGCCGAGGTGGGTGGATCACAAGGTCAGGAGTTCAAGACCAGCCTGGCTAATATGGTGAAACCCCATCTCTACTAAAAAAATACAAAAATTAGCCGGGAGTGGTGGCACGTGCCTGTAGTCCCAGCTACTCAGGAAGCTGAGGCAGGAGAATCACTTGAACCCAGGAGGCGGAGGTTGCAGTGAGCCGAAATCACACCACTGCCCTCCAGCCTGGGCAACAGAGTGAGATGCCGTCACACACACACACACACACACACACACACACACACACACACAAACATTTGGCAAAATCCAACACCCTTACATAATAAAAATGCTCAGTAAACTAGGAGTAGAATGGAACTTCCTCAACCTGATAAAAACCTCTATAAAAAAATCCACAGCTAACCTCATATGTAGTGGTGAAAGAGTGGATTCTCTGCCTCTAACATCAGAAACAAGGCAGAGATGTCTGCTCTTGCTACTTCTATTCACTATTGTCCTGGGAGGTGTGCTGAAGACCAGAAGGTCATTTTCCACATTTTCTGTACTGTGTTAAGCTCTTTGGATTCTGGGTATGATCCTAGGGGTAGAGGCACCCATGAAGATATTGCGTGTGTCAACATCCTGGCCCTTGGGAACCAATGCTTTCTAAATTTGATTTAGAAAAATATAGTAATGTGACATTTCTCATATCAGAGAGCTATGGTGCAAAAGGTCTAGATAGATGTGGCAACAAGTACATGGGTGTGGAAAGGCAAGAAAGATGAATGGGGATAGGCTGTGGTGGAGGCAAGAAAGGCTTCATACCGAAATTATTTAAGCAGGATCTGGAAAAAAATGAGTAGATATTTGTCAGGTAGACAGAGGCAAAAGGAAGAGAACAGCATGAAAAAAGGTGTGGAGGTGTGAAACAGTTCAGCATATTTGGAGAACATTCAGTCATTTATTAGTGTGACTGGGGGGAAGATGCGAGGGGCGTAGGTGAAAGATGAAGCAAGAGAAACAGACAAAGCTAGGTCACAGGAAGCCCACTGACTCACGCTAGGCTGCTGTTCTAGCACCTGTCTATCCCCCCCACCCGCCCAGATGCTACACTGTAACCTCCATCATTCTGTTCTCGAATGGCTCCTGACCTGCCATCACCCCACTCTCAGCTTGGATTCTTGGTCTTGAGTCTTTGCCTATTTAACCAAGCACTTTCCATCTCCCCACCCAGTTATAGCCCAACTGGCTCATTGCCTGTGTACTTAGACTCCTGCTGAACACATCATGGCTTGAATCCTGTAACTTCTGTGGCCAATTAGGGCAGACATGGACTGTAAAGCTCTGGAATGTGTCTCCAGAGACTCTGACATTTTAAGTAGGAAACTGAAAGACCTAGGTGGTATTTTCATTTCTTTTTCTAGTTCACACAGACATGACTTTGTAATTGAAATGAGGATGTGGAAAGTGAGTCACTAGCTACATAACTAGGACTATACAGCAAGATTTGGTAATAGAAATGATATTTTCCTGGCAATGGATAGATTGATCTCATAAAGACTTGGAAAAAATTAATTTTATTTATATATTTATTTCCTACCACATTCCACAAAACAGCTATGCCAGTTTAGAAAAATGGAACAGCATAAAAAGATAAAATAAATAATTAAGGGGACTGGGTAAAAGAAAAATAAAAGTAGGGCAATAATACAGCCAGGATTAGATAAGCTCACAGAAATACAAACCATCCACTTTTGCTAGAAGGGAGCCCCATAGCCTTTCCTGATATAAAATGTGGGAGAAGCTGTCTGTGGCTTCTTATTGAGTAGTGAATATATTTCAGAGCACTCCTGCAATCAATATGCTGATAAATTTCATGTAGCTGTAGAGTGGTGTAGAGTTTGGGGCCTGAAGCCAGCCTTTCAATCCCTACTCTACCATTTACTCTCTGGGCCTCAAATTCCTCATCTGTAAAACAGGGATAATAATTCTTACTTCATAGAATGGTTATGGGGATAAAATAAGTTAGTAGCTGTGAAGTGTTTAGAACTGTGTCAGGTACATGGTAAGCACCATGAAGTGTTAACTTTTCAAAATGAAAACTACATTTAATTATGAATGTTTATTTAACTTTGTTAAATTAAAAATACGTGAATAATTCTTAGATATAGATCTATAAAAGCTCCAAAGAATGCTGCCAAAACACATAGCTTTCTTGTGGTCTGTATTAATCTAAGAGTGACATTTACGGGAGTGGTGGACAACACATATTTTTCAGAAAAGACTGGGAAAAGTCTTGCCTATCTGATGAAGTGATCATTTTCTGAGGAAAAGCAAGTGAAATACCTGAATAAAGCAAAATAATCTGTGAGGAAGACAGAAACAATTTTCAAGTGAAAAATCAGGGAATGAAATAACAAGCCTGTGATTGACTAAGGCTTAGAGTATGTGTAAAATGTAATTTGAAAAGTTACACAACATTTATAGTCGACGAGGACTGGTGCGTTGGCACTAATCACTACGACTTAAGGGCAAGTGAAGAGGCAGTGGTTGAATAAACTGAGCAATACCCACACTTGTAAGGAAATCCAGGAGCCTGAAAATGAAAACATGGTGAAGCCGGCCAACTGGCTAAGGGGAACTTAGAAGATGTGCTGTTATGTCTGAACAGATAGCAAAGGGGGAATAAATGAGCATTTAATAAACATCTACTTCTGCATCTAAGTGGGTTACAGTGGCCAGAGGCAGACTGGTTCTCCTGCCTAGAACAATCGGAAAAGCTGGATAATTTGTTGGAAGGCAGTAAGGAGTTGCTGAGGCAATGAGATCTAGAGGTAGCTAAGCCTCTGGAGAAGGAAGAGTCCGGAGAGATGAGGGAATTATTGCAGCTGCTTATACCCTGGGAGTATATGTTGATTCTGGGACAGAGGGCATGGTGGTAGTGGTGGTTGGAGAAGCTGAGAATCCAAGACTTCCACCTGTGGAGGCAAGTTCAGGAGAACAGAGAAACTAGCAGATTTTTTGGTGGAGACTTGGTGGTGGGAAGGGATGGGAATCAAGTCAATTTTCCCCCAAACACATTTGCCAAATATTAGGGCTCCATGGGGCAAAAGGCAAAAACACTTAAGGAGAAAGCTTCCAAAAAGTAGAATGTTTTAGCAGACTTGGGAGCCAGTGATTAGAGGTGGGACCTTCCAAAGGGAGGGGATATACATAATACACCAGGCTTTCAGTGGAAAACTCTGGAGGGCCAGGAACAAACCCTGGATAGACTGAGCATTAGCAGGACTGCAGCCCAGCCTTGACTCAGCACAGTTTCTAGTGAAACAGGATGCTCAGCCACCACTCTGTCTGCCTAGTGTGGGAAGGGTGAGCCCTCTCTAGAGAAAGCTAACACCAGCTGGAGTCTCTACAATTTATTTATATATGTTATTGCCAGGTGTGACAAAAGACATGTGCCACATGTCTGAAAACCAAGAGAAAAAAGAGACAATAGAAACAAATCCATAAGTGATCCAGGTATTGGGGTTAGGTGACAAGAACCTTAAAATAACCATGATTAGTATATTTAAGAAATTAGATGAAAATATGGAGAATTTCTTCAGAGAATTAGAATCTACAAAAATGAAACAAATGGAAATTGTAGAACTGCTAACCAACCACTATGTGGAAATCATGTGTTAGACATGTGCTGGGTGCTTTACACACGCAATATTTAATCATCTTAAAAACCACATGAGGTATATTTTATTGTCTATATTTTATATGTGATGGGACAAGAGTTACTAATGTGTGTGTCATGCACCTTCTCCCTCACTCTACTTTTTTTTTTTTTTTTTTTTTGAGATGGAGTCTCACTCTATCACCCAGGCTGGAGTGCAGTGGCGCGATCTCGGCTCACTGCAACCTCTGCCTCTTGGGGTCAAGTGATTCTCGCGCCTCCCGAGTAGCTGGGACTACAGGCATGTGCCACCACCCCCAGCTAATTTTTGTATTTTTAGTAGAGATGAGGTTTCGCCATGTTGGCCAGGCTGGTCTTGAACTCCTAACCTCAGTTGATCTGCCCACCTCTGCCTCCCAAAGTGCTGGGATTACAGGTGTGAGTCACTGTGCCCAGCCCTCCCTCACTCTACTTCTATTGATTAAAGGAGAAGCCTTATCAGCTTTATTTCTTAGTATTTTAAATAGGTAGAAAGAGACAGGACCTGAGAGAGAGGAGGACTACATTATGTCAGAGAGGCTAAGTCAATTTATAATATATGGCTGAGAGAGGGAGGAAGAGGATTGAGAGAGAACAGGGACTGAGGAGGTAGAGATAATTTGTGTGTGTGTGTGTATGTGTGTGTGTGCATGCGTGTGTGTGTGTGTGTGTGTGTGTGAAAGGTTCTAGGAACAGCTTCAGGTTAGAGATAATTGAGGAGTGGGGGAAGAAAATTTGAGAAATGTCATTATGGGTTATGAACTAGATCCTTTTTGGTGTCCTTTGAATACACAAATCACTTTAAAATTTACTTTTGGGCCTCTGATAGTGCTTCCATATATGCCATTTGTGCAGAGACTAAGCCACGTAGGGGCCATTAAATTTGTTAGGGTTACAAATAGATGAATACACCAATACTTAGTGAGGGTAAGCAAGTTGCCTAAGTTCACACAGTCGGGAAATAAAAAAAGCGTCAGGAACCTAAGGCCGTCTGATTCCACAGTCCAGGATTTTCCTGGACAACACAAATTATATTTTACTACAACATATTAGAAAACTGCCTTGCCTTGACTCCTCCAAAAAGAGAAGTAAGAAAGGGGGGAATTTCTATTCTGGGCCTAAATTTGACCAAAGCCTAGGAATTGGTTAGTAAAGTGGGGAAGCGATAGAAAAGGCACTATGTCAATCTGGAGTTTGGGTAGTCAAATTATATCTGAGACTTTAATCTCAAACATAGGATCCTATATTTAAAAACCTATTTGAAATATGTTTTTCTCCAAAAAGAAACAGCATACAAATGTCTAATGACAAGTGGAAGAAACTAGAGAGCTCCCATTCAAGAAGTACCATTTGAGTTTGGTCTTTCAGGATAGGGTAGGATTTGAACACACAGAGATGAGAGAAAGGTCAACATGAGCAAAGGCTCAAAGGTGGAAAAATTTAAGGTTTCTGTATTAATTTGGTTGGAGTGTATGGTACATGAAGGGGAATAATGGGAGATAAGGTGGGACCTTGAATATTAGGCTAAGGAATATGGACTTTATGGATAAACAATAGTAAGCCACAAAGTATTTTTCAGCTGAGTAGTGGCAGAATCAGTGCTGAATCAGATTAATCAAAAGATTAATCTGTTGGCATTATGTGAAATGGACTAGGAATGGGAAGCACTAAAAAAGCATTGAGACAAGTTGAGAGATTATTGCAGTATTAAAGGAAAGGTTAAAAGGGCTTGAATTAGGATAGTGATAACAGATGCTATAGGGATAGAATAGGCAAGGTGTAATACGTGATTGAGTATTGATACATAGAAAAACATGTGATAGGGGAATGCTTCAAGGAGATTAAGCTAGTGCCAATGTGCAGGGAAAACCAGAAGAGAGAGAGATTGGAGGCAGGGAAGCCAGTTAGGAGTTTACTGAAGAAGTCTTGGTGAGACAAGCAGTGGGAACAGGAAGTAAAGGAGAGTTACAACTCATGTTATGAGTGGAAAATTGATATGACTTAGTGATGGAGTAGGTGTAAAGGGTGAGATGGCTGAAAGTGACTGAGGTTTCAAGCCTGGGTGACTAGACAATGGCGGTGCTGCTATTAACAGAAAGGCAGAAGTTAGAATGAGAAGTTGGCTGGAGGGGAACATTACAGTGAAAAACAGAAGGCAAGAGAGTTAAATATGGAGCTGACTTGAAATCAGATTTTAAAAGAACATATGAAAAAGGTATATGAAAGAATAAAAAACCAAAGATGGAGTTAAAGAAGCATGGCAAACTTGTAAAAATAGGCTTAGGAGGTTAAAACCCTAAATAAGTCTCGTCACACTTAAAAATATTTGTGTTGAATTAATGAGCTGAAGTTTGTGAAAAGTTTGTACTCTATAACATACTGCCATTCAGGATTTTTGCTGCTTGGAGAAAATGTCATGTGAAAAACAAGAAGGAAGAGGCATTTAAACACTGTTTTGCGGCCAGGCACGGTGGCTCACACCTGTAATCCCAACACTTTGGGAGGCTGAGGTGGGCAGATCAACTGAGGTTGGGAGTTTGCGACCAGCCTGACCAACATGGAGAAACCCCGTCTCTACTAAAAATAAAAAATTAGCCAGATGTGGTGGTGCATGCCTGTAATCCCAGCTACTCGGGAGGCTGAGGCAGGAAAATTGTTTGAACCCAGGAGGTGGAGGTTGTGATGAGCCAAGATTGTGCCATTGCACTCCAGGCCTGGGCAACAAGAGCGAAACTCCGTCTCAAAAAAAAAAAAAAAAAGAAAGAAAACTGTTTTGCTGCTGTCTTTTCCAGAATAGGAGAGTGGTCTTTAATCTAGATGAGGTGGACCAAACGGAGTAAAGAGAACAGCAGTACAAGATGAGTAAGCCGTTGTTATGAGTACTGTGCCATTTTAAGTGAGTTCAACTCCGCTGAAGTACAGAAGCATAGGGTGTAAGTGAAGGAGAATTAGCTTCAGTGTTATAGTCTGTATTTATCTGGCTACATCCAGAGTAGGGAATTTAGCAAAGAAGTTAAAAACATGGGCTTTGTAGTCAACAGAACTAGGTTCAAATTCTTTTTAAATTTTCTTTCTTTCCCACCCCCCCTAAGCAGTGTCTCCCTCTGTCGCCCAGAGTGCAGTGGTGCGATCATGGGTCACTGCAGCCTTGAACTCCTGGGCTCAGGCAAGCCTTCCACCTCAGACTCCCGAGTAGCTGGGACTACAGGTGTGAGTCATTGCTCCTGGCTAATTTCTTAATTTTTAATAGAGACAGGGTCTCACTCTGTTTCTCAGGCTAGTCTTGAATTCCTGGGCACAAGTGATCCTTCTGCCTTGGCCTCCTAAAGTGTTGGGATTACATGTGTGAGCTAGGTCCTCAAACTCTGACAAGACTACTTTGGTAGCTGTGTGACCTTAGGTAACTTACTTGGTCTTTTTAGGCCTCAGCCTCCTCCATCTGCAAAAGTTGGGATAACAATCTCTACTTCAGATTATTGTGAGGATTAAATGAGGTAAAGTATGCAAAACACTTGGTTAAGTGACTACCACTTAGTAAATGCTCCAAAATATGGGTATCTACTAGTGACAGGTCAACTACATCCCTGCCCTTTTCCAAGACAGAAGACTAACAAAGAAAAGGTCTCTTCATCTCTACAACAGTGCTTGGCATACAGTGGTGAGTAAATATTTGATAAATAAATAGACAGATAGATAAATACAGATCCTCAAACCCTGAGTTTAGTGGCAGGGAGACTCTAATCTCGTGTATGTAAGCCAGGATGGAAGGGAATACTTTTTCCCATCCTTATTATTACTATTTTTTTTTTGAGACAGAGTCTCACACTGTTGCCCAGGCTGGAGTGCAGTGGCACGATTTCGGCTCACTGCAACCTCCGCCTCCCAGGTTCAAGCGATTCTCCTGCCTCAGCCTCCCAAGTAGCTGGGATTACAGGCATCTGCCACCACGCCCAGCTAATTTTTTATTTTATTTTATTTTTAGTAGAGACAGGGCTTCATCATGTTGGCCAGGCTGGTCTCGAACACCTGACCTTGTGATCCACTCACTTCGGCCTCCCAAAGTGCTGGAATTACAGGTATGAGCCACCGTGCCCAGCCTATTATAACTATTTTTTGAGACAGGGTCTTGCTCTGTCGCCCAGGCTGGAGTGCAGTGGTGCGATCTTGGCTCACTGCAACCTCTGCCTCCCGGGTTCAAGTGATTCTCATGTCTCGGCCTCCTGAGTAGCTGGGATTAGAGGTGCGTGCCACTATGCCTGGCTAATTTTTGTATTTTTAGTAGCTGTGGGATTTCACCATGTTGGCCAGGCTGGTCTTGAACTCCTGGCCTCAAGTGATCCACCTGCCTTGGGCTCCCAAAGTGCTGGGATTACAGACGTGAGTCACCACACCAGGTTATAGTTCCTATAACTTTTCCCCTACTTAGGACATTTGAGTTGTTTCTAATTTTTCACCACTGTAAATAACACCGAGATGAACATGCTGGTACATATATCTTCATCCCTTTCCTGACTGTCTTCTTTGGCTACATTCCCAGCAAAAGGAAAGGGTATCATTTTCCGGAAAATTTACATCCTCTCTAGCAGTGTATTAAAATGTCAATGTATGTTTAAAATATCAAATACTGTAAGAATGTATTGAAGCCACCTGGGAGAAATTCCTCCCATGTGATGTATCATCTCAGATTCTGAGGAACTGGGTGGAGTAAATAGTAAACTGAGCTGTTGGGCACTAACAGTTACAACGGCTCCGTTGTCTCTGCTCTGCAAAGACAGGAGATGGGTGTTCTTCAGACAGGAAACAGGAACTCAGTGGGTGGACCTAAAAGGGAGTGCGGGCTTCGAAACAGGAAAAAAAGAAGTCTGCTTCTGATAGTGAAAGAGATGCATTGCTGTGCTGTCCTGATCATCCTACTAAGTCAAACCTTTATTCTATATCTGTCCTTGCATTCTATTTGCAGTTGTTTTAATTTTGCTAAGTGTTGTGTTAGTTTCATGTGACTGCTTTTATTTTTTCCATTTCAGGGAATGACATCCATCTAGTTGTTCAAGTCAGAAACCATGCAGTTATTTGATACTTCCTCTTTCTCACTCCCTATATCCAATCTCTCAACCAAGTTCTGACAATCTTCTCTCTAAAATATTTCTACACTTGGTCATAGCTAAAAGGCCAAGAAGCGATTCTAAAATATTTCTCTAATTGGTTTGCTCATCTCATCTTGACTTCCAATGTTCTAGTTCAAACCACCACGGTCTCTTGACTAGTCTACTGCAATACCCTCCTAGCTCATTTTCATGTTTCCATTTTTGCTTCTGCGAGTTCATTTCCAAATTTCTGCCCAAGTAATATTTTAAAAACTGAAATAGATAATGTTATTTCTCATGATTTGTTTCCCTAAGTCCAAATCCTTAATTTGGCCTACAAAGCTTTGCATGATTTGACCCCTGCTCACCTCTCCAACCCTACCTTTTGTCACTCTCTCCCTTCCTCCCTGTTTCAGTCACAATGGCTTTTCTGTTCTTGATTTTTCTCTCAGCTCTTTCCAGCCTTAGGGTCTTTGCACATGCCTTTCCTTACACCTGGAATGCTCTGCCTGCCACCCTTCACCTGGTTAATTCTCACTTATCTTGTAGGTCTTAGTTTAAATGTCACTTCTATAGACAGGCTTTCTTATAGCAGCTTTTTCTTTTCCTTTATAAACTTCTCATAATTAAGAATATATACATTTCTGTTTCTTCCATTGGAGAGTGGGTTTCTTAAGGTCATAGGTAATGTCTTTTAGGTCACTACAGAATATATATCTAGGGCTTGACACAATGTCTGGCATAGACTAAATGCTCTTCATTTAAATGAACCATAACGTCTATCAGTGTTAGGAAGGAAGTAGGTTTTAAAATACAGGTACGTACGGAAAATTCCCTGTTGCCATTTAAATGTTAAGCTTGCCAATCGGGGATTTTCAAGTTTAGTGTTGTATAACTGAATTCAGGAATTATTCTCTATAGCATGAAACCAACAAAAGGCAAGTCATATTTACTCCAAATTTCAGAGTATTTCCAGTTTTTTCTGTCTTCTTGAGGGTTGAGGCAGATTTAGGATTGGGCAGAGTTAGTTAGCTGCTTTTCTGTGGTTGGTACTTTAAAAACGATTCTTCTTTTTCACCTGGGGACATGGGTACTCACCAGCAGGCTGTGACACAAAGCATGGAAATGTTGCTGATTTGTCTCCAGCTCATCCCAGTCCAGCTGCCAACAGCTTGTAGGTCTGAGGATGAACGGGAGTCCATATGTCAATGACTCGCAGAGCCCGCTAGATTTTAAAGCCCTAGGAAGAGATAATTACAGTCAAAGACTCCTTAGTGATATCTAGAACCTCCACCTAGATCCACTTCAATTCAGCTTAACTCTAAGACAGTACTGTGAAAGCTTTTAAATTAGTGTCTGTGAACTATGCATCTTTGTATGGCCAGCATCTAGCATAGTATCTAGCACACAGAAGATTGTCAAAGTTCAGGAACCTGTGCATGGGCACAGTGGTAGGAACTGGGAAGAGTTGAAGCAGACTCTGCCATTATTGCTAATTCATTGTGTTTTTTTGTTTTGTTTTGTTTTTCTTTCAAGATAAGGGCTTGCTCTGTTACCTAGGCTGGAGTGCAGTGGTTCAATTAACTCACTGCAGCCTTGAACTCTTGGGCTCAAGCGATCCTCCTGCCTCAGCTTCCCAGAGTGGCTGGGATTACAGGCATGAGCCACCGTGCCTAGTCTGCTAATTCTATCCTACAATTGGTTCTCCTGGAAGAAGGAATTCTAGTACTTAGAGAAATGGGAGGGGGCAGGGGTAGATCCTATGTACCACTTACTCCTTGAAGGTTGGATCTCTGTCTTGATGCCTAAACAAAGTAGCTATTCAATAAACATTTACTAAATGGATAAACACCTTTTTAATGAGTCAAAAGAAAAACAATCCTCATGCAGACCTCAGAGTGTTCTACTGCAGCGCTTCTCCCACCATCTGCACATTTGGCCTCCACATGCTGAGTAGCCTGTCTTTGCTTCCTCATGCCATAGCTGTAACTGCTACTTCGGAACTGACTCTTGCCTGCCTGACACTTAAGAGATACCATCTATCTCTGGAGTTCCTAGCCACAGAACCACTAAGAATAGCATTTGCATGGATTGGGGAGGTTCCCTTGGACCATACTTGATCACTTGGAGCTTGTAATGAGAGGCCGATGACTGGGAAGCCATCTGGTAGAGTGTGATGAAGTCTCCTTTAGGGTCATCCATTCTCAAGGAGCCGTCAGCTGTGCCAGCGAGTAGGGATGGGCAGAGCAGTCGCTCTTGGAGATCACATTTCAGACACACTACAATAAAAGGAGATTACATTTCAGACACACTACAATTGGAGGAAGGATTGTGGGTAATAAGTTACCTTAGGCTATGCCATTAAGAGACAACATCTGCTACCCATTCCATCTCTACCAGGCAAGCAAGGGATAGGAGGAGGCAGGAGAGTGGAAAGAGGAAAGCCTGACTGGTTTGGAAAGGGAGAACAGGTCTGGAAGCTATAGTATCTCTATCGCTCTACATAAAAGTTAACTTATCTTCAAGAGTCTGACATGATCTTTACTTGTTTTACTTCTGGGCTGGCTGAGCAGTTGTCTCATAGTGAGACATCTGGCTTGTGATCCAGTCTGAGGAACATGTATCCTCTGTGGAGGAGGTAGCTAATGCCAAAATATGCAGAGGCCCTTTGGCAATCACAGAAGGAAATCTTGCTTCTGCTGCTTCCTTGTGGCTAAGCTTTGGCAACAGTGCAGGTCAGATGAAGGAAGAGCAGTAAAGCAGAAGTCAGGCAGTCAGATGACTGCTACTGTTTCTCTGTGGGCTCGTTCAGGGACATTCAGAGTGGGGGGAAAGGAATAAGTTCCTGAAATAGCTTATTTTTTAATTCCCCAAAGAAACATGAATTTAGGACCTTCTGGGCCTTGGAGCATCACAGTGGCATCAGACAACAGTTCTGAGGAATGCTTAGGCTAGGTAGGAGTTACTCATCTAGGTATTTTACTCTTCTGCATTAAGCTTCTGCTCCAGTAGGTAACTGCATATGCCATAGTGTATGATGATCTGTTACACAAGCTTAAATCCTTGATATTACAAAGTTCTTCAATAAAACGTATACCTGGCTTGAATAGTGATAACAAACTTGTGAATATACAAATGTTGAGTACTTCTGAGAAGGCTGGTAGTTGATGCTAGTGACTTGTGAAATGACTGTACTAACTGCAATATGAGGTAAAAAACAACATAGAAAAAAATAGAGTGGCAGAACAGATGTTAGATCCAGCTGGCCCTCCTGGGCCCTGTGAATAAGACCTAGACATTAGGTCTTATCACATTAGACATTGTGAATAAGACATTCATTCTGGGTGAGACGGCCCTCAGCCTGACATGTCCCAGAGCACAGGAAGTCAGTAGGAGGGACTTTGCCTAGGACTCCAGCTTCCTCTTATTTCCTCTGTGCCTGACTTCTCCATTTCCGGTCCTGAGGCTTTAGGACTGGACAGCTGTGTTCATCTGGCAGAGGTTTTCAATTCTGGTTGCAGTAAGAATCATCTAGGGCAGCAATCCTCAATCATTTTGGCATTAGCGACTGGTTTCATAAAAGACAATTTTTCCATGGGGTGGTGGGGGATGGTACTGTTCCACCTCAGATCATCAGGCATTAGTTAGATTCTCATAAGGAGTGCACAACCTAGATCCCTTGCATGTGTAGTTCACAATAGGGTTTGGGCTTCTATGAGAATCTAATGACATAGCCGATCTGACAGGAGGCGGAGCTCAGATGGTAATGCTTGCTCACCTGCTGCTCACCTCCTGCTGATCCAGTTCCTAACAGGCCACAGGGGTTGGGGACCCCGATCTAGGAAACTTGAAAAAGATACTGATGTCTGGGCCCTACCCCAGACCAACTGAATCAGGGTCTCTGGGGGTGAAGCCCAGACACTGGTATTTTATTATACTTTAAGTTTTGGGGTGCATGTGCACAATGTGCAGGTTTGTTACATATGTATACATGTGCCATGTTGGTTTGCTGCACCCATTAACTCGTCATTTACATGAGGTATTTCTCCTAATGCTATCCCTCCCCCAAACCCCCACCCCATGACAGGCCCCGGTGTATGATGTTCCCCACCCTGAGACACTGGTATTTTTTATAAGTTCCCCATGTGATTCTTACTGCAGCCTGGGTTAAGAAATACCCAAACTGTGGTCTCAGCAGAGTGTCCCAAAGCTGGGAAAGCTGTTTTAGCTGGGCTTGAATCTAGAACCAGGTGTGCTTCTCCCACCCAGAGCCCAGATGCAGATGTGGCAGACACCATACCTAAGAACAAGAAAAGAAACTCATGTGTAACTCACTGTGTGCTCTGTCAGAGGAACGCCTTTCTAAGGGAAGCACCTAAAGACGGGGTGAAGGGCCCTAGGCAAAGAAGCAGCTGGCATCAGATAGAGAACCTTGTAAGAAGGAGTCAGAGTGAACATCTGAGATGCATACCCCAAAGAGTCTAGAGGAGGAAAGCTTGGGTTTTTTGTTTTGTTTTCTTTCATTTTTTGTAGTGAGCCATACTCCAGAAATCTACATGTGTGGCAATACATCAATTTTTAAAATAATAATGCCAGCATAATCTTTATTGTGTTTAAAATCTCAGGTGGGTCACATCCACCCTAGAAGAGGCCTAATTTCCCCAGACCTCATTCCAGCTGTGCCTAAACATCTGGATTCCAGTGAAGACCTCCCCAGCAGAAAAGCTGACTGCAGTCTGGATATAAGTTCCACTGTGCATCCCGAAGACCTACAGATTTCTGAAAAAATGATTATAGATGGAGTTAAATATTCTGGCTCTGATCCTGGTGCTGAAAGCTTTGGAAAGACAGAGGGGAAGCTAGAGAAATTCTGATTAGCACCATGGGCAAATGCCATGTGATAGTGGAAGAAAGGCTGGTTACAGGAGTTCCTGGCCTCTGAGGGCACCAGCCCTCCTAATGAAAGAAGTGAATCTCTAGCCCCTTTGTTCAGAATTGCTTAGCATGAGGCAGGTTAATATAGTAGATAAAGGCCCAGGTTCTGGAGGAAGATAGACCTGGGTTTATTGACATTGTCTGGGCTGAGAGTGTCAAGTGTACAAAATATAGATTTCTGATCCTAAGGGTTAAGAGTGGGCCCTGTTGCCTGGCTTCAAATCCTAGCTCTGCTACTAATTTTCTGTGCAGCCCTGGGAAAGTGTGCTTAATTTCTCTAAGTCTCAGTTTTCTCATATGGAAAATGGGGGTAATATTGTATTTAATTGATTCTAAGACACATTTTTTTTCATCTCTGTATGTGTCTTACAATTGCCATTGGCCAGGCAGGCACTCTAAGTCCTTACTTACTACTCTAACCTAAAAGAGCTCTCTCGATACAGGTAAAATACTACTTCTAAGTGACAAGAAAGAGCTGTGTAATGTTTAACGGGCAATGTCTTCTTTCTTTTTTTTAAAAAAAAATCTTTATTATTAAAAACATTTTTTTAGAGATAGGGTCTCACTCTGTTGCCCAGGCTGAAGTGCAGTGGCTCCATCACAGCTCACTGCAACCTTGAACTCCTGGGTGCAAGTGATCCTCTTGCCTCGGCCTCCTGAGTAGCTGAGACTACAGGTGCATACCACTGTGCCTGGCTAATTTTTTATTTTTATTTTTTGTAGAGACAGGTCTATGTTACACAGGCTGTCATTAATTCCTGGCTTCAACGGATCCTCCCACCTTTGCCTCCCAGAATGCTGGCATTACAGGAGTAAGCCACTGCACCTAGCCTGTTTTCTTTCTTACTGGTACATAAAATAGTGGTGTACCTTACAATTGATAGCATCTTAGATTCAATGACATATGGTAACAGTATCTGCCTCATAGTGTTATGTGAAGATAAAATGGGATAATGCAAGAAATGAAGTTAGTGCTTGGCACAGAGGCAGGGCTTAATAATGTTAGCTATACACTAGCTTCTATATAAAGTTGCTAGCTGCCTTAAGTAGGGAAAACAGATAAGTGAAGTCCAGAGGATAGGACAGGGAGAAATTGGTACTATCAGCCTTGGACAAAAGAGGTGGAAAGGAGGTTCTGGGAAGAATATTTTACACAAAGAAAAGACAGATTAAAATCAAGTTAAGTTGGCAAAGACATTCTGGGCACTAGGTTGAAATGGGGGAGAGAGGAAGAGACTTGACGGCCATCCCTAGACAGAAAGGGTCTTGGGAAGCCTTAATCCTGTGTAGTAACACCTCCAAAAAGCCCTCCCCTGTCCTAAAGAAACAATGGTCATAAAGAGTTCTATTACAGCTGAAGAAAAGGAACATATATAAAAACTCAAATATACTGCCAATGGCCAAGAAAGAGCTCTCAAAGGAGGCGGTAACCCCAGTGAGTCGTGTCAAAACTTATGAGAAGGGCTTTGGTAAACGTCATGTTCAATCCATTCTTCAACCCTCAATGATCTCTGTAGCCACTACCACTACCAGTATTCTGTTCAATGAGAAAGATGGGTACAAATTCCCACCCCTAAAGAAGATATACTTTGGTCATTTCTCTTTGGAGCTGGTCTTTGAGGACCCAGCTTTCCCAACCTCAGTGTGGCTGATTAGACTGATAGATGGGCCCATCTATCTGCAGGCCCAGCCACCCCAGGTCCCGCCTGAGCCAGCCTTCCGAGGAGATGGGAGAATGGAAATGGCCTTATTCCTGTCATCTAGTGGGACCTGGAATGAAGTATAATTGCCAGGCAGAACAGTATCCATTATCCAGGATATTTTTGGCATGACCAGAACACTGGATTGATCTCTCGGTTTCAGTAATTGCCTGAACTGCTTTGTGAACATGGTCTTGGGCACAGGTTGTCCTCCCTGGGGCGTATCTCTGTAGGTTCTTTAGTTTTCCCCCATTTGCTGCCTCCCTAGCGAGAAGATCTTTATTTAACCTTGGTTCTCTTCCTCTCGCCACAGGCTGTATTGATATTGTTGAGGTAGCAGCATGCTCCAAACTATAATGTCAATTATATTTACCACATTAAAAATGAGAATATTGAGAAATGTGATCCACTGTGTTCTTATGTAGTCTAGCCAATTCTCTGTCATTGAGGTGTCTCAGACTTTGCCCCTAAACTAACTGGCCCTTGCTGGTTGGGCTTAATTAGGTTCAGCTTTCTAACTATGATTGCTTCTTAGAACTTCTCTTCTTATTCCTCACGCTTATATTGGACAGCCTCATCCAACCCTCTTCCAGTCCCTAAACCTCAACGATGCTATATTCCACTGACTCACCACCAATCTAGAGTCCTGATCCCAGATAAGAATAATCATAGCCTAAATATCTTTTGGGGATTATGTACTTGGATTATCTCTGGGTCTGGAAATGTTGCTGAAACACTGTGAAGAAAGAAGAAGATGGATTTGTTCTTGGTCTGTTCCACTGTTATGTAGCCAGGCTTTGAAGAAAATCTCCATGCTGACGATATCATTGTCTATAGTCTGAAGGTCAATGTCAGTTCCCAGAATAGAACTCTCTGCAAAAGAAAGGGAAATAAAGTGTTCACTTAGATTGTAAATTTTGAGTAATATAAAATTTTGAACACATCCATCTTTTCTTTTTTGAGACGGGGGTCTCATTATGTCACCCAGGCTAAAGTACAGTGGCTATTCACATGCACAATCATTGCTCACTGCAGCCTCCAAATGCCTGGGCTCTAGCAATCTTCCTGCCTCAGCCTCCTGAGTAGCTGGGACTACAAGCACTCACCACCACGACTGACTAATTTTTTAAAAAACTTTTTTTTAGAGATGAGGTCTCGCTATGTTGCTCAGGCTGGTCTCTAACTCTTGGCCTCAAAGCAATCTTCTTGTCTCAGCCTCACAGGTAGCTGGGATTAGCTGGGATTATAGGCACTTGTCACTGGCCCAGCTTCCACACCTATTTTTTGATCCATTGACTGTATCTCTAGACATCTAGCCTAGAGACATTCTTGAGCAGTACACAAAGGCATATGCAAAGATGTTTGGTATAGCATTGCTGTAATAATAAAAACCCCAAACGGGAAGCAGTTCAAATCCCCTCAATAGGGAATATTTAAATTATGACACACTCAAACTATGGAGTATTACGTGTTTGTTAACAAAGCTAAATGTACTGACATGAAAAACTAGGAGATAGTAAGTAAATAAAGGAAGCTGTAGAACAGATATAACATGATCCCATTTATATAAAAATAAAACTATCTACATATATATATGTAAATGCATTTTACAAAGCTCTGGAAGGCTATCATCAAACTGTTAACAGTGGACAGGAAGTGGAAATAGGGCAGGGTTCTGAGATACTTTCCCTTTTTACTCTTCATACTTCTATACTGTTTGAATTTTATTGGAGTTGTGCATTTCTTGTGTTAAAAAAAATTCTAGGTGGGGCATGGTGGCTCACACCTGTAATCCCAGCACCTTGGGAGGCTGAGGTGGGTGGATCACTTGAGCTGAGGAGTTCAAGACCAGCCTGGCCAACATGGTGAAATCCTGTCTCTACTAAAAATATAAAAATTAGCCAGGTGTGGTGGCGGGCACCTGTAATTCCAGCTACGTGGAAGGCTGAGGCACGAGAATTGCTTGAATCTGGGAGACAGAGGCTACAGTGAACCAAGATCAGGCCACTGCATTCCAGCCTGGGCAACTCCATCTCAAAAGAAAAATAAATAAATAAATAAAATAAATAAAAAATAAAACATGGGAGAAAGAAATCCACTGTAAAAACAAACAAACAAACAACCCCAAAACATTCTAGAATATAAAAACCACCAAAAATTATACAGCAATGCAAATTAAATACTTAGTTGAACAAAGGGGACTTCAGCTTCATGTTATTTTACAGTGAAAATGTGTTCTATTACTACTTGTTATAAAAAATTAATTTAAAAAAATTAAAAGGAAAAAAGATGAATTTTGGGGTATCCCCTTATAGTAGAGAACCAAGCCTGGAGCATCAGTCATTGGCATACTGTATCTCACAAGTGTGGTTAACAGCAAAAAGGATGGGGAGGGTCTGGTAGAGTGTGATTTAATTCCAAATCTGAATGAATGGAGCTGGGTAGGTGGGGTAATGAGGCTTTGCTGGTGTACTTCCAGCTTCGGGCAACACTAGCTAAGGAATTGGGGCCTGGGTCTGCAGGTAAAGGTCATCAGTGAAAGCCAAATATGAGGTGGTGGAAGAAGCACAGAGCAAATAAGGGAAGAACTAGAAAGAAGCTGAGGGGGAACTCTACTTTCCTTGCTTCATCAGGAGGGATCTCTGAAATACTTTTACAAAGGGCCTAAGAAAAGCCAGTTGCTCCAATGAATTAGCTTCTGTGTATGACTCATAGACCCCAGGGAGAAGGCTGGATTATTTCTAGAATGACATTCCTGAGGACAAGTTTGCAGAGGTGGCAGACTTTCCACAGGGAACAAAGGGGCTTCAGTCCAACATACTTGTTCCAACACAGGGGAACTGTGGTGAAAATGACTTCATGTCATATTTAACAACTTATCCTGCAGCTGAAAAGGGGCATCAAATGCATTTCTCTATGGCCAGAATGATAAAAACTCTGCCATCTTCCATGAATAGTTATGAGGATTCATTGTTAACTAGTTAGTTATTTCATTCATTCCATCAGATATATCTGACACTCTGTGCCCTTATGGAGTTTATAAAGCAACATGAATCTTGACCATTTTTCCCCAAACTCTCATCTGCCTCATTATGTTTTAGGGTACTACTGTGATATATATAAAGTCATTGCCAAAAAAACATTCCTTGCAAGTAAAGAGAAATATCTTTTAAAAAAATAATGTGCATTTTATTTTGTCACAGGCAAAACAAGGAGTAATTTAATTTTTCTAAGCCTGAAGCCTGTACTTTGATTTGAGTAACAAGTATGAAAATGACTCAGCAGCTTCTCTTCAGTGAGGCAAAACAGTTCTTAAAGCATAAAGTGGCGGCTACTAAAGCAATGCAACCGAGGCCAGGCATGGTGGCTCATGCCTGTAGTCCCAGCTACTTAGAAGTCTGAGGCAGGAGGACAGCTTGAGCCCAAAAGTTCAAGACCCACCTGGGCAACATAGTGAGACACTGTCTCAGTTGCAAAAAAAAAAAAAAAAAGAAAAAGAAACAGAATTGAGCAAAGGAGCTAAGAAAAGTAGAGAAGATAAACTTGCTGAGTTGAAATAACAGAATTTTTGGGAAAAGAAGTAAGTGTTTCTTTTCTTCTCCCCAGGGAAAGGGTGGATGATGAGACACTCCTACCACAGGCAATGTGAGGGAGCAATGCAAAGCCATGTCCCATCAAGAATCTGGAAGTAAGGAAAATAAAGGTTTCCTCAGAGAGTTAAACTATAAAATCAACCAGAATGGTGAGGCCAATGAAAAAGTTACCCTAAGAAGGCAGAATGGCTTATTGTCCAAGGCAAGATTTGGCTGTAGCCTTATTGATGTTATTGCCATATATATATATATATATATATATTTTATTATTATTTTTTTATTTTATTTTTTTTGAGATGGGGTCTCACTCTGTCACCCATGTTGGAGTGCAGTGGTGTGATCTCAGCTCTCTGCAACCTTCACCTCCTGGGCTCAAGTGACTCTCCTGCCTCGGCCTCCCAAGTAGCTGGGAGTACAGGTGTGAGCCACCACACCTGGCTAATTTTTGTATTTTTTGTAGAGATGGGGTTTTACCATGTTGCTCAGGGTGGTCTCAAACTCCTGAGCTCAAGTAATCCATCTGCCTTGACCTCCCAAAATGCTAGGATTGCAGGTGTGAGCCACCTTGCCCAGCCTATATTGGCATATCTAAAGAATGAATGTGTCTATTGGAAGGGGAGAGGGTTGGCCAGAAATGCAGCACAGAGAAGGGGAACAGCGATGCGTGCTGGCAGTGCCCATCTTAAGTGCAGCTCAGAGAAGGCATGTGGACTCAGTGATGTGTCCCAATTGCAGAGATGTGTTTGTCAAGTCTCTGCTCTTTTTTGTGATTATGGTTATGGTTCTCCCTCTAAAACATTCTGGCTTATCCTTTAGTCTTGAGCTTAGGAAGGTGCGTGTTTTGCTGGCAAAATTAACTTTCTGATCCTGCGAAGCTAAAGAACCAGGCTTGAAGCACAGCCTCTCTATGAAGGAAAATGTCATGTGGTTAGGTCCTCCTGGCAGCCAGCCAGGCAGCAGTCTTCCCTGTTGTCACCCATCGATGTTCTGACATTCTTTTCTAACTTCTTAACCTACATGTTCTTGGAAGAGCCATGAAGCAGAACTGATTTCTTGAAAAAGTCCTCATATAATCTCCACAGAGGTGCTGTGTGTCGGGTTTGAGCTTTCAGTTTTGCAGTTTCAGAAGGGAGTGAGCACCTCTTGGGGGCAGACTTACATTATCCAAACTAGAGACTTATGTGTAAACCAGAACATTTTAGAGGCTAAACTTTTTTTCCATTTTCTTTGTCATTCTAGGAATTCATTTCCTTGTCCCTGATTATGGCAGTAGCTTCTTAACTGTCCTAGCAAACTCCATTTCTTCCCCTCCATTACTTATTATTACTACTACCAGTTACTTTTTCTGAAACATGGTTTCATCAGATCCCTCCTTTGCTCAAGAGCACACACTGCCTTCTTGTTGTCACTCACTCATCCTGTATCACTTGGTACTACTCATTATTCTACAAGTACCCTACCCTTCCCTTCCTCTGTGATGGCTCAGACTATTTCCTCCTCATCACTACCTGTTGAGATATTGCCATCCTTGAAGACCGAGTTCAAATGTCACCTCCTTCATGAAGTCTGCCATTATTGTATTCCTTCCATTATTATAGTCCCATAGCTTTTGGTTTACATTTGTAATATAGTTCACATTACATTTTACCTTAGTACTATTGTTATTTGGGAATACGTTTGATCTCTCCCATTTAAATGTAAATTAAAAGGTGGGAATTGTTTCTTTTCACTTTTATCCTCCCTATCAGGGCCTTGTATAGAGCTGAAGCTTAGCAAATGCCTGAGTTGAACAGTGACTCCCTCCTCCTCAGCTCTCATTACTTTTTCCTGTAACTCTTGAGCTTCATCTAAGTTAGTCTCCTTGCCACATGACTTCCTTCCTTCCTTAGTGCTTTCATTAATGTTAGCCCATGGCCTGCACCTCTTCCAGAATTCAACTCAGGACTGACTTTGTCCAAGAAGTTATGCTTAACTATATCCTCCCTTATCTAGCTTTAATTGCCATCCCTGGGTATCTGTGGGCTTCATTTGGGCAATATTAATCGCACTGCTGATTTATTTTTTTTTAAAGGATTTTCTTCTCTTTTCCTGAGTTTATGAAAGGCTTAATGGAAAGACCAGGGTTTGACTTGAGAATTAAAAGTTGTTAGCAGCCGGGCACGGTGGCTCACGCCTGTAATCCCAGCACTTTGGGAGGCTGAGGCGGGCAGATCACCTAAAGTCGGGAGTTTGAGACCAGCCTGACCAACATGGAGAAACCCGGTCTCCACTAAAAATACAAAAAATTAGCCAGGTGTGGTGGTGCATGCCTGTAATCCCAGCTACTTGGGAGGCTGAGGCAGGAGAATCGCTTGAACCTGGGAGGTGGAGGTTGCAGTGAACTGAGATCGCGCCATTGCACACTAGCCTGGGCAACAAGAGCGAAACTCCATTTCAAAAAAAAAAAAAAAATTTGTTAGCTATGTGATTTTGGGCGAAGTGGAATAGTACAACATATTTCTTAGTAAAGCACTACAAAGCGAGATGATTATCTATAAATGGCATCCAGTAGGTCCAACAAATATAATTTTCTTCCTTTTCTCTCATCCACAAAATGAACTCTTTTAGGATAATAATATATTTTCCTTTTTTTTTTTTCTTTTTTCTTTTGAGACGGAGTCTCGCTCTGTCCCCCAGGCTGGAGTGCAGTGGCGCGATCTCGGCTCACTGCAAGCTCCACCTCCCGGGTTCACGCCATTCTCCTGCCTCAGCCTCCCGAGTAGCTGGGACTACAGGCGCCTGCTGCCATGCTTTGCTAATTTTTTGTATTTTTAGTAGAGATGGGGCTTCACCGTGTTAGCCAGGATGGTCTCGATCTCCTGACCTCGTGATCCACCTGCCTTGGCCTCCCAGAGTGCTGGGATTACAGGTGTGAGCTACCACGCCTGGCCATATGTTTTCCTTTTTTAAAGCTTTTTTTCCCTTGGTCACTGCTTTCTACCCCCGACTACCATACATTGAACACCAACAACTAGTATGTATTGTGTTCTTCACAAATACGACTAAATGTGCTAAATCTGGGGATCGGGGAGGAGACTTCTCAGACGTTGAAAAACAGCTCCCTCACTGGCTGGGGAGCAGGGTACCCATGCACTAGATGAACGGGTCACACCAATGGCATGAAATGGAAAGGTTACAGGAGTGAAACGGTGGCCCTTAGTGTTTGGATAGTTAAAGCAGTGAGGAAGGCCTGGTTCACTGCAGCCCAAGCTGCAGCCAGCATTCACATTGTTTTTGAACTTACCCTGCCCTCCTGCGGCCACAATGGGAAAAAACTAAGAAAGCCAAATGACTGAAGATTAGGTAATACCTGAAGTAGACCCTCTCAGAAGAAACCTTAAAATAGGGTTATAAAATTAAAGTGTGTTTAAAATAGGAGACTTTAACATACATACGTGCATATACAATGTCTGTATTTCTCTCTTCACATAAAATATAGAGGCCCAGGAAAGTAGAGGCCCAGGAAAAGGTGCTCTTGCCCAGTCCTCCACATCTTCCCCCGTCTCACAGGGCCCTAACCTCTAGGCCTGACCTGTTCCTTTCCGAATGACATTCATGAGGCCTGTACTTGGGTGTCATGGATGGGCTTCAGACATTCTGAGAACCCCTTGAAATTATATACAATTCATCTGTACATGCATAGATGTATTTTGGTGGGGTGGGGGAAGGGGGAAAGCCCCTAGCTTTTATCAGATTCTCAAAAGAGCTCTATGACCCCAAAAAGGTCAAGAACCACTACAGAGACTATAGAGTCACAGTATCTTAGCCTGCCTGGGTTGGTTTACAATTAGCTGTCTACTCTCTGAATACAGGATAGCTATAGGATGTTAACAACCAGGGTAAGTAATCACAGCAGATAAAGCTTAGTCAGGAACAGCAGTGCAGCATCATCCAACCATTGTCTTTAAATCAACACAACATGAGAATAATCTAACAGCTTACAACGGTGAGGCAGTCAAGCTTGTCTTTCTAAGCTCATTTGCCTCATTTGTGGAAGTGATGCTTGGACCCTAGGAAAAAGGAGAAGCCCCTTGAAAAGAGTTGGCAGGGGTGGTGGTAGTGGTTATCAACATGTGAACTCAGGGCAGAGAGGTGACTGCAGGAATGGACCTAGTGGTGACTATCTTCCTGGAGCCCCAGTCTGTAAGAGGGTCAAAACATCACCATAACTGTAATGAGATAGAGAAAATTTATATCCCAGAACTCTTCTCAGAGAGAGAGAACTGTTGTCATTCATTCATTTGCTTAGTCATTCATTTATTTAGTCATTCAAGCACTTATTAGTTTACTGTCTTTTATGAGCTAGGCACTTATTGGTGTCATCAAGAAAAGAGACAAATTGCCTACTTTCGTGGCTTACATTCTAGTGAGAGAACAGATAATAAGCAAGCAAATAAAACAGAATACAATTTCAGATGATAGATACTATGAAGAAAAATAAAGGGGCGTGTGTGTGTGCACGCGCGCGCGTGCATGCATGTGAAGTTTTAGCTTGGCTGGCCAGGGAAGTATTCTTTAAGAAGCTGACAGTTGGGCAGAAACTTGAATGACGTGAAGTGAGTCATAAAAACATTTGTGCGAAGATTGTTTCTTATAGAGAGATGAGCAAGTTCAAAGGTCTTGAGATGGGAATGAGCTTTTTGTGTTGGGGGATTAGCCAGAAGACTAAAGCAGAATAAGGAAGGAAGTGAGGACTAGCTAATAAGCTGCTGGGGTGAAGGACAAGACCCCCAAAGTGGCACACTCATGTATCAACAGGGGTCACTACACTTGCTTTGAAGAAGGGTGGGTTCCATTATTGCAATTTGGTATTGCTCAGGAACTGTGCAAGAGTGGGGCAGAGTAAAGCAAGTTCCTTTTTCTTTCTCTTTTTCTTTGTAGCTCTTAGCTTCTAAACAACTACTGAATTAGCATTTTAAAAATATTTGTTTGAAGGTGTGCCCAAGCTATCAGCTTGTGTAAGGTGCCACATGTCCCAGCCCAGCTTTACCGCTTATGCTTTCCTGTTGTGTGGTGCTGGCAGGCAGTGGGGAAGGAGGGAAGAGGAATCTGGGAGTTCCATGAGCAGAGCTCAAGCAGAGATCCTTCAGCCTGTAGTGGACATGCCTCTTTCCCAGCTCTGGTCAGCTACCCAGGGAATTCTATTGTTAGCAGTTGTCCATTCACCTGCCCTCATCAAGCTAATATAGTCTAAGGCAGGCTGAAAAAAATAATTGACTGTTAACTAAAGAACTAATGGTTCACAATGGATGATTTATATTATGGGTGTCCAATCTTTTGGCTTCCCTGGGCCACATTGGAAGAATTGTCTTGGGCCACACATAAAATGCATCAACACTGATGATAGCTGATGAGCTTAAAAACAAATCTTATAATGTTTTAAGAAAGTTTACGAATTTTTGTTGGGTTGCATTCAAAGCCGTCCTGGGCTGCATGCAGCCTGCGGGAAGCAGGTTGGACAAACTTGATTTACATAATTTCTGACTAGGGAATAGTGGGTTCTATTTGGGCTGCTATCACAAAATACCACAAACCAGTGGCTTATAAGCAACAGAAATATATTTCTCACCGTTTTGGAGGCTGGGAAGTCCAAGATCAAGGTGCTGGCAGATTCAATGTCTGGGGAGGACCTGTTTTTGGTTGATAAATGGCCCCTTCTCACTGTATCCTCATATGGTGGAGGGGGCAGACAAGCTCCTTAGGGAACATTTTATAAAAGCACTAATCCCATTCAGGAGGATTCTGCCCTCCCTCATGACCTAATCCACCATTCAAAGGCCCCACCTCCTAATACTATCTATTTGGTGATTAGATTTCAAAGATGAATTTTAGGGGGGGCGGGGGCGGGATACAACATTCAGACCATAGCAGACTCCCTTAGCTCTAAGATAGGTCCCAAATACTACAATTTCAAATGTAGTATTTCAGCCTTTAGTAAACAGATGAATTGGGTAAGAAAAAGTTTAGAGAGCAATTATTTTGGCTGGGAGAGTAGCCTTTTTATAATCTTTTTCTTAGGCTTGTGTGTTTCTAAGAGGGCAGAAGTGGGGACTGCCCTATGAGAGAAGCTGCACTGCACCCCTCACCTCTGGAGCCACGGAAGTGTTCCCGGATTGCCAATCCCACTTTGAACTGAGTGACTTGCTCTGCCCTAGACAGTCCAGAGAGAAGTTATTGCAGGTACGGGAGAGAAGGGCCCTGGTTAAGGCAGGGTATACCTGCCTCTGGCACCAGTTGTAGCACCTTATCTACCTCTGTACCCACAGCACTAGCGCAGTGTTTACATACAACAGGGGCTCAGTAAACGTTATATTGAACAGAAGAAACTAGCCAGCCTGGTGCTTACTTTCTCTGTGACCTTAGGCCAGTCACTTCATCTCTTTAAGCTCAATTTCTCCATTTGTAAAGTGGGAATGATAGTGATACCTAGGCTAAGGGTTTACTTGAAAATGAAATAATGACACTTGACTCCTGAAAGCAATTTGTGGACTTTAAAGCACCATGCAACTATAAGGGATGATAGAGTATAAAGCCGCCTCCCAGCTGTCTATGTAGTAGATATGAACATTTTATTCACTAAAAGCCAGTGCCATTTCTTTTGCTGAAAATTTTCTCTTCAATAAAGATCTAAGTTGTAAGAAAATATATTTTATCTATGGGTCTCAATGGCTTCATTTTCATTTTATTGGAAAAATGCAGCTTATATGCAAAAGAGATTGATCACTATTGATTGAAATATTCCAAAGTCTGAAGTATTTTTTGACGTGAGAAACATTAGACTTAGAAGGTATTTTAAAAGTCTTCTTTTTCTACAGGGACTAATACATATATTCTATAAACCAAAAAGCATTTAATGTAAATTGCAATGCAAAATTGAAAAGCTGGGAAGAAATATTGTCATAGGCACTGTGGTGGGGGAGGGAGCAGGGGAATGGGTTATTTAGGAGAAGTTTGAATTAAGAAGAAAGCAGAGTTAGGAAGGCGTTAAATCTTTTGACATGACCCAAGAACCACACCAAGCAGTTTTGACTCCTTACACCTAAGGGAACTGAAAGAAAGAGCTGCCTTGAGGTGAAAATAAATGTAAGTGGAGCCATGAAAGAAAAGACTTACTTGGGGGAGCTAAGTAGAGTAAGGAAAAGCTAAAGAAGACGCTCAAATCAAAGAAAGTCCTAAGACATACTCTTTTATTTTTTTGAGACAGAGTCTCACTCTGTCCTCTAGGATGGAGTGCAGTGGTGTGATCTCAACTCACTGCAACCTACATCTCCCAGGTTCAAGTGATTGTCCTGCCTCAGCCTTCTGAGTAGCTGGGATTACAGGCGCCCACCACCACGCCTGGCTAACTTTTTATTTTATTTTATTTTATTTTTTTTCAGTAGAGAAGGGGTTTCACTATGTTGGCCAGGCTGGTCTCGAACTACTGACCTAAGTGATCCACCCACCTCGGCCTCCCAAAGTGCTGGGATTACAGGCATAAGTCACTGAGCCCAGACCTAAGACATATTCTTAAAAAAATCCTAGATAGACTGTATAATAGCTTTGCAACCGACTCTGTGTATATACATGCATTTTTGTAGATCTGGGGGTGTATCTTCAGGGTATTAGATTCCTAGAAGTGGGGCTGGTGACTTCTAGGGATAGAAGTAAAACACATAGGTAATTTTGTGTTTAAAAATAAACACATGCCACTTCTATTGGTGTCATACTTTTTAACTTTTGCCAATCTAATAATAGGTAGGAAATAATATTTTGGTATAGTCTTAATTATCATTTCTCTAATTATGGGTGAGGTTGAACATATTTTCACATGTTTAAGGACCATTTAAAAATCTTTTTTTGAATTATGTGTTTATGACTTTTTTCCATTTTTCTCTAGTGTTTTTGGTCTTTTTCTTACTCCTCAGTTTTAAAGTGTTCTTTATATATTAGAGATATTAGTCTTTTTTTTCTCCCATGGCATAAATTGCAAATACTTTCTCCTGGTTTTTCAGTTGTCTTTTGACATTGTTTATGGTACTTTTTGCCATGCCAAAGATTTTTATTTTCATATAGTTAAATAAATAAATCTTTCTTTATTGTACCTGGATTTTGAGTCATAGTTAGATGACCTTTATCTATGCTGAGATTGTAAAGAAATTCACCAATGTTTTCTTTTAATACTTTTAATATTATTATTTACATTTGGATCCCTGGTCCATTTGGAATCTTTTCCAGATGGCTAAACCAGTTGTCCCAGCATTACTTTTTGAGCAAGTTCATCTTTGCCTTAGTGATTTGAGATGTCTCCTTTATCCTATGCTAAATTAATATCTATATTCGTGCCTATTTCTGGACCTTGAATATGTATATAGCTGTGTCCCAATCAATTCTTGCACTGTACTAACTAATGCTCTAGTGCTGGGTATATGATGGGGCTGATTTCAGATAGAAAGTGGCCAGATTGTCCCCAGATTGGGTAGTGGCAACACAAGTCATTTGCCAAGTAAAGCAGTGCTGTCAAACGTGTTAGGGGATGGGGAATGAGGAGAGAAAAGGTGAGATTTAATCAGAAGAACTTCTTTTAAGCAAAAATCTCCTAAAGAGAGAGAGTGAGAGATATGATGGAGAACGTGAGCTTATTGAGCTGAAGAGAAGGCAGAAAAGGAGGTAAAAAGAAAGAACCAAATTGAAAAAGAGTAAATAAGGGAATTCCAGTCTGGTTAGGTTCCAGTACCCAACAAACTGATTTTCTTGTAAAAAACAGCTATAAACTCTGAACAATATTTTATTCATTTATTTATTTATTTTTTGAGACAGAGTCTCATTCTGTCACTCAGGCTGGAGTACAGTGGTGCAATCTTGGCTCAGTGCAACTTCTACCTTCCAGACTCAAGTGATTTTCATGCCTCAGCCTCCTGAGTAGCTGGGACTACAGGTGTGCACCACTGCATCTGGCTAAGCTTTGTATTTTTAGTAGAGACAAGGTTTCACCATGTTTGCCAGGCTGGTCTTGAACTCCTGGCCTCAAGTGATCTGCCTGCCTCAGCCTTCCAAAGAGCTGGGATTACAGGTGTGAGCCACCATGCCTGGCCTGAACAATATTTAAAAATCAACTACCTGAAGGCTCTGCAGAATGAACAAAAGTAGACAGACTTTGGAGAGGAGTTGAAACTTGGAGTAACCAAGTAAACCAGCAAGGAATGAGTTCCCCAGTTTTTGCACTTTCTAAGAGTGGCTGCAGTCACAATAGTGTGAAGGCAGCTAAAAATTGGAAAGAAAAGCCTTTGTCTTTCACTAGCATTGCCAGGGTAAGGAGTCTGGGGCAACCAGGACCTCCAGAGAGTGAGGAAGAAATCCATGAAAGGAGAGAGCCAGAGCCGGAGCGCCCTAAATTATGTGTTTAAACTCAGTCTAGGTAAATAGCTGATTGGACCTTGCACTATACACATATGGGGTGAACTGAAAGCAGCTTATAGTTTAGGCTTAAAGATTGAGACTAAGATCTGAGTCCCTGCTCACTGCAGGCACAACAGGTTGCAGTTTGAGTTTAACAAAGTTAATTTTCTGAAAAATCAACACTTTTCAGAGCAATATAATAGAATCCAGAGTCTTTATAACACAATGTTCACAAAATACAACCCAAATGTTTTGGCACACTGAGACAGAAAACTATGACTCAGTCTCAAAGGAAAATATAAGTCAACAGATGCAAACCCCAAGATGACAGAGATGTTGGATTTATCAGGCAAGGATTTTGAAGTGGCATAATTAGAATTTGCTCAATGAGGAATAGAAAATATGTTCATAAAAAATGAAAAGATAGGACAATACCAACCAACCAAGCAAAAAGTCACAGAGTCTTGGGCTGTGCAGAACAATTTAAAAAGATTTAACATTTGGGTAATTGAAGTCCTAGAAAGATAGAGAGAAAGAATGAGGCCGAAAAAATATTTAAAAAAAATGGCAGAAAATTTCCCAAGTTGGGTTAAGATGTAAATTTACAGGCTGGGCATGGTGACTCATGCCTGTAATCCTGGCATTTTCAGAGGCCAAGATGGGAGGACTGCCTGAGCCCAGGAGTTTGAGACCAGCCTGGGCAACATGGTGAAACTTCATCTCTACAAAAAAAATTACAAAAATTAGCTGGGTGTGGTAGCACGAGCCTGTGGTCCCAGCTACTTGGGAGACGAAAGTGGGAGGATCATCTGAGCCCAGGAGGTAGAGAGGCTGCGGTGAATTGTGATCACGCTACAGCACTCCAGCCTGAGTGACACAGTGAGACCCTATCTCAAAATAAAAAAGATAATCAATTTTCAGATTCACGAGGTTCAGGGAATCCCAAATAGGATGAATTAGAAGAAATTCACACCTAAACACATCATTGTCAAGATGCTGAATAATAAACATAAGATAAATTTCTTGAAATTGCTAGAAAAAATGATCCTTTACATACAGGGAAAAATGAGTTAGAGACTGTAACTTTTGATCAGAAACCATGAAAGGCCAGAAGACAGTGGAACAACATCAAGCAATCCTCCCACCTTAGCCTTCCAAGTAGCTGGGACTACAGGTGTGCACCACCACACCTGGCTAATTTTTTGATTTTTTTGTAGATGAAGTCTCACTATGCTGCCCAGGCTGGTCTCAAACTCCTGAGCTCAAGCAATCCTCCCCACTTGGCCTCCCACAGTGCTGGGATTACAGGTATAAGCCACCATGGCTGGCCCTCTTAAGTTTTTTAAAATACATGTTTGCTTAAAGGCAAAAACAATTTTTTTTTTGAGACAGGGTCTCACTCTGTCACCCAGGCTGGAGTGCAGTGGCATGATCATGGCTCACTGCAGCCTTGACCTTCCAGGCTCAAGTGATCCTCCTGTCTCAGCCTCCCGAGTAGCGGGGATTATAGGTGCACACTACCATGCCAGGCTAATTTTTGTATTTTTTGTAGAGATGGGGTTTCATCATGTTGCCCAGGCTGCTCTTGAACTCCTGAGCTCAAGTGATCTGCCTGTCTTGGCCTCTCAAGGTGCTGGGATTGTAGGCTAAAAGCAAAGATTTCAACACTTTTCTTGTGGAGTTTATGTAGATGTAATACACATGACAATTATAACATGAAAGATAGTGTATGTGAATGGGAGCAGTAAATGGACTTAATAGCAAGTTTTCTATATTTTACATGAAATGGTACTATATATATTAATTCTGAGTAGGCTGTAAAAGAGTTTTTAAAATACATTTTAATTCCCACAAGGTCTTTGCATTTTATGTGAATATTGTAATCCTGAAGTTTCTACATTTTATATTAAATGGTATTATATTGACTCTAAGTAGACTGTAAAAAGTTAGGTATATATACTGTAATCCATAGAGAAACCAGAAAAAATGCAAAGATGAATGGCTAAATGACAATAGATAAATTAACATGAAATTGAAAAATATTTAAATAATCCAAAAGAAAGCAGGAAAGCAAGGAAGAAAGATGAAAAACAGGACAAACAGAAAATAAAATGGTAGACCTGAGTCCAACTATATGAATATGTATGGTAAATGTTAATGGACTCTACATTCTAAATAAAAGCCAGAGATGATCAGAATAGACATAAAGCAAGACCCAGCTATATGCTGTCTATAAGAGAGAGACTTTAAGTATAAAGACATAAATGAGTTGAAAGTAAATGGATGGGAAAGGATGAACCATAAAAACAGTAAGATGGCGGGGCGCGGTGGCTCACGCCTGTTATCCCAGCACTTTGGGAGGCTGAGGTGGGTGGATCATGAGGTCAGGAGATAGAGACCATCCTGGCTAACATGGTGAAACCCTGTCTCTACTAAAAATACAAAAAATTTGCCGGGCGTGGTGGCGGGCACCTGTAGTCCCAGCTACTCAGGAGGCTGAGGTAGGAGAATGGTGTGAACCTGGGAGGTGGAGCTTGCAGTGAGCCGAGATCACGCCACTGCACTCAAGCCTGGGCAAAAGAGCGAGACTCCATCTCAAAAGAACAACAACAACAACAACAACAACAACAACAAACAGTAAGACCCAAGATAAATGAAAACATATATCCACACAAAGATTTGTGTACAGACATTCATAGCAGCTTTCTTCACAATAGTCAAAAACTGGAAACAATAGAAATATCCATTAATACATAAATGTTTAAACAAAATATGACACATTCATGCAATATACCACTACTCAGCAATAAAAAGAAAACGCACTACTGATATAAACAACATAGCTGAATCTCAAAATCTGAATTAAAAAATATAAACACAAAAGGTGTGTGTACTTTAGGATTCCACCTACACAAAATACAGACTAACCTACAGACAAAAAGCAGTTAAGTGGTCTTACCTGGGGCTGGAGGGATGGATGGAGTGTAAAGGGGAAAGAAAAATCTTTTTTGAGGATGAGGGAAATGTTCTGTATATTGATCGTGATGATGATTTGTGGGCATATACATCGGTCAAAATTCACTGAATTGTATACTTCGAATGGATGCAACTTATGGTATGTAAATTATTCCCCAATAAAGGAAGGAAAGGAAAAATTTTTTAAATTTCAATTTTTAAATACTTTTAGATTTTCTACTGAACTCAAAAAATTATTTAACTCAAGTTTAAAGAGAAAAATCTGCCATTTTTCTGAGACCATGGCTTCTGTTAATGAAATAAACAAATGTCTCTCTGTGTTAAAAATCTTTAGGTAATAAATACAACAGTGGTTCTAATTTAGTCTTAATGTCAGAGGGAAATGACTTTAATGCAGTTATCAAAGGCAGACACAATGAACAGCTGTGTTTTCTGGTCTATTTTCTAAGACACTGAAAGGGAGAAAATCAGTATCTGTTCTGACAATTGCACTGAAGCATAGAAGAGGCTACCCACCCCACCCCCAGCCCTTTTTTCTGGCATTCTTTAGGAAGCAATGAATCTTTATCTTCTATGTTTGGGTTGTTAACATTTGGTGTTTCCTGAGAACACATATGGAGAAAATACCTTCCCAAAAGAGCTTGACATTGATCCCTGGCAAAGTCTAGGAGGAAATATTAAACAGATGGTTTGCGAGCACTTAGAAAGGGAACCTGATATCCTTGTGTATGACTGAGAGATGTAGACTAGTTGCCAGCATCATTAGGTTGATTTGTAATTGGCTGAATGACTTACATACCCAGTGAGTGCAGACTGCTGTCAACCTGCACAGATGCCCTGTGGATGCCAAAGTTATTGATCTCAGTGGCTATTTTAGTTTTGACATATTTATTACTTAGTCATTCTTCACAAAACTATTGTAAAACTTTTATTGTATGCCAATAAATACATGCAATAAAAATGTAAGCTATGAAGCATAACAACAAAAGTGAACACTCACAAATCCTTTATTTAACTTCAGATGTAGAACATCATCAATACTCCTGAGATATCTGCATGCTTTTCCCTAATCTTCTCCAGAAATCTTGCCACGTTGACTTTTATTTTTATAATTTCTTTCTTTTTAAAAGTAGTTTTGTAGCTGGATGCGCTGGCTCACACCTGTAATCCCAGCACTTTGGGAGGCCAAGGTGGACAGATCACTTGAGGTCAGGAGTTCAAGACCAGCCTGGCCAACATGGTGAAACCCTGTCTCTACTCAAAATACAAAAATTAGCTGGGTGTGGTGGTGTGCACCTGTAATCCCAGCTACTCAGGAGGCTGAGGCAGGAGCATGGCTCGAGCCTGGGAGGCGGAGGTTGTGGTGAGCCGAGACTGCGCCACCGCACTCCAGCCTGGGTGACAGATCGAGACTCCATGTCAATAAATAAATAAATAAATAAATAAATAAATAAAAGTAGTTTTGTTACTTTAAATAACACTTTATAATTTTAGTTTTGAGCTTTATAAATAAGTATCATATAGTATACACCTCTATCTGCTTTTTTCTCAATATTGAAAAGATGCATTCACATTGTTATTTACAGCTGTGGACCATTCATTTTCAAAAATGTATGATATTCCACCAAACATTCCTTGTAATATTTATTCTGTATATCAACTTTTTTTTTTTTTTTTTTTTTGAGACAGAGTCTTGCTCTGTCATCCAGGCTGGAGTGCAGTGGTGTGATCTTCATTTATTGTGGCCTTGACCGCCCGGGCTCAAGTCTCCTGTCTCAGCATCCTGAGTAGCTGGGACTGCAGGTGCATGCCACCATGCCTGGCTAATTTTGTTTATTTTTTGTAGAGATGAGGTCTCACTATGTTGTTCAGGCTGATCTTGAACTCCTGGGCTCAAGTGATCCTCCTGCCTTGGCCTCCCAAAGTGCTAGGATTATAGGCATGAGCCACCACACCCAGCCATTTTCATGTATACTTTGATGAACAGAAATTCTTCATTTTAATGTAGTTATACTTATCAATCTTTTATTATATGGGCTGGGCACGGTGGCTCATGCCTGTAATCCTAGCACTTTGGTAGGCCGAGGTGGGCGGATCACCTGAGGTCAGGAGTTCGAGATCAACCTGGCCAACATGGTGAAACCCTGTCTCTACTAAAAATACAAAAAATTAGCTGGGCATGGTGATGCACACCTATAATCCCAGCTAGTTGGGAGGCTGAGGCATGATAATTGCTTGAACCCAGGAGGTGGAGGTTGCAGTGAGCTGAGATCATGCGACTGCAGTCCAGTTTGAGTGACAGAGACTCTGTCAAAAATCTTTTATTTTATGATTAGCAAACTTTATGTCTTATTTAGGAAATGCTTCTTCCTCTTCCCCAACCCTTGTCATGAAAATTTTCTCCTATGCTTTTTTTTTTAAAGTTTTACATTTTACTTTTCACATTGAAGTCTTTAATCCATCTAAAAACATTATTATAAATGGTGTGAGGTAGGAATATTTTTTCCTATATGGAATATTGATAGTTTCAATATGACTTAATGGCTAAATCCACCCTTTTCACACTGCTCTGCCATGTCAGCCAAGCCACATATCAAGTTTTCATGTGGCTGTTTCTGGACTTCTCTAATCCATTCCAGTTTGGACAATTTGTCTATTCCTATGTAAATATGACACTATCTTAATTAGAATAGCTTTATAAACCATCTAAACATCTGGTAAGGCAAACCCCTGGCCCTAATATGTATCTTTACTTCTAAAATATAGAATACATATATTCTAGAATATATATTCTCTCTCTATATATAATACACACACACAGACACACACACACGAATCAGCTTGTCAAGTTCATCTAAAAACTCTGACAGGATTTTTTTTTTTTTTTAAAGAGGTGGAGTCTTGCTCTCACCCAGGCTGGAGTGCACTGATGCGATCATAGCTTACTATAACTTTAAACTACTGAGCTCAGGAGATACTTCCTCCTCAGCGTGCCTAAACTTTTTTGGTAGAGAGAGGGTTTTGTTATATTGCCCAGGCTGGTCTCAAACTTCTGAGCCTCTTAAAGTGCTAGGGTTACAGGTATGAGCCATCACACCTGGCCCTGAACTGTTGATCTCTATTGTTCTTTTCAACTGAAGCAGTATAGAGAAGAGTTAAGCATGGGGCCATTGGAGCACACTACTTGGATGTGAATCCTTTTCTATCTCAACTGAAAAACCCTGGGAAAGTTATTATAGACAAGAAAATATGCCTTAGTTTTTTCATCTAGATAAACAAGGATTAAATAAGATAATATGTAGAAACTATTTAGAACAGAAAGTATTTGAACAGTAAGTATTCAGTAAAATGTTGCCGTAATTATGACCTAAAAACAAATGTTAGAATATTAAGAGACTGGCTTTAGTTCACATATCTTTTCCTCAAGGCTCAGAATTTATTTAAAAACAAAGCTAGCAGCATTATTCCCATGATTTATGGCTCTTCTATGGGGTTAACATTGGTTGCTAGAATTGGCAGGTTCTCCTCTATCCTAAATTTATGATGAAGATCCAGCATTAGGGATCTGTTCTAGGGTTGTAGGGTTGGCTTATATGTAAAGAGGGCATTTAAGGACAAAGAAAGCATCTGGCTTTCCCTGTGAGAGGTATGTATCTTCTTATCTCTATTTCTTGAACAGACAGTTCCTAGTTCTCCTTCAAGAGGAAAAGAGGAAAGAGGAACAAAATAGAGAATGAACAGAAAAGAAAGGCTATGAGAACTATGGAAAAAGTTTTATAATATTATGTTACATGAAAACAAAAAATTATATACATGAATTATAACTATGTAACATAAACATGAGTGAACAACTGAGCAGCAATGTGCAAAAATAAAAGTGCAATGGGGTGGTGAAATGAGAAATTTTACATTAAAAATTATAGTCTTATATTCTTAATAAATACGAATTATTAGAGCTTGAAATTTTCTCAGTAAAAGGCATATATAAGAAGGACTTCTACTACTATTAATATCAGTAGATGACATTTATTTGTTTGTGCCAGGCACTGTTATAAGTGCTTTCTTTCCATGCAAGTTGTATTTAATCATCACAAAAACCCCATAAAGTAGCTATTATTTTACAAATGAGCTTTATAAAACAAGCTATTTTATAAAGCCCTATTTTATAAATGAGAAATTTGTGGAATAAAGAGTTAAATTAACTTGTTCAAGGTTACATAGTTCTAGACTAAAATGTAAAAACCCAAAAGGATAGTTAAATAAATGATGATTAATTCATACATTGGAATACTTCATAGCTATGAAAAGGGAGGTGTTAGATCTCTATGTGCCAATACGGAAAAAATCCTAGATAAATAGCTAAATGAAAAAAAAGCAGAGCAGTTGGTATGGTATAGTCTCATTTTTTGTCAAAGTAAATAATATCAATAATAATATTACATGTATATCAGTATACATGCATGTGTAAGGAGGGCAATTCAGTAGAATGTGTCTTACAATGTTGATGGTAGTTATCTCTGGAGGCTGGAATTTGGGGTCATTTTGAACTGTCTCTATTATGCCTCTATAATGTTTACATTTGTATAATGCATAATAAAAAATTTTAAAATAGCCAGGCAAAAGCTACTACAAACAGCACTGGACAGGATCTTTCAGCAAAATTTTAAAGAATAAAATGAAAAAGACCAGGAACATATTAAAGGAAGTCCCATTTATACAGTTAGAAGAAAATATATAATAGGCTATATGGTTAAAATTTATAGAAAACCTTAACTAATGTGAATGTAATTTAAAGCTAACCTTTTCATATTAGATCCTGTAAAAGAACTTTCTAAGATGTGAGTCTACTTTCTTAATTTCTAAATTCATTCTTTTACAGTGATCCTGGATCTTGCAGGGTCCTTAAGTCATTTTTGTGATAATTAGCTTTCACTGTGCAGAACTGTACTAAAGTAGGCAGCATTTAGACTGATTGAAGGACACATTCTCATTTTATAAATGAATCTGCAATATCAACATTTGCTTTTGATGTATTTCTCTCTGAAAAGTGGACTATAGATAATTTGTATTTAATTGATGATCATGGCTATTGGAGTAAAAGAATTATAACTAGATTTAAGAAGTGTTTGAATCAATTTATGATATTCATGAGTTATCGAGGGAAGTTATGGCTGTTTGGGACATATCCCTAACTATTTTAGCCGATGTCACAGAGGTTGACCCCAATCACTCACACAAATCATTTGTTTTTTTTTCAATCATTCATTTGTTTTGTCAAAAAACATTTATTGAGAATCTACTGTGTGCCAAGTGGAGTGATAATCGTTAGTGATAGAAAGATATATAAGACACAGTCTTAGTTCCAGGTAACTGACAGTTCACTTGAGACCTGGCCATTAAAAACAAATCTCAGAAATATAACAAACCATCCATATACAAAAATTTTCAAAAATATTAATAATAAGTATAGCTAACTTTTATAGAGAACTTACATGATCTCATTTAATTCCCACAACTACTGCATGGAGTAGGAATTAATAACTAAGGCTTAGTGAGGCTAAATACCTTGCCTAAAGTTGCATAGCTAGAAAGTTATAGAAACTGCAATTTAGACTTGGGCAACCTAATTTTGGAGCACACATCCTTCTGAGAATGAGAGAAGCTGCTGTTGCCAATGTCTTGATAACAACACCAAGATGAAGTAAAACACTAAGGGAATAAAACAATTAATTATGAGGAAAGCACAGGCAAACTAGGAAGATTTTGAGCAATGAGTCATATACACTTAACCCACAAAGAGGAATTACAAGCGATTTATGGAAGGATGCATTATTCAGAAGCAAATGGGAAGTTACTGGAAGAGTCATCAGCACTGACACAGGTAGAAAGCTGCTTTCCTGCATTTAAAAGCTGTTCTATACAATGCTAGCCACTAACTATTCTAAAGAAAGGCATCAGGCAGCCTTAGTGTACTCTAAGCTCTATGCAATTAGAGACATAACAAGTTCTTTCTGGTGACAGTCACAGAAGGCAGAAAAGAACATAGTCCATGCCTGATCTGTCACTGGCCAAAGAGAGAAAAAGAGCTTCTCTCTCACAGATTCATTTTGAGAACCCAATGAGAAGGGCTCTGACTGGTGGCCTAGGGAACTATGATTGCCTCAACCTGGGTCATGACCCATTCTGTGACCAGGAAGGTGGAGGTGTTACCAGAGAAAGGGGATATAGAGGATGCTAGGCAGACCAAGAGTAGCCTCCATGGGTATCAAAGTCATTGATTCACTCAACAAATATATACTGATAATGTAGGATATACACCAGGACACAGAAATGAGTAAGACAAGTTTCTAATGCCAAGGTGCTTACAGTTTAATGCAGAGGGAAAAGATATCAAGTAGTTTACAATTTAGGCGAGAAGACACAATTATTGCACAATAAAGCAATGGTGAACGATTCTACATGCTATATAATTAAGTGCTAAATTACGTGGTAGAGACCACAAGTGATGTCGTTGTTCTAAGAAGAAGTGATGTGGTTGTTCTAAGAAGAGGAAAATGAATACAGTAGTAATGAACCTGAATTAGGATTTAAGGAATGAGTAGGGTTTGGCTGGAAGAGAATAGAGGAAGGAATTCAGAGAGAAGAAGAGGGAATTTAGAGGAAAAGACTGCTATGAGTACAGGGATGGAGATAGAAAGGACAGTCAGTGAAGAGACAGGAGGACACACAGTGAGAGCTCACAAATCACATGGCTAAGGCTGGTTGCCTTCCCTCCCCTGCCAGAACAATGTTAGTGGCTGCATGATGGTGGAAGGATCCACATGTGTCAGAATCTGACAGGAACCACACCCTTAGTAACCAACCCTCCCTCCTACCTAATTAGAGGGAGGTGAGATGGGAGGGGGAGGAAGAGTGAAGTCATCTGCACGCGACCAGAAAGAAATCGATGGTATCAGAACAGTGGCCACTTCCATGTATGCATAACCATGAAAAAGGCCAGTACAGCCCAAAAGGACTGCAGGAGGGTGAACTGTAACTTGAATGTTGGATGAATTAAAACTGGTCCCAAAGCCCTTGAACTCCATAATTTGGAGATCTCCACTTGACTTCCTGACTAAAATATTTTCATACATTTCCACTGCCTTAGAATGAAATCCAAATGTTTTAGCATGGTATAGATGGCCATTTCCATCTAACCCTTGCCTACCTTTATGCCTCACTCCCACCTCTGCCTGACAGGCTCTGGTGTAGGGAAGCATGGGCATTTCTCAAAAGTTGGGCATATCTTGCTTCTCATGTCTCTGGGTCTCCTTTTTGAGTGGCCCTTTTCCTTTTCCTCTGCTTAGCTAATTCCTACTTGTCTTCCAAGCCAGTGGTCCCCAAACTTTTTGGCATGACGGGCTGGTTTCATGGAAGACAATTTTTCCACAGATGTGTGGTTGGAATGGTTTTGGGATGAAACTGTTCCACCTCTGCTCATCAGGGGTTAGATTCTCATATAAGGAGTGCACAATCTAGATCCCTCACATGCACAGTTCACAATAGGGTTTGCTCTCCTATAAGGATCTAATGCCACAGCTGATCTGACAGGAGGTGGAGCTCAGGCAGTAATGCTCACTTGCCACCACCCTTCCCTCCCCTCCTGCTGTGTGATCACCAGTTCCTAACAGGCCACAGATGGTACCAGTCCATGGCCCGGGGGTTGGAGATCCCTGCTCTAAGACACAGTTTGAGTATTTCTTCTTTTAGGAAGTGTAGGATTGTGGGTAACTTAGATTTACTTATTTGTGCTTATTTGCATTTTTAATTTGTTTGTAATAAACATGAATATTTTTCAGTACGTAAATATCAAGGAAAATGTCATTAAGGTACAGAGTGACTGGAACAAGGGGAAAGATCACTACGTAGGACCACTCCACACTTTCTCTCCAAAAAAATCCTAGGAGATAATTCAAGAATAAAAGTCTGGCCAGGCATGGTAGCTCACACCTGTAATCCCAGCACTTTGGGAGGCCGAGGCGGGTGGATCACCTAAGGTCAGTTCGAGACCAGCCTGGCTAACATGGTGAAAGAAAGTCAAAACTAGACTTTTTTTTTTCCCCATGGGGTTAGCAAAAATAAAAAAACAAACAAACAAGGATAATTCCTACTAGGAAAGTCTTATTTACTATTGGTGGAAGTATGAATTGGTATGATCTTTTTGGAGAGTTTTTTGGCAATAACTGTCAAAAATGCATATACTGTTTTACCTCCTAGTAACTTTATTTCTAGGAATTTATTCCACAGAAAACATCCTCACAAATGCACAGTTATACACATAAACAGGGAAGGCTACATAATTTGTGGGCTCAGAGCAAAATGAAAATGCAGAGCCCTTTGTTCAAAAAGCAGGAAAAAACTGCCATCAACAATACTAAAATATAAAACTTTTTCCTTTTCCTTTTTTCCATAGTCTCTTTCTTAAGATGTCATTGTATGTATGTGTGTGTGGATGTTGTTTTTTAATTGTGGTAAGAACACCATGCATGAGATCTAACCTTTTAACACATTTTTACATGTACAGTAGTACAGTATTGTTATTTCTAGGTATAATGTTGTATAGCAGATATCTAGAACTTACTCATCTTTTTCATCATGACATGGTTTTTAAAAGTTTGCTGCTGGGCGCGGAGGCTCACACCTGTAATCCCAGCACTTTGGGAGGCTGAGGCGGGCAGATCACAAGATCAGGAGACGGAGACCATCCTGGCTAACACGGTGAAACCCTGTCTCTACTAAAAATACAAAAAAATTAGCTGGGCTTGGTGGCGGGTGCCTGTAATCCCAGCTACTCAGGAGGCCGAGGCAGGAGAATGGCATGAACCTGGGAGGCGGAGCTTGCAGTGAGCCGAGATCGCGCCACCGCACTCCAGCCTGGGCAACAGAGCGAGACTCCATCTCAAAAAAAAAAAAAAAATTGCTATTAATGTCACACTTCCTCAGGCGGCACCAGATACTTGCCAAGCAAGTGCAGACCCTCAAAGATGCCTGGGCAACTCAACACAAAAGGAATGTGTGCTGGACCTTGACACAGGTGTCTAGGCTTCTGCCCAGCCGGGGGAACAGAGGCCAGCAGAGGTCACTGGATGGCTGGTAAGCTGGCAAATGAGTGAGGTCTCCACTATGGAGTGGTGGGAAGGAAGCAGGAGGCAGGGCATGTGTGAGCCAAGGCTCAAAACTCCTGGTGTATGCTCCACTGTTCCATCAAACTGCACAAATTCAAAGATAAAATTATTAAGAATTTTAAGACAGAAGCCACAGGGCATTAAATCTCAAGGATGGGGGCCTTTCTGTACTTAGGACCCTGTGTGACTCCCCTGGTCATTAGCCCATGAAGCCAGCCCTGCATATGAGTCTGTTCATACAGCACTGTTTATAATACTAAAATGTAATAAACCAAATTGTTTACATTAGTGATTAAACAAATTATGGTAAAACAACACAATACAAAGCCATTAAAAAACGAGTCTGATCTATAAACACTGACACAGCTGTCCAACACACATGAACAAAGGTTTCAGTAAATTAGTTGTGTATGTGTATATATGTATCTATAAAATATTGAGTGTTAATTAAAATATTAAGAGAGTGTGTGTGTGTGCATATATATATATATATAAAAGAATGTTAGAAGGGATAGCCCAATCCCTTCAAAGTGATTAGGGGAGAAAGGAATTTTTACTTTTCATACCCATAAAATTTTAGTTTTCATTATTAGGATATATTGTTTCTGAAATAAAATGATTATTAAAAAATTCAACTCCAACATCTAGAAACATCTGTCTGAACCTCAGTGAAATCTGCTGGCTTCTTTTATCATTTAAGAACACAAAAAGACCATGGAAAATAATCTTTCTGACTTGTAAAAGACTGCTCATTAAGATTCTTTTTTTAAAATTTTATTATTATTATATTTTAAGTTTTAGGGTACATGTGCACAACGTGCAGGTTTGTTACATATGTATACATGTGCCATGTTGGTGTGCTGCACCCATTAACTCATCATTTTCATTAAAATTCTTACAATTCTTTTTACCTTGTTAAAAAATTCTTACCATCATTGCTGGTATCCTCAACAGGAGACGCTGAGTCCACGTGCTCTAGGATTCCCTTTGTGACCTCAACGACCTGAAACCTCCTGACTCTGGCTAGGTCTGTATCTTTCAACCCTTCCTCCAACTGTTTGACCACCTCTTTTCCAGGCTGAGAAGTCAGAATAGTAATCTGAAAATAAATCCAAGAATCAATGTGTCTATTCTCCCTGATGTACAGAGTGAGGAACATAACAGTTCCTACCCGGAGGATAAATACAGCATAAGTCTGTGGTGGTGGCTATTATGTTTAGTGCAAAAAGGATTTGGCTGTAACTTAAAATCAAATTTTATCTGACAGATTCTTGTGGGACAGGTTATCACAGGACCTTTCCAATCAGGCTGAGCTGACCCTAGAAAGTGACTGGAGAAACCATATGTATGTTTTAGTCTTTTTTTTTGAGACGGAGTCTTGCTCTGTCGCCCAGGCTGGAGTGCAATGGTGCAATCTTGGCTCACTGCAACCTCCGCCTTCCGGGGTCAAGTGATTCTCCTGCCTCAGCCTCCTGGATAGCTGGGATTACAGGCACGTGCCACCACACCCGGGTAATTTTTTTTGTATTTTTAGTAGAACGGGGTTTCACCATGTTGGTCAGGCTGGTCTCGAACTCCTGACCTCGTGATCCGCCCGCCCCGGCCTCCCAGAGTGCTGGGATTACAGGCGTGAGCCACCATGACTGGCCACTGTATGTTATTATTAGGAGTTTCCTCTTGAACTTTTAAAGACTGGACGGTAATCATTAAACATATGCAATTCTCATTTGTACTTAGATGTTTTTGATCCATGAAGAGGGATGTAGATTAAAGCACTATTATTATTATTATTATTTTAAAAGACATTATTTTTTAGGGAAGTTTTAGGTTCACAGCAAAATCGAAAGGAAGGTACAGAGATAGCCCATATACCCCTTGTCCCACATATACATGGCCTCCCTCATTATCAGTATCTTCCACCAAAGTCATTGCAATTGATGAACCTATATTGACACATCATAATCACCCAAAGTCCACAGATTACATTAGGGTTGACTCTTGGTGTAGTACATTCTATGAGTCTAGACAAATGCATAATGACATGTACCCATCAGTATAATAAATATCATATTGAGCCTTTTCACCACCCTAAGAATCCTCTCTGCTCTATCTATTCATCCCTCCTTCTCCTCAACCCTTGGCAACCATTGATCTTTTTACTATATCACCATAGTTTTGCCTTTTCCAGAATGTCATATAGTTGGGGATATATATGCAGCCTTTTCAAATTGGCTTCTTTCACTTAGTAATATGCATTTAAGGTCCCTCCATATCTTTCTGTAGCTTGATAGCTCATTTCTTTTTAGTGCTGAATAATAATCCATTGTCTGGATGAATCATAGTTTATTTATCCATTCATCTGCTGAAGGACATCTTGGTTGCTTCCAAGTTTTGGCAATTACGAATAAAGCTGCCATAAATACCCAAGTGCGGATTTTTGTGTGGATAGGTTTTCAACTCCTTTGGGTAAATACCAAGAAGCATGATTTCTGGATTATATGGTAAATGTATGTTTAGTTTTGTAAGAAACCATCAAACTATCTTTCAAAGTGGCTGTGCCATTCTACATTCCCATCAGCAATGAAGGAGAGTTCCTGTTGCTCCACATCCTCACCAGCATTTGGTGTTGTCAGTGTTCTGGAATTTAGCCATTTTAATAGGTATGTGGTGGTATTTCATTGTTGTTTTAATTTGCATTTCCCTGATGACATATGATGTGGAGCATCTTTTCATGTTTGTTTACCATTTGTGTACTTTCTTTGGTGAGGTATCTGATAAGGTCTTTGGTCCATTTTTTAAAGTTTTATTTTGTTTTTAATTGACACATAATAATTGTACACATTTACGGGTACAGTGTGATGTTTTGATACATTTATACATTGTGTAATGATCAAATCAGGGTAATTAGCATATCTATCACTTCAAACACTTCTCATTTCTTTGTGATGAGAACATTCAAAATCCTCTCTGCTATTTTGAAATATACATTACTGTTAACTATAGTCATGCTATTGTACAGTAGAACACCAGAACTTATTCCTCCTAATTGTAACTTTGCACCATTGGCCAACCTCTCCTCATGCACCCTTCCCCCCTATCCTCAGCCTCTGATAACCACTATTCAACTCTGTACTTCTATGAGATCAACGTTTTTAGATTCCACAAATGAGTGAGATCATGCAGTACTCGTCCTTCTGTGCCTGGCTTATTTCACTTAATATAATGTTCTCTAGACTCATCCATGTTGTCACAAACAACAGGCTTTTATTCTTTCTTATGAAGGAATGGTATTCCAATGTGTATAAATACCACATTTTAAAAATCCATTTATCCATTGATAGACACTCAGGTTGATTCCATATCTTGGCTACTGTGCACAGTGCTGCAATAAACCTGGGAGTGAAGATATCTCTCCAACACACTGATTTCATTTCCTTTGGGTATATACCCAGTAGTGGGATTGTTGGATTATATGGTAGCTCTGCTTTTAATTTTTTGAGGAACCTTCATATTGTTCTCCATAGTGGCTGTACTAATTTGCATTCTTACCAAAAATGTAAGGAGGGTCCCCTTCTCCATCTCCTCACCAATATTTGTTATTTTTTAAATCTTTTATATAGTAGCCATTCTAACTGGGGTGAGGTAATATTTTATTGTGGGTTTGATTTGCATTTCTCTGATTAGTGATGTTGAGCATTTTTGCACCTGCCTGTGGCCATTTGTATGTCTTCTTTTGAGAAATGTTTATTCAGCTTTCAGATTATTCATTTTTTCCCTGTTGAGTTGTTTGAGTTCCTTATATATTCCGGATATGAATCCCTTGTCAGATGCATAGTTTACAAATATTTTCTTCCATTCTGTAGGCTCTTACTTCACTCTATTTTTTTTTTTGAGACAGGGTCTCACTCTGTTGCCCAGGTTGGAGTGCAGTGGTTCAACCATGGCTCACTGCATGCAGCCTTGACCTCCTAGGCTCAAGTGATCCTTCTGCCTCAGCCTCCCATGTAGCTGAAACCACAGATGCATGCCACCATGCCTGGCTTATTTTTGTATTTTTTTTTTTTGTAGAGATGGAGGCCTCACCATGTTGACCAGACTGGTCTGGAACTCCTAGACTCAAGTGATCCTGCTGCCTTGGCCTTCCAAAGTGCTGGAATTACAGGTGTGAGCCACTGCACCTGGCCCACTTCAATCTTTTGATTGTTTCCTTTGGTGTGCAAAAGCTTTTTGGTTTGATAAAATTCCATTTGTCTATTTTTGCTTTTGTTGCCTGTGCTTTTGAGGTCTTATTAAAAAAAATCCTTGCCCAGACCAATGTCACAAATTGTTTCCCTCATTTTAAGAGTCAGGGTCTTGCTCTGTTGCCCAGGCTGGAATGCAGTGGTATGATCATAGCTCACTGCAATCTTGAATTTCTGGGCTCAAGGGATCCTCTTGCCTTAGCCTCCTGGGTAGTTGGAACTACAGGTATGCACCACCACTCTCAGCTAGTTTTTCCAAAAAGTTTTTTTCGTAGTGGCAGGGTCTCACTATGTTGTCCAGGCCAGTCTTGATCCTCAAGTGATCCTCTTACCTTGGCTCCCAAAGTGCTGGGATTACAGGCGTGAGCTACTGCACCTGGTACTTGTTCCAGATTTTAGAGGAAAAACTTTCAACTTTTCCTCATTCAGTATGAGTTAGCTGTAGGTTTGTCATATATGGTCTTCATTGTGTTGAGGTATGCTCTTTCTGAACCTATTTTGTTAAGAGTTTTTATCATGAAGTGATGTTGAATTTTATTGAATGCTCTTTCTGCATCCATGAAGATGGTTTATGTCCTTCATTCTGTTAATGTGATGTGTCATGTTTATTGATTTGCATATGTTGAACCATCCTTGCACCCCTGGGACAAATCCCTCTTGATTATGGTAATCCCTCTTGATTATCTTTTTGATGTGCTATTGGATTTGGTTTGCAAATATTTTAAGGGTTTTTGCATCTATGTTCTTCAGAGATATTGGCCTATAGTTTTCTTTTTTATTGTTGTGCCCTTGTCCGGTTTTGGTATCAGGGTAATGCTGCCCTTGTAGAATGAGTCTGGAAGAATTCTCTCCACTTCAAGTTTGTAGAGTAGTTAAGAAGAATTGCTATTAGTTCTTCTTTAAATGTTTGGTAGAATTCAGCAGTGAATCTATGAGGTCTGGGGCTTTTCTTCAACGGAAGACTTTTTATTACTGATTCAATCTCATTACTCACTGTTGGTCTGTTTAGGCTTTCTATTTTTTCATGATTCAATCTTAGCAGATTGTGTATATACAGGAATGTATCCATTTCTTTTAAGTTTTCCAATTTGTTGACATATAGTTCTTCAAAATAGTCTATAATAATCCTTTGTATTTTGTGGTATCAGTTGTAATGTCTCCTTTTTAATCTCTGATTTATTTGACTCATCTCTCTTTTTTTCTTAGTCTAGCCAAAAGTTTGTGATTTTGTTTATCCTTTCAAACAAAACAGTTCTTTTTAGTTCAAGACCAGCCTGACCAACATGGAGAAACGCCATCTCTACTAAAAATACAAAATTAGTCAGGCGTGGTGGCGCATGCCTGTAATCCCAGCTATTCGGGAAGCTGAGGCAGGAGAATTGCTTGAACACGGGAGGTGGAGGTTGCGGTGAGCCGAGATTACGCCATTGCACTCCAGCCTGGGCAACAAGAGCAAAACTCCATCTCAAAACAAACAAACAAAAAACAGACAGAAAAAAAACAACAACAAAAAAGTGTTTTTTTTTTTTTTTTTTTTTTTTTTTTTGAGACAGTGTCTCACTCTGTCGCCCAGGCAGGAGTGCAGTGGCGCGATCTCGGCTCACTGCAAGCTCCGCCTCCCAGGTTCACGCCATTCTCCTGCCTCAGCCTCCCAAGTAGCTGGGACTACAGGCACCCACCACCACGCCTGGCTAATTTTTTGTATTTTTTAGTAGAGATGGGGTTTCACCGTGTCCAGGATGGTCTCGATCGCCTGACCTCGTGATCTACCCGCCTGGGCCTCCCAAAGTGCTGGGATTACAGGTGTGAGCCACTGCGCCCGGCCACCAGTTCTTTTTTCATTGAACTTTTATGTTTTTGTTTGTTTTTAAGAGACAAGGTCTTGCTCTGTCACCCAGGCTGCAATGCAGTGGTGTGATCATAGCTCACTGCAGCCTCAAACTCCTGGGCTCAAGCAATCTTTCCACCTCGGCCTCCCAAAGTAGCTAGGACTACAGGTATGTGCACCACACCTGGGTAATTTAAAAAATTTTTTGTAGAGATGGGATCTCACTATGTTACCAAGGCTGGTCTCAAACTCCTGGCCTCAAGCAATCCTCCTGCCGTAGCTTCCCAAAGTGTTGTACTATTTTAAGTCTCTATTTCTTTTATTTTTATTCTGATCATTACTATTTTTTTTCCTTCTAGTAATTTTGGGTTTAGTCTATTCTTGTTCTTCTAGTTCCTTGAGGTGCAATGCTAGGTTGTTTATTTGATATCTTTCTTCTTTTTTGATGTAGGCGTTTATTGCTATAAACTTCCCTCTTTTGCTCTATCTCATAAGTTTTGGTATATTGTATATCCATTTTCATTTGACTCAAGATTTTAAACTTCATTTTTAATTTCTCCATTGACCCACTGGTTGTTCAGGAGCATGTGGTTTAATGGTGTTCTCTGAGCTTCCTGGATCTGTGGGTTGGTGTCTGACTTTAAGAAATTCTCAGTCATTATTATTCAAATGTTTCTTCTGTTTCTTTCTTTCTTTTCCTTCTGGTATTCCCGTTACATGTAAGTCGTACCTTTTATAGTTGTCCCACAGTTCTTGAATATTCTGCTCTGGGTTTTTTTTCCAGTTTTTTTTTCTCTTTGCTTTTTCAGATTTGAACATTTCTATTGATACATCCTCAAACTCAAAGATTCTTTCTTCAGCCATAGGTCTACAAATAAGCCCATCACAGACATTCTTCACATCTATTACAATGTTTTTGATCTCTAGCACCTTTTTTTATTTTTTCTTAGGATTTCCATCTTTCTGCTTACATTGCCCATATGTTCTTTCATTCCGTCTGCTTTATCCATTAGAGCCCTTAGCATATTAATCATAGTTGCTTTAAATTCTGTGGTCTGAGAATTCCAGTGTCTCTGCCATGTCTAATTCTGATGCTTGCTGTCTCTTCAAACTGTGTTTTTTTGTCTTTTAGTACGCTTTTCATAGTTGTACATGATGTTCCAGGCTAAAGGAACTGCTATAAGCAGGCCTTTAGTAATGTGTGGTAAGGGATAGAGGGAGGGGAAGTATGATTAGGTCTCAGTCTTTTAGTGAACTTATGCCTCTGGACTGTGAACTTTACAAGTGTTCCTCAGTTTTTTCTCTCCCTACTTAGGTGGGACAGGATGGCTAGAGTGGGCTGAAGTTGAGTATTCCTTTCTGCTACATTGAAGGATACAGCTGGCTGGAGTTTGGTATTTCCCTTCTTCCAGGTCATTTAGACTCTGATAAAATCCCAGGAGGTTAAGGGTTAGGTTCTGTTTAACTAGTTTCTCCTGAGTAACTACCTGTTAGGGTAGTTTCATTATACCTGTTAATAACAGAGTGCTCTGGTATATTTCAAAATGGTTCATTTTTCCTTCTCCCTGTCAGAGGCATGAGGGAATTTTCCCCCGATGTTTACAAGAGGACTTGGTTGAGCTCCTGGAGGTAAAACTCACAAAAGTGTGGAGTGGTATGATCATAGCTCAGTGCAACTTTGAACTCTTGGGCTCAAGCCATCTTCCTGCCCCAGCCTCTCAAGTAGCTAGGACTATAGGTGCACACCACCAAGCCTGGCTAATCTTTATTTTCTGTGGAGATGGAGTCTTGCTATGCTGTCCAGGCTGCTCTTGAACTCCTGGCCTCAAGGTGATCTTCCTGCCTTGGCCTCTCAAAGTGCTGGGATTACAGGTGTGAGCCACAATGCTCATCCTCTCCTAGAATTTTAGACATGTCTACACCTAGCCTGTAGCAATGTCAATGACAGTTTCCTACTCTAGCACTGGTTCCTGTGGAGGTTTCTGTTCCAGTATGTTGTGATTCTCTGTATTTGCCTGGTTGTCTCTCCCATTTTGGATGCAACAGTTTGCCCTGTGACCTCACTTCTCAGGGATCTAAAAAATATTGTTGATTTTTTAGTTTGTTAAGCTTTTTACTAGTTGTTAGGATGGAGTGGCAACTTCCAAGCTCCTTACATGAAGAATTGGAAACCAGCAATCCCACACGATTATTTTTTGTCCTGTCTGTTTGATCCCTGAGGTTACAAGAGACCGAAACTGTCTTAACTCACACTTACTCATGTACCCAATGGAGTATCCAGCCATGCCCTTATTTATATTTTTAAGATTGGCTCAGTCTGGCACTCTTGTATTTGCACACTTGCTAATCCCGAGAAAAGTTCCTCAATTTGATGCCAAGATTTGATTAAAAACAACTGTAAATTCCTAAGAGTACCAAGGTAAATATAAATACAGCTACCAATGTAGGCAGTTTAACATTTTCTTTACAACTTCCAAAAATCCAGAGGCAGATGGCATATTCAGATTTTATTTTTATTTCAGTTTTTCCTCATAATTCACTTCAGTCTGTATTTTTAGAGCTCTTCTCTATAACTATCTCTACATTAAGAACTGTACAGGTTATAGGAAGAAGAGAAACATGTCCTCTGCCTGTAGGGAGCTGAAAATCTTGCTTTGAATATTACATCTAGAGTGAATGAAAGATAGAACAATGTAAAGATGATAAACAATGACCTATATGGACTGAAATCGGAACACAGCTTGGAGTCCTAAAGGCCAGCATCACTTACCTCCAGGGAGGTATAGGTCAGAGCTGCCCTTGTGGTCACATGTCTGCTGTATTGTTTGAATTGCTGGAGCCCATCCTCTACTGCCAGCCGCAGAGAAGCACCTTGTGATCTGAAACACCCTTCTCTCTGTAACATGCGGAGTTCTGAGATGCAGGTCTGCAACCTAGCAAAGTTCCCTTTCACTTGCTGCAGAGAAAAACGAATCAAAGACACAAGTCTTTAGGGACCAGGTTTCAGATTAATTGGCAGTCTAAATTTATTATAAATAATTCCTCAGAAGTTCCTTCCCTTCCTGAAAATTTATTTGACCAACATCTACTGAATTCCTATTGTGTTCTAGCCACTGCACCAAAATCTTCCCTACACTAGCAGAAGGAAAATTTGCAGCCATAAAGGTTTTGATTACTTAGAGTTACCAGAAACATGAAAGGAAGTGTTTTAACTCATTCACTCACACAAAGGGAAATCCAGTTGTGTGACTGCTTAGTTTTACTTTGGGGTGACCTGCAAACTGGAGGCCAGACAGTGTTCACCTTAGACATCATCTTCATTTCTTAGTCAGTCTAGGCACCAAAAGCTTCTCTACTTAAAAATGAGGTTTTCCCAGAAGTGAGAATTTTGATGTGGTTGATCACTTCAGAATTCATACGTCCTATCTAATACGCTCTTTAGGATAACTTCAGTAAAGAAGAGATATTTGGGTTAGTCTGCAGTCAGCTTAAGGAGCCAACATGTTAAACCGAGACAAGCGACCTTTTGGTTCTCCTCATCTACCTTTATAAAAACTTGCTCTTAGGAGTCAACTAATTTAATCTGATACTAGGTCAATGTTACTTCTCCTAAGGATATATGCATTTTGATAAATGTGGACTGAAGATTTGTGACATCATTTGAAGGGATTCCATGCATCAATAGCAGGTGGGGGGTGGGGAAGAATTATATTTTGGGATGGGGACACCTTCCTGACCATAGAGCAGAACTGAGTGATATCTGTAATGCACATAAAATCCATGAGCATGAGCTGTAAACCTGCCAGAATACAAAGACTGCTTAAGTCAACACCTTCCTGGGCTTAGCTCCACAGTTGATATATTCTTCTCTCCCCAAGTCTTTGGGGTGAAAACACAAGGAATTGCATATAATTCTTACACAAAGAAAACTTGTAATCTAGAAAGGAAAATAAGAAAACTATCCGAGAAAGAAATTAGAAGAAATCACACCACAGGTGTAGCCTAGTAGGCTTTAAGCATTTCTTCTCATGTACCCACTAAAAGAATCTGAGAAACAATGTACCCCCTTATGCATTTTTAAGTGAACATCTATATTTTAAAATTCCAACTTTATAAGTGGTTGCTAACGATGTAACTTCCTGCATATTTTAAATATCAACATTTAAAAATAAAACTATAATATAACTCTTCAAAACAGTCCAATTGAATCTAAATGCCATGGTGATTTGATACTCACCATTATTCAGTGTTAAAAGTACATGAACAAGCTCTTTTTTTCCCAAGAGATAGAAATTTAGATTGTTCCTTTTTCTCCTTGAACTCATATTTCCATTTCACTTTCCCTGAGAGTTTTATCATAATGTAAAAGAATTTTTATGCTTGGCAACCTTTTATTGATCATCCCATCATACTTCTCTGCATCTAAAACAGCTATATTTTGCAAGAGTTCTAAGTTTCCTATGAGCATAGGCTCTAAGGGGCACTCTAGATTGAGTTATTATTAGAATTATCATTCATATACAATTTATTAAAACAACATGTATATACAAATTTTGAGAAATAATTATTGGCATTAAGCATAGCTTTAATTGGAAATGTTTCTCTTAATAATTGGAAATATTCCTCTTAATGGCATGGACAAGCTGGGCTCTTCTTTCAATTAGCTCAGGTTTGTGTGAATAAATAAAATAATTACTGATCGAATGACACAACATTCAGTATCAATTTTTATTCCTATTTTATTTATTTGGTGGCCAACATGGGTTGAGTTTATTGCATCATTATAAACAGAGAAAAATCTTGTTTTCTCTTGACCAGATACCCAAAAGGCTATAAAAGAAATGTAACTTAACTCCAATTTGAGAATATGTACTAAAAATTTTAAGCCTCACCTTGGTATTTTAAAAGACTAAATGTGATACCCTACAAGGCATTTTGATGTCACAAATTCATTCTATTACATTTTATATACAAAAATGCTACACCATTGTTCTAATTATGTGTCTGCAGTTGTACTACAACTATAGGACAGACACAGAATGATTCAAAATAGCTGGAATCTAAGCCTTACTTCTCAGTGATCAGGGCAGTCCAGCCTGGTGATGTCATATAGGGTGTCATTAGATGACACCCAGAACCAGCCACAACTTCGGACTAAGCTTGTTTGTGTCTACAATTGTGATGACATATTACTATGGATTTAACAATAAAAATTCCAAGCTAACGCAGGAACAGAAAACCAAATACTGCATGTTCTGACTTATAAGTGCGAGCTAAATGATGAGAACACATGGACACATAAAAAGGGACAACACACACTGGGGCCTGTCAGAGGGTGGAGTGTGGGAGGAGGGAGAGGATCAGAAAAAATAACTAATGGGTAGTAGGCTTAATACCTGGATGATGAAATAATCTGTACAACAAACCCCCATGACACAAGTTTACTTATGTACCTGCACATGCACCCTTGAACTTAAAATAAAAGTTAAAAAAATTCATACCATTTGTTTTAAGAGTGTCTGGGAAAAAATAAGCAATTATTCCATTTTGTGCCCTTCTCATGTTTTAAAATAAGCAATGTTCTATATTTCTATTATCGAAGGTTCAGAAGTAAAAACATTATAATAAATATACAAATCCTTGAAAACTCTTAGCATTTCTAGTGTTTAATACTCCCACTTCTTTGGCAATGCCGAATCTGCAAACTGACTGCTTAGTCTGTGCACATGTCAACTATGGAGAATGTGCATGTCCTGTGAATTTCAAATGGTTCTCTGGAGTAAAGCAAGAGATTGACCCATATTTTAAAGGTAACAGCAAACGTTTAACCTTAGGAACCAAGGACTCAAATTTGAAGCTACAGTCTTATTCTGATTAGCTTCTATGATGATATGGTTGGGGGGAATTTAGTAGCAAGTGAAGGTCAGGAGAAGATGTGGTACAAGGAAGGCAAGTGGGTAAGTGATATCAAGTGAGAGATGGGTGAAGGAATTCCATGATCACAGATGTAATCAGCAGCCACAGCAATGGACCTGTCTGCCCTGCTCTGCAGAGACCTCAGATGGAGCTCCCACCCCACATGCAGACAGTTCACCCCAGGCCAAGAGTGCTCAGCGTGCAGGGCCATGTCCTCCCACCAGACACCACCTGTACCTGTCAAGTGCCACCAATTTAAACTGAAAATACAAGTCAGTGAACCCTCTCTGTGTGAAGAAAAAGAAACAGCAGAAGAATGTTTTTAGCAGGTGAAAACCTAATGCTCTTCAGACTGTAGCAGGGCCCTTGAACCCCTTCAGTCACAACAGTAGCTTCTGAGGTGTGGGTGTTGTGGGTCAGAAACAATCCTCGATCCTCAGGCCTCCCTTGCACAGCTGTTTCCAGGCACTTCTGTCAAAGTCAGCAACAATAAGTGTGAAGGGGATTTTATAGTTTATCTTTAACTGCAATTAACAGCTGGATTGATGTCATGTTGCAAAATGACAAGTGCACTTGACAGATTAGTGTCTTTTCAAAAACCAATTCTTAGAAACTTCTATATCCCGAAAGTTCACAGGTGCAAATGTGCCAAACCCCAAAGAAGTCTTCAAAATGCCTCTGAAAGGCAAGGTCCCTCGTGTGCTGAGCCTCCCAAATCCCTCTTATCCCATCTGGTTAAGAGCTCAGTGGAAATCTAGCTGTCATTGTTCAGTCTTACAGCTCTTGACTGAGTAGATTTTCTTGTCTTTGGGGAAAAGCGTCATTTCCTCTGCCACTCTTGTGACAATGTCTTCATCTATAGCAGAACCATGGGCCCTCATCTCTGCCTTCATGCATATTTTCACGTCTGTACTTCATCGGCAGGAAAAAGGTAAAGTAATTGATTAAGGTTTTGTTGATCAGTCCATTGCACCACAGACCACTGTGCTTATTATTGAAGACTATCAGACGGCACAGGTTCCAGGTCCTTCAGCTAAATGTCTTCCCTCCTTCCTCCTACCCACCAAAAGTCAAGAGCTATCTCAGTTATGAGGTCCCTGTCTATGTTTCTGGGAAAGATGAAGATGGCTTTTTGGTAAAAACCTTTTTGTAGTGGTCTAGAAACAGACTGATTGTGTTGACAACCCTGGGGGTGGAATTTATGCATCTTGTCAAATATGAAAATAGCTGGAATATGCACTCACATTACCATGAATCCACTTCTGTAACTGGTCCTAGACCAACCATAAAAGATGAAATGGGATGGGGAGGCTCAAAGGATGCTCTGAGGGAGCAGAAGCACTATGCTGCTCTTCATGCTCTAAAAGACTTAAGATCAGAGCTCCCTGGGGAAGAACTCTAGGAAACTGCACTCTCACCTCCATTCAGTGGGTAAGTTTTTCCAAAACTTTATCTATACAAAGTTGAAATTGGCAGAGAGATAGGTGCTAAAATGCAAGGAAGTTTTTTCCTAACTCAAATGACATGTTAAATGTGACTTTTTTAAAGGTATAAGAGACACAAGATACATAAATATTTATCATTCACCGTTAACTAATCCATAGTGTTCATCTCACTGTGAAGCAAAATCTCAACTTAATATTACCAGACATATTGAAGAATAAGGAACTAGATTAAGACTTGCACAGTGCCCGAGACCAATGCCTTGTACTGACGGAATGAATGAAGGAGTTGACCTAGGTGACATCTCATGAAAAGCATTTATTCTGATACATTCTTGGAACAAAAAGACACCCAGGCAACAAGCTCTCAACCTCACAATGTAAAAAGGTTGTGACCAGGAAACTCCCCCAGATACATCCTTATTTATTTTACTATATTTCTAGAGATTTACGAAAAAATGTGAAAAATAAGAAAATTATTCCTGATTTTGGCAGTCTTCTCTATCTTACAGTTTGTGTGGCAAACACTCACTTTCACTTCCTTGTTCAGTTAAGTTTCTGTTTCTTATTTCAGTCCCCACCTAATAGTGGGAATATTAACCTTGACAAGGACGACATTCATTTAAATGAGAATGAACCCTCCTAGATAATGTAATACAAATTAAATGTGGAAGGAATATCTGAAAAGGAGAAACAGTGTCAATGTTCAGTTATTTGAGGCTTTCTTTGAAGAAAGCAATGCCAAGGACTCGAAAGATGAGAGGAACAAAGGGAATAAAAGGTGTTTAGAAGAAAAGAAATCCTCTAATCTACATTGCAACATGCAGAGGCAAGGCTGAGGCTGCATCATAGGTGGAGAGCATTAAATGACCCCATGCCCAAACAACCTGCTGAACAACCCCCACCTAACACCAAATGCTCTGTGGGAATGTTGAGTGCATTCATTCATTGGAGAATGTGACTACCATGTAAACTGGGAGTTGGGAAATTTGGGTTCAAGTGTGTCTTAACTCAGTGGAGCCTGGGGCTACTGCAATGCAAAGAAAAGAGAAGCAGAGGCCAGAGTTAGTGCAGTTTGCCCAGACCAGTCCAAATGGCCTGTGAACAAGATAATGCTGGGTTCTCCTGCCTGGTACAGTTTTTTATCTTTTGCTCATGAGGGAAGTACAGAGTTAGTACAAATAGGTGGAGAGTTACTCTTCAGGCCTTTTGAGTGAAGACGTTCAGCCACAATTTGGCTGACAAAATTCTTGCCTATGCCAGCTCAGCCACGTAAGGAAAGAATTAGTTGTTTCTAGGAATTTCTGTTGCTTCTGAAGCCAGTCAGTGCCTTGAGAATCACTTCCGCGGCAACATGCTGTCCAAACAGCTTCTCCTTCAAATCCAGCTTGAGGGCTCTAGGAGTCAGCTCCAGAATAGAGAAACACACCTTAAAAATGCGCCAGAAAGGCCGGGCGCGGTGGCTCACGCCTGCAATCACTTTGGGAGGCCGAGGCAGGCGGATCACGAGGTCAGGAGATAGAGACCATCCTGGCTAACATGGTGAAACCCCGTCTCTACTAAAAATAAAAAAAAAAAAAATTAGCCAGGCGTAGTGGCGGGCGCCTGTAGTCCCACCTACTCGGGAGGCTGAGGCAGGAGAATGGCATGAACCCGGGAGGTGGAGGTTGCAGTGAGCAGAGATCGCGCCACTGCACTCCAGCCTGGGCGACAGAGCGAGGCTCCGTCTCAAAAAAAACCCCAAAAAACAAAAAAGCACCAGAAAAGCAGCACTTTCCCAGCTGGCAAAATGAGAGGCACAGATTAACAACTGATCCAGCCGGGCCTCTGTCAAATATGGCAGCCACTGGCCGCCTGTGGTTATTATCTGAGACGTGGCTACTCTAACTGAAGGTTTGTTGTCCATGTAAAATACACATAAGACTTTGAAGAGTAGTAAAAAAGATAATATTGGCCGGGCGCGGTGGCTCACGCCTGTAATCCTAGCACTTTGGGAGGCCGAGGTGGGCGGATCATGAGGTCAGGAGATCGAGACCATCCTGGCTAACAAGGTGAAACCCCGTCTCTACAAAAAATAATAATAATAAAAAAATTAGCCGGGCATGGTGGCGGGTGCCTGTAGTCCCAGCTACTCGGGAGGCTGAGGCAGGAGAATGGCGTAAACCCGGGAGGCAGAGCTTGCAGTGAGCCGAGATCGCGCTACTGCACTCCAGCCTGGGAAACAGAGCGAGACTCCGTCTCAAAAAACAAACAAACATAAAAAAGTTTAATATTGGTTGGGGGCGGTGGCTCAAGCCTGTAATCCTGGCACTTTGGGAGGCTGAGGTGGGTGGATCACTTGAGGTCAGGAGTTCGAGACCAGCCTGGCCAACATGGTGAAACCCCACATCTACTAAAAAAAAAAAAAAAAATACAAAAATGAGCCGGGTGTGGTGGTGCACACCTGTAATCCCAGCTACTCGGGAGACTGAGGCATAAGAATCACTTAGACCTGGGAGGCAGAGGATGCAGTGAGCTGAGATCATGCCACTGCACTCCAGCCTGGGCCACACAGTGGGACTCCATCTCAAAATTAAAAAAAAAGACAATATAAAAAATTCAATAAATTTTTATATTGATTACATACTGAAATGATATTTTGGATATGTCAGGACAAATAAAATATTAAAATTTGTTTTGCCTGTTTATTTTTTATTTTATTTTTTGAGACAGAGTTTTGCTCTTGTTGCCCAGGCTGGAGTGCAGTGGCACGATCTTGGCTCACTGCAACCCCGCCTCCCGAGTTCAAGCGATTATCCTGCCTCAGCCTCCTGAGTAGCTGGGATTATAGGTGGCTGCCACCATGCCTGGCTTTTTTTGTATTTTTAGTAGAGACGGGGTTTCGCCATGTTGGGCAGGCTGGTCTCAAATTCCTGACAGGTGATCTGCCCGCCTTGGCCTCCCAAAGTGTTGGGATTACAGGCGTGAGCCACCGCGCCCGGCCATTGCCTGCTTTTTTTTTTTTTTTTTTTTCTATTTTTAAAGGTGGCTAATAGAAAAATTTGTATTATATGTGTGGCTCACATTACATATCTAGTAAATGGTGCTGATTTAAAGGATATAATTCAAGGAAGAGAGAGGGTAACTGATCACAGAGAAATGGTCTGATATGCAAGAAGGAAGGGTAAGCAAATAAATTGGTAAATATATGAGTAAAATGAAATAAATATTAGCTGTATAAAACAATAGCAGTAATGTCTAATTTGGGGGTAAAATACAGGGGCAAAAATATGCACGATGAGAGGGAGATGATCGGAGTTAAAGCATTCTAAGGTATTGTTTAGTGAAGGGTAGAGATACCAATTAATTTAGGGCAACCCCTAAAAGAAAATAAATAGATTATACACTTTAAAAAAAAATAGAGTGGAAAAAAAAAAAACAAACCCAAAATCAGATAGTAAATGGGAGAAGCAAGCAAAGAAAAGGCAGGACAAATAGTAAACACCAAGTAAGATAATCAGAATAATCTTAATAATAATAAGGTCAGTAATTACAATAAATACAAACTTACTTCCTAAAATATACCAGCTAAAAAACAAATTATTGGACTAGATTGAAAAATTCCACTGTATGTCATCTCTAATATGCATACCTAAAAACAGTAATAATTGAGAGTAAAATAATGTTTAAGGGCTGGGTGCAGTGGCTCACGCCTGTAATCCCAGCACTATGGGAGGCCGAGGTGGACAGACTGCTTGAGCTCAAGAGTTCAAGACCAGCCTGTGCAACATAGTGAAACCCCGTCTCTAAAAAAAATATAAAAATTAGCCAGGCATGGTGACCCGTGCCTGTAGTTCCAGCTACTTGGGACTTGAGGTGGGAGAATGGCTTGAGCCCAGGAGGTGGAGGTTACAGTAAGCTGAGATTGTGCCACTGTACTCTAGACTGAGTAACAGAGCCAGACTCTGTCTATAAAAAAAAAAAAAAAGAGAGAGAGAGAGTTTGAGGCATTGAGACATACCCTCAGACATTTAAATTTTATCAGGTGGGCTCCACGCACTGATATATTTTAAAACTTCCTCAGGCAAATCTAATGTGCAGCTAAGGTTGAAACTGGTTTAACTTATGTTTTATTTAATTAAACTAATTAATTTTTTTTGAGACAGGGTCTCGCTCTGTCACCCAGGCTGGAGTACAGTGGCGTGATCATGATTCACTGCAGCCTCAAACTCCCAGGCTCAAGCGATTCTCTCTCCTTAGCCTCTGGAGTAGCTGGGACTACAGGCATGAACCACCACACCTGGCTAATTTTTAAAATTTTAGTAGAGACAAGGTCTTGCTATGTTGCCCAGGCTGGTCTCGAACTCATGCGCTCAAGCGATCCTCCCAACTTGCCTCCCGAAGTGTTGGGATTATAGGCGTGAGCCACCACACCTGGCCTACAATATACTGTTAATTAAAAAAAATTAGATAATGGAATCAGCAGGCATAGTATTATCTCATTTATGTAAAATTTAAGTCTTTTCTCTGTGTATCATCTATCTATAGAGTTGTCTTGAAATAGGCTGACACTCATATCATTGTTGGAGGGATTGGTCACAAAGGCATAAGCAGGCTAGTGCTAGATCAGCATAAGCCAGCATTAAAGTAAAGGTGAAGAGGATTTCAGAGGCTGTAAAGCTGTGGCACATTCTAGTTGGTTATCAGAAAGTCAAGTTAGAGAAATAAGGGATAAAAAATTGGTAATAATTGGGTAAACTCCAGGAATCAGTAGACATATATTATTGACCTAGAACACTTGAGTATGGCTAATATTTGTTGGACATCATGTAAATGCCTTGGCTTGACAAAATCTTCAAGAATTCTATTTCTGGGCTTTCATACATGAACTTTTTTGGGTTATCTTATAGATAGATAATATGGCCCTAGGCAGTTAGGATAACTTAGATTGATGTTTCATTGGAGGTCAGGTCAAGAAACCAGAATGCAGTTTAGGGAGGGGATTAAAAATATTTAAAAAGAAAATCAGAATTCCCTTTATAAAAAATCAAATCTTACAAAGACTCCCTATATATAAATTGGTATTTTATCAGCATAAATGTATTTTTAATATTTATGTGTTTTGAATACATACATTCATAGGGTTTGAAATTCAAAAGGATATGTAATTCTATCATTTTTCTTCCCTAAATAGAAGTGATGGCAATACTTTTCTGTATCTTGCTTTTGTTGATTATTGTATTTGAGCAATCATTTCACATCATTATAGAGTATTCCATTAATGGATGAACCGTGATTTTATGTAACCAATCCCCTATTTACAGACATTCAGTTTGTTTCCAATCTTTTGTTACTGCAAACAGTGCTAAAATGAATAATCTTGTACTTAAGTTATTTTTGTACATGTGTAAATATATATGTAGGATAAGGTCCTAGAAGTGAATTTGCTACTTTAAAAGATATGTAAATTGTGATACTGTCACCAAATTGCCCTCTATAATGTCGATTTATACACTGACAAATGGCATATAAGCATGCTTATTTCTTCAAATTCTCATGAAAATGTGTCACAGAAAATTTTTGCCAATCATATAGGTGGAAAGTGACATCTCTGCATATTTGGGTTTCTCTTACTATGAATGAGGTTGATGTATTTTCATGTCTCAATGTCATTTATATTTTCTTTTCTGAAAACTGACTGTGTATATCCATCCTCATTTTCTACTGAGTTATTGAATGTTTTTTTCTTACTGAGTTGTAGGAGTTTTCTATGTATGTAGAAAATTAACTCTACATGATATGAGAAGCAAATATTTTTCCTCATAGCTATTTATCTTTAGAATTTGCATGTGTGTTCTTTTCCAAGCATACATTTTCTGTTTTTATATATTATTAATCTTTTATTTTTAGATTTTTTGGTTTTATATTATGCTTAGAAAAGCCATTCCTATTATTTTCTCCCCATGGTCTGTGTATTAATTATTAATTTATTGCCTCTCAACTCCAAATTCATCCTTCAGTACATGCTCTGTGATAAATTCCTTTAAGCATTTCTCTTTTACAGTGAGCACAATGTTAAGTTTTCTTAGTAAAGGGCACTGGAGGGACATAAAGAGGCTCTCCTATTGTTACATGCAGCATACTGTGGGTCAGCTGTGGGGTATAGGGACACCTAATGGTGACCCATCCATGCATTCAGAATTCATAGTCTTTCAGTGACTTCATAGCCCTGCCTGGCCTAGTAATCGCCTTTCTGCAGCCCTTTCAACATGGACACCATATGATTCAGGCCTCCTGCCTGTACTAATGCCTAATTCCCTTTGCTTACTTGTTCCTCCCCGTGAGAAGTTTGTCTCCTGTGGCCATCTCAATGCTACTGCTCTTCCAACATGGAGAATACGTATTCTGGGCATCCTGCCTACACTCTCTCTGCATGCCTGTAAGCCCAGCCACCACTGTAGCTCACCTATCACTGGAGAGTAGCTTCCTGCTTTCCCAGGAACTGCAGACCAACTTTAGCCTTGACAAACTAGTGAACTCTGCCATCCAGTGGGTTACAAATACACATTCTGCAATTTGGTGTGAACCCCAGCCTCGGGAAGGGAGTCCCCCTTTCAAGTTTGACTTTCCTTAGGATCTCTCCCTTAGCCCTAGGGTACCATATAAATTCCCTTATATCTTATAGGTAATCTATTATCATAGTTTAATATGTTAAGCTATATTTCAGTTTTTTTTTTTTTTTTTTTTGAGATAGGATCTTGCTTTGTCACCCAGGCTAGAATGCAGTAGTGATGCAATCATAGCTCATGGCACTGGGCTCAAGGGATCCCCTCGCCTCAGCCACCTGAGTAGCTAGGATTACAGTTGCAGGCCACCATGTCTGGCTAATTTTTTATTTTTAAATTTTTTGTAGAGATGAGGTCTCACTATGTTGCTCAGGCTGGTTGTGAACACCTGGCCTCAAGCAATCCTCCCTCCTTGGCCTCCCAAAGTGCTAGGATTACAGGCATGAACGAACACGCCCAGCCTGTATTAAAACTTTTTACACAAACTTTCCTTGTTTAAATCACTGTGTGGTTTGTTTCCTGATTGTACTCAGACTAATACAATCTGTTCTAGTACTTGTATAGTTTATTTTTATACTTTGCTCCATCAGGAATCTATGCTGGTAGATGCTGTGAGTATGGATCTAGCTTTATTTTTCCCATATGGCTATCCAGCTGATCCAAACATTTATTAATAGCCTTTTTCCCAACTCATTTTAAATGCTATCTTTATTACACAATAAGTTCCCACATATATTTTTTAAAATGAACTTTAAATTGTATTCCATTACAATCTGTCTTTTCAATCTCCAGTATCACATCGTTTTGAATATCTGTTTAATATCTGATAGGAATAGTCCCTGGATATTCTTTCTTTTAAAATTTGAACTTTACTAGCAGAATGTCTAGTTCTCCTGTTGGAAATTTTATAATTTTTGGGAATTGCATTACATTTGTACATTAGGGATAACTGACATCTGAGTCTTCCCAAAAACGAATGGCTTTTTATTTGTTCAAGTCTCTTTTTGTGTTTCTCAATAGTATTGAACAATTTTTTAATTGGCAAAAGGAAAACTATATATATTTATGACATATAACATTGTTATTAATGTAAATATATCAATAGTATTTTAAGTCATATAAATCTTGCATATTTATTGTTCATTTCATTCATAAGTATTTGATCATTTTGGTTATTGTGATGAAAAATTTTCTTCCATTATAACTTTTAACTTGTTGCTCTTAGACATATAAAGAGTACAAATATCTGTGTTGATTTTGCTGTGGATTATTTTGTTGTTTCAAATAATTTCCTAGTGGATTCTCTTGGGCTTTCTGGATAATCAAATAATCCGCAAATAACAATTTAATCTCCTCTTTTCTCATTTCATACCCTAATTTCTTTTTCTTGTATCACTACATCAGTGAAAATATCTAGAATACTTTTATTTTTATTTTTATTGTTTTAGTGGTAAAAGATAGATTTTATTAGCTCAAGGTCCACTGAAGAGCTTTCAGGAAGTTCTAAAGAAAAATCTGGCCATCTTTTCTGTAAAATAAATAGAACAGCAGGAATCTCTGGGTATCCCTTAAACATAAACTATGATGATTCCATTCATATTACCTGGGCTGTAAGTAAATGACTTCTTGCAAATAAAAATAACATTTTAGAAACTAGTTAATACCACTAGCCCTAATTTGGTTTTCACTTGCTTGCATTTGTCTAAGAAATTTCTCCATGAAGTGCATATTAAAATCTAACAATTATTTCTCATTTATACATAAGTCAAATCACTCACTCTTACCATGAAAGCAAAACTTACTTCTGAAAATACTCTACAGAAATAATATATAAACACATAGAGCTTTGAGATAAACTAAGAACATCCTCCTATGTTCTATGGATCAAAATGCAAAGGTCTCCATTTTATATATATAAATAAACTCTTTCATTAATTTGGGATATATTGATATTACATGACCATGCGCATACCTATGGAACATGTACATACACTACAGAACAAATCTTGACAATGTTTCTACTGCCAACATACTTTCCATTCCCAACTGCTGGAAAGGAAATAAAAACAATACGAAAACTACTTTTCCTTTTTATAAATAGTTTTTAAGTGGAAAAACAAAGCCAATCCTCCTCATTGAGACATCAAATAAGCTCCAAAAGGTTCAGAGTCAAGAATCTGTTCAGTTGTTCCCCAATGTAACAAAGCACATAAGCTTTCTCTATTCAGGAAGCTTCTCCGATCATCTCCAGTGTTTCGTCTTAAAAACTGCTTTACAAGATACGAGGTAGCCATGTTGGTTAAATTATTTCTGCTGCTTACCTTACACCTGATGTAACCATATAGGTTGGCATCTGCTAACACCATACCCATGATAACCACTGCTAACCAGTTTACTCTGAAGGAGAACAAGGCACTAAAGGCAAATATCACCCAAAGCACTGCACAGACTGTAAGTCCCAATCAAAAGATTCTTGATTCAGCTTCTGACACAGTTTTATTATCTTGAGAGGAAGACTTTCTAGATTCAAACACCCAATGGTTCTTTCCATCTTCATCAATGTGACTCCACCAACATAGGCCAACCATTAGTCTACCTGTGATATTCTTTGCTGCCCAAAAGTCACATGACAACAACAAGATAATCGTCATCATACAGGCAATAAAGCTGCTGCTGAGTAACTCACAGAGAAGATAGACAATGATTGCACTGACTTGAAAGAATAAGTGGAAAACGATACCACTGAATATCTGATTTTTGGATTTTTTTGGTCTATTAGTTGTCTCCTCTTCTGCATCAATTAGTGAAACATCTGCAGTGTCATCATTACTATCCTGCTGCTTCATGGCCCAGAATACTTTCAAATAATGGTGATGATACTAAACTTCCTTATCTTGCACGGGAATGTCTTTAGTGTTTTTCCATTAAGAACAATACTAACTCTTGAATTGAAAAAGAAATGTATTATGCTAAAGAATAGCTATCTGTTTCTGTTTTATTAGAGTTTTTACAAAACAAAATTGGATGTTGAATTTTATCAAATGCTTTTTCAGAAGTTACAGAGATGAACATGATCATAAGATGTTGCTTCTCCTTAGATAGGTTAACATAGTAAATTATATTAATAGATTTTCTAATATTAAAGCATATTTCAATTTTTGGCATATAATTCTTTTAATGTGACACTGGATTATATTGCCAATACAGGTAAACCATCCCTAATCTAAAAGTCTGAATCTGAAATGTTCCAAAATCCAAAACTTTTTGAGGGCCAACATGAGGCCATAAGTGGAAAACCGCACATCTGACCTCATGTGATGGGTTGCAGTCAAAACTTTGTTTCATGAACAAAATTATTTTAAAAATGTTGTATAGGCTGGGCGCGGTGGCTCATGCCTGTAATCCCAGCACTTTGGGAGGCCCAAGTGGGTGGATCATGAGGTCAGGAGTTTGAGACCAGCCTGGCCAAGATGGTGAAACCCCATCTCTACCAGAAAATACAAAAATTAGCTGGGTGCGGTGGCGGGCACCTGTAATCCCAGAAACTCGGGAGACTGAGGCAGGAGAATCGCTTGAACCTGGGAGGTGGAGATTGCAGTGAGCTGAGAACATGCCACTGCACTCTAGCCCGGGCGGCAGAGCAAGATTCTGTCTCAAAAAAAAAAAATGTATAAAATTACCTTCAGATGGTGTATATAAGGTATATACGAAACCAGTGAATTTCATGTTTGGACTTGGGTCCCATCCCTAAGTCATTATGTACATGCAAATATTCCAAAATTCAAAAAAATCCAAAGTCTGAAACACTTCTGGTCTAAAGTATTTTGGATAAGAGATTCACAACTTTTTTTTTTTTTTTTTTAAGACAAGGCCTTGCTCTGTTGCCTAGGCTGGAGTGCAGTGGCATAATCATGACTTACTGCAACTTCAACCTCTGGGGCTCAGGTGATCCTCCTGCCTTATCCTCCTGAGTAGCTGAGACTACAGCTATGTACCACCATGTCTTTTAAAAAACTTTTTTGTAGAGGTGAGGTCTCACTATGTTGCCCAGGCTGGTCTTGAACTCCTGGGCTTATGTGATCCTCCTTCCTTGGTCTCCCAAAGTGCTGGAATTATAGGCATGAGCCACCTCACCAGGCTGGTATATAGGTATTCAAAACTGATATATTTTTAATAGGCTCCCCTTCCAACAAGCTTTCTATGCTAAATATCTTCAATGCACCTTAAAAAAATTTTTATTTTATTTTAGGTTCTGGGATACATGTGCAGAACGTGCAGGTTTGTTACATAGGTAAACGTGTGCCATGGTGGTTTGCTGTACCTATCAACCCATCACCTAGGTATTAAGCCCCACATGCATTAGCTATTGGTCCTGATGCTCTCCCTCCTCCCGCCTCCTCAACGGGCCCCAGTGTGTGTTGTTCCCCTCACTGTGTCCATGTGTTCTCATTGTTCAGCTCCCACTTATGAGTGAGAACATGCCGTCTTTGGTTTTCTGTTCCTGTGTTAGTTTGCTGAGTATGATGGCTTCCAGCTTCCTCCATGTCCCTGCAAAGGACATGATCTCATTCCTTTTTATGGCTGCATAGTATTCCATGGTGTGTATGTACCACATTTTTTTTTAATCCAGCCTATCACTGATGGGCACTTGGGTTGGTTCCAAGTTTTTGCTATTGTGAATAGTGCTGCAGTAAACACATGTGTGCATGTATCTTTATAACAGAATGATTTATATTCATTTGGGTATATACCTAGTAATGGGATTGCTGGGTCAAAGGGTATTTCTCAGTGTGCCTTCTTGATCACTCCGTACTCTACTCTGTTTTTGCCCTAGCATTAAAGTGCCATTGTGCCATTCTTAGTTTCATTTAATGCATTTTGCTTCAAATTCAACCTTGTCTGCAATTGATCGTAATTCTCTTTGTTTGGTTTGCCTTTGCCTAGTATACATTTGCCCACCCTTTTATTTTCAACCTTTCTGAATCATTTTGTTGTAGCTGTGTCTCTTGAAAACAACAGATTTGCTTTGTGATCAAGTCTGTCTGTAAGTTCTAAAAAGCATCTGATATGACAGATATGTTTGTTTTTAGTTATATTATTTTATGGTATACTCTTTATTTTTACAGCTTTTAGAAAATCACTTTACTGTATATTTTATTTTTATTTTTTCTGTATGTTTGTCTTGTCATGATTAGGAAGGCCTGTATTTCTGCTTTAGTGATTATCTTTATAACTCTGTGTAATTCCCTTAAGTTAATCTTTAGCAGTATCTATCAATTCACCACTATAGAAATGACAAAATTAGTGTATTTCCTCTTATTACTCTTACGCTCCCTTTATTGCAGCACTAACTTATAGTTTATTATATTATCTTTCTTGGGGTTTACCTTTATGCTGTTTAATATATTATATCTCTATTACTTGTCACCTTGAAGTGATTCCATTTGAATGCCAGCTATTAGAGAAAATGAGTATTATAGCTAAATTAGAATACTCTGAGTCCTAATATCTCATTGTAGATTATATATGATTTAAATAAGTTTTTTATTATAAAAAAGTAAAATAATTGGGAAGATCTTCACAGTAAGGGCATTCTTCTGAAACCCTGTTTTGAGGGGAAATGAATCATTCTGGTTGAAATTATTTATATTAACGGCACAATGGATATAAAAGGAATTTTAATATTAATTATGAATCCCTTCTCATGACTCCTTATAAAACATTCAGAATTATTTGATTATACTCAAAAATTAAATATGAGAGGATATATTGAGGTATTCATTCTGAGTAAGATTTCCCACATGGTATCTTTCTCCATTTATATTTTAAGCTGCTTCTGCAGATGGAAAATGTCAAATATTTATATAGGTCAGTGACAATGGATTTAAGGTCATGTTTTTCCGTAAGCAAAGATTGGATTGTTCTATACGTAAGGTAATAGTATTGTTTCTGCAATTTTCTTAAGCTTTTAATTAGGGTTGAACTTATTGTTCGGTTGGAAAGAAATTTTGGCTTTCAATTTTTCCTGAGAAGCCAGTGAGGAGTCTGATTCCTGGTTAAAAACCTATGTGTGATTTTTTCAGGCCTGACCATAGGCAATTACAAATAATTTACCTGGCAGACCTCATGGGGAAAAAGCTGCCTTTGCCACACCAGACTTGGTGCACAGCCAATGCACTGCAGTCTCTGTAGGGAGTTGCAGTCAAGGATTCAGAACCCCTAGCTGGTCATGTTCTTGGAATATTTGTATTCCTAGCTCTGGTACTTTCATTTCTAGCTCTCTTCATCTGAGGCCTTGGGCCAAGTCCTCCTCAGGCCCTCTGTCAAGACCTCCTTGTGGCGGAAGGGAGAAGGAAGCCTTAAAGACACTTTTCCCTACTCTGAGTCACTACTCAGTACTTTTCCACTCCTAGCCTTCCCTCCTTGCCCTCCCCTCAACCCCAGGGTGCATAAAATTGCTAGAGCCTTTTGTTTGGGACTCCTTCAACAGTGAAACTATCCCCATGTCTGCACTTATCTTCAACCAGTGCACAGTTCCATGGAGGAAATGGAATAGGGCGAGTAGGCACTTTCTCCAGTTTAGATTCTTGCTTATACTATTACTGTAAATAATCAAAGGCTTACCCTTTTATTTGAGGCTTGATGTCGTTAATCAGCTACTATGACAGCTCAGCTCTTTCCTAGCTTAGTTGAGCTTCTGACAAGTCAGTGGTTTCTAGTGTAAAGCTGTCTGCCTTTTCTAGTGGAGTGATTAAAAGATTAAGGGATTCAACTAGGTCCAAATGTACTGAGGAGTGCCAGAAGGATATAACATAGCCACTTGAGGAGGAAAAAAAATCCTTTTACCCTTGTTTGGGACATGGGCTCATTTCCTAAGAAACCTCTTATACTGGATATCTTCTATTTGCCCTTCCAGATCACTCTCTACTTTCTCTACCCTATTTTGTGCCCTAGGAAGGTGATCCATAGGGACTGATTCAATGAGGTCATTCACACTCTTACTTCCAGCTGGCTTTGGTCAATGGGAGGCACCAGCAGGAGATCTGCATGTGGGAGGAAAGTGAGGTCAGGGTATTTCATCTCCTGATTTCCTCCTCACCAGATTGCCATGGGATGGCTGCATCCTTCTTCTGAAGGCAACATGATTCTTTGCTTGATCAAATTTTAGTCAGGCTTCTAAACCTTTTCTTAGGCCCATCTGTGCACTTCCTTGTAAAATTTCATTTTAGCAAAGAACCCTGCTAAGTCAGTTTGGCGAGAATCCCCTACTCTTAATGTCTGATCATTCTCAGTATCTGATTGGGTTCCTCATCCTGCACCATCCCCCAGGTGATGTCTGATCACCCTGGCCTGTTTTCAGCAAGAATCCTGTAAGTCAGTTTAGCCAGAATTCCCCTTACCCCTGATGTTTCCTCTTAGTAATTATCTATCCACTGATCCCCACAGGCTCCTTGGCTATATATTCCCACTTGCTTGTGCCATATTCAGAATTGAGCCCAATCTCTCTTTCCCATTGCAACATCCCATTGTCATGGTCCTTATACCTATTGATGGATTTCCAAGGGACCAGTGCTATGGTCCCTTTATTTAGGACCATAACAACATACCTATTGTGTTGGTCCTCAGTAAAGTCTTTCTTACCATAATTTAACAATGTCATGAATAACTTTTTCTTTAACAAAGGCCAAAGATCCCGTCAGGCAGCCCTCTTCAGACAGTTCCCTCCTCTTCAGTCCTAGAGGTGGTATGGCTATTGCACCACCTAAACTCTGCCCACACCTATGTAAATATTCCCTTCTATATTTCTTTGAAAATTATTTGGTTTGAGTGTGCCATCTATCTGTTTCTTCCTAGCAATTTGACTGACTTAACAGCTCCTTACATAAATACTCAATTAAAAAGGAAAATAAAATCTAAAATACTTTTTAAAGTTATAAGCTAAAAGATAACAATAGATTTTAAAAACTACATTGAATACACACATCAATAAGCAAACATATTAGGATAAAAGTGAAAGTCATGGAAAAAACACTTAGCATGATGCCATGTATGCAGTAAGCACTCCATAATATCAGCTTAATGTTATTAACATATTAGCAAATAGAGCGATTTGTCTGAATTGAGTGCCTGAAAATGACCAACAAATACCTTGTATATTTGTAATGAGAAGGTTGGTGGTTACTATAGAGGCAATTTCATAAGGGCAAAACTACCAGTAGGAAGTACCTGAGGATTGAGCTCCCTCTCAGAAATCCAGGCTCTTACCACTTGACTTAAGGTGTTAGTATATCACCAGAAGGGAACCATGGTGGTTTTAAATATGTATACAAATTCTTTGACATACTTCTCCTCAAAGGGTAGTACAAAATTCTTGGGATTTTCTAATTAGCCCATCACATCATCCACAAACCGGGACAATTTCATTTCTTCGTGTCCAAGCTGCATGCCTTTTATTTCCTTTTCTTACCTTATTGTGCTGCCTAGGACTTCTAGTACTATGCTGAGGAGTACTAAGAGCAGACATCTTTGTCTTGTCTCAATCTTAGGGGGAAAGCATTCAGTCTTTCACCATTAAATATGGCATTAGCTGTAGGTTTTATCATGAGTGGACGTTGAACTTTGTCAAATGCTTATTCTACTTCAATTGACATAATCATGTGGTTTTCTTCTTTAGCCTTTTAATATGGTATACTACTTTGATTGATTTTCAAATATTGAACCAATTTTGCATCCCTGAAATAAGTTCTACTTGGTTATGTTGTATAATTCTTTTTAATTGCTGAATTCTATTTTTTAATATTTTGTTAAGTTTTATGTCATCTATGTTCATGAGGGATATCGGTCTTCAGTTTTCTTTTTTTGTACCACCTTAGTCTATTTTGGGGATAAAAAATAGCCTCATAAAATGAGTTTGGAAGTATTTCCTTCTTTTATATTTTCTGAAAGAGATTATGTAGAATTGATGTTATTTTTCTTTAAATGTTTAGTAGAATTCTTCAATAAAACCACCTGGGTCTGAAGATTTCTTTTTCAAAATTTAAAAATTATGAATTCAGTTCCTTTAATGGTTACAGGGCCATTCAAACTATCTGTTTCATATTGGGCAATTGTGATAGTTTGTGCTTTTCAAGGAATTGGTCCATTTCATCTAAGTTGTTAGATTTACGTATGTAAAGGTATCTGTAGTATTCTCTTATTATCCTTTGGAATAATAAGGGCCTATAATGACACTCCCCTGTTTCATTCCTGATATTGGTAATCTGTATTTTCTTTTTCTATTTTCCTTGTCATTCTTGCCAGAGGTTTGTTAATTTTATTGATCTTTTCAAAGAATCAACTTCTTTTCATTGATCTTCTCTATTTTCTGTTTCCAATTTCACTTATTTTTGCTCTTCATTATATCCTTGTTTTTGCTTGTTTTGAGTTCATTTTGCTTTTCCTTTTCTAGTTTCTTGAGGTGGGAGTTTATATTACTGATTTGACTTTTCTCTTTTCTAATGTAAGCATTTTAGTGCCATAAATTTCCTTCTCAGCACTGCTTTACCTGCATCCCACAAATTTTGATATTTGTATTTTCATTTACCTTCAGTTCAATGTATTGTCTTTTAAAATTTCCCTTGACATTTTGCTTTTTGACCAATGGATTATTTAGAAGTGTGTTGTTTAGTTTTCAAGTGTTTGGGGGAATTTTTCTGTTATGTTTCTGTTATAGATTTTTACTTTGATTTCATTGTGTCAGAGAACATACTATGCATGATTTCAATTTTTAAAGTTTGTTTAAGTTTCTTTCCTTCATGGCCCATGGTATGGTCTAGTTTGGCAAATGTTCCACGGGTGCTTGAAAAGAATGTGCATTCTGCTTGTTGTTAGGTGGAGTATTATATAAATGTCAATTAGATCCTGTTGGCTGATGTTTTTCTATATCCTTATTGATGTTCTATAATTGTTGAGAGAGGGACACTGAATCCAACTATAATTGTGGATTTATCTATTTCTTCTTTTAGATCAATCAATTTTTGCTCCACATATTTTATAGCTTCTGTTGTTTGATGCATACACATTTAGGATTTCTGTATCTTCTTGGTGGATTGACCTTTTCATCATTGTCTAATGTCCCTCTCTGTACCTGGTATTCTTTGATCCGAAATCTGTTTCATCTGATATATTAATAAATCCACTCCTGCTTTGTTTTGGTTAATGTTTGCATGATATATCCCTTTCCATTCTTTTACTTTCAGCCTACATTTAATGTGTTTGAAGTTAGTTTCTTTTAGACAGGATATAGTTGGGTCATTTAAAAAATCAACTCTGCCAAGCCCTTTCTTTTAATTGATGTTTTTAGGTCACTCACATTTAATATAACTATTGATATGTTAGCCTGCCAATTTATTTGTTGTTTTCTGCTTGTTCCCTCTGTTTTTAGTTTCTTTGTTTTCTTTTACATACCTTCCAATGGGCTATTTGAATATTTTAAAAATACCCTATTTTGACTTATCCATGGTGTTTCTGAGTGTATTTCTTTGTATAGGTTTTTTAGTGGTGGCTCTAATTATCACATTGTACATAGAAACTTATCAGAGTCAACTGGTGTCAACATTTTACCAGTTCAAATGAAGTGTAGAAAACTTACCTCCCTTTATATCACTTTCCCCTGCTTTGTTTATAATATAATTGTCTTAGGTATTTCCTCTACATATATCTCAAACTCCTGGGCTCAAGTGATCCTCCTGCCTCAGACTCTCAAAGTGCTAAGATTATAGGTGTGAGTCACCATGCCCAGCCTCAAGATTTCATCTTTAACAATAGTTTTTACATGATGTGCCTTAATGTAGTTTTCTTCATGTTTCTTGTGCATGGCATTCATTGATTTCTTAAATTTGTGGGTTTGGAGTATTTATCAAAATTAGAAAAATTTTGGCCATTTTTTAAAAGTATTTTTTCTATCCCCTGTTCCTCTCCTTTGGAGACTTTAATTACACATATATCAGATGGCGTGAAGTTGCCCCAGAGCTCAATTATGTTCTATCCATTTAAAAAAAATGATTATTTTCTTTCTGTGTTTCATGTTGGATAGTTTCTATTCCTATGTCTTCATGCTCACTAATCTTTTCTTTTGTAATGTCTAATCTGCCAATAATTCCATCTAGTGTATTTTCCATGCCAGAAATTGTAGTTTTCCTCTCTAAAAGTTTGATTTGGAACTTTTAAAATGTCTTCTATATCTCCACTTAGCTTTTTGAACACATGGAACCCGATTATAACAATTGTCTTAATGTCCTCATCTGCTAATTCTAACATTTATGTCACTTCTGGGTCAGTTTTAATTAATAATTTCTTCATAATGAGTCATAATTTCCTGCTTCTTTGCACACCTATTTAAGTTTTGATTGAATGTCAGACAGTATGAATTTTACCTTGATGGGTGCTACATAGTTTTGTATTTCTATAAATATTCTTGAGCTTTGTTCTGGGATAGTTAAGTTACCTGGAAACAGTTTGACACTTAGGATCTTGTGTTTATGTTAGGTAGTCTTGAGCAGTACTAAGTCTTGGGCTATTTTATGCCCTACTACTGAGGCAAGATCTTTGTGAGTCCTCTATCCAATGTATCATGAATTATGAGGATTTCCAGCTTGGCTGATATGAACAGGTACTATTCCAGTTGTGAGTATCAGGTACCACTGTCTCTAGTCCTTCAGGGTGGCTCCTTCTTTGGCCTTGGGTAGTTTCCTCATGTGCATGTACTGATCAGTACTCTGCTGAATACTCAAGGGGCACCCTCTTCAGGTCTTTATAGAGTTCTGTATGTAGCTCCTTCTCCTCTAGCTATTAATACCTTGGTCTCTCTGAAGTCCCAGATCCATCTCCTTGACTCAAGGAAACCACTGGCACCCGCCCCTAGGTTCTCCCTCTCTGCATTGTAGCTTAGAAACTTTCTCAAGGCAGTAAGCTGGGACAATTCTTTTTTTTTTTTTTGAGACGGAGTCTTGCTCTGTCACCCAGGCTGGAGTGCAGTGGCGCGACCTCGGCTCACTACAACCTCCGCCTCCAGGGTTCAAGCGATTCTCCCGCCTCAGCCTCCCGAGTAGCTGGGATTACAGGCAGCCGCCATCATGCCTGGATAATTTTTGTATTTTTGTAGAGGTGGGGTTTTACCATGTTGGCCAGGCTGGTCTTGAACTACTGACCTCAGGTGATCTGCAAGCTGGAACAATTCTAAGTCTCACCTCATTGACTTCCTATCACCCAGGGGGCTTTGTTCTTTGCTGCGTGATGTCCAGTGTTTTGAAAAGTGTTTTTCATAGGTTTTATCCAGTTTTTTTTTATTGTTTGAGGCAAGAGGGTAAATCAGCTTGCTGTTATTCTATCTAGGGTGGAACAGTGACTTGCTTCCAATGAACAGAATGTGGAGGAAGTGACAACATGTTACTTTTGAGACTAAGACATAAAAGGTATTTTGGCTTCTTCATTGCTCTCTCTCTCTTTTGGATCAGTCGTTCTGGGAGAAGCCCGCTGCCACAAATTAAGGACATTCAAGCAGCCCTTTGGAGAGATCCAAGTGGTCAGGAAACAAGAATTTCTGCCAACAGCTAAGTGAATACGCCATCTTGCAACTGGATCCTCCAGCCTCAATCAAGCTTTCAGATGACTGACATCTTGGCTACAATCTCATGAGGGACCCCAAGCCTGATCTACCTAAGCCACTTATGAATTCCTAACTCATAGTAACTATGAGATGATGTTTATTAATTTAGACCACTACATTTTGGGATAATTTGTTACACAGCAATAAACAATGAATAGAGGTACCAAATTCTGCTCAAACTGTAGAAAGGATCAGTTGAATTTCTTAAATAATTTTATCCTTTTCCCATCCCCAACCCAGCCTAAGTAACAATGCACAGACAAAATCCCCATACTTAGCACTGGAGCATTTATACTCAAAACTTTCCCTGTGTGACTTTTGTCAAGAAATAAACCATGAGTTGTTATAAGCCTAAGGTTCTGTCAAAGCAACCAGGGTATGTTCTAACTCAAGAAGCATGAAGTAATATATATTATTTTCATTCTTTATAGTATCAACAGAGATGTTATCTTTCCACTTCCAATGAGGGAAACTAAGGCATTAATAAAAAAATAGATTTCAGTCATATATTACATTCATAATTCAGCAATGGATTTATGAAATTTCCTCTTTTGGAAATCTTAAATAAGACTTATATCCATTTGATAACGTATATTAGCAGCAAGGCTACCTCAAGGAAGGAGATGCATAGAACCTCTGGAAGTCTTTCTCTTCACTATGATTCTGAATTTTATACAAGGGAGAAAGGGAAGATTGAAATTTTGAGGAGGAGCATAGATAATTGTTTATGTATGAAGGAGCTTTGTAAAGACACTGCCCCTGGCCCAGCCATTGCCTTCCATAACCCTAGGGGGCAGTTTCACCTGAGTCTATGTGGAATGTAGAAAAAATATTTTCATGTTTTTGCATAGTTAGGGCTTTCTGAGCAAAGAAAACTGGTACCTGGGTTAAAGGGCAAGTCTTGGAAGTTAAAAGATGATTGAATAGTCAGAGACCTCAGAAGAGATTTAGAGGCTTCCCTCCTTGTGTGTTTACATTTCAAAGGGCATAAAAGGAGTCAGTTGTTTACATTTCAAACATCTGTCAATGCCAAGGTTTCTCTCCCTCTCTCTGGAGTGGAGCTTGTAGCCTATTTATACTCCCAGATTAATAATTTTGGATTTTCTCTTCAACAGTACACACCCCTATATATGCAGGATGCCCTCTGGCTCTCATGGTGTTACTCGGGGGCTACTGTGTGTGGAGAAGTAGTGCGGTTATTGTTATAAGTATTAATAACTGTGATCTCTATTCCAGAAACCTTACCACTGTATTTGCTTTCAGGGTAAAATGAATAAATATAGATATACTTACCACAAAAGGGAGGATGCACTCATGCTGATCTTGTACCATGTATAAACTGAACAGGGACATGCGGCTGGGGCCCATCAAGCTGCAGGCTAGAGAGAAGAAGTTCTGCAGAGCCTCACAGAGGTTGGTGCAGATGTCAGCCCAGGACGGTAGAGCAATGTGCACAATGAGAAGCCGTGGAGGTTGCTGGTCAATCTGAGTGTGAGTAGAGGGCCCTTTACCAGTAGTTCGCCCAGGATGCATGGCAGCAAAACCAGAGGGGGAACTGTAGCCACCAGCTGGATATTCTTTACACCTATAGGGAAGGAAAGAGAAACCACTGGTTTTCAAACTGAATTATGTGTGCTCTGTTGAAATATAAAATACAAGTCGAGGGAAACAAATCCAGAAAGGAGTCAGATTGGGTACTAAAGCTTGTCCAGGCCATCCTATTTTTTTTTTTTTTTTGAGACAGAGTCTCGGTATGTCACCAGGCTGGAGCGCAGTGGTGCGATCTTGGCTCACTGCAACCTCTGTCTCCCAGGTTCAAGCGATTCTCCTGCTTCAGCTTCCCGAGTAGCTAGGACTACAGGTGCACACCACCACGCCCAGCTAATTTTTGTATTTTTAGAGATGGGGTTTCACCATGTTGGCCAGGATGGTCTTGATCTCTTGACCTCACGATCCGCCCGCCTTGGCCTCCCAAAGTGCTGGAATTACAGGCGTGAGCCACCGTACCTGGCCCAGGCCATCCTATTTTAACAGCTCCCAAGAGATCTAGATGTTTGCCTATCATGTAAGCCTGAGAATGCTTAGAGATGCTGAGTGGAACTAATCAAAAGTTACACCAAAAAACTCAAGCTTCTGTCTCAAAGTAAGCTATCTGCCCTCATAAACTTTGTTTCTTTATTGGCATTTATTGCACTCTATTACAATTTGTTTCTATGACTGCCTCTCCCACTATATTGTAAGCTTCCCAAGGGTAGAGAACCTGTCTTGTTGATATTATTCATCAATGCCTAGCATATGTGTGTTTAGTACCTAACGAATAATTCTTAAAAATGAAAATATGACTACATTTCTCCTTGGTTAAAATTCTTTGGTTGTCTGAATCTCTTATAAGGTAAAATTTAAACTGTCTTTAAGACCTGTCATTACTTAATTGTTAGCCTCATTAGAAATTGTTCTTCGCCTCAAGATTTTCACGGAAACAATACCAAATATATTCACTTTAGTGCATTTGCTCATGCTGCTTCTCTGCCTCCAATACTCCTGCCTTCTTTCTCTACTGGCTACTTATACTTATCCCCAGGACTCAGATTAGGAAGTGAGAACAATTGAGAACAAAGAACCAATATAAGGAATGAGAAAGGGACATCATCACAAATGCTCAAACGTGAAAAGGGTTATAGGAGGACATAATGAATAGCTTTATGCTAATAAGTTTGATAAAGTGGACAAATTCCTAGAAAAATGTATCTAACCAATACTAAAGAAATTTTAGAAACCTAAATAGTCTATAATCATTAAGGAAATGTAATTGGTAATCAAATATCTTCCCACAAGTAAGAGGGTCAGATGATTTCACTGATGAGCTCCATCAAACATGCAAAGACCAAGAATTTCAATCTTTTTTTTTTTTTTTGTAGAGATGGGGTCTTGCCATGTTGCCCAAGATGGTCTCAAACTCCTGGGCTCAAGTGATCCACCTGCCTCGGCCTCCTGAAGTGCTGGGATTACAGGTGTGAGCCACCGCGCCCAGCCAAGAATTTCAATCTTAAACAAATTATTTTAAGAACAGAAGAACATATATAACAGGATACACTCCTCAACTAATTTTTTTTTTTTTTTTAGATGGAGTTTCACTCTTGTTGCCCAGGCTGGAGTGCAATGGCATGATCTTGGCTCGCTGCAACCTCCGCCTCCCGGGTTCAAGCGATTCTCCTGCCTCAGCCTCCTGAGTAGCTGGGATTACAGGCATGTGCCACCATGCCTGGCTAGTTTTGTATTTTTAGTAGAGACAGGGTTTCTCCATGTTGGTCATGCTGGTCTCGAACTTCTGCCCGCCTCGGCCTCCCAAAGTGCTGGGATTACAGGCGTGAGCCACGGCACCTGGCCTCCTCAATTAATTTTACGAGGTTAGCACGACCTTTGAAAGTGAAACCAGATAAAGGTGTAATAAGAAAAAAATTATAGGATAATCTCACCCATAAACTTGTAAAAATTCTAAATAAAATATAGAGAAATTGAAACTAATAATATACAAAAAAAAACAGCATGACCAAGTTGAGTTTATCCCAAGAACATAAGGTTGATATAACATTAGAATATCAATCACGTAATTCGTCACATTAAAAAAGTAAATGAGAAAAATGATATGATCATCCCAATAGACGCAAAAAAGCCTCTGTTTAAAACCCAGCATTTGTGCATGATAAAGACTGAGTAAGAATAGATGATAGGAATAATCTGACAAAATATATTTACAAAAAGAGAGAGCAAACATCATTCTTCATGGTGATATGTTGAAAGCTTTCCATGTAAGACAAGGAGCATGCTATCATCACTTCTATTCAGCATTATAGTGAAGGTAGTAATGAGGTAAGACAAATAAATAAAAGGCATTGCAATGGAAGAAAGAAAACTGTCATTGTGTGCCAATGATTGTGTATATAGAAAATCTAAAATAATCTACAGCTTTGTAATTTTTCCCAAAAGATCTCCTTGTCTTTTGTCAAATTTTAGTCTTAGGGATCTGTTGATTTTTAAATATTAATTTACATTTCAAAGAACTATCGATGACAAAGTTTCCCTTTCTCATCTTTTTAAATTTCATTTTTAGTTTGTTGCTTATGTATAGAAATATAGTTAATTAAAACAATCTTTTATAGAGATGGGGTCTTGCTATGTTGCCCAGGTTGGTCTTGAACTTCTGAGCTCAACCAATCCAACCGGCTCTGCCACCCAAAATGCTGGGATTATAGGCATGAACCACTGTGCCCAGCTATAATTAATTTTTGTATATTGACTTTAACAACCTTGCTGCACTCTCTTACTAATTATAATAATTTATCTATAGAACTTTTTGGATTTTTTTTGTTCTTAATCATATAATCTTTAAATAATCATATATAACAGGATACATGAAAAAAAAGTCAGATCATAGCAGCCAAAAGACTATTAATAACAATCTTGTTCACAATTACCCAAAACTGAAAAAAACACAAATGTCAATCTACATTAAAATGGATAAATCATAGTATATTTCCACATACAGCAATGAAGATGAATGAACTGCAGTTCCATGTGGCAACATGGATGATTCTAAGAAACATAATATTGAGTAAAAGCAGCAAGACACAAAGAATACATACACATGTAGCATGATTTCATCTACATTTTAAAAATAAGCAAAAGTAGTTATATTGTTTAGAGGTGCATACACAGTGATAAAATTATAAAGAAAAGCAAAGAATTGATTATCACAAAAATGAGGGTAGTGATTTTCCCTAGGAAAGAATGAAGGCATTATGATGAGAAGAGACAAAAGAAGGGGGTCCTGGGGTGTTGGTAATGTTCTTTTTTTTTTTTTTTTTTGAGACAGGGTCTCGCTCCATCGCCCAGGCTGGAGTGCAGCAGTGGCCCAATCTCAGCTCACTGCAACCTCCACCTCCCAGGCTCAAGTGATCCTCCCACCTCAGCCTCCTAAGTACCTGGCACTACAGGCATGCACCACAATGCCTCTCTAATTTGTGTGTTTTTTTGGTAGAGACAGGGTTTTGCCATGTTGCCCAGGCTGGTCTCAAACTCCTGGGCTCAAGCAATCCTCCCACCTTGGCCTCCCAAAGTACTGGGATTACAGGGATGAGCCACCACTTCCAGCCTAATGTTCTATTTCTTGATCTTTATTGTGGATATTGGGTATTCACTTTCTACTATTAAACTACACATTCATGTTTTATGACATTTTCTGTATATATGTTATATTTAATAATAAAAATATTTCAAGAAGAACATTAGGACAATCAAAAGAAAACAAAAGAAATATGATAAAAAAGATAGCTAAAAAATATGTCCCCACCTCTGAGAACTAAAATCATTCTATATAATTGTTTTTAGCTAAAGAATGTAGGGAAAATTAAAGCTTATTTGATTTCCCCTGTGACAATACAAAGATAATTATGATAATTTTCAGAAACACTTTGGAATTTAGAATCTTTAAAAATGATCTAAGAATACATAGATAGGCCGGGCGCAGTGGCTCACGCCTGTAATCCGAGCACTTTGAGAGGCTGAGGCGGGTGGATCTCAAGGTCAGGAGTTTGAGACCAGCCTGACCAACATGGTAAAACCCCATCTCTACTAAAAATACAAAAATTAGCCGGGCGTGGTAGCACGCGCTTGTAATCCCAGCTACTCAGGAGACTGAGGCAGGAGAATCGCTGGAACCCAGGAGGCGGAGGTTGCAGTGAGCCAAGATCGCGCCATTGCACTCCAGCCTGGGTGACAGCGCGAGACCCCGTCTCAAAAAAAAAAAAAAAAATACATAGATAGATGTATTTCCCCAAATGAATCAGTGAAGTTATTCTCTTCAAACTTCCCTTTTTGGATAGTGGAAGTCAGCATTTGTTCATTCAACATTTTTAAAAATTGAGTTCCAATTACGTGCTGGATACAGCTAGAAAAATAAATGAATTAATATGCTAATCTGTTGAAAGTCATCTTGAACCAGAAACCCAAATCAATTACTAATGTATTTACCAAGAAAGCACATAACATATTTTTAAACTGTACTTTAAGTACATGGGGCCAATTTCTACATGGAATGCTGAACTTGAAGCTGACACAGAGAAATTCACACAAACAGGTAGTCAGAGGCCTTATTTAATGTATAATTAAATTTAATTATCCATCTCCATCTCTCACATCTGAAAACGCCATTTTAAAGTAGAGGCAGGACAACCTGCTCAGGTCCCCTTCCACACTGTGGAAGCTTTGTTCTTTCGCTCTTTGCAATAAATCTTGCCGCTGCTCACTTTTTGGGTCCGCACTGCCTTTATGAGCTGTAATACTCACCGTGAAGGTCTGCAGCTTCGCTCCTGAGGCCAGGGAGACCACAAACCCACCGGGAGGAATGAAAAACTCCACACACGCCGCCTTAAGAGCTGTAACACTCACTGCAAAGGTCTGCAGCTTCACTCCTGAAGCCAGCGAGACCATGAATCCACCAGAAGGAAGAAACTCCAGACACATCCGAACATCAGAAGGAACAAACTCCGGACACACCATCTTTAAGAACTGTAACACCGCCAGGGTCCGCGGCTTCATTCTTGAAGTCAGCAAGACCAAGAACCCACCAATTCTGGACACAGTATTGCTGGGCCATAAGGCACGTATGAGTTTAGTTTTGATAGTGAGGTAGGAGGCGGGACTCAACTCTGCAGGAAGGGCTTGGACACCAGACCAAATTGAGGACTAGCTTAAACAGGGCGAGGGTGGAAGCAGCTTTCCATAAGACATGCCCACCAGTGTGCCCTGTCAGTTTACCATTGCCATGGCAACACTCAGAAGTTACCATCCCTTTCTATAGCAACGACTCTATGACCTGGAAGTTACCATGCTTTTCCTAGAAATTTCTGCATCAACTCCCCCTTAATTTGCATGTAATTAAAACTGGGTATAACTATGACTGCTGAACTACCTCTGAGCTGCTATTCTGGGCACACTGCCTATGGGGTAGCCCTGCTCCACAGTTGCAGTACCTCTGCTGCTGCTGTACACTGCTGCTTTAATAAAAGTTGCTGTTTAACATCACCAGCTCACCCTTGAAAAAAATAAAAATAAAAAAATAAAGTAGAGGCAGTCCTCATTTTGCATGGTTCAAGTATATAGATTTCAGTTACTACAGTTTAGTTAATTAACACTAGTCTTCCAACAACACAGTTCAAATTTCAGTTACCATGGAATATTAACTGTAATTACATAAAGTAGTATCTAGCTCTTTAGTTCACGAATTACTAGTTATCAGTATCAATAGTATAGTATACTGATATAGCGTACTGATATAATATAGTGATCAGTGCATCATGATCAGTAATTAATTATATCACTTCTTTCAAAGTCTGTTGGTGACCCGTCACTGCAGATCCATTAGTCAGTTAAAGCACAGACAGAAGTGTGTAGTTGTGTCGCCTCCTTGTCTCCTAGTGATAAGCCCATGTGATGTTTTATAAAAACAAAAACTGAAAGAGGAAACTAGCCGATAAAAGGAGCAGCAAAGAAATAAAAAATGATAATGCCAGGAGTGAAATCTGAATCTAACATAAGTGGAGTTAAAGGAGAAACAGCTGACTATGAGAGTGTTGACACTGCCTCCACCTGATAGACTCTAGAGAAGCAGCCAGAGGAATTTAGTGAAGGCAAACTTATCAACATACTTGAGGAAAGTCATTGTGATGAAAAGGATGAAGACATCCTACAGAAAGGGCCACTGGCAAAAAGCTTCATTATTAAAGAAACTTTCAGAGATATTTTACAAAATTGAAGGTACAAAGGATAAAATGTAGGAAACTAACCCAAACTTAGAAAGAAGTATGTCAGTTTGCCAAGACACACAAAAAATGTTTGCTCTCTCATAAGTTTTACTATGAGAGTTTTTTTTCAACAAATAAAACACTTTAGCTCTCAATGTTTCTAATGTTTTAAGTTAGTGTATGAAATAGTTTTACTGTTTTACATTTCCCTATACAGTTAGTAAGAAAGTTTTAGTGTTTTGACAATTTTTCAAGGTTATAGAACAACTGTAATTTTTCCCATTGGTGTTTAAGATCTCTTTGAATGGTTTCAGCTTGCAGTCATTTTTCAATCCCACACTAATGTGCAATTGGAAGACTGTATTTTAAATGAGGTAAGAGGCAGCTCTCTTCCTTACATCCTCAAACATCATCAATTCATGCATCTGATGTGTCTGGGCATAGTACTAAACAGGCTCTGACCTTATTCTGACCCTATACTCTCCACTTTTGCCAAGAACACTCGCTTAATGAATTCTCCCTGCAAACTGGTTAAAACTGGAACTGGGCCTTGAACCACTCCAAACCACCAAGTTATGCCCAAACTAAAAACCCTCCAAGGACTTCCAATTACACCACTGGAAACAGAATCCAATATCTTTACCCTGGCCCTAAAGTTCTGCTTGTGCCTTCTGCCCAACTCTCCATCCTCACACTAGGCCCTCCCCTGCCCGCACCCCGGGAGATCCACCTCTCACAGATCGGCTTCTCGCTGTGTCTGCCTCTGCGGATGTTCTGTTCCGTGCTGAGCATTCTAGGTTAGGGCCCCTTTACAAGCCCTCATTCACTTTGTCGCGTGATAAACGATTCAATGGTTCTCCCTCTGGCAGGGCCCTATTAAAGATTTCGTGGGCCCTAAGGCACTTTCGTCTTCGTGGACCCCTTCCTCCATTAAAAAAAGATTAAAAGAAGTTAATGGATTTTGTAGGCCCTAAAAATCTCATTTCCCCCTCCTGATGTGAGAAAAAAATCAAAACACTTTCTTTGACTTCATGGGTTCACTTTAAACGAAATGAAAACATTCTCGTGGCCGGGCACGGTGGCTCACGCCTGTAATCGCAGCACTTTAGGAGGCCGAGGCGGGCGGATCACGAGGTCAGGAGTTCGAGAGCAGCCTGGCCAACATAGGGAAACCATGTCTCTACTAAAAATATAAAAAAATTAGCCAGGCGTGGTGGCGGGAGCCTGTAATTCCAGCTTACTCGAGAAGCTGAGGCGGAGAATCACTTGAACCCGGGAGGCGGAGGTTGCAGTGAGCCGAGATCACGCCATTGCACTCCAGCTTGGGCAACAAGGGTGAAACTCCGTCTCAAAAACAAAGCAAAACCAGAAGAAAAAAAATTCTCGTGGCTCCCTGAAGCCTCCGTGGTCCCTCGGCATGGCGCCTACCGTGCCTGGCGGATCAGCAGCCCGGCCCTCGGGCCTGGGGGCCCCGCGGAGGAAGCTCCGGGCCCAGACTCCGCGCAGGCCTGGCCGCCCAGAACAGTATGCGGAGGGATGACTCCGACAGCGATTTCGGAGCCTCTCTCGGCGTCAGTCTTGCGCCGGCACCCGCCACGGCCAGCGCAACCAACACCTGCCTGAGGACTGGCCCGAGCTCGGCCCACGCCCAGCCCAGCCTGCGAAGTGGTGCCGGCTGCTCTCGGGCTGCCCTCCCTCCCCGAGGCGTGGAGAACCGTACCTGTCTTCGGAAGACGGAGGCCCCCTCACCTGGTCCTCCCGGCTCTCAGCGTGCGCCCGCGCGTTCGGAGGCGCCCCCCTCAGGCCGGCGCGGCTGGGCGGGAGGCTCACTGCGGGCAAGGCGGGGCCTGGCTGCCTCAGGGTGCGCTTCAGGTGGCGCTTCAGGAAAACGGTCTCCAAGTCCCTAGATACCCTGAGAACAGTCCTTCTTTGTCCCTTAGGTAGAATTTTGTCTATTTGTTGGAAATGCTGTGCTAAACCTGACATTTTTCTTTTTCTACCCCTTCCCATGAAACATGCCAGTAGCTCCCCCACCGACCGTTTTCTTGGTTTTAACTTTTCCCTTCCACATCATTTCCTTCAGCCAGTCGCTATTTTGTTCACTAAACATCTGTGGTGGGCACGTTATGTGCCACGCATTGTGCTAGGATTGGAGTACAGTGGATGTACAGACAATGGTCACTGCCCTCATGGAAGTTATAGCTGCCTTCACAAAGTTCTTTTAAGTCTTTTCAAACTCCTGTATTCCAAGAGGGTCTGTCGCTCTCTTCATACTCATTCTCGCTTACTTGAGGTTGATTCCCATAGTCCCTTTGACGAACTCCAGATGGGGTAGGAGCGTCCTGGTCCTTAACAGTTGGTTGGTCTGGGTCTTCAACTCTGGTTAAAAAGGAATTCTCTGAATTAGTCCACAGGAGAGGGAAAGATAATGCTAGTTCCAAGCTAGAAATGTACAAGCAGTTTTCCTTGTTTTCTTTATTATTATTATTGTTATTTTCTCAGTTCATTGTCTAGATGCAGGTTGGAGGTGGGGTGGGGCAATATTTCAATGAGTGGCACAGGATAGGTTAGATGTTTCAACAGGAAAAGAGTTGCCTGCTTGTATTCTAGTCCCACTAAACCATTTTGCTCCTATCAACTGTTCCTCAGGTAAGAACAGAACTATTTAACCTATGTCCTTTTTTAAACACTATAATCTGATATTCAATAGAGTTCCTGTGTTTCAGTTTAAAGGGTAGCTTCTCAACAGCTCTTTCCCCCCATATAGTCCAAATTAGCCTTTCTGTCTCTAATCTCCAGATTATCGTTTCCACTGATGTTAGAATTGTCCTTGTAAAAATATTTTGATCATATCATTCTTTGTCTTAAAAATGGCTTATGTTTCCTTTTCGGTTAGAGGGTCCATTATAACTGACCCCACCTACCTTACTAGGCTCAACCCCAGCATTACCTGTCTTACTCCCCTTTGTGTTGCTATACCAGAATACCACAGAACAACTAACTTGTAAATAAAGGAAATGTATTCTTAAATTCTGGAGGGTAGGAATTCCAAGGTTGAGAATCCCACATCTAGTGAGGGCATTTTTTCTGTGTCATCCCATGGCAGAAGGCAGAAGGGCAAGGGGTACAAAAGAGCAAGACAGCAATAGGGAGCTGAACTCACTTTTACAACAAACCCACTCTCTCAATAACTAACTCATTTCCAAGATAATGACATTAATTCATTTATGGGGGCAGAGCCCTTATGGCCTAATCACCTCTTGTTAGGCCCCACCTCTGAACACTATTCCATTGGGTACTAAGTTTCCAGCAAATGAACTTTGGGGGACGCATTCAAACTTGAGCACTAGCCTCACTCCAAACCATACCACCCATTGCTCCTACCTACTATTAATTTCTTTCCGTACCCTCTATAGCATTTATTAAAAATATGCAAAGAACTGTACCAGAAATGGGGACTATGACATAAGAATTGTTTTCTGAGGGTGATAAACTATAATGGTCATGAGAAAGCACCTTGCAGACTTTAAACTACAAGGAGTGTAACTGACCAAGGGCATCAGCTGCTGCCTTAGAAATCTACTGCCACGACTGGGCTCCGTGGTTCACGCCTGTAATCCCAGCACTTTGGGAGGCCGAGGCGGGTGGATCACCTGAGGTCAGGAGTTCGAGACCAGCCTGACCAACATGGAGAAACCCCATCTCTACTAAAAATCCAAAATTAGCCGGGCATGGTGGTGCATGCCTGTAATCCCAGCTACTCGGAAGGCTGAGGCAGGAGAAACACTTGAACCCGGGAGGCAGAGGTTGCGGTGAGCCAAGATTGCACCACTGCATTCCAGCCTGGGCAACAAGAGCAAAAACTCTGTCTCAAAAAAAAAAAAAGAAAGAAAAAAGAAATCTGCCACATTTGCATGGAGGCCATCTTCCCAGCCACTGACTGAATGTGGTGGAGATACTAAGGCAGACCCATTCCTGGGAAACACTGCACTTCTCACACAGCACTCCTCACACAGCACTCCTCTAATGGGCAACATTGGCTTGATGATTCCCCAACAGTCTTGCTGAACTATACTCCAGTATGGAGTATAGTATGTGGAAGAGGAGTGTCAAAGATGAAGCAGGAGAGATAGGCAAAGGGCCAGAACATATACGATCTGTGGACTATATTAAAGATTTCGGATCTTATCTCATAGCAAAGGCGGGGTGGGCTGGAATGGGGAGATAAACTGAAGTGTTTAAGCAGAAGAGTGACATGATCTGATTTGTGTACTGGAGAGAACATTCTCCCTGCCTCCCTGCCTTAAAAGGAATGGATTGGGGGCTGAAATTGGGGTGGTGGCAGCAGGGCATAGGGACAAGACAAGAGTAGGAAGGAGCCCAGGCAAGAGAAGATAGTTGTTTGAATTAGGGTATTGGCAGAGGGGATGCGGAGATGTGGGAGGAAGTATTTAGGAGTTAAAATTAACAGGCCTTTATGATTGATTTGATTAAGAGGAATCCAAAATGACAGGGCCTAGAACATAGTAGGCATTCAATGAATACTTATTGAATAAACAAATGCAAAGTCTCTGGCTTAGACAGCTGGAAAGACAGTAGTGCTATGGGGAACATTGGTTTTAGCATCCACACAATTACCAGGATGCTATGAGGGTGGGGACGATAGTTCAGTTTTGGACATATTGAAATCAAGGTGCCTGTGGTTACACTGTGTGGAAATGTCCACTAGGCACTTGGATGTGTGTGTCAGAAGCTGAAGAGAAAGATATGGCCTAGAAATGTAGATTTAGAAAATCATTATTAACTAAATTAGTATGAATGAGACTACATAGAACAGTGATTTTTTTTTTCAAAGTGGGGATCTCAACTCATTAATGAATAGTAAAATCAATTTAGTGGGCTGCAACCAGCATTTAAAAAAATGGAATAGAATAAAATGCAACATGATAGGGAAAAAAATGAGAATTTAGCTCCTGAAGTAAAGATAAATATAATGTAAGTATGACTTTGTTAAAAATTTAACTCACTAATATGTACATTGGGTACATGAATGCATGTACTTAAGTGCAATTAGGTTGCACAATAAGAACCTCTTATTGTATGTTTTGTGAAAAAAATTGAAAAAATATTAAAAAAATCAAAAGACAACCAATAAGTCATGTTCAGAGAAGGGACTAAGGCCTAGACTAGACTGCTGAGAAGCAGCTTAGGAAAGGCATATAGTGGGCTAGAGGAAGAAACTCAGACGGGGGGCAGGGGTTCCATTGTGTTGAGGTTGGTTTTAGAAAGAAGATTTCAGAGAGAAGATTAGAAGTACTGATCCCAAATGCCTGATTTTCCCTCTAGGCTAAGCAATTTGAATTCAAGGACAATGGCTTTTTTTTTTTGGCAGGCTAGAGTGCAATGGTGTGATCGTAGCTCCCTGCAGCCTTGAACTCCTGGGCTCAAGTGATCCTCCTGCTTCAGTCTCCCAAGTAGCTGAGACTACAGGTGTGTGCCACCAGGCCTTGCTATTATTATTATTTTGCAGAGACAGGGTCTTGCTATGTTGACGTGGCTGGTCTCGAACTCGTCTTCAAGTGATCCTCCTGCCTCAGCCTCCCAAAGTGCTAGGATTACAGGCATGAGCCACCATGCCCAGCCAACGGACCATGTCTTAATCTTATCTCTAGTACTTAGTAAAATGCCTGGCACATATTAGGCCCTTAATAACTGTTGAAAGAACAAACTAGAACTAGTACTTGCACTTTAGAAAGATTATCCTGATGGCAGTCTGGAAGGGGAGGGACTGGAGGCTAGGTTTTTGTTTTTTAAATGAAATTATCACACAGTCCAGGTGAATGATGATGATGTCCTGAACTATGATGATAATGGAAAGAAAAGGATGGATTTAAGTTACTTTTTAGTCAGATTTATAAGGACATAGTGATTTCTTACATATGGGCATGGTAGCTAGTCTCCAAGAAAGGAGGCTGAAATCCTTGTATTCCCAGTGAAATCCCTGTACCACCTGGTGAAGTCCCCTTCCACAGTGCATCAGGGCTGCCCTGTGTGACAAGTAGAATATGGCCGAGAGATTGTGTGTTACTTCTGAGGCTAGGTCACAAATATATCATTTGCTCTTTTGCCTTGTTCTTTTGGATCACTTGCTCTGAGGAAGTCACCCCATTTTGTGAAGACATTCAAGCAGCCCCATGGAGAAATTCATGTGGAGAACAACCTTCACTTACTGCCAACAGCCACTACCAATTTGGCAGGCATGGAAGTCCGCCATCTTGGAAGTGGATCCTCCAGCCCCAGGCAAGCCTTCAGTGGACTGCTGCCCCGTTTGATATCTGGACTGTAATCTTGTGAGAGACTGGAAGCCAGACCACCTAGCTAAACTACTCCTAAATTTCTGACGCAGAGAGATTGTGAGAGATAATAAAAGTTTATTCCAAATGTCTGATTTTCCCTCCAGGCTAAGCAATTCGAATTCAGGGACCATGTCTTTTGTTTGTTTGTTTTAAGCCACCAAATTCTGAGGTTAATTTGTTACATTTGTTTTGCAGCCTAAATAACTAATACAATGGGGGTGAAAGAGGAGAAAGCAAAGACTACCTACTAAGTGCAGACTAAGTGCTTGAAGAAGGAGCTAGGGGCCGGGCGCGGTGGCTCACGCCTGTAATCCCAGCACTTTGGGAGGCCGAGACGGGCGGATCACGAGGTCAGGAGATCGAGACCATCCTGGCTGACACGGTGAAACCCCGTCTCTACTAAAAATACAAAAATTAGCCGGGCATGGTGGCGCGCGCCTGTAGTCCCAGCTACTTGGGAGGCTGAGGCAGGAGAATGGCGTGAACCCGGGAGGCGGAGCTTGCAGTGAGTCGAGATCGCGCCACTGCGCTCCAGCCTGGGCGACAGAGCGAAACTCCGTCTCAAAAAAAAAAAAAAAAAAAAAAAAAGAAGGAGCTAGGGTTGGGATGGAGGAGATAGTGAGTTATCCTCAGGACCTATGCTTGCCTTGTTTATAGGATATCCAAGTGGATATGCCCATAGGCAGTCTTTGTTCCTCGCCCTCAAAGGCCTACCAACCCTAGAAGAATCAGTTCAAATGTCACCTCTTCTGTGAGGCCTTCCTGATTTCCTCTGGCAAAACCTGGCCCTTCTGCACACTTATTGCACGTTATTATAGCAAACGTGCATTGCTTCGTATTGCAATTATCTATTTGCAGTTATTTGCTTACATTTGGAAGCCCCATTACAGTGTGAACTCCCTAGGGCAAGGGCCGTGATTTTTAGTATTTTCTGTATAATCGTGTGTGTGTGTGTGTGTGTGTGTGTGCGTGTGTGTGTGCGCGCGCGCGTTACACTGTGCCTGCCCAGCACATAGGCAGCCGTCCTTAAATGCTTGCAAAGTATTAATTTTGAGAAACTTGGTGCGTGTATCCACGTCCTCTTATTAGTAAGTTTTCCTTATTAGTACAGCTATGGGCGTTTGAGTTTTTGGAGTGGCCGGAGCAAACTCGCCACTCGAGGTCCCTGAGTGGCAGCCCCAGCGCACTTCCGAGGCAGAACTCCCACCTTCACCTGGGTCTAGCTCCGCCTCTGCCTGGGTTAGGCCTCTCCTCCCCTCAGCCCCGCCTTCACTCAATCCCGATTGGCTGGAGGAAGAAGGAGGCCCGACCATTGGCCCCTTTCTGAGGGGGCGGAGCCGGGCGGTGTTTCATCCCTCAGCCTCAGGCTGAGCCGGACCGAGCCGAGAGGACCCGAGTGGGGCCGAGGCCAGTAGCCCCGGGGCCCTGAGCAGAGGCCGTAGCTTGCGCCGCACCCGCGGCCAGGCGGAGCCAAAGATGCCGGCCTCTGCTGCGCGGCCCCGCCCGGGTCCCGGGCAGCCTACAGCCTCGCCCTTCCCGCTACTGCTGCTGGCGGTGCTGAGCGGCCCGGTATCCGGCCGCGTCCCCCGCTCGGTGCCCAGAACCTCGCTTCCAATCTCTGGTAAGGCGCGGACGCCCACGCCCTCAGCCCTTCGCGCCCACACCCACACCCACACCCACCTGCTCCTCAGACCGCTCGGCCGGACCCGGGCCTCTCAGCCTGGTGTATGGCGTTTCACGCCGCCCACGCCCCGCCGGGACCGGGGCGAGATCTTCGCACTTCACCGCATCCTCTCTGCATCCCTCCCGCGCCCCTCAGCCCCTCATCCCCAGCCCGGGCCTCGCGCCTCGGCTCCCACGACACGCCCAGGCTGCACCAGCGGGCCCTATTCCCGGAGCCGCAGGAGCGTCCAGTCCTCACCGTGCAGACTCGGACACTGAGGCCCAGAGCTCGGGTGGGGGCTGCCCGAGGTCGTTCATTTCGAAGTTCCGTCTCCCTTAGTCCCCTGTTTCCCCGCACATACACCTGGGTCCATCATTCCAGCTTGACGCCCACTCTGCTTTCAGACCCATCAGTCTTTCATTCTACTCCAGCTTTCCATTCCGATCTCCAGGTCAGCATTTCCATCTTCTCCAATTCATTTCCCTATCAGTTCTATACATCATCCGAGCCTCTTGGCCCTTCTGACAGCCCTTCCCGCTCCCCTGACATCTCTGACAGCAGCTCCCATTCTCCCATTATTGGATCCACGTTAACTCTCTTAACTTCCTCAGTGTTCCTCGCTGCCTCTGCCCATTCCCTACATTGAATATTGGTAAACCATTCAATGTGTTGATGTAAAGTTCTGCTTAAATGATTTTTCAAGTCTTCAGAAGGAAAAATAGAGGAGGGGGATATGATCCTTTGAAAAGATGTGGAAGAAGCTAGGAGACGTCACAAGGTTAAAAGTGATCATTGGGGCGATTCACATTTTAGACTCTGCTGAGGTGGGTATGAGCATGGCCGTGGACCTTGTTGTCTTCTCAGTGGGCATTGAGTGTTATTAGCACCTTGGGCAGACAGAACCAGTGAAGCCAAGAGTACAACCTGTTGGCAACAACTCTGGACTGGTTAATAGTAGTTTAGAGTTTAAATTCAGACTAGTGCCATATAGGGATGCTGTGATTCCAGAAGGCGAAGTTGTGGCCAGAGCCTGGGGTTTCAGTTTGCACCCAAGCAATAGCCACAAAGTAAGTTGAGATTGCCAGGCTGGGTTGATGTCCAGGCATCCAGAGATGTCTAGATGGCAAGCAAGGTGAAGCAGAGTTGAGGATGTGAGGGGAAGTTAGGTGATCCAGGGCTTATACTAAGCATGAGAGAGTGGGCACAGAGGTAAGTATGGGTGTGGGAGGAAGGAGTGGGCGGGACTCATCAGTACATCTAGGAATGAATGGGTTGGTGTCCAGTCTGCAGTCTTGAGGGTACTGAGCAGAGGAAGCAGGTAGAGCAGAGCTGTATTGGTGCAAGGGTAGGGTCCCCAGAACCAGAGGTTGAGCTAGGAAGGTAAATTCATGCCAACTTATTCCAGTCTTTAAATAGATACGAATTTTGAATGCTAATATGAGGTTTAGATTTTTTTTTTTTTTGAAGCGGAGTCTTGCTCTGTCACCCAGGCTGGTGTGCAGTGGTGTGATCTTGGCTCACTGCAACCTCTGCCTCCCAGGTTCAAGCAATTCTCCTGCCTCAGCCTCCCAAATAGCTGGGATTACAGGTGCGCGCCACCTTGCCTGGCTAATTTTTTGTATTTTTAGTAGAGACGGGATTTCACCATGTTGGCCAGGCTGGTCTCAAACTCCTGACCTCAAGTGATCCACCCACCTCAGCCTCCCAAAGTGCTGGGATTACAGGCGTGAGCAACCGTGTCCAGCTAGTGCTCTATTTTTATAGAAAAAGCATACTTACCCACTGGATTGTGTGCTAAATATTCTGGCCTCATCTATCTCTGGTTCACTTGTCAAGGCTGTGTTTCTCCCCCATGGCTGCTTAATAAATGGTACTTGGAAGAAAACAAAAATTGGCCCCTTTGGTTTTGCTCTTGTGGACTTGACCCTTAGGAAGCGATGGCTAACATCACTCTCCTCTCTTCCTGCCAGAGGCTGACTCCTGTCTCACCCGGTTCGCAGTCCCTCACACATACAATTACTCTGTTCTCCTTGTGGATCCTGCCTCCCACACACTTTATGTTGGCGCCCGGGACACCATCTTCGCTTTATCCCTGCCCTTCTCAGGGGAGAGACCCCGCAGGGTGAGAGACAAGAGAGGGAAGGACCCCTGACCCTGTAGCATGTGATTAAATCTATGATTTTATGAGTGTGTGTGGGGGATTTCATAATAACTAAAGATGTAACAGCAGGGGTAGTAGGAGGGGGTGAGTTGGGAGACATGGGGGGAGATCATCCACTTTGTTTTCTTAGCTAAGAGTATGGCGGGTCAGGGTGACTGGGGAGGATATGAAGGAGGTTCATGATGATGGGGAGGAGACCACAGTGACCAGGTTTCAGGTGACAATGGGCAGAGGGATCATTAAAATTACAATACTCTAGGGAAACAGCTTTCAAACTTTTTTTTGACCATTATTAGAACTATACAGTTTGAGCATCCCTAATCTAAAAATCCAAAATTCAAAATACTCCAAAATCTGAAGCTTTTTGTGTGCCAACATGGCACTCAAAGGAAATGCTCATTGGAGCATTTTGGATTTTGGATTTTCAAATTAGGGATGCTCAACCAGTATGTATTCTGCGAATATCCCCAAACCTGAAAAAATCTGAAATGTAAAACACTTTTGATCACAAGCATTTCAGATAAGGGATGCTCAGTGTATACTGTGTATTGTGGTACACAATTATGTACTGAAAGAAACCTTTCTTGAAACAATATCTACCTCTTATATGTGATACATTTTGATATATTCTATTTCATTAAAAATAATGTTGGTCATGATTTCAGAATTGATTTTATTACTCATTAATGGGTGGGGACCTCCATTTGAAAAACAATGCTCTAGGGGGACTTTTGAAGTTCCCAAATTGATGGAGGTTATAGAACAGTTTAATCTCCTCTAACATCGAGGGAGTTTGATGTTAGGGGAATCTGGGTGAAATGATCACTTCTCCTTTCTCAGATTGACTGGATGGTTCCTGAGGCTCACAGACAGAACTGTAGGAAGAAAGGCAAGAAAGAGGTAGGTGTAAATCTGAGCCCTGTCTTGAGTGTCAGTTGAGACCTTGGCCCAGCCCTGACTCTCAGTCCCCTGTAATGCTTCCATACCAATGGGCCCAGGCAGAGACTCTAACACCATGCCATCACCCATCATCTCTGATCCCAAAGCTGCATCTAACTGTCCTGACGTTACCTTACCCTTCCTCGTACCTGCTGCTTCTGATTCTTTCTAACCGTCTCTGACCCCCAGGACGAATGTCACAATTTTGTCCAGATTCTCGCCATTGCCAATGCCTCTCACCTCCTCACTTGTGGCACCTTCGCTTTTGATCCGAAGTGCGGGGTTATTGTGAGTGACGGTGTGGGAGGAGAGGGAGAGGGTGCCTGCACCAGTGTGAGTTACTTGGGGTGGTGGTGGGAGGATGGGAAGGGTTTTCTGTGAGCGACCATGATGGGGGCATGGTCAAGGCAACCATTGTGCATGATAAGCATTGGGTGTAGGGGCTGTCCTCATGGGATGAGGGTATGTGTAAGCCACTGAGGGAGGGAAAGGGAGGTTGTCTGGAGAGGGTAAGATATACAAAGTGTGAAGAGAGACATAGTGGGATAGTTAAGGAAGTTAGGGATGCTGGTTGGGCTGGGGAAACAACAAATCCAGGGAGAGACTTCAGAAACCAGAAACTCATGTTTCCCTTGCCCTGTGTATGCTTTGTCCAGGCAGCCTGTGTCCATTTCTTAATTAGTACAGCCCATTGCCTGTTTCTTCCTTTCACAGCATGTGACTGTCTCTTACCACCTTCTCCTACTTCCACTGCCAACCTCATTGTATATGGGCTGTGAGTCTCTCCTCTCATGGCTTCTGATGTCACTTCCACTAATGTAATATCTGCTGGCCCCATATTCTGGATCTTGCCTTCAGGGCGGGCACTCTGTCAATCATGTTTTCTTATAGATCCTGTTTATTGCTGCTGAAGGCCTGGACATCACCAGCCTCAAACACAGGCAGGCTTGGGACATGTGTATCCTAATCACATCTAGGCTAGTCATGATCTCTGGGACTGATGACTGTTTCTGAATTCTCAGCTTTTCCCATCTGTTACACAGTAGTCAGCACTGGTCTTTTGGCAGCTCACATTTGTGACAAGCCCCTGGCGTGAGTCAGAAGCCTCACATATCCTTTATATCCAGTGGCTTCTCTTTCTGCTCTGTAGAGCAATAGGAGGGAGTATAACTGCTCCCTTTTTTGACCTCATCCTTAACTGTAGATCTTGTCTTGACTCTTCTGCAGTCCTCAGTAATCCCTGCCACCTGGATCAAGTCAGTGTGTATCTCTAAACCCCTCTTTGTTACATACCACCCTCATATCTCTGGCTTAGGATGCTAATCATAATCATATGCATGATTGCTCCAGTTAGTCCCCCTGGGCTGCCTTGGGGTGGGTTGGACTTATGTTAAGTCCTTTTCATAATGCAGGTGATACACACTCCCTACCAGCATCTGGATAGCTCCCTCATTCTGGAAAGGTTCGCAGTTCAGGGTGTTGGTGAAAATCTCTGTATTCCCTCAGGTAACATTGAGGTCTAATTTCCCTACAGTTCTCCTTAAGTTTATAAGGTAGCAATGGTACTGCCATTGCCATATTTGTCCTTTTCCATTCTGCCAGGCTTGGGGATCCCATGGGTATGAATCCCAGAGCCATGGCTTATAGACAGTGTGATTGTTCTAAGTTAGTCTCCTAGGGCCTTTAATTCTTCCTTGTTTCTCTGAGGTGGGACTCTAGTGGTTGTTACATAAGGTATCTAGACAGAAAATGTTCTTTCTGGACATACCTGTCAGGATTGGTGTGACTTGGATGCCTATCTCTTCTTGAGGAACATCAGCAATGAAGAGTGAAGCCAGGGGTCTGTGTCCTGAGCTCCCAAGAATTCAGCTCTTTTCCTGAACTCTCCTGTCTAGCAGGCTTATGAAATGAGGGCCCATCCTTTGGTCAAGGCTTGTTTGAAGGAGAATATAGAGACTAGCCGCAAGAGGTCAACTCTGGTAACCCTTTGAGCCACATCCTGTCTGCTCTGTAGACGTTTTGAAAGTTCTCTTCTGCCTTAACCTGTCTTATCCTACTACCCAGCAGCCCCAGTCTGCTTGACCAAGTTCTTCCTTTATCCTCACTGCTGAACCTCTCATGTCCTAGACTGATGACTTTGAGACTGTATATAAACAATTATCTGAGAGCTTTGTTCCAGACATAGCAACTTGATCAAAGTTGATTGTGGAGAAATGAAGGTTCTTACATAAAGGAAATTCCAGCATTGGATCTAAGGGCTCCCACTGTGGAGTGCTGTCCTTCAGTGATAGCTCATTGGACATTGGAGGAAAATATCCTAATTTGTTTTGTTGAGGGACCTCTAGCAGTTAACAGAGAAAAATGTTAGACTTCTAACAACAACAACAACAAACAGCAACAATGACAACCATTCAGTTGAGTGTCTGCTCTGATGAAGACTTGGTATTAGGTACTTTACATTAAGGATTAAGTTTAATTCTTATCACCACATCATGATATTTAGGTATTATTTCCATTTTACAAGTAATGAAACTGAAGTTCAGAGAAATTAAGTATTGTCTCTAAGACTGAATAGCTAGCAGAGGCAGAACCAAAATTTAAACCTGTGTTTGTCTCTGGCTCTGTTCCACTATCCTGTCCCTCTAGTCTAGCCTGCAGCCCAGAAGACCTTATCTGTCTTCAATTTCTTGTGGCATTTGATGTGTTTCATGTACTAGGAACCATCTTTCTTTTCTTTGCTTTTTTTCTTAGCCACCTGGGAAAGGTCCTTCCTATGCCTTAAACTCCTCTTGGCCAAGGCCAAAGGACCAGTTCCAACCCATAGCTCAGAGAGAGCCTTCCTGTCCAGCTCCAGCTTTCAGCTTCAGGGACTTTGCTTTACCACAGCTGATTCTCAGAGACTATGCTGCTGACTAACACAATGATGATACAATGAAGAATCTCAACATTCAGATAGATAATATAGTGGAGTGGTCATGTCTCTTTCAGACCCGAGTTAAATGTCATTTTGACCATGCAATAATCATAACCTATCTAGTTAATAGGAGGCTCACCTCTTCAAAGGTTAGAAACCTGGATGATATGATGATGCTGCTGGGGAAAACTGAAAAAGAACTAGTTTCAACATATTGAGTTTTAAGGGGCAGATAGGAAATCTCTGTGAGGAAGTCCAGCAGTCAAATAAAAATATGGGCTAGAGTTTAGAAGATATCAGATTTGGAGAGTTTGGGGAATGATTTGCATAGAATATCTGGCTGGAAAGAATGAATGAGATCTTTGAAGCATATGTGAAAGCTACTAAAGGTGGATTCTTAGGATACACATGTGGGAGCTAGAAAGAAGAAGAAGGAAATGGAGAAATAACAGATAGGAGGGATTCCAGAAGGGCAGAGTTTCAGGAGAGTCAAGGAATAGAATATTTCAAGGAAGGGAGTGAGTCAAAAGTATCAAATGGTGCATAAGGGTTAAAGAGAATGAGAACTGAGAAAAAGTTCATCCCTTTAGTCCTTGGAGAAATGTAAGGCAGTAGTTATAGGCATAGAAAACATTATTTGTCTTCCAGGAATAACAGGTGATCTGGTTTGGATAGAACAAAGGTCATTTTGAAAAGTAGTTGAAAATAAGTAGGTTTGGCTGATGAGGTTGTACTCCAGGCAATGGTGGACTATTTTCTCATTCTCTTGCACAAAAAGTTATTATTAAGTCAGTGACCAATACTTCAGATTAATCTTGGGTGGGTATTAGAATAACTTGGTTGGTGGGGGTGGCTAGATGATGTGGAGAAAGGAGTTTACTGCCATGGTTTAGGTGAGAGGTAAGAAGGGAAGCAGCAGCAGGTAAGTACCACATCTCTAGAGTGCCCAACCATCTTGTTAATCTCTCACCAAACCCATCTTTCTTCTCAGGTGAGGATGCTCCCACTGTCACACAGCTGGAGTGCTGTGCCTCTGTGGAGTCCTCCATTCCAGCAGACTCTTCTGACCCAGCATTCCGTTTTTGGGGACTTCAAAAGTTTTAACAGGCCTTCTTCCAGACTCTCAGTAAAATAGAATCTTGTTTGCCATCTAGAACAAGAGATGAGTAATCGGAGTGGGCCAGTAGTACACTTATTTTTCAGGGGATATATATCGATATTTCTGCAACAGCTACCATGGAAGTAATTAGGCTCCAATGACACCATATGCCCACGCCAGTTTGTGAACTAAAGATATCATCCCTGGCATTTCCGTGCCATAACTTTGACTCTCAACCAGCCACTGTTAACTTCCCTCTCAGTCCTAGGTTGAAATCATCCTTGTTTTTAGATGTTATCTTGAAGCCTCTCTTAGTGCCAAATGCTAGACTAAGGTAACTTCTGGCTGGCCCTGATGAAGCTCTTACACCTCTTGTTCCTTGCCCATGTCAGTCCCTCTGGAGTCCCTGGGTGAGGAAGGTACTTACTACCAAACTCTCACATTCTGACCTGAGCTTCAGGTCATTCTTTACTGACTTTGCTGGTTCCCCTGTCCTCTGCCCTTGGTCGTATGATGCAGCTCTGTCTTTCATCCTTGGGGTGGGGAATAGGAGGAGGATGGCCCTTGTCTCTCTAGGCCTCTGGGTTTCAGATGGTCCTTTATCAGCCTGCACTTTTCTTTGTCCTTTCTAAGGTTTCCAGTCCTCAGGAGGCCTGCTTTCTTCCTGATCCTTCTTGTCATGTAGCATATTCTCCAGCCAGTTACAAACCCTACAGTTCAGCAGTGTTTCAGAGGAAAGACCTACCTTCAGCCTCTTAGGTGCTTCTTGGGCTGTCCTAGGAATTTCTTCATCAGGGCATGTGGGTGTTGGCTGCTGGGGGAATTGAGGGAAGAGGAATAAACTGATGAACAAAGGATAGCAGAGATGAGAAATGCAGGAGTAGATGGGGGCATCAGGAATAGCTGACTGGTAATATGGGGATGATAGTTGGGGGTAGGGAGTGGAAGGGGAGAGGAATGGGAATTGACCTTTTCCTTCATCTGACCATCTTTGTAATTCTCACCATGAACCTTCCCTATGACCCCTAAACCAATTGCCCCCTTCTGGTCTATAGGATGTGTCCAGGTTCCAGCAGGTTGAAAGACTTGAGAGTGGCCGGGGGAAATGTCCTTTTGAGCCAGCTCAGCGGTCAGCAGCTGTAATGGCTGGTGAGTGGGGAGAGACAAGAACCTGTAACTTCTTGCTAATTGCCTCCTTCCCCACCCTTGCTGTTAGAATTTCTGTGTTCTTTCTTACCTTGGAATGTCTATTATTCTCATGTCTCTTTTTAGCCTTTCCTGTTCTTCCCTGAGTGCCTGTGTAACCACCTGCTTTTCCCCACCTAGTATGATATCCCCAGGATTCTCTCCACAGAATGTGTCCTCTGCACCTCTAGTGTAATGTTTCCTCTCTTAACCTCATTTTCTTTTCTCATAGTGTTTTTATTCCTGTTAATAAGTGGAATATACTACAATGCATATTGTAATAAATTTGGAAAAAGTATAAAGAAGAACATGAAGAAAACTTCTAGAACAGCACTTTCCAAAAGAACTTTATGTAATGATGGAAATGTTCTACATCTGCACTGTCCAATACAGTAGCCACTAGCTATTGTGGCTATAGAGCCCTTGAAATGTGACTAGTGTGACTGAAGGAAGGAATTTTAAATAGTATTTAATTTTACGTAAATAGGCCTGTGTGTCTAGTGGTACCGTATTAGTGTAATTCTAAAATATCTCTACTTAGAAAATTATTGCTAATATTTTAGGATATTTCCTAATACCCTGTATTCGTCCATTTGTGTTGCTATAAAGAAATACCTGAGACAGGGTAATTTATAAAGAAAAGAAGTTTATTTGGCTCATGGTTCTGGATGCTGGACATGAAGCATAGTGCTAGTATCTCCCTCTGGTGAGGTCCTTAGGAAGCGTACAGTCATGGCAGAGGGTGAAGGGGAGCCAGTGTGTCACATAGTGAGAGAGGGGGCAAGAGAGAGAGGGAGGAGGTGCTTTTTTAAACAGATCTTTTGTGAACTCAGAGTGAGAGCTCACTCATTACTGCCAGGACAGCACCAAGCCATTCATGAAACATCTGCCTGCATGACCCAAACACCTCACACTAGGTCCACCTCCAACATTGGAGGTCACATATCAATGTGAGTTTTAGAGGGGACAAAACATCCAAGCCATATCATATCCTAAATGGATATTAATGTGTGTGCACACCCATGTACATTCATGCACATACATTTGCTGCCAGTCCTTTGTTGCTCAGGGGAGTCAGTAATGACTATTAAATAAATTCCTGCTAGTACTTCTTTTGAACAAGCTGCCTGTGATTCCTCAAGTGTGAAATGATTCTATCACAAACCTAAACCTCTTCTGGAGAATGACTGTCTAATTTATTAGCAGCCACACAGCAAATTTTTTTTGTGCCACATAGCCTGAATTTTAGGTCAGACCACCCAACATGCACCTTCCAAATTCAGTGAAAAGCCATTTTCTTGTGGTAGTGTAAAGCAGGTTAATGGAAATTTTATGAGCATGTGCACAGTATAAAACTTTTAAATGTCATGCTACATGGATGTAATTTTGAATTTTGTCATGTAATTTTATATCACAGGCATTTCTATATAATTTAAAAATTCATTGTAAAGATAATGTTTAATGACATGTTACTCATTCTGCTAACCTACCATGAATTAAACAATTCCAAATTATTTATATAAATTTAGTTAGTTCAAAGATTTTGCTAGTATCCATATGACTGTAATGAACATCTTTGTGCATAAATTTTTGCTCACATTTTAGGTTGTCCTCTTAAGATTCCTAGAAATGGATTACTGTATCAAAGGGTGTGAACATTTAATGGCTCATTATCTGTTGCTAATTGAGTTTCTAGAAAGGGTATACCAATTTACACCCTAAATCAGCAGTGAATGAGAGTGGCTTTTCTCTCACATAAATTTCACCAGAATGTATTGTTGTCATTTAAAAAAATCTTTGCTATTTTGAGTCTAAAAATGACACCTTGTTTTTATTTGTATTTCTTTGAATATTAGTGAAGTTGAATGTTCTTCATGTTTTAGTACTTATTTTTATTTCTTCTTTGGTAAATCCTCTGCTCATGTTCTTGGACCAGTTAAGAGGTAGGATATTAGTATTTCAATTACATATCTTTTCCTTTGTGATTGTATATAATTTTTAAGCTCAATCCTTCACTTAAAGAGCAGATAACATTTTTTCTTAAAAATTTTTTCCAAACATATAACTCTTTGATCTGTTAATATTTGGCATTATTTTGATGAATCGCATGAGGGGGGATCTAAATTAATTTTTCCCAGCTAGCTAATCAGTTGACTCAGCATCATTGATCATACTGTTTTTTTCTTTCCTTGCTGACTTTTTTTGCCAACTTTATCATAAAATTAATTTTTACCTATATTTTTGGGAAATATTTTATGTTAAACAAAAATTGGGACACAAGATCTAACAATGAAAATTTTTTCCTATGCATGACTTTATTTTTTAGGGAAAGTTTTAAAAGCTATACAAATTAAATCACTCTTTTTCTTTTTTTTTTTTTTTTTTTGAGACAGAGTCTTGATCTCTTGCCCAGGCTGGAGTGCAGTGGCGCAATCTCCACTCACTGCGAACTGCACCTCCTGGGTTCACACCATTCTCCTGCCTCAGCCTCCCGAGTAGCTGGGACTACAGGCGCGTGTCACCATGCCCGGCTAATTTTTTGTATTTTTAGTAGAGATGGGGTTTCACTGTGTTAGTCAGGATGGTCTCAATCTCCTGACCTCGTGATCTGCCCACCTCGGCATCTCAAGGTGCTGGGATTACAGGCATGAGCCACCGCACCCAGCCATTAAGTCACTCTTTAGTCTTATAGTTAATGACTTATCTTTTTCTGAAAAATAAAAAAAAGTTTTTGAAAATGAGCATAAAGTATATATTGACTAAATACAATATTTTGAGTTGTCATGATTATCATTATCTATTGTTGAAATTGATGAGACCTTCCTTATACATGTTTGAATAAAACAATTTAGTGGATAGTTTATTTTTCTAGGTTTTTAATCAACATCTTTGATGACACTCAGAGTCATTAAAGATTTCTGAGTTTTCGTGGTTGTGATATCTCTTGAGTCTATAAAATTGTTTATCAGCAAAATGACTTCTTACTTGCAACACTCTAAGATAATCATTTATCGTACTTTTGTTTCAAGCAGTAATTTTTGTTTTTTTTTTTTTTTGTTTTTTTGAGACGGAGTCTCGCTCTGTCGCCCAGGCTGGAATGCAGTGGCGCCATCTCGGCTCACTGCAACCTTCGTCTCACAGGTTCAAGTGATTGTCCTGCCTCAGCCTCCTGAGTAGCTGAGATTACAGGCGCCCACCACCACTCCTGGCTAATTTTTGTATTTTTAGTAGAGATGGGGTTTCACCATGTTGATCAGGCTGGTCTCAAACTCCTGACCTCATGATCTGCCTGCCTCGGCCTCTTAAAATGCTGGGATTACAGGCGTGAGCCACTGCACCTGGCCTCAAGCAGTAATCTTTAAGCATGTTTAGCCCTCTGTGAGTAATTTCTCTTTATTAGGTCAGCAAGTGAATTCATATTAGAATGTGGTTTAAGAATACAAATTTCCAGTTTTAGTAAATGTGCTGCTGAAGCGAGCACAAGAATACAAATTCCATAAAGATCATTATAAGACAAAGTGGGAGGAACATTTTCAAAAAGGTTTTAAGTCTTTTTTTTTTTTTAAATAAAATTCAGGGTTGCCTTTCAGTTGATAATTGATGGAGGCGATCAGAACTCACTTCCTAATGGTTTAGAATGGTTAGCTTCAGTTAATGTGGAAACTCTATGTCTCTAGCTGTCTCAGATCCAAATCATAGTCAATACTAATATTATACATTTTCATCTGAAGTTATTACTTTACAGGGTTATAATTTAAAAGTTTTTCCTGGTCTGACATAAGTGCTAGCATTTACTTGGGGCTTTCAAGAATGATTCATTATGCCTTGCTTTGCCTCTGTTTTGAAAATAGCAGTATAGAAATAGTGGTAACATTATATAATCATTAGAACCAAAATTCCCAATTAGGTTCTGTAAAAATGTCCTTAAAGATAATAGCAGTATTTTGAAATGAAAAGAGCTTTTAATTATGAAAATATGATTAGAATATAATAGGAGTATTTACTTAAAATTGTAAAAATTACAATGTGCATTGTAGAAAATTGAGAAAATGTAGAAATATATAAAGAAGAAAGTAAAAATGTTATTTGTAATTCTATCATTACCAAGTAACCACTATTATTATTTTGGAGTATTTTGAGTGTTTTCTTCTACTGTGTCTATGTGTCTGCGTATTTATTATAACTTGGAATTATGTATATTTCATTTACTATTGTATACTGAGCATTTTCTCATCATAGAAATTGTTTCTTCAAAACATGATTTTTAGCAGTTGCATACAATTACATAATTTGTGCTGCATACACAGATGGATGTAGCATGACTTAATTATTTCTATATAATTATACATTCAAATTTTAAAATTATTGTTTTTAAACATAATGCTGCAGCAGGAATCCTTTTACATAATTCTTTGCATTAATCTACTTAATTGCATATGAGTCAATCCAAAAAGTGGAATTGCTAGGTGTAAGAGTATAGATTTTGATGGTGCTTGATGGATTTGGACAAATTAATTGCTCTCCAGTTAGTCCTACCAGCAATGGCTACCAGCAGTGGCTAAAGGGCCTGTCCCATTGCCAGTCTCAAGTAATATGTACAAACAAACAGTGACCTCCTACAAAGTCCAGTATGATATATATATTTTGATTGGCATTTCTTTTAGTGAGGTTGAACAATTTTTCATGTGTTTATTGGTACTTCTATTTCTTTTGGGAAAGCCTCCGAAATCTTATTTTCAAATACGAAGTTTATCTGTACTATACTTAGATACAATTAAGTAAATGATCTCATTGTCTTTATTTGCACTATTCTAATTTGGAAAAATATGAATATTTTGACATTCACATTAGCCTAAGAACATCAGTGATTCCTTCTCAGTCTCCTTGACAGGCCTTTTGTCTTCTGCTCATTCTTAAATGTTGGAGTTCCTTAGGCTTCTACCTAAGAGCCTCTTCTCTTCTCACTCTGTGTAGTTGTGATCTCAGTGAGCCCATGGCTTCTGTTTCCACTGCATTCTGATGGCTCCCAAATCTGCATCTGCCTCCTGGACATTACGTGGAGGTACAGACCACACATCCAACTGCCTTCCACACATCTTCAGTTGGATGTCCCACAGGAATCTGAAAATCATCATGTCCCAAAGTGAGCTCATCATCTTTACTCACCTCCCCCAAACCTGCTTCTCTGTCAGTCTTCCCTCCTCCGAGTGTATAGTGCCATACTCACTCAGGTACCCAAGCTAGAGACAGCAGTCAGTTGTCTTTGGGCCTCCCTATCACATCCTATAATAGATAGGGTTTCTATCAAGAAGAGCAGAAGACTGCTCTTTCTCTTTGGGAACCCATCCTGTGTTTTTATTGTATGGTTTTGGTGTCATTGCATCTTGTGATGAACGCATCTGCCAAGGAGCTCTGCAAATGTTCCAGATGCACTGCATGCTGCCAGCATTTTGAGGCCAAGTCTACCTCTTAAATCTCTGAGACTAGCATTCACACATGAAAACAAGACAGCTACAGAAATCCTACATGGCCAACAGAGGGAAAGGTAGAGTCAACACTGCATCTCCAATCATCTAATTGTGCCCAATAATAGGCTTAAAGAATTTTTTTTTTAAAAAATATCCAGCTGGCTCAATCCTTAAATAAGGAAAAGACTTTTTGAGTAGGAGCTATCTATCCTGAAAAATATCTGACTATGAGAAGAAAAGGCAGTGGAAGAAGAAAGGCCAAGGCATGTAAAAAATCAGTTGTGTTTTTTTTTTTTTTGGAGACAGAGTCTTGCTCTGTCGCCCAGGCTGGAGTGCAGTGGCGTGATCTTGGCTCACTGCAACCTCCACCTCCTGGGTTCAAGTGATTCTCCTGTCTTGAAGTGATTCTCCTGTTTCAGCCTCCCAAGTAGCTGGGATTACAGGCATGCACTGCCATGCCCAGCTAATTTTTATATTTTTAGCAGAGACGGGGTTTTGCCTTGTTGGCCAGGCTGGTCTTGAACTCCTGACCTCAGGTTATCCACCCGCCCCAGCCTCCCAAAGTCCTGGGATTACAGGCATGAGCCACCAAGCGTGGCCAAAAAAAAAAAAAAAAAAAAAAAATTAGCTTTTTAAAACTAATGTACAAGGCTAGGTGTGGTAGCTCACACCTGTAATCCCAGCAATTTGGGAGGCCAAGGTGGGAAGATTGCTTTAGCCCAGGAGTTCAAGACCAGCTGGGGCAACATACTGAGACCCTGTTGTTAAAAATTAAAGACGGGGTCTTTAAAGGCCCCATCTTTAAAAATGACCCTGTCTTTAAAAAAAATTAGCCAGGCATAGTGGCGCATGCCTGTGGTCCCAGCTACCTGGGAGGCTGAGGTGGGAGAATTGCTTGAGCCCAGGAGGTTGAGGCTGTTCACGCCACTTCACTCCAGCCTGGGTGACAAAGTGAGACCCTGTCTTAAAAAGTAGGCTGGGCATGGTGGCTCACGCCTGTAATCCCAGTACTTTGGTAGGCCGAGGTGGGCAGATCATGAGGTCAGGAGTTTGAGACCAGCCTGGCCTACACAGTGAAACCCTGTCTCTAATAAAAATACAAAAATTAGCTGGGTGTGGTGGGGGGGTGCCTGTAATCCCAGCTACTTGGGAGGCTGAGGCAGGAGAATCGCTTGAACCTGGGAGGCGGAGATTACAGTGAGCCGAGATAGCGCCACTGCACTCCAGCCTGGGCAACGGAGCTAGACTCTGTCTCAAACAACAACAACAACAACAACAACAACAACAAAAACAAAAGGTAACAAACAAAAAACGAATGAACTGATAATTCCTATTGTAACTCTCCTTTAAAAGGAAGCATTTTGATGCCAGAATAGAAATTTTAAACCCCCAGGCTGTAGAGAAATATTCACTGCCATGACACATGTTTATAGGCTTTCCATTTGGGCAAGTTGGGATCTATTTTTACTCATAATTATGATTTTTCTTTGGCTGTGTTTCTTCGTCTTTTGTGGCTTTCAATGTCTTTTTTTTTGTATTTTCAAAATGAAAATATCTTAGTTTTTTTTGCACTATAAAAGTAAAAGATGCTAACTACAAAAAACAAGGATTATTCAATGAATAATCTTTCCTATGCTTGCAGGCATATATACTTATTTTTTAAAAAATAAAAATAGGGTTGAATTTTTCCTGGTGTGTTTTCTAACCTGCTTGTTGAGCAAACTCATCACTGTGGGAATTACTCGCTTTTGCACATCATCTTTTGCCAATGGCGGATGTGGCCTTGATCCATTCAGCAATAATTTGCCAAACAGTTGTATGGTCAGTGTTATTATATAAGCAATGTATCACAATCACAATATTTGGAATTGAGAGTGTCCTGAAGAGTCCAGGACATGTGATCTTGTGGACTCCTATGCTCAATATTGTAATGGTTGCTATTCCTTCTGCTGTGTAGGGGTGTGTACGTGTATATCTGTCTGTCTGTCTGTCTGTAAGATGAGCTGCAAGCCCCTTCGTACTCTTAGGGCACCTGGAGCCCTGCTACTTGCTCCCGAAGTGTCTGATCCCTCCTGCTGTTTCATGGTGTCAGTGATCCTTGGCTGTTCCACTCTGAGTGACTGCGCACTTCTCAGTATTTCTGAGCTCCAGTGTTGCTGACTCCCACATTGGTCACTTAGGAAGTTTTGTGACCTCTATCTACTGCTGTGTCTTTGCATGGTTATCTGTGGTCCTTTACTGTTTCCAGAATATTTATGATTGTTTTTCTCCAACCCTACGTACCAAGTCACGCTCCCAGCGTCTGCTTTACCACATCTCCTATTCTTAGGGTATCCATGACACGGCTTCTGCCAGGGTTTTGGTTTTAGAGCATTTAATGTGTCATGCTCTTAGGGAACATTTTCAAACTCTGGCCTCTGTGTCAACTTTTCCCCCCTTGGAAATACAGAGGGTTGGCTCATTTGCTGCTCCATTTTCTGCCAGGACCTTTGACCAATACTTGGTTTTTCTTTCCTGAAATTTTCAAGAAGGGAATGGAATATCTTTGTATAGCTTCCCCCTCTTCTGGTGGCAGATCAAGCATATGGCCCTTTGAAGTTTCATAAGGAGCTATAACTAACATGAATGAATGTCAACCATGTGCCAGGCCTTAGCTAGGTCTCTTTGTTTATCTTATTTAACCCTTAGCACTATTCTGAGTGGAAGATGGCATTATCTCTATTCTGCATTTGAGGAACCTGAGGCTTAGGAAATTTACTTTGCCCAAGATCATAGTACTAATACTTAGGTACTAGTATTAATACAAGTACTAGTACTTGGGTTCAAACCCAAGTCTTCCTGGCTCCCAAACACTTGGATTCTTTTTATAATTGCAAATAATGGAATAGTCTCACTTCCCCACCCCAAAAGAAGGCTTTCAGCCCTGCACTGCTGCCCTTGTAGGGCTCTGGCCCTCTTGTTCTCTGCATAGAGTGTTTCTTCAGTGCTGGTTACCTTTCTGGTGCCTGAGACACGCTGCTTCTCTGGAGCATCTGTGACCCCAGGATGATCATGCTTCCCTCCAAGTGGCCCCCCACTCTCTGCTGCTTCCCCCAGTGTGCATGAGCCCTGTGGTTCTGGCTGAGGTTTCATGCACCCGCTTCCAGCACATCAGCCTGTCTTGCTTCTCTGGCCTCTGACTGGATCTTCTCAGTTGCCTTTGGTAGCTCTCCCCTTAAATGAGAGTGCTCTCTTCTGGCTTTACCTTTTTCCTGGGCTATGACTTTCATGTCATGACTTAAGCATGAAGTGTGATGACTCCCAAGTTGCTGACTCTGGCCCTGTTCCCAGGCTCTTCCCTTAATTGCTTTCCAGGATCTCTGACTGATATCCTGAAGGCACTTCAGCCTTAGGATGTGCAACAAGTGGACTTATTTCCTCTCCAGCTGCCTCTTTTATGGGCCTTATTCTATCATTTGCTGGCTTGGTTAATAATGTCACCACTGACTACCATCAGTCTTAGAAGCTAGAAACCTTGAGAGACATTGGTTTACTCCATTCTGTCTCATCTCATGTTCAGTGGATGAATTTCAAATCCTGTTAATGGATTCTACCTCAGAAATACCTTCCAAATCCAGCCCCTTTATTTCCTCTGCCTCTGCCTTACTTTGGGCCTTTCACTCTTGCCTGGACTGTATGAATAGCCTTTTAAGTAGCATTATCTTTTTAAAAAACAAAACTGTTTATATCACTTTCCTCCTAAAAAAAGAAATCTCTGCAGTTTTATTCTTACCTGCAGGGTAAAGTGCATATCTGCTGGCATGGCAGAGCAGACCAACCACAACTGAGTGCCCATCCCCACACCTCCAGCTTCCTCTCTGCTCACTGGCCCTGCCCAGCAGCCTCTCTGCCCCCACATGGCTGAGCATGGCTACCCTCTTCACTGGTTGCTTGTCTTCCTCCCTGAAGTCCTCCTTCCATCTGGCAAATTTCTCATTCCCATACCCAGCTCACATGTTGCCTCTGAGATACTGTTCCCTCAGGTAGATATAGCTGGGTCCCCCATATCTGTTGGTCTGTGCCTCCCGGAATCTGATTACACACTTGTCTTCCTGACTCACATGGGGGTTCTTGGGGCCAGGGATTTACTTAGCACCCGGCACAGTTGTTGTACATAGTAGCTGGTGAAGGCATGCAACCTTGTTCTCTCCAGAGTGCCTGTGATACTCAACACACCTCCAGGGTGTTCATGACTTGGTACTACTCTCTGATTCATTTTCCTCCTACTCATGTCAGAGCCCTTGGTGGTGGTACTCAGAGTGGCTACAGTTCTCTCCCATTCAACCCACAGAGCTGAACCCCCCTTCCTTCTCAGAGTGTCTGTGATTTGTCTCTTACTCAGTCTCCACTATCCCTGGAGCACCTCTGCCCCTCCACTGTACTAGGAGGGAGGACCTGATTCCTTGTTGTTTCTCCTGGCTGCCTGTGAAATCTCCACTCATCTCCTAGGCTAGTATCTCTCAAAGTGAGGTCCTGAATCACCTGCATCCGATTACTCTGATTGCTTCTTCAAAATGCAGGTTCTTGAGCCAAGCCCAGCTCTACTGAATGAGAATTGCTGGCCCAGGGATCTGCATTTAAATCACTTCCCCAAGTGAGTCTAGTATTCTCTAAAATCGTGACTTGTTCCAAAGCAGTGTACGCCCACTAATGTTCAGAAAGAACATTCATTCCCTGAGACATTTACCATAGTGGGACAACTTAAATAAGATTGGGACCTGTTACAAAGCAAATGCCCCTTTTGGAGAGTCACAGTACAATCAGCACATTACAGGATTACTGAAATAGCAACAAAAAAGCCCCAGAGAAACAAGCTTGATTTTTATGAGGGATGCCTTTATTCTCATACACATGGACATTTCTGCACAATATTTTCTTAATCCTGGTTTCCCTGACTGCCCTGGAGCAGTTTATGTCTAGATTTCCTTAATTGCAATAATGCCTGTGATGTGCTCAGCAGAGTCTGGCACTCATGGGTGTTTAGTCCCTGAGAGTCGCTGCCCTGCTTTATGCCCTACTCTGCCTGTGACCTCTGTTGCTTCCCTCAGTGGGTCCCTGATAGCCCATCTCCTCCCTGTCGCCCTGCAGGGGGGGTCCTCTATGCTGCCACTGTGAAAAACTACCTGGGGACGGAGCCAATTATCACCAGAGCAGTGGGTCGTGCCGAGGACTGGATTCGGACAGATACCTTGCCTTCCTGGCTGAACGGTGGGGAGAGGGAGAGGGGTCCTCTGGGGAGACCGATGGGGTGGAGTCTGGGAAGTCCTAGGTTGTGTCTGTGAGGATCTGAGGCCACTGGTATTCCCAGCCCCAGCCTTTGTCGCAGCCGTGGCCTTGAGCCCAGCCGAATGGGGGGATGAAGATGGAGACGACGAAATCTACTTCTTCTTTACGGAGACTTCCCGAGCATTTGACTCATACGAGCGCATTAAAGTCCCACGGGTGGCCCGTGTGTGTGCGGTGAGACCCCATCCCAGCTGTCTGTCTGTCATCTCCTGCTCTGTCTGTCCCCCGTCTTATCTTTTCCTCTTTGGGTCTCTGTCTTTGAATCTCTCCTGTGTCTCCTATTTTCTCTGCCTTGACTTCTCTTCTGGGAGCTTGAGGAATGTGAGAGAGAGGCTCTGGCCTCTTTGACACGCACAATTACCCTTGTGACACACTGTCTACAGTGTAGAGGTTACTGACTAGTGTAGAGGTTAAAGGGAGGAACTGGTGACAGATAGACCAGGGTTCAAGTCCCTGCCCTACCCACCATTTAGCTGCCTTTGCAACTCTGTCCAGGTTCTTTAGTGTCTTTGAAACTTGTCTATAAAAAGAGGATAATAATGATGCCTGTCTGTGAGGGCTGTTTGAGGATTAAATGAGGTAACTTACGTAAAACACATAATACAGCACTTTATAAGGGCACAGTTAACTTAGTCACTGTCATTGTTATTGTGACCCCTTCACCCTCATATCTCATTATCCCCGCAGCTACTCTGTGTGGCTCTCTGTCCTTGCATTTGTATGTATCTGTCTCCCCATCTGTCTGTCTGCCCTGAAGTCAGGGAGGAAACTTAAATTGGTCTCCATGCTCCTTGCCCAATGATGATCATCTAAAGAGAACCTCCCATGTGTTTGTCACCCCAGGGGGACCTCGGGGGCCGGAAGACCCTCCAGCAGAGATGGACGACGTTTTTGAAAGCTGACCTGCTCTGTCCAGGGCCTGAGCATGGCCGGGCCTCCAGTGTCCTGCAGGATGTTGCTGTGCTTCGACCTGAGCTTGGGGCAGGGACTCCCATCTTTTATGGCATCTTTTCTTCCCAGTGGTGAGGGGTCTTGGTGTGGAGGAGAGTTACAGGGTGGGAGATATGTGGGGTTGGCACAATGTCAGTGTTGTCTCTTCCAGAGGGGGCAGGCTCTCCCGCCTTTGGCTGCATGGCTCCCTGTGCGTTTCTCGGGGGTCATCTCATTTGACAAGGGATGAGTTGCTATCCCCCAGACCCCTCCATATATCCAGCTCCAACCTGTGAATTCCAGGGAGGGGGCTACTATCTCTGCTGTCTGTGCCTTCCGACCACAAGACATTCGGACAGTGCTGAATGGTCCCTTCAGAGAACTAAAACATGACTGCAACAGAGGACTGCCTGTCGTGGACAATGATGTGCCCCAGCCCAGACCTGGAGAGGTGAGGGGGCAGATCTTCATTCTAGGCCTGAAGTCAAGAGCTGCTATTAAGGCAAGAGCCCCACTAAGCATCACTGGCATGTCCTGTTCCTGGGAAACTTTGTCACCAGCCCTGTATTTCCTCTAGTGCATCACCAACAACATGAAGCTCCGGCACTTTGGCTCATCTCTCTCCCTGCCTGACCGCGTACTCACCTTCATCCGGGACCACCCACTCATGGACAGGCCAGTGTTTCCAGCTGATGGCCACCCCCTGCTGGTCACTACAGATACAGCCTATCTCAGAGTCGTGGCCCACAGGGTGACCAGCCTCTCAGGGAAAGAGTATGATGTGCTCTACCTGGGGACAGGTATATTTAATGGTCAAGCAGGCTGCCTACCTAGTGCATACACATTCTCGTCACAGAGAGGGTACTGTAATACATATAGGTCTGAGTCCCAGGCACAGGGGCAATTATGTAATTATTCTTGTTCCTTTCCTGTCCCCTAGAGGATGGACACCTCCACCGAGCAGTGCGGATCGGAGCTCAGCTCAGCGTTCTTGAAGATCTGGCCTTATTCCCAGAGCCACAGCCAGTTGAGAACATGAAATTGTACCACGTGAGTTGTAGATTTTGGAGAGTCTATTGGGGAGACATCTGAGTCCAGAGCCAGTTTGTGACCCTGAGGTCTGGGAGATCCAGTGTATTCCCCTTCCCCACTCCGTTTTTATAGAGCTGGCTCCTGGTTGGCTCCCGTACTGAGGTGACACAAGTGAATACAACCAACTGTGGCCGTCTCCAGAGCTGCTCAGAGTGCATCCTGGCCCAGGACCCAGTCTGTGCCTGGAGCTTCCGGCTGGATGAGTGTGTGGCCCATGCCGGGGAGCACCGAGGGTGAGTGTAGCTGCCTGGATTTCTTGCTTACTGTGCCAGGGCTCTGTCCCATCCATATGTCTACGTTTCTCATCTGTTAATGCTGCCCTGCCGGAGGCTGTTTTCTTTTTCTGTCTGTTAGTGTCTACATCACTCGTGTGTCCTTCTGTCAGTCCATACTAGCTCATCTGTTTGTCCATCTAGTGCTACCTCATCAATGTCCTTGCCTCTCTGCTGGACCTGCCTTGACCTGACAGTGTGCCATCTCTAGTGGATGCTGCTTAGTTTTCATCTTACAAGAGCTCTTGGAAGTGTTTTCACAGTTGTCCACTCCCTCTTTCCTTGAAATACTTTCCTCTTGCTCTCTATGACTGCATTCTTTGGTCTCCTTTACTTTCCCATCCAACAACTGAATGTTGATATTCCTCAGGGTTCAGTCCTGGACCCATTCTCTTCACACGTTCATGCACTCTCTAGGCAGTTTCATTCTGGTTACTTTCAATACCATCTGAGTGCTAATGACAACCACAAATATATCTAGTTGAGCTGTGGAACTCCCCATCCGACTGTCTACTTGATATTCCCTTGGATGCTTCATAAGCAACTCAAACTTAGCAAGTCAAAGTATGCACTGTTGTTTCCTCTTTCTCTCACATGCTCCTCCTCTGGTCTTCCTCATTCCAGTAAAGGGACCTCCATGCATCCAGTTGCTCAAGCCAGAAATTGCCCACATCGTATTATGATTTGTACTGATTCTAGCACCCAAATGTCCTTAGTCCACCCTCTTCTGTCCACCTCTACCACTACCACTCTAGTCCAAGCCATCATCGCTTCTTAACTGGACTACTCTAATAACCTAATTGGTCTTTTTTTGACCATTTTGGGCTCCTACCATCCATTTTCCATTTAGCAGCTTAAAAGCATATGTCACGTTGAAGCAAATCCCTGACATTATATCATATTCATCTTAAATATTTCAATATGTATCTCTACTAGATAAGGAGTTTTTTGTTTGTTTGTTTGTTGTTTTTGAGATGGAGTCTCACTCTGTCGCCCAGGCTGGGGTACAGTGACGCCATCTCGGCTCACTGCAACCTCTGCCTCCCTTATTCAAGCGATTCTCCTGCCTCAGCCTCCCGAATAGCTGGGATTACAGGTGCCCGCCACCATGCCCGGCTGATTTTTGTATTTTTGGTAGAGACGGGGTTTCACTACGTTGGCCAGGCTGGTCTGGAACTCCTGACCTCAAGCAATCCACTTGCCTTGGCCTCCCAAAGTGCTGGGATTACAGGTGTGAGCCACTGCGCCCAGCCCAGGACTCTTAAAAACATTTTATTGTGGGAAAGTTCAATCATATCCAAAAGTAGAGAGAATTGTATAATGAATTTCCATGCATCCATCCCTCAGCTTCAACAACCATCAGCTCCTGGTCAATCTTGCCTCATCAGTACGTTTACTCATTCCCAACTACTTTGATGCAAATCCTGGACATCATTTCACTTCATCCATAAATCTTTCTGTCCGTATCTCTAACATACAAGGGCTTTAAAAAAAAACCATATTACCATTATCATACCAAAAACTTACTTTCTTAATGTCATCAAATATCCAGTCAGTGTTCTGATTTCTTCAATTGCATATATTTTAAAAAGTTTATGTCAGTATCCAAATAATGCTTATTAATTGTAATTGGTTGATATGTTTCTTAAGTGTATTTTAATTGTTGAGATCTTCCAGTAAAGTATTTTTAATCACTTGATTCGAAAGTGTTTTTGCAAACTGACCTTGAGATTTCCTATTTTGAAGTCCAGTTAATTTATAGCATATTTGTATACTACAGAACCTCAAGTATATACAAAATCCAGAATATTACAAAACCCCATGGCTACAAATTCTGTAGAGGTAAAAGTACTTGTCTTTTGGAATAAAACAGATTAATTCACACATGTCAAAACAGAGTGAAATGTTTAAAATGGTAACTGATCTGTAGGGCTAGATATGAAAGAAAAAACTGGCATATAATTAGAATAGTCATAACATTTAATTTTGTTTTTCTGATATTTGTCATGAATTATAAGTGTAAAATCTTATGCCGTCTCTTGATCAGATTCTTGACTTTTTGCCAGTTGGGGATATAAAGTAACTCTTGGATGACAGGCTTGGCCAGCTTTGCATTTTTGGTTAAGAACTTTAACCTGGTCTTTTAGTTTTTTGGGGGAGAACTTTTAAACATCTAAGAGAAAAGCAAGGGCTTTATTCTGTCCTTTATTGTTTTAATTTCCATTAAAATAAGAATTCACTGGTCTTAGATATCCTCTATACTTGAGCCTCAAGGATTCCCTTAAGGTATACATGAGTGGAGGGGGGTGGTGGGGAGTGTGGGCTGTGTGTTTATGCCAGTGTTCTGGGTTGTTCTTGTGTACATTGCCCATACCTCAGTTCATCCAAGGGAGAAGAACATAGACTGTGAAGTTCCTGTGGCAACAGCTGTGCATGTGGTCTTCCTGTGTTCCCCACTCTCAGCTAGACTAATCAACCTTGGTTTTACCCAAGAAATTTCCATCTATTTATTCATACCAGTCTTGGGAGCTCATTTCAGGGACCTCAATTCATATTGAAGGAGTTCATACTCAGATGAGTCTGTGTTTGATTGAGGCTTTTTGTGTTCAGACCTTTTCACTGACAACCCTAGTGTAGGGGTCTCATTGACTTCCCAGCCTCTGCGAGTGGTGCCAGAGAGTTCAGCAGTGAGCAGTCCATCTTGCTATCCTCCATCAGATATAGTCCACCCAAATCCTGGAAGTGACAGGACTGTGCCTGGAGCTTCCGGCTGGATGACCCCAGATCCTTTGAAATAACACATAGGCCAGTATATATCAACCACTATTGAAGAGTTCCTTTGTAGAGACAAGTAGCTTTTAGGAAACAAGAAGTCACCTCACTGACCCTAAAGGAATTTTGATTAGCTTCTACAGAAAAGGAGTTTGCTCTTTCTCTTAAATAAGAGAAAAAAAAATCCCTATAGTTTTTATCCTTTTTTTTCCTAGAGAAATCTTGTGGTTGTGGAGAACCAGGTTCATTTCTTAGAAGATTCTGTTTCTTTTAAAGCACCCCCACTAAACATCTTTACAACAGACCTAGTGCAAATTTAGCTATCACTGGTCTGCTAGAAAGATGCATGGAACTTGATATGGCAAATGAAATGTCATGAGTAATATTAAGAGGTATTGGGGAAAAATTTGGTGATGAGGAGAAACTTGACTGATAATTTCTGGAGTGATTTCTGGGATGATGGGAGATATATTGAATGAGGGAGTCTTCAGTAATACTGAGGGGGGTTGAAGGGAATGTTCACACTGGATTTACCAAGCATTCTCTTCTTTATAGGTTGGTCCAAGACATAGAGTCAGCAGATGTCTCCTCTTTGTGTCCTAAAGAGCCTGGAGGTCTGTATGGTCTGTATGGATTAGGGAAATGTGGGTGGAGTGGATGGAAAGGGGCTAGAGAGTTGTTCATTTTGGAACGATTCTAAACCTTGGATCCTGGAAGATGTGGCAGCCAGGAACCTCGGGCCTTAGCCTCTTTAGGAATCCCCTTTTTAGCTTAGTCTCCATAGCCCCTTTTCATGTCCGACATCACCCCACACTTTTCTTCATCACACCTCCAGCCTTTAGCCTCACCTCCTTTTGTGCCTTTGCTGTTTCTCACAGAACGTCCAGTAGTGTTTGAAGTTCCCGTGGCTACAGCTGCGCATGTGGTCTTGCCATGTTCTCCAAGCTCAGCATGGGCATCCTGTGTGTGGCACCAGCCCAGTGGAGTGACTGCACTCACCCCCCGGCGGGATGGACTGGAGGTGGTGGTGACCCCAGGGGCCATGGGCGCTTATGCCTGTGAATGTCAGGAGGGTGGGGCAGCCCATGTGGTAGCAGCTTACAGCTTGGTATGGGGCAGCCAGCGAGATGCTCCGAGCCGGGCCCACACAGTGGGGGCGGGACTGGCTGGCTTCTTCTTGGGGATTCTCGCAGCATCCCTGACTCTCATTCTGATTGGTCGGCGTCAGCAGCGACGGCGACAGAGGGAACTTCTGGCTAGAGACAAGGTGGGCCTGGACCTGGGGGCTCCACCTTCTGGGACCACAAGCTACAGCCAAGACCCTCCCTCCCCCTCTCCTGAAGATGAGCGGTTGCCGCTGGCCCTGGCCAAGAGGGGCAGTGGCTTTGGTGGATTCTCACCACCCTTCCTGCTTGATCCTTGCCCAAGCCCAGCCCACATTCGGCTAACTGGGGCTCCTCTAGCCACATGTGATGAAACATCCATCTAGAGCTGGGCAAATGACCACTAGTGTATAAGTGATCACTGGAACGGAGTGACCACTGAGATGCTGGGGGTCACTGGGCCTGGAAGACCATCCCAGCCTCTGAGTTCTCTTTGAGTATGAGTGATTACTTGGATTTTAGTATCTGTTCTCTCTGAGCCTGGATGGGCTTGGGGCCAGACCTTTGCCTGATTCCTGATTCCCATGAGAAATCAGAACTGCTTTCTGCAGCAAATCAGGGCTTCCCCCTAACATCTGAACTCCTGTAAACCTTCATCCCTGGCCCCCTATCTTGGGCCCATTAGTTTTGGGGATGGGGCACAGGGCATAGCTATGACTTTGCTTTCTGGTTGGAGCCTGGCCGGAAGGAAGAGCCCTGGAGGTGGTTGGGGGCAAATGTGCCCTGAGTCCTTGGGGTGGTTCTGCTTATTCTTCAAGTTTATCTGAATCTGTGGGGAGTGCATGATCCCCATGTTGCAATATGGAGTCTCTGCCCTGAGATCTTCCCCATCTCAGTTTTCCTTCCATGAAAGAGTACGTGTAAATACATAGTGTTCATAAGAGACCTGGCCACATGTGCATGAATGACTGGGCCGATGCTTAGGAATATTTATGAGGGATGGGGAGGGAGACAATTGGAATGGGGGCGTTGCCTGCAGAACTTTAGACCCTGTAGCCATAGAGGGAATGGCGTTCCTTTCTAAAAGGAACTGAAACACTGCCCCTCTCCCCATTGCCCCACAACCTTACTCTAAATTTGAGTAGAGAAAAGCTCCTAAAGTGACCTTCCGGGTGGGAAGGGCAGCAGTACACATGACCCCATCCTTTTCTTTGTTTTTACCCCCTGGCTGCCACCACTGCCATGTCACAGCTGCTTTCTCTGGCTGGAGTGTAGGCTGTACCCCATTTCCTTGGCTCCCATTAAAAATCAACAACATTCTAATGATTAGGGAACAACAGAAGGGGAACAGTCATAGGATATACGAGCAGTATAAAGATACGTTTGCAATCAGTGACTACTCAGGGTGACACCCTTGCCCTAAAGCAGGAGTCCCCCCTACCTGGGGTCCATGGACTCCCTGAAATTGTATGCAAAATGTTGTTTGTACATGTGTGTCTGTATGTCTCTGTGGGGAGGTTTTATGGCTTTTGTCAGATTTTCAAGGCCTTAACAAAGTTAAAGGACCACTGCCCTGAGGTTACTGCACTGAGGCCAAGTTAGGATGGCATCACTCTGTGGCAGCTCTCCCTGGACTTGCCCTGCCTGGAACAGGGTGATTTGCTGGAATGGAGTTACCACTGAGATGCCAAAGGTTGCTGGGTCTGGAAGACTGTTGTGGCCTCTCAGTTCTCTTTGAGTCTGACTGACTGTGGCCAGTCCCTGGACTGGTAGCTGCTGGAGGCCTTCTTGTTTCTCCAGTCCCTGGAAGCTGAGCTCTATGTGTATTTGATGACATTGTCAGCTCTTACCAAACGTCAAGACCTCTTCCTGCTTGACCACTCGCACATGGCTCTAGGCTTCTCCTGCTGAGTCCTGGTCTTGGCCTGTGAATGTGCCTCGTTCATCCCTGGTGCTTGAGCCCCTCAAGCTCCAGTCAATGATCCAGTCCTTCCCCTTTGAAGTTTTCTGCTCTACTTTCCTTGGCAGCAGCCTGTGAACTACTCAAAAGAGTCCCCTTGGGTTTGGAATTATCAGTGGCTTTGCCACTAGTAAATGTGTGATCTTCGGCAAGTAACCTAACCTAGGGACATCAGTTTACTCATCTGCGAAGTGGGGATAATAAAACCTACCTCAGGGTTGCTTCAAGGATTAAATGAGAAAATATGTCAACAATAAAGACCTGTCTGTACCAATAGATGTTGTTATTGCAAAAATGGGCTTACTATCCATAACCATATAGCTTAACTATATGATAACCATGACATTCGTAGGCTGGGCATGGTGGCTTACGCCTGTAATCCCAGCACTTTGGGAGGCCAAGGCAGGTGGATCACAAGGTCAGGAGATCGAGACCATTCTGGCTAACACGGTGAAACCCCGTCTCTACTAAAAATACAAAAAATTAGCCGGGCGTGGTGGCGGGGGCCTGTAGTCCCAGCTACTCGGGAGGCTGAGGCAGGAGAATGGCGTGAACCCGGGAGGTGGAGTTTGCAGTGAGCCAAGATCACGCCACTGCACTCCAGCCTGGGCAACAGAGCAAAACTCCGTCTCAAAAAAAAAAAAAAAAGATAACCATGACACTCGCAATCATATTAAGCCTCACTCAGTAAAGGACAGTCATTGTTTCACAGATATCCTGTTCTGGGTCACCTCTGGACAGCTCATAGCTGCTGGTTTCTAGGTTTTAGGAGGCAGATCTATGATTTTTGTAATCCTCAGACCTGTCTGACCTTAGTGGCCTGAGATCCCTTTGTATAGAATGGAGGAAGGCTGTGTGTTCTTTGGTTTACCCTCAGCCTATCTTTCAACCCCACTCACTTGAGGTTGTGGCCTAGTTCCTCTTTGGGGGAGGGAGGAAGGTGGGGAGATGTCAAAGGGGACTGGGCTTCCTGTGGGGAGTGGGAGAGAAGAGTTTTTCAAGGAGGAGAGAGACCAGGGCTCTTATACTCTGGGCCACTATCTGCCTGCTCTAATCACCTAGGGCCAGGCACCAGACAACTAGGGATGGCCTCTTTACCCCAAAGCCTGCTGAAATTACTCAAACTAGCCAATCCTAAGTCTGCCTACCCTGCCTCAGTCATTCCTTCCAATGGAAACCACAATAAGCACTCTTGCCCACGTTTTCCCTGCTCCCTCTGCATCCCAACTGACCCTGGTGCTTCCCCATGTGGCCCCTGTATAGTGTGCTTTGCCTCCTGTTTCTAGGGACCTGTGAGTATCAGCTTTCTCGATGACAGTCATTTCTGTGTCTATGTGTCTTATTATACCTTATTAAAACAAACCTGGGTACATTTGTAAGACAGCAGGGATTCTCTGAAGATTAATGATTGAGAAGGATGATTGGACCTGTCTAGTCAGGGAGGCTGAGGCCTCAGGCCTTCATTAGGCACGTTGCATGTCTGTCAAGTAAGGGCCACTAATCACCTCACATGGGTTCATCTGAACTTTATGCCAGCCCAAAACACGAGGACGTGCCACCCATCCTCAGCACTCTCAAGACACACTTAAGTGTGTTTGATACGTAAGCTCCAATTCCTTCCTCCATAAGAAGAGAGAAGGCAGAAGTGGCTTTCCCCGAGGTGAGGACGGGGATGGGAGTTTTTTCTTTTGAGTGATGTAGACCTATGCCCTGCTTCCATGCCACTTCCTCAGATGTGACAGACCTCTGCTGGGATGGAATGTGTGTTTGCTGGAGACAGCTGTGGCATAGAGGATTGTGAGAAAGGGTCCCCATGCTTGGTGTGGAAGGAGGGAGCTGCTCACCCTCTGTATGGGCTTGGATGAGGAGCTTCTCAGCGGCAGTCATAAGAACCAGAGGATTTTCTGCCCTTTGCTGGGAGCCACATGAGCCCCCTGGATTCATGTGGAATTCTTGGGAGAGGGATGACCACCCTGAAGATGGCTGAGATCAAATATCTCATCAGATGACTGGATGCTTAGAATCGGGTTAACTTGATTAAATAAATAAATAGAAATAGTTTTTGTACCTATGAGTTTGTGGAGAAAAATTCCTGCCCACTATACTAATATCAGCATTTCTAAAACGATCTGTCTGGAGCATATGCGTGATGAACCTACCTATAGATAGAGCAGAGTAGCTGTAAATGGGGTGGAGTTGAGTGAGCACCAAGTGCTCAAAATGAAGAAAGAGGACTTCCCTCCAACCTTTTGCAGGAGTCATCCCCCTAATGCAACTTCTCCCCACACATATCCACCAAATTAACTTTTTTTTTTTTTTTTTAACCAGACAAAGCCTATGGTTTCATCATAATAATATAGGTCATCATAGATTGAGATTGCCTTGTAATTCCTAGGTAAACGTCCTTGGAAAAAAGGGAATATGAACCTACAGGATTCCAGTCAACAAAATAAGCTGTCCACATGCTACCTCTACAAAGGTTTGTAATACAGCTGTCATTAAGATCTTTGCTAGGTAAGTTCTTATTCTACTTTGGGTATTTATTGTGTTACTAGCCAGGGCAGGCTTTGCTATGATGCGATAACAACCCCACACTTTTAGTGGCTTAAAACATTTGTTACTCATGCCGTATGTCTATCCTTAGTAGTCACTCAGGAACCAAGGCTCAGGGAGGCTCCATCTTGACATAAGCTTCCATGATTGTAGAGAAAGGAAAAGGGAACTTGGCTAACCATAGGTAGGCACCTAAAGTTTTTGTCTAGAAGTAACATGCATGATCACATTTCAATGATCAAAGCAAGCCACGTGACTTTGCAAGTTCAAGCAGATGGAGAAGGGCTATGATAGCCTTGTGCTCAGACCACAGTACTAAGCATTTGTGCCTAAAGTATGGCCACAGGGTCAGCGCGGTGGCTCACATTTGTAATCCCAGCACTTTGGGAGGCCAAGGCAGGCAGATCACTTGAGCCCAGGAGTTCCAGAGCAGCCAGGGCAAAATGACGGAATCCTGTCTCTCAAAAAATACAAAAGTTAGCTCGGGATGGTGGCGCATGCCTGTAGTCCCAGCTACTTTAGGAGGCTGAGGCGAGAGGATGGATTAAGCCTGTGAGCCTGGGAGGTGGAGGCTGAAGTGAGCCATGATCGTGCCACTGCACTCCAGCATGGGTGACAGAGCGAGACCTTGTCTCAAACAAAAACAAAACCAAAAATTATGGCCTCAGACCCTTTTGCTAGGACCAAGAGCTGCTGATGTCCTCTTTGTTTCTTTTTTGAAGGGAAACATATACTAAATCTTTGCACTCATAATCTCACTCATCCCTCCTATTGAGCACCTGCTACTTCCTCTCCTTTCTTCTGTCTCCATGGAGTACAGTGAATTTCCTCTTAGAGAAATGGCGACTGGATATTTTAAAAAATACCTGGGTAAGAAGGGCTGTTGAATTAGAGAGGACTCATGGTGACAGGGTTCAGTAAAAAGAGAAACTTAGTGTCTCACTTAGTAGGAAAGATAAGGAGTAGTTATTCCCCAGGATTGCAAGAAGGGCCTCAGGAACTGAGGCCTTAGTCACTGGAATCAGTGTTAATGCCACCAGGATTATTTTTCTTCCATTAGTCTGTCATCTCTGCATGTTCTGCTTGCTGGAAATGGACATATTCCTAGAACTAGGAAAGATGGTTGCCATCTTTCCTTCACCTTCTCTCAGCTCTGTAGGGTAGAGACAAGACTTCTTCTTTAGCTCCAATCCGGGAATCCCAGGGAAGGAGTCTGATTGGCTCAGCTTAGATCACATGCCCACACTGAACCAATGACTGTGTCCTAGGAAATGGGATACTATGATTGGTCAGGCCTGAGTCAAGTCCATGCCCAGGGAGGACAGGATTAAATTGTCAGAACGAGGGACATGGTTAAGTTGGCTGGGCAAATAAAAACCACAATTACTGTAATTTACTATAGCTGTCTTAGAGTTAGATATAGACAGTGACCTTTGAAAACTAAATAAGATCGGAGAAAATTTTTGCAACCTATCCATCTGACAAAGGGCGAATATCCAGGATCTACAAAGAACTTAAACAAATCTACAAGAAAAAAATAACCCCATCAAAAAGTGAGCAAAGGATATGAACAGACCCTTCTCAAAAGAAGACATTTATGCAGCCAACAGACACAGGAAAAAATGCTCATCATTACTGGTCATCAGAGAAATGCAAATCAAAACCACAATGAGATACCATCTCACGCCAATTAGAATGGCGATCATTAAAAAGTCAGGAAACAACAGATGCTGGAGAGGATGTGGAGAAATAGGAATGCTTTTTTTTTCTTTTTTTTTTTTGAGACAGAGTCTTGCTGTGTCACCCAGGCAGGAGTGCAGTGGCGTGATCTCAGCTCACTGCAAACTCTGCCTTCCGGGTTCACACCATTCTCCTGGCTTAGCCTCCCGAGTAGCTGGGACTACAGGCGCCTACCACCACGCCCGGCTAATTTTTTGTATTTTTAGTAGAGACGGGGTTTCACCGTGTTAGTCAGGATGGTCTCAATCTCCTGACCTCGTGATCTGCCCGCCTCGGCCTCCCAAAGTGCTGGGATTACAGGCGTGAGCCACCATGCCCGGCCAAGAAATAGGAACACTTTTACAGTGTTAGTGGTAGTGTAAATTAGTTCCACCATTGTGGAGGACAGTGTGGGGATTCCTCAAGGATCTAGAATTAGAAGTACCATTTGACCCAGCCATCCCATTACTGGGTATATACCCAAAGGATTATAAATCATGCTACTATAAAGACACGTGCACACGTATGTTTATTGTGGCACTATTCACAATAGCAAAGACTTGGAACCAACCCAAATGTCCATCAGTGATAGACTGGATTAAGAAAATGTGGCACATATACACCATGGAATACTATGCAGCCGTAAAAAGAATGAATTCATGTCCTTTGCAGAGATCTGGATGAAGCTGGAAACCATCATTCTGAGCAAACTATCACAAGGACAGAAAACCAAACACTGCATGTTCTCACTCATAAATGGGAGTTGAACAATGACAACACATGGACACAGGGCGGGGAACATCACACACTGGGGCCTGTTGGAGGGTGGGGGGCTGAGGGTGGAATAACATTAGGAGAAATACCTAATGTAAAAATGATGAGTTGATGGGTGCAGCAAACCAACATGCACCCTAGAACTTAAAGTATAATTTAAAAAAAAAAGAAGAAAAGAAAACTAAAGATAATGTTGTTCCTTCCAAATGAAAACCTTCCTATCACTTCCCGTTACAATTAGAATGAAATCCAAATCCTCTGTTCTGATTTACAGAGCCTCACATGTTAGGACCTCTGTCCATCTATCTAAACTATTTTTACTTTCCCCTCACTCAGGAGCAACAGCCACACCAACCTTCATTCAGCTTTCTAGATACACCAAGCTTGTTCCCAACTAGGGAGAACTAGTTGTTTCCCCTGATCTTTGCAAGTCCTTCTGGTCAGTCAGGCTTTATCTTAAACATTGCCTCCATAAAGAGGCCCACCCTGATTACTCTGTATAAAGTAGCTCCCAGTTACTTCCTATCACATCCTCCTATTTTAATTCTCAGCATAGCATATCATCAATTTGTATTTTCTTGTTTGCTTAGTTTAATTATTTTCCTTCTTGTTAGATTGCAAACTCCATGAAAGCCTGAACTATGGCTTTTTTGTTCACTGTTGTATCCCCAGTGCTTAGAACAGTGAACAGTGCCTGACACATAGTAGATGCTCAATATTTATTGAGTGAATGAATATGGCCATTGCCGAGCTGACCCACTGGGTAATGGAAAGAACGCAGGTCCTGCTGAGAGGCCAACACCATCCACTGGTCAGTACTCCTGTAGGAGGCCACTTAGCTCCCAGCTCCTGTGGTTCTGCAGTACCAAGTGGCAGCCCCTGGGATCCTCTGCTCATAGACTCATGGTTTTCAAGGGATAGCTTTAGGGTGTCCTTCTCCTAGACCTCAAATGACCTCTCCCTGTCTGTGTTCCGAACTCCATCCTGGACCCTTCTTTGCTTTGGGCCCTAATTTGTGTCTGGTTGTCCACAGGTAGGTCCTCTCTGCTCTTTCTTTCAGAGTGAAAGAATCAAAGTATCCCTGGAAGGCACAACACCACTTTGCAAGCATAAATTCCCTAATCATAGTTGCCCTTAATAATAATAATAATGCCCTAAAATATAATCATCTACTAGATATGATGTGGGCATTGAGCTAAACATTTTTTACATCAAACTCAATCTCAGAAAGACTGGTGGTGTTAGCCACATTGTCGGCCAGTGAAACTGAGGCTCGAAGGAGAAATAACTTGCTCAGGTCATACAGTTAGTTTGTAGCTGAGTTGTGACTAAAACCCAGGTCTCTCGGATTCCAAAGCTTGTGCTCAGAACCCCTGCAGTGTACAAAGTACCCAAATAGTGCCCATTACAGATCAACTTCCGAGAACTGGGTCTTGCCTTCCTAGAGTGGAGTGGTGTTTCCTCCTTCACTCATTGTTCATTTCATATATATAAAACAGAACATGATCATATTTCAATACGTAACTTCTGTACAACCAAAAATTAAAACACCACATTAAAATAAATGAGAAAAACATGGTATTTCATTTGCAATACTTGAAAAAATGTTAACATTCTTAATCATAAATGAGCTTTTAGAAATCAGTAACAGGCTAACATTACAAGGGAAATGAAAATAAAAGAAACAGGAAAATGAAATAATACACATGATTAATAAGGTGATATGAAGATGATGTAGCTTAACATTAATAGATGAAAAAGCAGTTTCTTTGTAATATTACATTATCAATGATCACAAATACAGAAATCTAACATTTGTATAGAATTTTAGGAAATAGGGAACTCTTAAACACTGGGAAAATTTACTCCAGTTTTGGGAAATTTACTCAAAATTTAGATCTTGTATGTACTTTGCCCTGGCAGTTCCAATCTGTAGGAATTATTCCAACGGAGTAGTTGGACAAATTGAATTTTATGTATAAGTATGTTTCTTACATAGAAAATCTATAGCTAATTTATCACCCCCAACTACTTATGTATCAATTGATTTAAAAAAATAGATTGGGGGGTGTTCATTAAATATTAATTTAGGTCTATTTAGGTCAGGTTCTGGGCTAGATTCTGGAGACACAAAAGTGAATAAGACATAGTCCCTGTCCCCTTAAAGCTCATAATTCAAGGATAGGCAGATGAGTAAGCAGACAGCAACACACTTTGAAAGGCGCTATTGTTAAGGTGTGTTCCAAATCTGAGGAACCCAAAGATACCTCATTCTACTGACCTCTCTTCTTAACTAGCAGCTTGAGAAACAGGTTTGGGATGCCAATCAAAGCATTTGTACCACCTAACCAGACTCCCCTGAAGCTACTGAGACAGTCTAATGTAGTGTAGTCTAGTGAGACATATACATGCCTCATTTTGTCTTTTGTGTATATCAAATTTTACATAATAAAACACTTTAAAATAAGATGTTTTTCTGTCTATGGAACCAGAAAAAACAAGAAAAAAAGGTTGGTGACCTTGTGTGCTCCCCAAACAAGGATTTGTGGAGAGTGGGCATTCTATACTATTGTTGGAAATGAAATTAGTACACACTCTATGGAGGGCATTCTGGTAATATCTATTGAAAACTTTAAAGTGTATATATCATTTGATCCAGTAATTACACTTTTAGAAATTTATTTTAAGGAAATAGCAGTATAAGTGTGCAAAGACATACTTCTAAAGATTTTTATTTTTATAATAATTATAAGCCTAAAATGTTGGGAAAAAAATCAATTATTCAACAAGTGAAATTTGGTTAAATAAGCTTCAGTATTGACCTGAAAAAATGTCCACATTGTTAAGCAAAAAAGGAGGAAACAATAAGAAAGAGAAAAGTGTTTCCTGACAGACAGGAGCTGGCCTGGCACTCATAGCCAGGCCTCAGTGTTTTCCTATTGAACATAAAGGATTTCATAGAACACCAACATCAGACAAGGACACTCAGTGCCAATGATGAAGAAAAAAATGAGATCACTCTATAATCATGTCTCAACACAGGCAAAACAGGTACATTGTCCAGACCACAAAATGACCGAGCAGCCTCCTGTCCTGGCTAATAGGAATGACTGGTGCTTCTTTACCAGTTCTTCACTGGCTTTAGCCTTGCAGCAGTCTTCCCTCCTTCCGGATGAGAGTTATTAAGATACCCACGCACAGAATTACCCTGCTTCCTTAAACCCTTCTGCAAACCCCCTAGCACAAGCCTGAGTCCCATAATAAGTTCTTTCTAACACCCTCTTACTGAAACACCCCACGGTTCCCCATGCCATGCATTCTCCCCCGCAGCAAAGAGTAATAACCCCAACTTGCTTGACTACAGGTGTGTTCCCAGTGATCTTTGGCTGGACAGCAATGACAACCAGTACTATCTTACAATCATTTGTAATAGATAATGTATTTCCACTGTTATAAAATTGTGTGGCATAGCACACAACAAACTGTTAGCAATGGTCACCCCTGATGAGGGGTTTTACTTTTGATTTACTGTCTTATTTATTTATTTATTTTTTACAATGTGCATGAATTGAGATAGAAGGAGGAGGACGATGAAGAGGTGGGGAAGGAGAATAAGTGAAGGAAAAAAATGGAAGAATGAAGAGAAATGAAGATGGCAGTGGCAGCAGCACTAAGACGTTTGATAATGATGTTATTAGAGGATATTTATGTTCTTTAAATATCTATAACTAATATGCATTACACTTGAATATGAAAAACAACAGTTATTTTTAAATGAAAGGAGATTGTGATTTTTCCGGAGAAATACAATATGACTATTTCTAATTTTTTATTTTTGCAATAGTGAAGTAGGGATCTCGTGCCCGACTAACATTGAACACAAGTTTGAAGACTTTTGGTTTTCTGGGTCCATTGCAGTATAGTTAGATGCAGTAGGTGTCGCTTTTTCCCCAAGAATAGCCTGTTGCTAATGCTGGTGGAAGTCCCTTCTGAGCTGTGCCCAATTCTGTCAATTATCTGTCTTCAAGATTTGCCTAATCTCTAACCTTTGAGTAATGTGTACTTGTAGTTTTCCTTCCTTCTGTAATTTAGATCCATGATCCAATCTAGATAAGGGAAATTACTACACATTCTTTATTCCTTTCTGTAGAACTTTCACATAGCCATCCTATTAGATTTTCGTGGTCATCCAAAGTGCTTCAGGCAGGTATTATTGGCTTCATTTTAGAGATGAGGAAGGCGAAGTTCATTAGAAAACTGAAGTCATTAACAATTAATTGGTCAAGGTTTCTTTCCCCTCCATTAGCTAATTCAAGAAACAAGGATATAGGCAGCAAATAAAGCACGATTTGTGCTTTAAATATATGAATATATATTTACTGTTGTAAATATGTCAACCGTAAAAATACATTCCCATCAGTCTCTGAGAACTGCAGTACAAATTATGAGAACTGACCATGCTGCTCACGTACTGTGATTATGCAAAAGCTTTCAGAGATGCATTACATGGGGGAGCCCTCTCAACTTTGGACAAGGTGTGCAGCCTTCAGAGGTCTGGGAGTTGTTCGGAAACACCTAGGCATCCTCGGGGAGCATGCTGAAGGTGACTCATGTTTGCATGTGTGTGACTTGGGGTTACGTTATAAACATGAGGTTTTGTGCTGAGTGGTAATATCAGATGCAAAGGACTGTTTGCTCCCTCTTTTGGAGGTCTCGTACTTTTCCAAACCTTGCATGTTATCAATTATCAGGCAATCATTTCCTGAGGACTGCCACATAGCTGCTGCTTTCCCTTTTCCTAGTTTGCTTTTCCTAAAACGTTTTGGAGTTAGAAATCAAATAACCAAGCTAGGTAGAAATGAGCATAATGTAAAGTTTTCCCAGGTTCAAAGTAACTCTATTTGAAGGCATTTGTATTGGTGCATTAATTCCTGGTTCATAACTAAATTATGGAAAGGAGACACTGACTGATAGGAAGCTGGTTCTGGATAGATGAGGGATGATTATGCCAATATTTTTCAGAGTCCCAAGATGATCAAGGCCAGCTTTGATCTCAGTCTACTGAGTCATGCTGGACGTATATATGGCTCGGTCACTCCATTGCTGCAGCCATTGGAATGCTCCTGTCGGGGGTAACAGTGTCCAGCCTTACGGAGCAGGCCTGACCACCCTCCGATGGTGTGGTGGGCACTGGGCCAGGAGGGAAGCTGGTGGGGTGTGGGGCAAGTACCAGGCAAAAGAAGTACCAGGCTCTAGGGGCAGACTGCTGGATTATGACTCAAGTTGACGCAGGAAGATAACAAATCCAGTCCTCTCCCCAGAGGAATTGAGACCTAGGAGTGGCCTTCTCACAACTTCAGGGTGCAGGGTGGAGAATAAGTAAGGATCAGATGCACCACACATACCAGCAGCTTGTGCCAGGCAATGTGCCTAAGATGAGGTGGGGAAAGGCAGACACAGAGTTCATGAAATGTGGCCAACAGAAACGAGGTAGCAGAATCCACCCAACTAGCTGTCTGAAATACAAGGCAGGGACCCAAGGGAGGAAACACATATGGGGGACATTTAAGGTCCCAAGAGACCGGGGATGAGGTGACAGGACCTGGTATGCTCTGCCTATGACCTTCAGCCCCATTGTGGGGCTGAGAAGCCTGGCATTTGGAGGCTTCAGACTGCCACAGGGATCTCCAAATTCACCCACTGGGGAGGCAAAGGCTTCTGTTGGATGTGTGGCAAGGAGGAGCCCTCTTCACTCAGGCAAGGTGGGCAGGCTTCAGAGGGCTGGGAGTTCTTTGCAAACAGCTAGGATAGGGCTAGGACTGGGTATGAGTACTGAGGACAGGGGCCATGGTCACCTGGGAAATCAAACCCAGAGTAAGCTTTTTTGGAGCCCACAGATCTGAGGCTTCTGTTCAGAGGGGCAGGGACCAGGCAGAGCAGACCAGCTTGGTTTTTCACAAAGGTGGGAGTGAGTTGGAAAGTGGCCTTAGGTCACAAACACTAGCCACTTTAAGAGAAATGCAGCTCATCTCACTGACCTTGAAATGAGTTTTGCATGTGCACACACGAGTGTGTTTATTTGTGGGTGAAAGAAATTTATCTAAACAATTACATACATATGCTCGTAATAAAGCATTTAGGACATGCTGAAAAGTAAATAAAAATAAGAATCACTTCAAAACCCATAGGCCAGAGATACAATCTGTAAATATATTTTGGTGGATTTCCTTTCAGACTTTTCTCTATGTATATATTCAACATAGGGATATAAATAGATATTTTCAATAAACATAGTATGATACTATTTTGTAAACTGCTTCTTCCATTTGATACTATATCTTGGGTACTTTTCCACAATAAAATGTTATTCTATATCATCATCCTGCATAGGATTCTGTTGCTTGATATTTCTTATTTTAACTAACCTTCCATTGATTAACATCACATCATTTGAAAATAATACATTTGTTTCTTTCTTCTCTTTCTTATTTCAGCATGTTGGCTGGAACTTCCAGAACTGGCCCAGACAGAACTCATTCTTGACTTGAACCTGATTTTATAGCAGTGCCTTTAGTATTTCACCATTGTTTTTCACACTTCCTCTTGGTTTCTAATAGGTTTGTAATACAGAGGGAGTCTTTGCATTACCTCTAACACTAACAGGGTTTTATATTTTTCTTTTAAGAGGATAGGATGGATGTTGAATTATGTCAAATATCTTCATAAGCAGCCAGTAAGATGATGGTATAGTTTTTCTCCTTTAGCCTGTGAATGTCCTAGTGCTGAAGCCACGTTGGTTCCTAAGATCATCCCTGTGTTAGTGGTTTTGCAGATCGGGAAGGTGAAGTTGTTGCCTTGAAAATATTTCAGAAAAGGTAGCATGCTTTATAACCTGTGCTATACCTGCTCTTTTTAACTGTAAATCAAGGAAATTGTCCTCTATCAGTTCATAGGGTGTTTCCTCATTTTTTTTTTATTGCTACAGTGTTCCTTTGTGTGGTTGTGTCATAGTTTGTTTATTCAACCAGTTCCCAGTAGTGATAGATATTTGAGGTGTTTCCAGTCTTCTGCTGCAGTAAGCAACCCCATAAATCCATTATTTTGTAGGTGTGTGGATATACTTTAAAGTAAATTCTCAGAAACGGGACTGCTGTGTTAGAATGAACCAGGAAGCTTTCAGCCTTTTAGAGATAGATTACTAACAGATAAACTCTGATAGACTCAGGTAAACAGAGTTTAGACAACTTGGCTATAATATATTCCTATGTTTGATAAAACATCTGCAGACAAGACAGTTGAGCCTGGAATTGCTGCACGTGTGTGTGCATGTGTGTGTGCGTGCTTCTTTCATACCTTTTATGCTTTCTTCTTGATATTCATGCTTTCTCATAGCGATTCACATCCTTCAGTCTCTCATTTTTTTTAATGCACTTAGATTTTCCAGCACATGATGGAAGCAAGGAAGGTGATGAAATCATTGTTAGACATTGAGCAGCTTGGGGCCAGACACCTTGGCAGGTGCTCTGAGTATATTATTTCGAACTCTCATTTCAACCACACCAAGAGCCCTTTTGAACTCTTTTTACAAAATGAGGAACCCAGAGCTCAGTTTGCTCAAGGTCCCCAGCTAGGAAGTAGTAAATGCAGAGTTTGAAGCCAAGTCTATCTGCTCCACAGCCATATCCTCTTTATTAGCCACACCCATCCAGGATTTTTCCCCCAGCGTTCCTATTCCCAGTCATTCCCAGCTAACAATGAGTTGGGAAAGACTGATGCGTGGTGACATGTCCTAATAGTTAAAAACAATACCATTCAGCTTCTGGCTTATTCTTTTAAATAACAGCTCTGTGTTGCTATCTTCATTTTGATGCCAATCAGGTAAAATTAACAAACACTTGTGGAACATCTTTCAGGTGGAAAGCATGAGGCTAGTTGCTGTAGGGAATACAGAAGTGTAAGTCAAGACTTATGCTGGACAAGCTGAAGCTTAGTCTTGCCAAGCAATATGTACATTGACTGGTTAATGTAGCCTGTTTCTTTTTAGTGCTGAATAATATTCTATTGTCTGGATGTGCTGCAGTTTATTTATCCACTCGCCTCCTAAAGGACATCTTGGTTGCTTCCAGGTTTTGGCAATTATGAATGAAGCTGTTATAAACATACATGTGCAGGTGTTTTTGTGGATATGTTTTCAACTCCTTTTAGTAGATACTGAGGACTGTGATAGCTGGGAGGAGAATTTTTTTTATTATTTGAAATTTTGTTTTTGAACTAAAATGGTTTTTAAGGAATAAAAAGAGGAAAATTGTTGTGCTGGGATCTCTGCGTGTCTCAGCAGGTTATAGCAACACTGTCCACAACAGCATCAGACACTCAGCCAGATGTGAGTCGAGTTGCCTCCCGTGTAGCTGGGAGCAGACTCAATTGCAGAGCTGGTGTCTTATACTCGTAGAGCTCCTCTATCCTCCTTGAACCTTCAGGCTCTGTCTCCATGCTTCTCACACAATGATCTCCTTTGCACAACCTCAGAGCACAACAGTGCTTCTTTTCTGCACAGAGCACTCCCCTGTCTGGACTTTTGTCGTCCTCAGCCTTGCCTTTTTCTCTCCAAATGTAGCAGAGCAGTTGGCTCACCTTGTTTTCCATATCCTCTACCCATGGATTTCTGTTATCCCTACTCCCTCATCCCTACAACCCTCAACAGAAGTAAATCCAAATCAATGAATAAAACAACTGGACTTTGTCATATAGAGGGTAATTCCCCAAGAAACAGGACGCTGTATTAAACTCTTTCAAAAGAGTAAATGAGTTACCTTTTATATGACCAAATTGCTTTCTAAAAGGACTAATCCAAGTTAAAGTGCAAATTTAAAAGCCTCTGAATAAAGCCTAAGAGAGAAGTACATGGCATGGACGATTGACAAATATAATCCAAGAGCAGGAAGTAACCAGATATGAATTGTGAGATGCTGGGAATTCTCCCGAAGTTGGTGTCAAACATACTCATTAAACTTGATACTGTCTGTACAACGAAAGGGCACAGAAGGGAGTGGTAATACAACACAGGGTGCGATCCAGGAAAATACCTTATTTATAGAAGAGCAAGGCTGTAAGGGACTGAGAGCATACAGGGCCACCCTAGTCTCACAGCTGAGCAAATTCAGGGAAGCCAGGGCCCCACCTAAAATCAAATCTGAACCTCTGCCACCTAGTTCAGCACTCTTTGCCCATTTAGAAGGCATTCTGAAGTGATTTTGAAAAAATCTTTATTAATTTCTTTTTTGCAAAGTTAAAATATTCATGATTAAAAATATATATATAAAAGTTTGTATACTGAAAAACATCTCTCCTGCCTCTTTTTTTTTTTTTTTTTTTTTTTTAATTGAGACGGAGTCTCACTCTTTCGCCCAGGCTGGAGTGCAGTGGTATGATCTTGGCTTACTGCAACCTCCACCGCCCAGGTTCAAGCGATCCTCATGCCTCAGTCTCCCAAGTAGCTGGGACTACAGGTGCCTGCCACCATGCCCAGCTAATTTTTTTGCACTTTTAGTAGAGACGGGGTTTCATCATGTTGGCCAGGCTGGTCTCAAACTCCTGACCTCAGGTGATCCACCCACCTCGGCCTCCCAAAGTGCTGGGATTACAGGCATGAGCCACCGCGCCCGGCCCTGCCTCTCTTATTAATTTCTTCTGTACCCTTCTAGTGTTTCTTTGTGAAAATACAATCAAATATAAAAATGTGGGAAGGGGGTGAGGGATAAAAAAACTACCAGTTGGGTTCAGTGTACACTGCTCAGGTGATGGGTGCACCAAAATCTCACAAATCACCACTAAAGAACTTACTCATGTAACCAAATACCACCTGTTCCCCAAAAACCTATGGAAATAAAAAATATTTTTAGAAAAGAAAGAAAAAATTAAAATATTAAAATGCATTCTTATTTCCATTATTTTTTACATAAACAATATATCAAGGAGATCCTTCCACATAAGTGCATAGAAAGTGTCCTTGTTCTGTTTTAAATTATTGTGTTGTAAGGCTGAATCATAGTATATTTAACTAATCTCTATTTATGGACCCTGGGGTTATTTCTAATCTTTTGCTCTTACAACCTGTGGCGTCATAACTAACTTTGTACATATGTCATCTCATAAGAATGTATATCTGTGGATTCCCAGAAATGGATTTGCAAGGTCAAAGAGTAATTGCATGTGTACTTTTGACGAATATTACCAAAATACTTTCCCAAAGGCCTGTACCATTTTGCATTTCCATGAACAGAGTAGAAGTGTGCCTGTCTACCCACAGCTAGAGTTAGCCCTTGCTGGAGATCTGTCTTCCCAGGTTATAGTCTTCTTGGACTAAGATTAAATTCTTTCATCTCTTGAATACATACTTGGGGGCATTAGTCCTGAGGCATGCTGGGTGACATGGAAAACCAGCATTGACTCAAGAACTTGGCATGGCTAGAGCTCAATGTATAGTCCAGAGTATCAGTGTCTGTCACCCCAGATTAGCTCTTTCTTGCACTTCTCTTTGAGAGGCTGTTTCTTAGAATAGCCTTGAATGTTGGGCAATCAGGTGATCAATTCTAATTTTATCCTCAAAGTAATCCTGGAGAAGTGAGGGGGCAGATATGACTTCCGCTTGACAGATGAAGAAGCTGAGGCACAGAGGGAAGAGATAGCACCCTCTTACTACCCTCTTCTCTTCTGAGATGAGCCCCAGTTGTAAGATTGGGGTCTTGATGAACTGGAGAGCATTTTGAGAGGGCAACACTTTGAGGTGGGGTTGCCTCCTGCTGGGGAGGTGCAGATCATTCAGAGGGAGTAGAGAGCAGCACATTGAAGGCCTCTCCAGGCTCCAGGCTTTAGATAGAAGAAAGAAACAATCTTTAGTTCAACTTTGATCCCTAGTTTACTTGTGTTCTTGATGTTCCTTTGGGCCAGGGGCTGGACCTCATTCATCTTCGTACCTGGAACCTCTAGGATTAGCAGGGCCAGGGCAGCAGTACAAACAGAGGATCCCAGCCCCCAGTCTTCCCCCTTCTCTTCCTGGCCCTGGCTCCATCTTGCATCTCAAAAAGCCCTGTGCACTGGCCTCAGCCACCCCTCAGGCCTGGGAGTTCACTCACAGGCAGCAAGGTCCCCTCTCCAGACCCAGAGAAGATGCTTGTCCAGGCCCTGGAATCAGGATCAGGACTGTTTGGATAGGAAATTCCAGGGTCCCAGGTACCTGCAAGATGGCCCAGAAGGAAGTTTGGACTCCAGATGGGCACATCCCTTAGGGACCATAGATTTCCCCAAAGAAGAACCCTCTAAAACATAGGTCCTAGGTCTAAGAGTGATGCTATGGGAAATAATCCAGTTAAATCATGAATTCAAAGGGACTAGACAAAGCTGGAAAATCCAGGTATGAAAAAGCTAGATGCAAGTCAGAGAAATCTGTTCATAAGAAGGTTTTAAATGGGGAGAAAGGAAGCAGAGGTTGTAGGAGCCACATAAGCAAGAAAATATAAGTATGATACATATTATGGGATGGGATGGGATGGAGCTGTCATAGAGTTGGGGTACATTGTCTTATAGATGTTCATGGAGCTGGCTGTAAGTGGGAGCTATCCTTTTCCAGACAGCAATTCTTGTCTTCTGTCCTCTGCTTAGAAGGCAGAGGTATCTGTAAACTCAGTCACAAAAGTCCTTCCCAGCCTGGTTGTCAGGCCATTTTACTCCACCCAGATTCAGGGGGCCCTGCCTCAAAGGATATCTCGTTAGGTTTGTTGAAACAGAACCTTAGCACAAAGGCCCTACTGCAATACGAGTCATGCCAAATCCATATCCACTGAGAGGTTCCTTACAAATATAACTAAGTACAAATACCTCCAAGAAAGTCATGCCATGGTGAGTTTTCCTTTGACTATCAGTCCTTCCCACTTGAGAACGTATTCAATTTCTTCTCTTCTCTCAGGTATCCTAAAACATCCCTGTTGTTATTTCCACTTCAGAGGGTCAGGGCCCCCAACAGCAAACCAATGCCCAATTAATAAGCAGCAGTAGTACCAGGTTTCATGGTATTTGGTCAAATCTGCATAAGCTCCATTTTGCTTTCTTACAGAATCACAGACTCCTGAAGTTTGAGGGAATTTTTTTTTTCTTTTTTTTCTTTTTGTAGAGACGGTGTCTCACCATGTTGCCCAGCCTAGTCCCAAACTCCTGGCCTCATGTGATCCTCTCGCCTTGGCCTCCCCAAAGTGTTGGGACTACAGGTGTGAACCACTGTGCCCTGTCTTATTGAGGGAGTTTAAAGCCTGGTGCTTGAATGCTGTCAATAACTGAGGTAACTTACAAGGTACCCAAGTTTACCTTTGAGCTACTCTGACTTCCAAAGGGTCTTCTTTAGGTTCAGCTGAAATCTGTCTTTTCCAATTTTCCAATCATTAGTCCTCATGTCACCCCTTGGGGTACACACAGAATATCTCCAGCACCTTTCCCAGCTGACCCAGACTATGGCCCACTTTACTACCATAATCCATCTGAGTCACCTCTGTGGATCAGATACCTCCTAGGTTTTCAGCCATTCTCCACATGACATGGCTTCAGGAACTATCCCCTACACCCACATGCTGAGTTTGCAATGCCTCAGGGGGACCTCCAAGTGAAGATGCCACATAGGCTGTTGGATAAATAATCTGACATTCAGAGGGAGGACTAAGATAATGGATATAGATTTGAGAATCATTAGCTCATGTTGGGGGTGGTTGAAGGTAGTTGAGGTCACCTATGGAAACTGTAAGATTAAGAGAGGATGGAACCTGGGGGAAGATAGATTGTTCAAGGGTAGGTGGAGGAAGATGGAGGAGCATACAAGAGACATGGAGAAGGAGCGGTTGGAGAGGCAGGGGAATGACCAAGAGAGTGTTACCATAGAAACTCAGGGAGGAGGGTGTTCAAAATAGGGATAGCAGTGATGTCTAATATAGCAGAGGCCCAGGCATTTGTCAGCTTCTCAGAAGAAGTGAGAATGAGAACTAGAGAACATAGGGCTGAGGAGAGAATGGGAGGGCAGAAGTGGAGGCAGGGAGTGAAGACAACTTTTTGAGCTGCTAGCTGGGAAGGGGAGTCAAAGGAGTGCCATTTGTGATTAGGGTGGGAGAGACCCGAGCTTGTTTCAATGCTAATGGAAAGAGCCAGGAGGAGGATGAGGTGGAAGATATGAGGAGAGTGGGTGGAAGATATGCGGAGAATGGGAAGAACACCACGGCTGACATGGTCTTGAGGAAGAGCGTTGGGGGCATGAAAGGACAGTGGAGGGAATTATTCTTAAATAATCTGCAGAAAGGACAGATAATTCACAGAGGGGGAGGAAAGGCAATGTGGATGGGCTTCAGAGCAGACATCTCTGAAAGAATGTAGGGGTAGGGTAGAGGGCAAGATGTCTAGTTTTGCCTTGACGTAGTAGATGAGGTCATCTGTTGCCAGTAAAGGGAGCAATGGTAGAGTAAGGGTCTGAGAATAAATGCCACATGTGGGAATAGGTTCCCCTGCTCCTCACTAAATGATATGTCTCCTGCCTGACCCTGAGTAGCACCATGGCTCCTGCTGCCCCCTACCCCATCCATGGCATTGGATCCAACCATTGGCCTGAATGGGACCTCAGTTTATTATCTTCAGCCTCGCAGGCTAGATTGCTGATTAATACTCTTGTTGTCCAAACTCTTCTCTTAGATAAGGCAGAGCCTGGGGGTGTGGGAGGGATTCTTCCAAGTGCTTTAGAAAAATCATTTATTCCTCAAGCAATCATACAAAGTAGGCACTAGTGTTATCTCCATAAAAAAACTGAGGCACAGAGAGGGTAAGTAACTTGCTCAAGGTCATTCAGTTGGAAGAGCAGAGCTAGGATTCAAATCTCAGGCACTGGTTCCAGAGACCATGTTCTTAACTTTCTTTAGTAAAAGAAAGTGAAGGTAACATGCAGAACAAAGGACAGAAGGAAGGTGAAGAGACAGTTCTAATGGTGTTTCAGTTCCTGGTTCTTGTGCTTGAGGTCTCTGGAGAATTCCTGGTTCCTGCTTTCTTGAGGCTTAATTCTTCAGTTATTCATTTGATGCTGTGAGATACCCCAGTGTCATTCTAGTAAAACATGAAATTGGAGAGATTCAGCTGGAGGTTCTGATGCATTCCTGGGACACTTAGCCTTCAGTAGCCCCTGATATTTGGGGATCTCTGATGGGTGGGGTATGGCTTAGCCAGAGGGGAATGTGTAGCACCCAGCTGCCTTGCTTGTGGGAGAGGATGGGGCTGTTGAGGTTACTGAGCTGGAACGGGCATGGAGGTCTCCATTGTTCTGACCTTGCCTTTCCTGGATTGCCCCACATTCCATCCTATTGAGGTGATCACTGGTTCACTGGCAGAGATGGGACACTGTTTATCAGTTCCTTCTGGGTTTCCCTTCCTTCCTTACCCAGCCTGGGACCCACTAGCTTTTTCAGCTACATTCTCATCAATGAATCCCACCTTTCTCTCCCTGCGCACCTGTCAGTGTCAGGCCATCTCCCAGTCCTGAATCAGCCCTACCATTTATTTTCTCTAGTCGAACTCAGCTATAGAAAATTCCACAGCCAGGTTGAGTGGTTCCAGAACAAATTTATGACTTCCAACCTCAGCTGTGTTCACAATGCTGCTAAAAAAATCTTTTCATTCAGTCAGTACTTTTCAGATACCCCAAGTCCATTGCTCTGAGCTCTCGCCATGCTCCGTGAGTCCCTCCCCCAACCTCAGCACCTCTCGTTGTTTGTAGCCTCTATCTTCACAGCTGGGGGCAGGGGTGAGATGCATATTGACTGAGTAGTTGGTGAAGTGGTACATGCTGTGCCTAGAGTATGAAAAGAAATGAAATTGGAGGATTCTCACATCACACTATGAAATCTTTGTCACTTGTTTCAGTTTAGAGATATGCAAAGTCACTGAAAAGAAGCAAGTTGGATCCCAGGTCTGGAGTATGGCTTTAACCTGTCTAAAAAGAATGTGTCTATTTACAAGGGTCTTGGGCAGCCTGGAAGCCCAGGAAAAAGGTAATCCCAGAGGTCAACCATTCCAGCCGTTGAGCAATTGCAATTGATCACACATACACTCATGGAGTTCCAGTGGGACCCCGATGAGAAGGGCATTGTGGTAAACTTGAGCTTCATAATGCTGCAGCTGCAGCAATTTGGGGAACACTGAGATCTCTCCATGGCTCTTCCGAGCCTCTCAAAAACATTTAACACAATCATCAGGATTAGGGACCTGACAGCCAAGAGGTAAGTTTGGCAGCCCTGAGGCATTTGCTTTTAACAAGCTCCCATGATGATGTCAACTCCCCAATTTATATCTCTAGCCCTCTTGCTTGAACTTCAGACTATTGACAACTGTTTACAGAACATCTGCTCTTGAGTGTTGAAGTGACATCTCAAATTCAAGATGACCAAAACTTAACTCCTTCCTCTGCCCTGAAACCTGTTCTATCTGCAGTCATCTCCATTCAGTTCATGTTTATGATACAGCTAAAATTGCTCATCAGCATCTAATGAAGCAACGAAGCAACTTTGTCAATCAGACATTGTTGTTTTACTTTCTTTTTCTTCCATAAACTTACTCTATGGTAGTTCTTTTGTTAGTATGGACTTTGAACTCTTCCTGGGCATCTCCAGACCTGGTCTCTCATCAAAAGGCTGATCTCATCTAATTAGGGCCTGAGGACTGCAAGGGAGGGAAGATCAAGGGGAATCCTAGAAACCTGGATTCCGTTCAGGCAGGAAAGCAGATTGATGATCAATGGCCTGGGTCCATGCCACTTACTGCTTGTGAGACTAGGAAAGTTATTTACTTTCCAGACGATTCATAGATCAACCTAGGGGAGGGGGTGTTGATTAAATGAGAATATGTATAGTCACTGATGCATAGTAAAAGCTCAGTTAACTACTGGTAGTAATGCTTTATCTTAGGATATTCTGAGCTAGAAATAAAGTAAAAAATGAAATTGATTTGGGAGCCTAAAGAAATTATCCTGAAATGCATAAAGAGAAACATGTAAAATACTCATTGAAAAGCTGAAATGGAAAATGGTCATTTTCCCATAGATATTGGTGGTTCACTTCATAAATCTTTCTGAATTAATCCTTTAATTCAGTATGTATTTATTGAGCATTTACTATATGTTAGGCTGTTAGGCACTGCTCTAAATGCTGAAGAAAAATCCGTGAGCAAAACAGGTGAAAATCCCTACATTTCTGAAGCTAACCTTCTATTGGGGGTCATATATTGAACAAAATAAATAATACTACGGGTTGGAGGAAAGGAGATGATTCATTTGGAGTTTTTAAGTAGAGTGATCTGGGACCTAACGTCATCTTCTGAGCTGGGGGAAGATACAAAAAAATCTTAAAATATAGTCCCAGCCCTCCAGAAATGCACATTTTGGTTAAGGAAATAAGACAGGATTCACATGCCAATTTTGGTGATAGAACAAACAAGGCATTATTATGTACATGGAGACAAGCAATGTTCTAAAAGGTCAGAGAAGCTGGGGAGCAGGAAGGGATGCAGCCCAAGGACTTGTTGGCATGAGTGGTCTGGAAAAGTCTCCTGAAGGGAGTGGAACTTAGCCGCGAAATAGTGAAGCAAGTTTTCTTCCATCCTTCCTCCCCTCCCGTTAGCTGCTGGGAAGCAGCTTGTGTTGCAATGGGCCAAAATGAAACACTAATCTTGGCCTTTTCCAGGAAGAGGCTGTCATGGGGAGATACCGTAACGGGCATAGAAAAACAATCACAATAGCTTCAGTGGATCCCCACGTGACCTGGCCAAATTGGCTGGAGAGGGAACAAGTCTTTCAGGTCAAGCTCAGGCTTTGAACTCAGTAGGAACCAACCCCTGCAGATTCAGTAACACCTTCTACTTCCAAATCTTTATAGCATGAAAATCCAAGGGGGCCACAGATTGCTCTGAGTTAACCACCAGGAGCTGCCAATAGGAGGGTCCTCCTGCATCTCTTTCTTAAGGCTTTGGGTTTGTACCTGTACTCTAGAGATGTGGCCAAGCCCCACTTGTGGTCTGTGTTAGAGGAGCCCCAAAGAACACAGACACGAACCTTGGGGGTGGTAGCCAGGTGTAAAGTAGGGCTTGAGAAGAGTGAGTTCCTAGTACCCATTTTAGATTAGACTGCACAGGGGAGAAGACAGGCAGGATGTGTGAATCAGGAAATAGATTGGTTCTTTGGGCCTAAATGAGTGTCAAATCTCCAAAGAGTCAAGTACATTAAATTCATCCCAGCTTGGTGAGGTAGGTGCTAAGTTTTTCTAACAAAGTAGATGTTTGAATAATTGGGGCCTTAGATGAGTCACTATAGTGGACTGGGTATGGAGAGGGGCAGCATTATTGATCTCCTTTTCCTCATTCTCCATGTAGAATTGCTACTAGAGTCTTACCTCTATTTTCTCATGGCTATTTGGCCTTCAACTTGAAATAGTATCTAGTATGATGCATGGGTTGGATAAAGATGTCAGCCCTTGTAAAATATTGCAGTTACTTTGAAAAAAGGCTGGAGTTCTCAACTGGGATCCCTTCTTACCAGCTACGTGGCCTTGAGCAAGTTGATGCACGTCTCTCAGGCTGTTTTCTTGTCTGTACAATTGGCTAGTGTAAACTTCATGAGGTTATTGTAAGGATCAAATTAGATAATGCATGTAGAGTATAGCACCAATAATTGTTTATTGTTATTACTTTTATTATCTAACCAATTGGAGATGAGGAAAAGTAATTATTAGGGGACAAATATTGTATAACGAGCCGACACAAGAGTGAGTGGAAACTGTAACTTGCCTACCAATGCGGGCTGGATTCACACTTAGCCAGACGTCTCCAATAATGCTCCCAGCCCTAGCAGAACCCCAGTTGCCCTCCGAATGGTCACTGGATTTGTCCCTTCCTATCTTCTCTCCTTCTCCAAACCCGGCCCCATAATCCTGACCTTCATTTCTGCTAGCCCTGGAATCCTATGATTTGCCCTGCTCTTCTTCAGCTCCTCCCAACACTGCAGATGTCTTTGTTCTCCTATGCGTTTGGTCCTCCTCCTGCCCCTCAATCCAAGGGTCCATCAGTTTCATGCAAATTAGGATCATATTCTCTTCATGACCACTCATCCTAGAAGGGAAAGCTTGCAAATGTGCAGATGGGTTTGGTGTGAGGGTCAGGATGGACAGAGAAGTGCATTTATTCAGTCCAACATTTTCTAAATACAAATTACATTTTTTAAAAAAGGAAATTAAAATAACAATTAAATACCATTTCCCCATGGCAAAGGCAAGCAAAGAATGACCGTATACCCTGAGTAGGTGAGGAATATAATTTGGTAACATCTTTCTGGAGAGCAATTAGGCAATGTATTTCAAAAGTGTTAACATTTTCACATTTTCTTTATCCTAGCAATTCCACTCTTAGGAATTTAATTGAGAATAAGAACAAAGATTTACAAGCTTGTCATCACAGTAATTGCCTGGAAATAGTGAAAAAATTGCAAAAGATCTAAGTATTCAAAAATAAGGAATTGGTTGAGTAAGTAGAGACATCCCTGTATAGGTTTACTCTGTAGCCATAATGGATAATATTGAGAAATCTATTTATGGTCAATGAAAGATGTTTGTCATATATTATCATATAAAAAGCAGATTATAAAGCACTATGTACAGTATTTTACAATGAGTATTTAAAAACTTTTTATAGAAACAGGGTCTTGCTCTATCACTCAGGCTAGAGTGCAGTGGCACAATCATAGCTCACTGACGCCTCTGACTCATGGGATCTGGTGATCCTCCTGCCTCAGCCTCCTGAGTAGCTAGGACTACAGATGTGTGCCACCATGCCTAGCTAATTTTTAATTTTTTTTGTAGAGATGGGATCTTGCTATTATTGTCCAGGCTGGTCTTGAACTGCTGGTCTCAGGCAATCCTCCTGCCTCAGCCTCTCAAAAGCACTGGGATTATAGGTGTGAGCCACTGGGCCTGGCCATATTTGCACATTTTTAAAGTTTCAAAAGATATGTATCAATTTATACACTAGTATCTTGGTGTTTGGAGGTTACAAGTTATTCTCTATTTTCTTTTCTTTTTTTTTGTATATTTTCTGATTCCTTTATGGTTAATGTGAATTAGTCATGTAATTACAAGCCATTTTAATTTGCATTAAATTACTAGTAACACATTTTAGGCTTTGGGAATTCAAAAAATGAATAAGAGAAGGAGAAACAACATTTATTGAATTTTTTTTAACATTTTAGGCAATGAGCTGAATCCTTTGTATAATTTAATTCATTTAATTTTTACCATAATTGCATGGGATATTATGTTTCCAGTTTACAGATAAGGGAACTGAGGCTCATAGAAGATTAGAAACTAGCCTAAGATTGTACATTCAGTGGGATTTGAAACCAGATCTGACGCCAAAGAACTTATCGATATTCATACAGGTTTAAAATTTTTCCATGACACCACAGGAGCTTGCAGTATTAGAGGGGCTCAGAACCCACAAACCCAAAGACTTCAGGTCCAGGCAGACCCAGATCAGTGGCTCATGAGTGAGACAAACATAGGGTCATGGAGATGCATAGAGGGGAGATCTGGCTGCATAATCAGGGAGTGAGATCTGATGTGAACTTGATGTCAGATTTCAGGAATCAGCAATTGAGGCTAGAGCTTTTCCCGAAGGCCAAAGAATGTGGGTGCAGTGGCAAGGAGGAAGAGTAGGGACAGATGGGTTGTCTGGAGTAGACGTGGGGAAGTTTCTGACACAGGCAGTACTGGACAAGGTTGTCTGCACGAGGTTTGTTGATTCATATTTCACGGTTAATCTCTTTGCATTTATTTATTTTATAGCATTACCACTTTTGTGTCATTGATTTTCACTTCTGAGTTTGCCTATTTGTTTGAAATCTCTTCATCTCATTTCTATTAGTTTTTATACTCCATTGAGCACTTCTCAGTGAGTGAGCATTTTCACTTCACACTCATCAAAGAGCCAAATGAGGAGAGGAGACACCCTAACTGCAGGGATTAGGTAGTAGGCTTCAGAGGCAGTGACCAAGCAGGATCCCTGGTAGGCCACTCCCTCTCCTCTGCTACCTGGAAGCAGAACAAGGCTGGATCTCACCCTTCTGCTACCTGCATTTAACTAACTAGGAAGTCATATGGGTTATATTTTAAAATATATTTTAAAAATATGTATCTGACAAATGCATTTCATGATCCTAGATTGGATTCTGGGTTGGAAAAAATTACTATAAAGTACATTGGCAAAATTTGAATGTAGGCTATATATTGTATAATAGTTTGTTATCAATGCTAAATTTTCCAAATTTGTTAATTATACTGTAGTTATATAAAAAGATCCTTGTTCTTAAAAGACAGATGCTGAAGTATTTGGGGTTAAGGAGCATGATGTCAGCAACCTATTCTTAAATGGCTAGGCAAAACCAATAATAATGTGTGCATGTGTGCAGATTATCTATTTATCTATCTATCCATCTATCCAACTATCTAGAGAGAAATAAAACAAATGAGGCAAAATATTAACGACTGGTAAATCTAGGTTAAAGGTATGTAAATGTTCATTGTATTCTTGCAGCTTTTATGAAAGTTTTTTTTTTTTTTAAAAAGGTTAACAATTTCTCTTGAAGACTTCTGCTTCTGGCCAAAGTGGAGTAATAGGTTCAGATTTGCCCTCTTGCCTGAAACAATAACAACAACAACAACAAACACAATAAAGATATATGAAGGAATGGTTTTCAAGACATGGACATCAGGTGACAAATGACAGTGATTCCTGGGAGTTGAGGAGAGTTTTACAATTGCTCCAGCTTACAGCCCTGAAGAAGTTCCTAGGGCACAGTTCAGGAAGGTGGAACCCAGATGGAGCCTGGAAAATGCTCTGAGTTGAGGAAACAGAGATAAGAGTATGGGGAGACCAAAGCAACTAGAGTTTGCAGGATAGATGATGGAGAGGAGAGAGGTGCACAGAGAGAGCCCAGGAGATCCTCAGGGGTCTCCTCAAGATCGGTTCAACTAAGTACCAATCAGCACATGTGTGTGAGGAAACCATCTGCGAGGATTAGAAGCAGCGCTGCTCAGTGCTCACTCAGGGCTGAGAACAGTGCCAGTTCCCACCTGCCAGATTGGAAAGTCCCATGATTCCTGGGGCACTCAGTAGTTTGTACAGAAGGTCCTTGCCTCAGAAGTGGGCAATAAATAACCCTAGACTGAGCACTTCTCAGCACCCTTGAAAAAAAAAATCATAAAATCAAAACCTGAGGATCCAACTGTTTCCAAGTAGTTTAACTTATCCCAGAGCAAAGTTCAAAAATATATATAGGAATCCAAAAATATTTAACACCCAGCAAAGTACATTTACAATGTCTAGTATCTAAGCAAAAATTACCAGGTATGAGAAGAAGTAGAAAAATATGACCCATATTAAAAAGGAGCCTAGGCTTTTCCCCTCACTCAGCTGTGATGAGGCACCCCAACCCTTCCTTGCTGGGGTGATGTGCCCTGTAATGACCTTCTCCTCAGTGATTATGTCAGTGAAGGCCATGTGGGGACCTGGAACTCTCACCCTCACCAGCTGTAATGAGACACTCTACCCCAGTGGAGTGTCCACAGAGGCCAAGTGAGGACTGTGGACTTACACAACCACCTGGCAATTATGAAGCAGCAGTCCCCTTTCCTGACTGGCACAGTGTCAGACAGGGCCTGCTAAAACAGAAAATTTAAATAAGATATAATGTCTTATATAATTCCCCCAAAGCCCAGGAATTAATAGAAAATCACTCATCATGTCAAGAACCAGGAAAATCTCAACTTGAATGAGAAAAGACAACAAATGCCAATGTTGAGATGACACAGATGTTGACAAAAATTTTAAAGAAACCATTATAAAAATGCTTCAATGAGTAGTTATAAACATGCTTAAAACAAATTTAAAAATAGAATGTCTCAGCAGGAAAACACAAGACATAAAGAGGAGCCAAATAGGCTGGGTGCGGTGGTTCACCCCATTAATACCAGCACTTTGGGGTGCTGAGGTAAGAGGATCGCTTGAGCCCAGGAGTTTGAGACCAGCCTGGGAAACATGACAAATTCCTGTCTCTACAAAAAACACAAAAAGAGCTGGTGTGGTGGTGCGTGCCTATAGTCCCAGCTAACTCAGGAGGATGAGGTGGGAGGTTGGCTTGAGTCCAGATGGCAGAGGTTGCGGTGAGCTGTGATTGCATAATTCAAGAAGCTAATGAACCTCAAACAGAATAAACTGAAAAGAAATCCATGACAAAGCACATCATAATCAAACTTCTGTAAAACTAAGACAAGACAGAATGAGAGAAATGACACCTTGCACAGAGAGGGAAAATAATTTGAATGACAGAAATTTTTCATCAGAAACTGTGGAGGCCAGAGGGAGGCATCACACATTTTTCAAGTCCTGAATGAAAAGAACTGTCAGCCCAGAATCCTAATTCAGTGAAAATGTCATTCAGGAATAAAAGGGAGATTGCCTAGCTATATTAAAACATTATAATTTAGCCTAATGTAATTTTCTAGGCAGTTTCAGTCAGTTTTTTGCTACTCTCTGATGTTCAAGATAGAAAAAGTTATTTTACAAGCAAGCTGAATACAAAATAATGGAAATAGTTTGTAAAACCAGTATATATTATATGCCTATATTGCACATGTTAAAGCACTCCATTATAATACAGTATGTAATCTACTGTTTTTGAACGGTTTTGTTCAGCATTTGGCTATTTAAAAAATATTTATAAAGAGATTTATTTCTTTCAGTTCTGGAGGCAGGAAAGTCCAAGGTTGAGGGGTTCACATCTGGTGAGGGCCTTCTTGCTGTGTCATCCCATGGCAGAAGGTGGAAAGGTAAGAGGGCATGTGTGTATATGTGTGACGGGGTGGAAAAGAGCGAGAAGGAGAAAAAGAGAGAGAGAAGTAAGAAGATCAAAATCACCCTTTTATCAGGAACCCTGTTTTATCTGGGAAACATAACAGCATTAATCCGTTCATGAAGGCAGAGGCCTCATGACCAAACCACCTCTTAAAGGTCCTACCTTTCAACATGGTTGCACTGTGAATTAAGTTTCCAAGAATATTTGGCTCTTAAGTACATTTTTGTTGTTGTTTCCATTTAGAATTTCTTTTCTAGAGCTTGCTTTAATTTTATTCATTCAAAACTTTGCACTTGCTTTCTTTTCCTATATTTATTTCCTTTTTAGGTTATGAAGCTTTTTGAGGTGGAACCAAGCACAATTCTTGGATCTAAATAAGCATTTGATTTAAGTTATCTTTGAGCTTTTAATAACTTAATGAACATTCTATGCTATTCTATGGGAAATGCTTGAGTTTTTCATTTGCTTATATTTTCTTTATCAATTTTGTGTCTTTTGGGTAAGTAAAGGACATAAAGTATGGAATACCTTAATAAGACAGTGAATTAAATCTATTCCCCTGATTTAACTACGAAAAAAGTCAATAATAAGAAAACAATCTCCCCTTCCCCAAATAGGACAACTATTTGAACAACTATTCAACCAAAGACAATATATGGATTGGAGACAAGAGGATGCTCAACATCATTCATTAGGGAAATACAAACTAAAACCACAATGAAATATTACTGGTTACCTATTAGAATGATTAAAATTAAAAATACTGACCATATCGGCCAGGCATGGTGGCTCACGCCTGTAATCCCAGCACTCTGGGAGGCTGAGGCAGGCAGATCACCAGGTCAGGAGATCGAGACTATCCTGGCTAACACGGTGAAACCCCGTCTCTACTAAAAATACAAAAAAAGTAGCCAGGCATGGTGGCGGACGCCTGTAGTCCCAGCTACTCGGGAGGCTGAGACAGGAGAATGGTGAGAACCCAGGAGGTGGAACTTGCAGTGAGCCGAGATCATGCCACTGCACTCCAGCGTGGGTGACAGAGCGAGACTCCATCTCAAAAAAAAAAAAAAAAATACTGACCATATCAAGTATTGGCAAGGATATGGAGCAACTAGAACTTTCATACATTGCCAGTGTAAAATGGCACAGCCATTTTGGAAAACAGTTTGGCAGTTTCTTACAAACTTAAACATATACCTACCATGTGATTGAGTCATCCCATGCCTAGATATTTACCTAAGAGAAATGAAAGCACATATCCATACAAAGAGTTTATATGAATGCTCATAGACACTTTATTTATAATAGTAAAAAACTGGAAACAACCCAAATGTCCATCGATGGATGAATGAATAAATATCTATGAGATGGAATACTACTTAGCAATGAAAAAGAATGAAGTATTGACACATGCAGCAACATGGATGAATCTCAAAATGATTAAGGTGAGTAAAGAAGCCAGACAAAAAACAGTACATATTGTAAGCCTCCATTTATATAAAATTCTATAAAATCTAACATAATTTATAGTGATAGAAATCAGATCAGTGGTTGCCTAGGTGTGATGGGGTGTGGGTTGCAGGGGGAGAGATAATAGAAGGCCACGAGAAAACTTTTGGGGTGATGGATATGTTTATTATCTTGATTGTGGGGCTAGTTTATCAGGCATAGTCATATGTGAAAACTTATCAAATCGTACACTTTAAATGGGTGTATTTTATTATATGTCAATTACACCTCAATAAAGTTGTTTTAAAAACTTTAGGAAGAATATGAGCTATAAGTCAGTCACACATTAATTAACGTTAATTAATTTTCTTTCTTTCTTTTTTTTTTTTTTTTGAGATGGATTCTTGCTCTGTCGCCCAGGCTAGAGTGCAGTGGCGCTATCTTGGCCCACTGCAACCTCCATCTTTGGGGGTAAAGCGATTCTCCTGCCTCAGCCTCCCAAGTAGCTGGGACTACAGGCGCACACTGCCGTGCCTGGCTAATTTTTTGTGTTTTAGTAGAGATGGGGTTTCACCATGTTGCCCAGGCTAGTGTTGAACTCCTGAGCTCAGACAATCCGCTTGCCTCGGCCTCCCAAAGTGCTAGGATTACAGGCATGAGCCACCGCACCCGGCCCCGGAATCTGCATTTCAACAAGCTCTTCTGATGGTTCCTCTGCATCTGGGAGTCGAGAAGTTCTTGCTCTATGGCCTCTGAAGTTGCTTCGAACCCAATTCAGAATCTCAACCCACTCCTCTGCCTTTTCTAGTCATAGTTACTTTTCCTTAAGTGCCACACTGGCATAAAGGCGTTCGATGTTCCACTATCTTTCCTGCAGGTGTTCAGCACATGATCGGTGGTTTCTAGGGTCTGCCATGGGTCTTACTAATTATTTGGAACCAAATATAACAGAAAACAAGTTTGGAATTCTAAAAAATCCCTTAAAAACCTTTTTAAAAAATCTTGGACACAGCAGCTGTGAATGGTCTGGGCCTGCCTGTGCAGTTATTGCTGAAATTACTGGGGCTGTTGAGTATTTGGAAATCAAATCCCAGAAGTGAATTGGCTGTGCCAATCAGTTGTAAAAGGATCTGGCCCTGGGAGGTTTGATGGGTAGGGGCAAATGGGGACATGGGAAGAGGGTGGGAGGCTTCAGGACTGCATGAACTGAGTAGAAAGATTTGGCCTTTGGGGACAGAGCATGCAACGGGCAGCTGTTCCCGGTGACCTGGGCATCTGGGACTTACTGAGGGAGAGACGTGATCTTGGCCTAGCTGACCACCATCGAAACCACTCATCGGAGGCGTGGATGCAGTTTGCTGGGAAGATGAGCACCGATCTGTCTGGTGGTCACATGGAGGGCTTTGCAGATCTCTGACACTGGATATTTCCCCTTGCCCTGGTGCCAAGGACTAGGGGAGAGATCACTCTGGGCTTGAGTCAGGGACAGGGATGCCAGGCACAGCGAAAGAAGATGACTGTGGTACAAACCCAGCTGATGAAGTGGAAAATAAATAAAAGAGAAGGAATCAAGCTGGTTCATGTAGGAAGCATGCACACACTCATCCCATCCATTGTTCCACATCGGGCACCTCCCTGAGCTAGCTGCCACTCCTGCTGCACTCTGCCACTCCTTGGAAGGCAGCACAGGGCAGTGGTTAGAGCCTTCTCTTTCAGTGTCAGACAGGCCTGGGTTCATGTCCAGGTCTGCCACTTTACTTACTAGCTGTGGGATGCTGATGAGCCCAAGCTCTCTCCTAGCCTGCTTCTTGATCAGTAAAATGACAATGACTAGAGTACCTAGTATATGGAGTTACTGCAGGACTTGAATGTGCCAATACATCTAACATGCTTAGCATAGGGCCTGATCATGGTTGGCATTTGATAAGTGCTAGTTGTTATCATTATTAATATTACTAATCATCAAAGAAAGATCTTCAGTTGGATATTTGGGCAAAATTATGAAATTTATCCCTAATCTTTTGATTTACAGATTGGTGTGGATCTGTTATTAAGTGTTTTCTTTTTTTTTTTTTAAGTTATCTTGTTTCCTGACTCCTGAATTGAAGAGTGTTTCTTCTATGAATTTCTTTTCTTACAGAAATAAAATTGAAAGAACTTTTAGAGAACTGACATGTTAGACACAGTCTTGAGCTTCATAGAGATCACAGTCTGTCAGGGGAGAAAGAGGACGAAAATAAGCAATTTCAGTACAGGGGAGGAACATTTCAAAAGGGGAATGTGGGGTGCTAGGAAGGAGGGAGATGCATGAACTTAACACACCTGTCACTTCTGAGCAACTGGTACTTCCAGCAGCCCCTCCTGCTGCCCCCTCCATGCTTCCCTCTGAAAGCAACACCTAATAAGCCATTAATAAGTCAGAAGAAAAGGTTTGCCATGAAGAAAAGGCTCTAAGTATATTTCTTTTAGTTTCTTGAAATTTTCAAGTCTGATTTTAGGAAGTTGCCATAACTTGAAAAATTTCAAACACTGCATGAGCATCTAGCAAAAGCTTGTAAAATAAAATGAGTGCTCATCACATTTAGAGGAATTATAAAGGCAGCTGTGATACAGGAAAAAGAGCCCTAGTCTTGGAGAGTGGAGCTGTGTATGTGCCCTGGTTTCAGGTGCTGTATGATGATATCAGGCATGGCACTAAACTACGATGAGCCTCAGCTTCTTCATCTGTAAACTGGGGATGAGGACACCTACCTCCCAGGATGGTAGAAGGACTACATATGATTGTACTAGATACAAAAGTAAAACAGTGAACAAACAGATGAAGATTGTTTATCTGGGAGTTTAAAACCCAGAATCTTCCAAACAACAGAATGCTGAAAATAGTAAAGACTAGCTAAGGTTTAAAAGACTAGCATTTATTGAATCCTTACTGTGTCTAAGCATGGAAGACATTTTATCTCATTTAATTCTCATAACCTGTGAGATAGATACTCTCATCATCTGCATATTACAGGTGAGAAAACTGAGGCTCAGAAAAGTGAAGTAATTTGTCCCATATTCCCAAACTAGCTAGTGTCAAAGCCTGACTTTTTGACACTGGATGTTTTGAGCTCAGAGCACTTTTTTTTTTTTCTTGGACATTTTGAGCTTAGAGCACATCCTCTTTTATGTTATATTCCTGTGCTTGTGTGTATTATCTCATTTAAAACGCACAATCCTATGTGGCCTGTATATTATTCCCATTCAGTATGTGAGGAAACTAAGTCACAGAGAGAATAAATAACTTTCTCAAGGTCACCAAGTAAGTAAACTGGAGTCAGGTTCAAACTCAGGCAGCCTGACTCCAGGGCGCTTCAACCACAATGCTAATGGAATTATTCTAAAATGATTTTAAAAACAATCATTCATTTTCAAAATCATGGTATCGGAATGCGTGAAAAAAGACTTGCTATGGCACAGAGAACATTGTAATGGGGTAACCCGCCAGGCTAGGAATGACCCAGGTATGACCACTGGTCATGGCACAAGGCCCTTTCTGAGCAATATAGGCAGGGCAGAGCCTGCCATGATGGAAATCACAGTAACATCATGGAGGTGGCGCTGGTAAAAAAAAAACCAGCTCTGCCCGATGTGCATCGATTACAAGACCTGGTGGCGAACATATGTTTTACAGCCCTAAATTGCATTCGTGCAAATATTTATCATCCATCCCCTGCCAAATCCGCATAATGGAAAAACAAACCAAAGGAAAACCTCCAGAGGATGTGAAGGCTATATCAAGTCTCTTGCCAATTGTTGTGCTCTTTGGGCGTAATATATCTAAATCTTAGTAATTCCAGGATTTCCAGTAATCTGGAATATCCGCTACCCTGTCCTGAAAGCCCTCCTCCAGCAGTGGGCCGCCCAACTTGAGTTCGCTCAATTTCCTCTTTCACCTGCAGGTGGCAGCACGAGTGCCGATCGCTGTCAGGCGAGGGCGCTCAGGGGTGGGAGCCGAAGAGAGTAATTTAGGGATAGAGGTGAGAACGGAGTTAGACACAAAAGTAAGATCACATGAACTCCGACTTCGGATGGAACACATCATCCATTTAAACCCTCGAGCCGAGCTCAACTGGAAACTCCACCTAAGTAAGCGTCGTGGGCCCTGGAGCCCCGCGGCTCAGGGCAGGCCGGGGCGGGGCGGACGCAGCGCGGTTTGCCCGCCTGTGCGGAAGCCTCCGCAGTCCGCGGCTGGCAGGGCCTGGGGCGGTCTTTCGCGTGGGTGTCCGTCCCTCCGCAGCCGTACTGCCGGCGCCAGGGCCGGCTCTGCACATTTCGTAAGGCCTTACATGGCTGCACCCCCCCCGCCACCGAGGACCTGAGCCCGCCGGCCGCCCTCCCGCGCTCTCCCGCCTGGGGACTGCGAGCTCCGCGCTGCACCTCCAAGCGGGGGACGCCTGCGGACTCCACCAAGCTGCCTTCCCCCGTACTGCTGTCCCCTGTGGGAGCAGAGGAATCCGACCCAGGTCTGCAGGCGAGGGACAGGAGGCTTCTTTAGACCTGACAGGGTGCGGGTTATTTTGTCCCTCACCTTTCCTGCTCAGGGACCTGTCCTCCTCCGTCTCGTTCCATGCCTTCTCTCCTCCTCTTAAAGGATGCTAATCACATTCAAGCCAAAAGATTAGAGACTTTTCTGTGTCCTTCGTCAGGAATGCTTGGATTTGTTAGGAAGGGAACTGGATACAACTTCATGAGATATAAGGGTGTAATTTCAGACATGTGCGTTTCTTTCTAGGATTATTTAAATTACACCTCAACTCACAATCGGCTCATGCCTTACAACCATCTGTGGCTAAGAGGCAAGTCGGACTTCCTGGTAAACCCTCTTCTCTTAGGTGAAGCATGGAGCTGTGACCTTATTAACCTGAACAGCAATTGGGAGCCTCAAAATAGAAAAAGCAAAAACTCAGGAAAGTTTATTTATTTATTGTTAAGACAGAGTCTCACTCCATCACCCAGTCTGGAGTGCAGTGGCGTAATCTCGGCTCACTGCAACCTCCGCTTCCCGGGTTCAAGTGATTCTCATGCCTCAGCCTCCCGAGTAGCTGGGATTACAAGAGCCCACCACCACGCCTGGCTAGTTTTTTTTTTTTTTTTTGGTATTTTTAGTAGAGACAGGGTTTCGCCATGTTAGCCAGGCTGATCTCGAACTCCTGGCCTCAGGTGATCTGCCCGCCTCAGCCTCCCAAAGTGCTGGGATTACAGGCATGAGCCACCATGCCTGGCCAGAAACTTCTTTAATCAACATTGATTTTCCAGGAATAGAAGTTGTATAATAGAGAAAGCAGCACCTGAGTAGGGCCTTAGAGTCTAGAAGGTGCTTTCAGTTACAGGCTTGGGAGACACCCATTACTCATATGGTCTTCGATAGGTAAGTATTAATCCCTGGTGTTTGTAGTCATGATAATTACCACTTGTGAACAATGTAGCTGGTGTCCATTGTCCTCCACCAGTACTGCAAGACAAAGAGTCATTAACTAAGTAGATGACACACTCCTCTTAGTTTACACTCCGTCCCACTTGCCCCCCACCTCCATGAAAGCAGGTATGATTATTCTCCTGTAAAATTATTTTTCCTCCTACTTTCCTGACCTGAATTCAACTGCCTTTCTGTCTGCTCAACCTTCTGGTGAAGATTTCTGCCTCTGCCCCTCCCCATCTCACCTTCTAATTCCTACAGACTCCTCCCTAGATTGACCACCCGGGAATGACTGTCTAGATTATACATTATGAAATTTGATTATAGTTGATTAAACACATTGTTAAATATTGCCCTGACTTGTTTTCATTCTACTTTCTGAAAGTATAATCTGAACTAGCTGTGAGCTTTGAGAGAACAGGAACCATATTGATTAATCCTAGGCTTAATAAGATGTATTAAAAAGAGACAATAAATATTTAACAGTTGAGTATGAAGATGAAACTTTATTGATGAGAAACAGGAAATGTCATCCACTCAATCTTTCCATTAAAGTTTCCTGAGTTTCAACTTTGTGCCAGATCCTGTGCTGGACAGTGTAGAGGAAATTAAACATGAGGAAGACATGGTCCTGCCCTGATTTGTAGGAGATAAAGCATTCACACAGCTCACCAGAAGGCAGTATAAATGCCTCAGAGTGCTGGAAGCAGAGCGCTACCATTCAGAGGAGCAAGAAGAGAGCTCCTGTGGCTGGTGGTCAAAGAAAAGTTCACAGAGAAAGCAGCACCTGAGTAGGGCCTTAGAGTCTAGGAGGTGCTTTCAGAAGGCAAAGATGTTGTGTCAAAGTTAGGCAGAGGGAAGAGTAGGAGCAAAATTAGGAGGGGAAATAAGTCGTAAAATTTATATGGGAAAACCAAGCAATGCAGTTTGACTGCAGTGATGCAATAAAAGTAGTAAGTGATATTTATCAAGAACCTACTGTATGCTGGATATTATTTACTTTATATATATATTTTTCATCTTATCCTCATAATCACACATGAGGTAGATGCTGCTAATACTACCATTTTATGGATGGGGAAGCAGAGGCTCAGATGACTTAAATAATTTACCCAAGGCTATAGCACTACTAGGTTGGGATTCGACTCTGGAGCCATGCTATTCCCCCTCCAAGATATGTGTGGGAAGAAGAGAGAAGTGAGATTAGGGAAATTGTTTGGCAGGTCCTATTAAATTGTACCTTAAATGTCAGAATTCAATTTGGTTAAGTAATAGGGAGCCACTGAAGATTACTGAACAGGTAAGTCACCTAACTAAAGTCAGACTTTAGGAAGATTGATTGGTAAGATGGATTGGAGAGAACAGAGACAGAGGAGGAGGAGAAAAGACCAAGTAGGAGGTGAATGCAAATGGGAGATGAAAATTGTTGACCCTATTCACAGTCTGAATGGAGCAGTGAGAATCCAAAGTAAGAAATTGTCATGGGAGACATGTCAGAAGTAGATTCTTTAGGGCTTGGTGACTTGGTGAAGTGGACGGTGAAGGAAAGGGTTGGTGGTGAATCCAAGGCATTGAGCTGAATCCTGAGGAGATGCAGCATTGTGGTCAGGTGGGAGGAGGCAGGCTGAGCTGCTTCTGGATAGCTCCTTTTGGTTGCTTAGTCGTGTTGGTGGGACTGCACTGGGCTATATTTTGGTGAACATGCACAACAGACAGGGTTGATGCAGGTCTGGGACACTGGGAAGGGGTTAGGGATGAAGTTGTAAGATCTGGGAGTCCTTCACGTGAAGCCAAGGGAGAAAGAACCCACCTAGGGAATGAGAGTAAAGAGAGGAAAAGAAAGAATCTAATGGAACCTTGGGGAGGGATTTTATTCAGGGAGCAGGAGGAAGACAGGTCACAGAAGGCAGGAGAATGACCAGTCAGAGAGGAGTGAGATTGAGAGGATATCAGGAAAGCCAATGAGAGAACATTTTAAGGCAGAGCGTGGTCACCAGTGTCAAAGTACTGTAGAAAGTCAAGGAGGGTGAGGACTGAATTTCTTTGGCAACTAAGGGGTCACTGGATCTAACAAAAGAGGATGAGATAAATACATTACAGCTCATGTATGTGACAGAATATTCCACAGACATTAAAAACCAGGTTTTCAAAGAACAGGGAATTGGCAAAGTGTTTATAATATAATGTTAAAGAAAAGAATGAGGAAAGAAAGAAAAAGAAAGAAATTAAAGCGTAAGAGAGGATACAATTATGTCTATAAAACATAATTCCAAGTTTATTTTGTCTGCCTACCTTTTAAACACAAACAGAATATTAACATATACTAGGGAGTTTTCCTTTGTTCTCTGCCAGGCTCTTGTGCTTTTATTGAGTGAAGCAAGGTTATGAGCAGAGCCATGGAATTAGAAGGTTATGAGCAGAGCCATGGAACTGGAATTTGAAAGACTGGATTGCTTCAAATTAGAAAGGGCTTGGAGCTACTTGCATGAAGGATCCAGGGAAGATCAGGAAGAGGGTAGCAAAGGGCAAGAGTAAAAGGGTCACGAAGGAGGCAAAGAAGGCAGAACAGCCTGGGTAGGGCAGAGTTTGGGAGTGAGTCAGACAAGGGAAATATTGGCTGGGTTAGTGAGACCTGGAGGACACAGGTGGATATAAAAGGTCTTTTGTGCTGGTATTTGCCAGACTTAAACGATGTGATTCTTTGTGCTATGTATTTGAAAAACTAAGGCAAAAAAGTCTAAATTTATTTTTAATGACTTTGAATGTTGAATAGATGATTCATTTTTTTTTAAAAAGCATTCACAATGGATAATTTCAAATCATACACAAAAGCAGAGAAAACGTTTTAATGAACCTAATTTACTCATCCTTTGACTTTAACAATTATTAGTGCATGGCAATCTGTTTCGCCTATACCCCCACCTATTTCCCCCATCCCATTACTTTGAAGCAGTCATTCCATCTTTAAATATTTCAATAGCTATATCTAAAATAAATGTTCCTTATGTAAGCATAGTATTATCATGCTTTAAAAATAACAATAATTTCTTAGCATTACTAAATAAATATTCAGGATTTTCAGATTCCTGATTGTCTTATAATTTTTGTAGTTTATTTAAATTGGAATCCACACAAAGTTCACCTTTTGCAATTGGTTAATCTAGCTTATGAACATCTTTTTAAGTTACAGATTCCCCTTTCATCTCTTTTATTTTTCCTTGAATTTTTTTTCCTGAAGAAATCCACAGTTGTAGGGAAAAGAAAGAGAGATCAGACTGTTACTGTGTCTATGTAGAAAGGGAAGACATAAGGAATTCTATTTTGACCTGTATCTTGAACAATTGCTTTGTTGAGATGTTGTTAATTTGTAACTTTGCCCCAGCCACTTTGCCCCAGCTATTTTGTTCCAACTTTGAGTTCACAAAAACATGTGTTGTATGGAACCAAGGTTTAAGGGATTTAGGGCTGTGCAGGATGTGTCTTGTTAACAAAATGTTTACAAGCAGTATGCTTGGTAAAAGTCATCGCTATTCTCTAGTCTCAATAAACCAGGGGCACAATGCATTGTGAAAAGCCGCAGGGACCTCTGCCTTGGAAAGCCAGGTATTGTCTAAGGTTTCTCCCCATGTGATAGTCTGAAGTATGGCCTCGTGGGGTGAGAAAGACCTGACCGTCTCCCAGCCCGACACCCGTAAAGGGTCTGTGTTGAGGTGGATTTGTGAAAGAGGAAAGCCCGTTGCAGTTGAGATAGAGGAAGGCCACTGTCTCCTGCCTGCCCCTGGGAACTGAATGTCTTGGTGGCTCACACCTATAATCCCAGCACTTTGGAAGGCTGAGGCGGGCAGATCACCTGAGGTCAGGAGTTCGAGACCAGCCTGACCAACATGAAGAAACCCCGTCTCTACTAAAAATACAAAAATTAGCCAGGCGTGGTGGCACATGCCTGTAATCCCAGCTACTTGGGAAGGCTGAGGCAGAAGAATTGCTTGAACCCCAGGAGGCGGAGGTTGCAGTGAGCCAAGATTGTGCCATTGCACTCCAGCCTGGGCAACAAGAGCAAAACTCCATCTCAAAAAATAAATAAATAAATAAAAAATAAATCCACCGTCTGAATTGTGTTGATATTTCCATGGTGGTATTTAACATGTTCTTCTGTCCCTGGTATGCCCTGTAGATTAGAAGCTTTATCTCTGGCCAGATTGTGGGTAGTTTTTTTTCTTCTTTATATCTTTTTTTTTTTTTTTTTTTTGAGATGGAGTCTCTCTCTGTCACCCAGGATGGAGTGCAGGGGCGTGATCTTGGCTCACTGCAAGCTCTGCCTCCCAGGTTCACGCCATTCTCCTGCCTCAGCCTCCCGAGTAGCTGGGACTACAGGCACCCACCACCACGCCCGGCTGATTTTTTGTGTTTTTAGTAGAGACGGGGTTTCACCATGTTAGCCAGGATGGTCTCGATCTCCTGACCTCGTGATCCGCCCGCCTCGGCCTCCCAAAGTGCTGGGCTTACAGGCGTGAGCCACCGCACCCGGCCTATATCTTTTCATATTTTCTAAGTTTTCCACTCATTATTCCTTAATTTTATATTCAGAATTTATGAAGTAAAACAAAGTTTAAAATGACTTTAGTAGAAAACTTTTTTAAAAGAATGGCTTTAGAAATTAATTAACAGGAGGACAATTGGTGAAATTCTAATAAAGCCTATAGTTTTATTAATAGTATTGTCTGAAAGTTAATTTCCTGCTTTTGATAAATGTCCTATGGTTATGTAATATGTTAAAGTTTGGGGAAGCTGGACAAAGGATATATGGGAACTCTCTTCACAGTTTTTTGCAAACTTGTTTAAAAAACTGAAATTTCAAAATAACAAAGTTACAAAAAAGAAAGAAGAATTTTAGTGGAGTGATAGAGATTGAAACTAGATTGTAGAAAGTTAAGAAACAAAGAGGAGAAAGAAAAGGTAACCTGTTGGAAACAGTGGCCATTTAAAAAATGGAAAGAAATTAGGAAGTAGCTCAAAGAAGTGGAATGATTAAGATTATTTTTTATTTATTTTTTGTTTTGTTTTTAAGGCTGGAAGAGACTTGAGCTTGCAAGTGAAATAAGCCAGAGAATTTTGAAGATATAAAAAGGTAATAAAATTATGTGTATGTATTTAAAATGCTCTGTAAGAAAATTTTTTAAAAATGAGATTATTGGTATAATAAAATGGGACCCAGAACAGATGGGTTTGCCTGGTCAAGGAAATTAAAACACCACCTCTTCCTCTGAAATAGGAGGAATACAGAAAAGGAGTGATGTTAACATAGAGAAACTCCAAAGTGGAGAGAAACAGAGGTGAGGTAGTAGATGCCTGAAGACTTTTCACTTGACCAGAAAATTGAAGTGACATCCTTGGCTGATGGTAAGAGTCATTGGGATGGAGTTGAAGACTCATGGAGCCTAGAGAATTCTTTGCAAGGGCTGGGAGGGAAGCAACAGGAAGCTAACTCCAGATGGATAACCATGGAAGCAGGAAGGGCCCAGATAGGGTTGTGGAGTGGGAATACTTAGCGGGTCCTGTGGTATAGTTATGACACTTTTTCTAGCAAAAGTGGGCAATCCTGGAGTGAGCAGGTGGTGGGTGATCTAGAGTGAGGGTTGCCACTGGGGACACTGGCAGGTAAAAGGGCCAAGTGTCCCAAGGATGTTAGCAAGGGCAGTGCAGAGTAGCTGGTGTGGGTCCAGGCTGAGCAGGACAGTGAGGGAGGCCAGGAATGTGGTTGTGCTTGGTCCCATGTGGTTATATCAGCCACCATGACATTGACCTTCATGTATTGGGTTCTTGGAAATTCTTTGTTTAGCCAAGGAAGATAGTTATTTCAGCATAGGCCAAGCCACAAAATGATAGAATGAGAGTTTACCTTTTTTTGTAGATTGTTCCTCCTCTTGCAGCTCTAACATCTGGATGAGCCACCAGTGGGACGGTAGTGGCTCCAAAGAAATGAGTCTCCCTTCTCCTCTGGGGGTTTACCCACTGTCTGATATTCTTGGCACCAATTCCTTTCTCAGGTGGGGAGAATGTGAATTGCTTCTCCTAGAGATAACATCTTTTCTATTCAGCAAGGTCCAATCACAAGTCAGTTCTTTGATATCTCAGGTAGGTTCTGGGAGCAAACTGGCCAAGGACTCCAAAAAGCTACCCCACACTCACTCCTCCAGTAAAAAGGCATCCTATAATGTTAGAAACACATGCTTCATTCTGTAACCACTGCTTCCAGCCCTCTCAGGTGGGTGGCTTTGAGAAATCATTCCTCAAGAGAAAGTGAGGAAGAGGTAGTTGAAGGCAGGAATGTGTTTCCAAAAAGACAGTGTATTAGTTTCCTATGGCTGCCATAACAAAGTACCACAGACCTGGTGATTAGCAGTTTACTGACTTACAGTTTTGGAGGCCAGAAGACAGAGATCAAGGTGTCAACAGGACTGGTTCCTCCTGTTAGCTTTGAGGGAAGGATCTGTTCCAGGCGTCTCTCCTTGGCTTGTAGATAGATAACCATTTCTCCCTACTTTGCTTTTCATCGTCTTCCCTCTATGGCTGTCCATGCTGGTGTGTCCAAAGTTCCCCCTTCTATTAGATTAGAGTCCACCCTATGACCGCATCTAACCTAACTAATTACATCTGCAGTGACTCTATTTCCCAATAAGGTTACATTCCGAGGTACTAAGGGTTAGGAATTCAACCTATGAATTTTTGGGGGATACATAATTCAATCCATGAAAGAAGGATTGGTATAGTCTCTTCTTTCTTTTCCCTGACCACTTACCTCCTATAGACTCTCATGACCATCTTTGTGAAGTATTGAAATTTCCTCCCTTGAATCCCTGTCACATGTCCTTCAACCTCCAGTCCACCTTGCGTATGCCTGTCAAATTCATCTTTCTAGAATTTCCACTTCTATCATGCATCCTGATTACAAACCATCCATGGTTCTCCATTGCCTAAGGAAGTGGTTCCAAAACTTGCCAGTTTATTGGACTCACGTGGAAAGTTTAAAGGCATATAGGTTCCTGGGCTCTTCTCTGATATTCTGATTTAAAGTCTGGGGTAGGGTCTCTGGCACTGAAAACAAATCTCTAGACGACTTTGATTGTGGGGTTTGCTAATGTAAAAAAGAAATTCAAGTTCTCCACATTCTAATTGAAGTTTACTCTTCCACTTTATTATTCTAGAACCCTTTGCCTACCAGCCCCCAGCATGCTGTGACGATCCTGCCCCAGTATTGGACACCTGAGGAGGCGTTCCCTCTCCTATTCCTCCAACTGGCTCTTGTCCTGCTCTCATCCCACCTTTTCTTTGAAGTCTCCTGCCACTCTATCCCACTGTCACCTTGCCCTTCTTCACCTCCTGTATCTTCCTGTCTATGTTACTACCTAGGCAGAGCTCTCTAGCTTCTGAAGGTTCATGGATCATAGAATCCCAGGGCCAAGAGGGCCCTGGACATCCTATGTGTTTCAAAGGTCTTCCAAGCTCAGAGGGAGAAGTTGAGTTCCCTACGTGATACTTCAGGGCCATAGGTGGTAGAACTGGGAAGCGGTTCAGGATGTGACTCCAAACGAGAATGGCATGAGACGCTTAGGCTTCTACAGCTCCTTCCTCACTCTACGCAGCCAGGTGATTGTCTGCTCTGCCAGGGCACTGGGGCGAATGTCTTCTCTGCAGAGGCTGACTGAAGAGGCCAGGGAATTGGGGACTCAGTATGGCAGAGGGCAGAGCAGAAGCACTGTATTTGAAGAGCGGTATTAAGTAAAAGTTCACAAGCCAAGCAGGCTCCCCTCCTTACAGTTCACCGTCATCAGGAATACCTAAGACAAGAAACACAGTCACTTCTATCTGGAGAAACTGACAAGTCTAAAAGAAAATACTGACAGAAAGGACTCATCAACAAAATCGCTGGGTCCCCACCTAATCATCCTATAGCAAGGCAAGACCTGACAATCAACAAACCCTGCTCACATGCACTGAACTATCAGTCGGCCTTTTGGTTTCTCACTTTCACATATGAGTGAACAGTCATGGATCACCAGAGACCACAACAAACAAAAAACACAGGAAAAAAAGGAAAGTCCTAAAGTCCAGAGAGAAGCACAAAAAAGAAAAATTGGATACATATAAAGGAGTGAGAGGCCGAGTAACATAAGACTTTTCAATAGCAACTTGAGGAATTAAAAGCCCATGGAACAATACCTTTGATATACTGAGGAGAGTAGTTTGAATTTAGATTTTTCTTACACAGACAAACCATCCATAAAGTCTTACAGTAGACAAATTCGGACATGCAAAATGCTTATATCCTGTGCATTCGTTCTCAGAAAGATACTGGAGAATGTGAGCCTCAAAAATGATTAAACCAGGAAAGAGGAAGATTGAGATCTGGGAAATATGGGATTCAACACAGGAGAGGACATTCAGAATAATGCTGGGGAAGGGAAGTTCCAGAACAGCTGTGTAGCAGGCCTCAAGAAGAAACAATCCAGTCTGCAGTAGGAGAGGTACAGGGCTCCATGGGGAAGGAAAACAAAATAATAGATGGATCATCAGATACATATGAATATGTGGAAAACTGTATCAAGAGGCTGTTAGAGAATAGGGGAAGAAGTAATCTTAGAAACAAAGAAGCTAAACATGAAAATACAAGAGGACAGAGGACTGCACTGAAGCATCTAGTCATGAAAAAAAATGAGCTGATAGGTTCCTGATGTGTTTGACTGTATTGAGAGGAGTGTTATGTGAGAATTTGGGGAATGAAATTGAGATGAAGAAAGATAAGCAATTATTAAATCCTGGAAAAACAGAAAGTTGTGTAAGAAAGGAAATGTAATCATTGCACACCATATGACTCAGCGGCAAATAATATTCTATATTAAAAATAATGTAAAGAATAATATAAATTTAAACAAAAATGGAAATATAACTATATTGGGAAGATTAGTGCAGGAAAATTGAGTGTGTGTGTTTCAGTTATTACACTGTTTCTCAGCCATAAGCTCACCTTTTTACACTCTGCTCTGTGATGCTGGGGCTGGAACGCTGCAAACCACATTTCTTCTTTGCTGGCTGTCTTCATGTTAGGCTCTGTCAGTATGGAAATTAGAGGGATGCTGCAGAGTTGGAGGAGGAAGACAGAAAGAACATCTTCCTGTCTGCTTACTTCTCTCTCAATGTTCATTCATTCATTTATTCAACAAATATTTATTTAAAGACTGTTGTCTGGCCCAGCACTATTCTAGGTGTTTACCTTCCAGTAGGGAAAGAGAAATAATAAACAATATACATAATAAATAGATAAATAAAGTATATGGCATTATGTGGAAAAAAAGAACAAAGAATTAGAGTAAGGGACATTGGGAGTGCATGGGTGAGGTGTATTATAATTTTATCTTATTTTATTTTAACTTTTTGAGATGTAGTCTCACTGTGTTGCCCAGGCTGGAGTGCTGTGGCGTGATCTTGGCTCACTGCAACCTCTGCCTCCTGGGCTCAAATGATCCTCCCACCTCAGCCTCCTGAGTAGCTGGGACCACAGGTGCCTGGCTAATTTTTGTATTTTTAGCAGAGATAGGGTTTCGCTATGTTGGCCAGGCTAGTCTCGAATTCCTGACCTCAGATGATCTGCCCACCTGGGCCTCCAAAAGTGCTGGGATTATAGGCATGAGCCACCACAGCTGGCCTATAAGTTTATTTATTTTTATTTATTTATTTTGCAATGGAGTATTGCTCTGTCACCCAGGCTAGAGGGCAGTGGCATGATCTTGGCTCACTGCAACCTCTGCCTCCTGGGTTCAAGCGATTCTCCTGCCTCAGCCTACCGAGTAGCTAGGACTACAGGCACCTGCCACCACGCCCAGCTAATTTTTGTATTTTTTAGTAGAGTTGGGGTTTCACCATATTTACCAGGCTGGTCTTGAAATCCTGACCTCAGGCCATCTGGCCACCTCAGCCTCCCATAGTGCTGGGATTATAGGTGTGAACCATTGTGCCCAGGCTATTTTTAATTTTAATTAATTAATTATTATTATTATTTTGAGGCAAAGTCTTGCTCTGTCACCCAGGCTGGAGTGCAGTGGAGTGATCATAGCTTACTGAAGTCCTTCCTGGACTCAAGTGATCTTCCTGCACCAGCCCCCCAAGTAGCTAGCACTACAGTAGGTGTGCACCCCCGTGCCTGGCTGTTTATTTTTTTTGTAGCGATGCAGTCTTACTATGTTGCCTAAGCTGATCTTGAACCCCTGGCTTCAAGCAGTCCTCTCACCTTAGCCTCCTGAAGTATTGGAATTACAGATGTGACCCACTGTGCTGAGCCTTATTATTTTTATTGACACAAAATATAGCTACATATTTTCTGTGTACATGCAATAATTTATCCCATTCATATAATTTGTAAAGATCAAATCAGTGTAATTGGGATATCCATCACCTTAAATATCTGTTCTTTATGCTTTTCTTTCTGATCACTTTGGTTAGTATGAACATTTTAACAATGTTTATGCTAGAAACAGTTATTCTCTTATCACTATTTTGAAATAGACCATAGATTATTGTACACTATAGCCACTCTACTAATTTATCACACACTAGGTCTTATTTCTTCTATCAAACTGCATATTTTTACCCATTAATCAACCTCTTTTTATCCCTCTCACCCCCTAGCCTTCCTGGCCTCTGGTAACAACCAATCTATTCCCTGTCTTCATTAGATCCACTTTTTCAGTTCCCACATATGAGTGAGAACATATGATGTTTGTTGATTGATTGTTTCCTTTTCTGTGCAGAAGCTTTTTAGCTTGATGTAACCAATTTGTCTATTTTTGCTTTGCTTGCCTGTGCTTTTGGGGTCTTTGCTCAGAAAGCAAAAAAATCTTTGCTCAGACAAATGTCCTTGAGGATTTCCTCAATGTTTTCTTCTAGTAGTTTCATAGTTTCAGATCTTAGATTTAAATTTTTAATCTATTTTGAATTTATTTTTGTATGTGGTAAGAAATAAAGGTCTAGTTTCATTCTTCTGCATTTGGTTATCTAGTTTACCAAGCACCATTTATTGATGACACTTTTCTTTCCCCATTGTATGTTCTTGGCACCTTTGTTGAAAATGAGTTGTTTGCAAATGTGGGGATTTATATTTGGGTTCTCTATTCCGTTCTATTAGTCTATGCATCTGTTTGTATGTCAGTACCATTGCTTTGCAGTATATTTTAAAGTCAGGTAGTGTGATGGCTTCAGGTTTGTTCTTTTTGCTCAAGATTGTTTTGGCTATTTGAAGTATTTTGTGGTTTCATACAAATTTTAGTATTTTTTTTTTTATTTCTCTGAAGAATGTCTTTGGTCTTTGATAGAACCTGCACTAAATCTGTGGATCCCTTTGGATAGCATGGACATTTTTACAATATTAATTCTTCCAATTCATGAACATGAGCTATCTTCCCATTTATTAGTGTCCCTCTCGATTTTTTTCATTAATATTTTATAGTTTTAGAGATTTTTCATATCCTTGGTTAAACTTATTGCTAGGTTTTTTTTTGTAGCTATTGTAAATGGGATTGCTTTTTTTATTTCTTTCTCAGATAGTTCACAGTGGCATATAGAAACTCTACTGATTTTTGTATGTTGATTTTGTGTCCTGCAACTTTACTGAATCTGTTTTTAGTTCTAACAGTTTTTCAGTAGAGTCTAGGTTTTTCTAAGATCATGTTTTCTGTGAATAAGACTAGTCTGACTTTTTCCTTTCCATTTGGAATGTCCTTTTTTTCTTTATCTTGACTAATTACTCTGGCCAGGACTTCTAGTATTATGTTGAAAAAAATGTTGAAAGTGGGCATCCTTGTCTTGTTCCAGACCTTAGAGGAAAGGTTTTCAATGTTTCCCTGTTCAGTTTGCTGTTAGTTGTGGGTTTGTCATATGTAGCCTTTGTTATTTTGCAGTATGTTTCTTCTATATCCAATTTGTTGAGGGTTTTTATTAGAAAAATATGTTGAATTTTGTTGAATACTTTTTCATCATCTATTGAAATGATCAGGTGGTTTTTGTTCTTGGTTCTGTTAATGTGATGTATCACATTATTGATTTGCGTATGTTGAACTATTCTTGTATCCTGGGAAGAATCCCACTTGATCATGGTGAATCTTTTTAAATATGTTGTTGAATTTGGTTTGGTTAAGGATTTTTGCATCTGTGTTCATCAGGGATATTGGCCTGCAGTTTTCTTTTTTTGTGTGTGTGTGTCCTTTATTTCTCTTTCATATTGGAAGGATAGCTTTGCAGGTTACAACTATTCTTGGTAAGCAGTTTTTGTTGTTGTTGTTGTTGTTGTTGTTGTTGTTGTTTCTTTCAGCCCTTCGAAAATGTCATCTCACTCCCTGATGGCCTGTATGGTTTCTGTTGAGAAGTCTGTTGCCAGAAGAATTGGAGCTCCTGTATATGTTATTTGATTCTTTTCTCTTGCTGCTTTTAGGGATCTCTCTTTGTCCTTGACCTTTGAGAGTTCGATTATTATATGCCTTGGGGTAGTTTATTTGGGTTATACCTGTTTGGTGTTCTCTGATCTTCCTGTATCTGGATATTTATCTTTTCCTCAAGTTTTGGAAAGTTTTCTATTATTATTTCTTTGAGTAAGTTTTCTATTCCTTGCTCTTGCTCAATTCCCTCTTGAACACTAGTAATCCTTAGATTTGGTCTTTTGAGCCAGGCACGGTGGCTCATGCCTGTAATCCCAGCACTTTGGGAGGCCGAGGGAGGTGGATCATGAGGTCAGGAGTTCAAAATCAGCTTGAACAACATGGTGAAACCCCGTCTCTACTAAATATGCAAAAATTAGCTGGGCAAGGTGGCGCATGCCTGTAATCCCAGCTACTCAGGAGGCTGAGGCAGGAGAATCACTTAAACCCAGGAGGGGGAGGTTGCAGTGCAGTGAGCCGAGATTGTACCACTGCACTCCAGCCTGGGCGACAGAGTGAGACTCCATCTCAAAAAAAAAAAAAAAAAAAAAAAGAGATTTGGTCTTTTGAGGTAGTTTTGTATATTTTGTAGGTGACCTGTATTTCTTTTCATTCTTTTTTTTCTCCTCATTTCTCCTCTGTGTATTTTCAAATAGCCTGTCTTTGAGCTCATTGATTCTTACTTCTGCTTAATCCATTCTGCTGTTGAGAGCCTCTAATGAATTTTTCAGTTCAGTAAACGTATTTCTGTTTCAAGATTTGTGATTTTTTATACTTTATTTTATTTTATTTTTAAATTTTGAGACAGAGTCTCACTCTGTTGCCCAGGCTGTAGTGCAGCAGTGCAATCTTGGCTCATTGCAATCTCCGCCTTCTAGGTTCAAGCAATTCTCATGCCTTAGCCAACTGAATAACTGGGATTACAGGCATGCGTCACCATGCCCAGCTAATTTTTGTATTTTTAGTAGAGATGGGGTTTCACCATGTTGGCCAGGCTGGTCTCAAACTCCTGGCTTCAAGTGATCCTTCTGCCTCGGCCTCCCAAACTGCTGGGATTACAGGTGTGAGCCACTGCACCCAGCCGCAAGATTTGTGTTTTAAAAAACTGCTTCAATATCTTTGTTAAATTTCTCTGACAAATTTTGGAATTGCTTTTCCATGTTATCTTGGAAATTACTGAGTTTCCTTAAAACTGCCATTTTGAATTCTTGGTCAGAGAGTTTATATATCACCATCTTGTTAGGGTCAGTTACTGGTTCCTTGCTTTGTTCATTTGAGGCAGTCATAGCACTCTACTGGCTGCCGTTTCTTGTGGATGTATGTCTATGTTTTTGCATTGAAGGATTAGTTATTCCAGTCTTCTTTGTCTGGCTTGTTTTGGTTTTTATTGGGTATGTTTGCTTAGAGATTCTTTGTAATTTATCAGTTGATTTTCTTTCTTATGTTCCACTGCTAGGTTGCTGCCTCCTTTTTGGCACTAAATGGTGCCTTAAGCCCGGGTTTGCCCTGGTTCTATTAAACAACCAGAGTACCACCAGTACTGAATGGGGTAGGTCTCAAGGGGGAATATCCTGGTAATATCGAAAGGCTGGTTAAGAGTTTATGCCCAAGGATATGTGGAACAAACCTACAGTGTGGTGCTGCTCTAATTTGGTGTCTTCTTTGGCTGAGAGCAGTTTTCACAGCTGGAGATGGTAGTCCTGCCTCCTCAGTTTCCTTAGGGTGATTTCTCCTTTCAAGCACTCCCAGTGCATCCTGTGGTTTGAGGCAGGGACAGGTCTCCTGACAGAGAACCAAGAGGGTGGGCAAGCTGGTTGTCCACCCCAACTCACTTTTTCCAGTGTAGAAACCATGCGTCAGGGGAAATTTTCTATGCATTTTGTGCTAGGCAGACTGGGGAAAGGGGTGTCACAGATATGGAAGTCCAAGTCTCTTACCATCTGCTTGGAGTTTTTTTCGCTTCTCTGAGGCCAGGAGAACTTTCTCATCTTCATATTTGAGTTATAATTTATTGCTAGTGATAATCTCAGCACTGTATATTTGATCTTGGTTTTCTTTGGGGTGAGTGAAGCCAGCTTGTTTCTACACCAGCTTGTTTCTACACTCGTTTCTGGTTCTGCCATTTCAGAACCAGAAGTCTCCACAATTTTAAATAGAGTGGTCTGTCTGGGTAGACTTTATTGGGAAGAAGACATGACAAAGAGAAAACTTGAGCAAAGATTTGGCCTTAAATGTGAATAGGCTTGGCATACTTGAGGAATGTTCAGAGAACAGTGTGGCTGGACCGAGGGAGAGAGGGTGAAAAAAGTGAGAAAGTTGAAATTGTTTGCTGTTGGAAGGAGAAAATTAGAAGCAAGGAGGGTTTGGGCAGAAGATTGCCTTTCATAAGTCATGTATGATCATTTCCTTTTTCAATTGTGGACATGTTAACTTTTGTAAAAATAGAGCTTAAACTTAAAAATTATAAATCACAAAATGCAATGTGATTTCCTGAATTGGAACAGAAAAAGAATGTTAGTGGAAAAACTGGTGAAATCTGAATAAAGGCTAGTTAATCATAATGTACCCTTTTTTTTTTTTTTTTTTTTTAGTTTTAGCAAGTGTACCATGTAATATAAGATGGTAACATTAGGGGAAACTAGGTGAGGGGTATATGATAATTCTCTGTATTATCTTTGCAACTTTTCTGTAATTTTTCTAAAATTATTCCAAAATAAGTTTATTTTTAAAAAGCCTTTAAAACAAACAAAAAATTGAATCAGCTGATAAAATGCTGCCTTTTCCCTTTCCCCAATTCCAAGCCTTGTACTCTTACCTGGGTTTTAGCAGTTGGTCATTATTAGGTAGGAAGATGTGATTTACCTATGGACCCGGGCTGATCTCCAGATGGAAGGAAAAAGGCCAGCAGGGAAGGCTCTGTATATCATATCTGTGGAGCATCCAGCTCACAGCTTCTTGGTGGGTGACATTCAGAAGCTGAGAAGCAGAAACCAAAACAGAGGCATTTATGCAGGGGAAAAACAAAACCAAAAACAAAACATTAATGTGTAATTCCCATAAGTTCTTAAGAAAGCAGAGTAACAAATATATCTTTGCAGGACTTTATTTCTTAATCTCTGTCTCTAGAACTCTGTAGTTATTTCTAATAATGAGTAGTTTCAAAGTAGAAATAATCCCAGATCCTTGATCGAATAGCTTTTTTCCTCTCTGCAGAGCTTCCTAAATATTTTTGGTGGGGGTGCCTGTTCAGGTGCTTCTGCAGTTGATGCTGAAATATTTCCTTATGTCAGTGCTTTCCATGTATAATTTTACATGCTTCAATGTATGAATTACTAGAAATGTGCCTTAAAAAGTTTTATATAATTATTTAGTATGGAGCTAGCAAAAAAAAAAAAAAAAAAAAAAAAAGGTGGCGGGGCGGGGAGAAGAAAAAAAAATAATGAAGAAAAAGCTTAATTTTTGGTAACTATTGCCTCCTACTCCCTCCCTGGCAAGTCTTTTTTTGAGTTTTGAGGAAATCCTTTTCTGCTCATGCTTTTTCCACATATTCTACCTTCATCCTCAATTCTTCTCCCTTCTCTATTGTTTAAGTTCTTGGGATTAAAATCCAGGAAGGAAAGTATTTTGCATATTATTTTTATATTTTGCCCCATGACATACCTCCTCTGAGATGGAGTAGGCTACTCCTTAAACTGGGGTGAAAGAAGAAGGGAAAAAGAAAATGAGAGAAAGAGAGAGAGAGAAAAAAAGGACATTTCAGCATATTATCCAGCCACATTCAGTCCACTTTTCTTGCATCTAGGAGTCTGCCCGATGTATTTTCTGGGATTGTTAGCAGTTAGGGGATGAACAGTGAGCACTCTGGAGTTTGTTTTGATTTTATTTGTGTTCTTCACGCCTTTTAAAAAATCACATAAGAAATAAATTTATTGCAGAAAACAAAAAAAAGTGATAGAAAAAATGTTAAAATAAATTGAAAATCACCTTTAATCTCAGAAATACAGAAACACTTATCCTCGTCCAAAATATCACCAACCACTCAGTGCCAGAAACCAACACACGTAGAGAAATAGAAACAAGGGGTGAAGCCCTGAGCGTGTGACCCTGCGGCTGCAGAAGCTTCTGAGACCCAGCTGCCTGTTCTTCTTTTGGCTTTGTGGTTTCGTGTTTTGCCCATCACATTAATTTTCTGTATTGAATGACACTCTTTTGGTTGTGGCAGAAACCCAAGTTGAATTTATTTATAAAAAAATAAATAGAAGGCTGGGCGTGGTGGCTCACGCCTGTAATCCCAGCACTTTGGGAGGCTGAGGCGGGTGGATCATGAGGTCAGGAGATTGAAACCATCCTGTCGAACACGGTGAAACCCCGTCTCTACTAAAAAATACAAAAAATTCGCCGGGCATGTTGGCGGATGCCTGTACTCCCAGCTACTTGGGAGGCTGAGGCAGGAGAATGGCATGAACCTGGGAGGGGGAGCTTGCAGTGAGCTGAGATCACGCCACTGCACTCCAACCTGGGCGACAGAGCGAGACTCCATCTAAAAAATAAAAATAAAATAAAATAAAATAAAATAAAATAAAATAAAATAAAATAAAATAAAATAAAATAAATAAATAGAAACAGGATGCCTGCTCAGATTGCATAAGTTTGAATACCAACTCCATGTGGTCTTTGGCATATTACTTAACCTCTAAAAGCCTCTGTTTTCTCATCTGGGAAAGGGTACCCATGTTCTCTGGAGATTGTTATGGGAATTGAATAAGATAAGAAATGGGCCTAGCACATGTTAATCACTTAATACATGGTGCTAGTCTAGCAGTAATTGAATAGTATGTGGTCACCCGAGTGGAGGAAGTTGTGTTGTTAGCATGTTATTCCTAGAGGAAGTTGGAAGGCAGGTAACAGAGGGAGTGAGGCAGGCCTTTTCTTTCTCACATGTGCACGCCCGTGAACTCCACCATGACCTGCTGTAAGAATTGCTGGTGTAGACAGCCATGCTGCTAATATCCTCCTCCACCATGAATACCCCCAGGGAGCACAAGAGGCCCTGACTGACTATCTCTTGACTAATGGTCAGGCCACGGTAGCCAGAGTCCAGGAAAATCTCAAACTTCATCAGTAATGAGGGGAGATTTTGCCACAGGTTATCTGAGGGAGCCAAGAGCTCTGCAGTTTGAGATAGTGGTTTCAGATCTGTGGAGTCACAAAAAGTCATGTAAGATACCTCTGAGAATTTAGGTTTGTTCATTCTACTGAGGGTAGAACTGCACATTGTATTTATGTCCTGAGCCCATCTTTTTGTCTTTTTTTTTTTCCAAATCAAATCAACTTTGAGGGGGATATTTAGCATCTAGTTAAAACAGCTTATGAAAAACCAGCCAAAGTCTGGTAAAAAAAACCTCTTTGGAAATGACGACCATAATCTCTGGTTTGTAGATCTTTACTGCTCTTACTAAATGTTCAAAGAGTTTTCTGGGTTTTTTGTTTGTTTGTTTGTTTTTTAGAGATTAGTATGCACACATGAATTAGGAAGTATTCCTAAAATCAGGAAGCAGGAAGAAAGCAGGATTGAGCAGAGGGAGAACTTGGCTATGATGTTGTTACAACGCCCTCAATGGATCCTATAGAGAGTGATGAAGCTAGACGTGACTTTCAGAGTTGTGCAGAGCTGGGGTGAGAAGGCCAGGCCTCAACCCCTCCCACCCCAACCCCCACACTACCTAACTGGATGGACATTAGATGTGATGTTCAAAGGATCTTAATGGAATAGTTGTTGAAACAGATCTGAGATGCAGTAAATTTTGGTCTGCAGAATCAAGTCAGCATTACCTCAATCAGAATTTGTGATGAACATATACAAATACATCTGGCTTGAGACAGCCTAGTTTGAAAATATACACAGGCTCAGAAGGGACACGCTGTTTCTCACCAAGTCCTAGGTTAGGCAATGCCACTGTAAGGTGATTGCTCCTCCTAGGCACCAGGCCTGTAGCCCAGGTAAAGCTGCCACTTGTGTGAATAGTGGAGGCTGGCTTTTGGACTTATGATCCAAGCAGACAGGTTTTTCCTAAGTATGGTTAACTGAGTCATAAACTATCACATCCTGTATAACCCATTTGTGTTTTTTTCTGACTAAAATAAAACTCTCCATTAAAACTGAACAGCAATTAAACGATTTCTAATCTCCACTTTACACACAAGGCAACCTGCAATTTATAATAAGATTTGAAGACACAGAAACATCTCTTAGTTTCCCACCTCCCCACCGCCCCCGCCACTGATCTGCTTCAATAGCTGGAAATCTTTGTTTAATCTGACTCCAGGTCTTTCTTTGTGTTTGAGAAAACATTCAGACTGCATCTTCTGTGGCTTCTCTATGTCCCAGCTGCAACTTCAAGAACCCTGATCAGTGCGATCAAAGTTGTAATTTAAAGCTTTTGGGAAGCCCAGGCTTTCTCTGTATTAGACAGTTATCAGTCCTCATTATCAAACCACTCATCCCCTTTGTTGCTCTATATAATAGAAAAAGCAGCTTCCTGCTCCCAGTGACTTGGCAAAAAATTGAATAAGAGAGAGAGATTATGGCCATGGCAGGTGTGCACAGCAGGGTCCTTCCCAAACCCCCTCTCCTCCGAGCCTTCTCTAATCAGAAGGAGTCATTGGTTTCCCTTTTCAAAGGAGCCTGTCTACTTGGCCTCATCCCAGGGTCGAGAGTAGCTCAATGATTAAATTCAGTGACAGAATGTAGCAGCTCTTCCTGCTGGAACCTTTCCAGACTACTTCCACCACAGCCATTAATTTCTTGAAATTAATTTTTCCTTTTATCTAAGCAGTACACACATATCTTTAAAAGTTAATGACAGAAGTCTCCTATGAAAAAACAGCAGTCTCCTGCCCCATCCACTCCTTTATTCTTATTAAGTTTTTTTCTTTGCCGTTTATCTCTATTTTTATTCTATTTGATATGTGCGTATCATTGGTTTGAGGCATCAATTTTAAACTTTATCTTTTGGCTTTCTCATGAACTACAAGAGATATAACTTTCTTTCTGTTCTGATTTCAGATTTATATTTTTTATATATTATTTCATTATATTATTTTATATTATAAAATGTTATATTATTATGACTATGTAAATATTGTTTATTGCAGAGCAAAGGAGTATATTATAATGTTTTATTTTTATACATTTTTGGATATTCCTAGGGTTAATAATTGCCTTTCCATCCATTTGCTTAAATTACTTGTTTCCTTTGGGTAGTATCTGAACATGATTATTCCCATTGTTAAATAACTTACCAGATAACTTTCCTGACTCCATCCTCTTGCTTCAGGCTGACTTGTTGCTCTTGGAAACAGCTGTGCAGCATGGCTCTAGGCCTTCCCTTCATCAACCTGGAAATCCCTTTTGACTCTTATTTGTGTTTGATCTCATTTCCTGGATCCTAAGTCTTTCTTTTTTTTTGATTTATTGACCCTCTCATTTTCATGGAACATGTTCTTAAATAACTATTCCTGAGAAAGAGTCCGTGGAAGCAAAGTTTTCTGAGATCTTTCAAGCCTGTATTTTTCCTTTGTCCTCATGCCTGACTGATAATTTGGCTGGGTATAGAATTTTAGACTGAAAATAATTTTTTTCCTTTCAGAACCTGGAAAGCAGTGCTTTATGTTTTCTAGCTTTTTCTGTTACGGTTAAGAAGTGGCCATTCTTATTCTTAGTTATTTGGATGTAATTTTTTTTCTCTTTAGAAACTTCTGTTCCTCCTTGGTGTTCTAAAATATGATCATGGCAGAAGTTATATTCTTTTTCTGGTACCTGATGGGCTCTTTTAATCTTTTTGTTTGAAGCATTTTTAAAAATTATTATTTGTTTGATAAATTTCTTCTCTCTCAAGTTTTTGTTTGCTCTTTCTAGAATTCTTATTACTTGAATATTGGACTCCCTGAATTGATCCTCTAATTTTCTGGCTCATTTTCTTTCCCTATTGTTTACCTCCTAGTTATTTTGTTTTGTTTTTGGGGAGACTCCCTTGAATTTACCTTCCACCCTCCCTATTGACTTTTTTTTTGACTGTGGCTATCATATTTAATTTCCAACTTCTCTGATAGGTTTCCTGTTTCTCCTCCTCCTCCTTCTATAGCATCCTCTTCTTGCTATTATCTCTCCAAAGAATACATACAGTTTTTCCTCTAAAGTTGTTTTTCTTCTTGTTCTTTTCTTCAAGTCCCTTTTCTCTGTCTGTTCTGGCCTTTGTTTTTCACCTTGGGGGTCTTTTTCAGATGTCTATGGATCCTTAACCATTCATTAATATTTGAGTCAATCACTAAGAATCTGATGTGGGCTCTATGGGCAGGGGTAGGGCTTGCTTCTGGTGATCTCCTTTGTAGGACCGTGGTTCTCAGTAGGGGCAGCTCCTGGGCAGTTTGGAAAGTTGTGAGGATTTTTAGTTATCACAGTTATTGGGGGGCCTACTAACATTTAATATGTGGGGGACAAGAATGCTAGTTGGATTGCAGGACAGTTCCACAAAACAAAGATTGTCCTGTATCTAGGGCTGCCACCTAAAATAAAGGACACTCAGTTAAAATCGAATTTTGGATAAACAACAAATACATTTTTTTGTATTAGTATGTCTCAAATATTATATGTTTATGGGCCAAATCTGGCAACCCTGTCTGTGTCCTATTCTATGTCCTACTGCACAGTTATGTGGGTGAAAAGCTCTTTATAATGATTTGATTCTTGATATCAGCTCTGCTTTATATATAAATACAAATACTTTTTTCACATGGATTTAACATACCCTGTGATTTTTTAAAATGCAGCTACTATGTAAATTGAGAGGAGACTGGACTTTGTTTTGTTTAGAACTTAACCAAGGGTTGTCACCATTTAGAAAAACATGTCAATGGCAACAGCACTGCTCATGATCAAATATGCAGATAATTTTTACAATTGCAAAAATTAGGTTTGCAATTGTCCCTCTTACCCAGAGGGGTTCCAATGCACTAACTTAGATCTTATTTCAAGATGGCAAATATAAGAAATATGACAAAATAAAATGAACAATGGTATCAACAATATTCAGTTGAATATGGTCTAACTTCTTTTAAGGTTGGACTGTTCATTGTAAAAAATGAAAGCATCTAACTGTTTCATTATGTCTCCCAGGTATGCTGCCCATGTGCCTACTTAGTAAACCATCTTGGGCCGTGAACTACTTTCCTTTTTTTTCTCCTTCGTAAGGACATTATAATTTAAAGAAAATAATGTGTAGGTTGATTATTTTAACTATGAATTTAATTTCACATAGTAAAAGAGGTATTTCAATATTTTTGCTTTAAAAAGAAAGTTGAAGGTACCTGCAACATGGTCAAATCTCAAAATATAATTATGCTGACTGAAAGAAGCCAGACAAAAAGAGGACATATTGGCCGGGCCTGGTGGCTCATGCCTGTAATTCCGGCACTTTGGGAGGGTGAGGCAGGCAGATCAGCTGACCTGATGATCGAGCCTGACCTCCTGGCTTGAGGTCAGGAGTTCAAGACCAGCCTAGCCAACAGGGCAAAACTATGTCTCTTCTAAAAATACAAAAATTAGCCGGGTGTGGTGGTGGGTGCCTGTAATTCCAGTTACTTGGAAGGCTGAGCCAGCAGAATTGCTTGAACGTGGGAGGTGAGGGCTGCAGTGGAGCAGAGATTATGCCACTGCACTGCAGCCTGGGTGACAGTGGGAGACTCCATCTCAAATGTCATATAATTCAATTTTTATAAAATTCTCGAAAATGTAAGCTAACCCTATAGTGACCAAAAGATCAGTGATTGCCTGGGAATGGAAACTGGGACAGAGAATGGCAATGAATGGCACAAGGAAACTTCTGGGGAATGGCTGTGTTTTTAAATCTTGATTTTGGTGATCATTTCATGAGTGCATGCATATGTCAAAAATTTCCAAATTGCACATCTTAATCATGAGCACTTTACTGAATATCAATTATACCTCAATAAAGCTGTTAAAAAACAACAACAAAAAAGAAGGTGTTGAGTCTGATAGGGTTGAGGCCAACTGCTACAGTACATTTGTGCAATGACAGGATTTTTGCACTGAGACACTTCCAAATGTCAGTATCTGTAGGATCTGTATGGCTTTCTTCCAGTATGATTCAATTTTCCAGATTAAGATTCTCTAGTCTCTTTGCTGGAGGATATGAACCTGATTGCCAGCATTCTTGGAAATAAGCAGGGGAAGGGTGAGGGGGTCTAACCATTCAGTGTGCAGGCTTTTACTTTCTTCTCTATTTTCAAGCCATCCCCTCACCCTCCCTTCCCCTCTTCCTGCTGTCCCCAGTCCAGTGCTTCTCTCACTACTGTTAATATTTATAGCTTCCCTTCCCCTAGAATACAGGCTTTAAACATGTTTCAATAGGACAATTATAAAAATAAAAGATTTGTTTGCAATCATTTATCTAGATGAACCCTTGGATGACAGAATCATTTGGTTATTAAGTGAAACCAGGACAGACATTTGGGGAAGGGGATGGCATTTTAACCTTTTGTGGAGCCATTCCCCATCAGACAATCCTTTGCTGCCACTGCCAGAGATAACACCAGGTAGGATGTGGCAATCCAGATCTTTTCATCTGGATGTCAGCAACAGCAAGGCAGGGGCCTGGACAGGATTCAGGTCACACAGTGTCTAGCTGGCTGGTGGAGCTTTGAGGTCTTTATAGAGAAGCTCTGCACTGAGATTATCATGAAGCCTGTGAGTGTTGGGGGTCAGCCTGAAGGCAGCATTCTCTGAGTGCTTCCAGCGGGAACTCCCTGTCGTTCGTGAAGGCAGCCGTGCTTCTAACACTGGAGTAGCAGCTACCACTTGTGAGCACTTACTGCATGCCAGGCACTGTGACAGGCACCTCTGACAAATTATTTCAATGATTTCACAACAGCACTACTGTTTTTATCCCCATTTCACAGATGAGGTGACTGAGACTCAAATAGATGCTCAAAGTCACTGAGCTAGGAAGTGTCAGACACAACCACATCCATGTGGACAGACTCCAGAGCTGGAGATTCGACCTGAATCCAAATACTGTTCTCCCCAGAACTCCAGTTGTGAGACTTTTAAGTGGAGCTTGGAGATTAAGGAACAACCCTTTTGGGGTCATTCTTGCTAGGGCTGTATGAAGACAGCAGGTGCACGCAGGCTACTGTGAAGTGCGGAACCACTTGGCTGGCAGCCTGGAATATAGAGGGGCAATCTTCTCAATGGGTTGTCAGGGCTACCACATTTTGGACTTGCTGCCAGGAGACCCAGGTTCAAGTCCCCACTCTGCTGCTATCTCACATTGTGACCTTGAGTGGTCACTAATCTCTCACTAGATACTGGGCCTCGGTAGCCTCGTCTGTTAAAGGGGATGACTCAACTTGGGTAAGTCTAAAGTTTTCTCAGCTTTAAAACGCAGGGATTCCATGTGTCACCTCTCCCAGGAATATTTGTATCTGTGGAATGAAAGACCTTTTGCTGCTGTCTCAGAGAAGTATTTATGCAGGTCAGGGGTCCTTTCCCAATGCGTTGGACTCATCCATCTGGAGGAGCTCTTCTACCGAAGGGCACTACCTTCTCACCAGGCTGTGGCAGCAGAGGGGTTAAACAGCATGCCCTGCCCTGCTCCAGGCAGAAGGGTTGTAGGACTTAATCACGTTTCAGCTTGGCTGTCGGGCTGTGAGTCACGGTTGCACTGCGATTATGTAAGCACGCAGGAATAGGTGGCATGACATATATGCTGCCAGCAGCCACGGGCCTCGCCCTTCCGAGTCACCACTACTTTTTAAGCCTTTTTTTGGATACAAGTTTCTTTGGGTTCATCTTTGGAATGGAAATGGAAGCATGATTGCAGAATAGGCAGAACAGGAATTATCCATCAATCAGAGAGAACCCAGCCCTTTAAGAGAAGCTGGAATTAGAATATGGAATTCCTGAGCCTTGAGCTGGCATAGCCGAGCCCTGGTTTATGCTCTTCCTGCCTCCCTCCTTTTTTCCCTCCTGCCTGTGTGCTCCACTTCCTCTCCTGAGACTCCCCCAAGGTAGCATCACTCCCACCAGGAGCCTCAGGCAGGAAAAATAAGGCCCAGAGAAGGGACTGTCCCTGGGGACGTGCACTGAGTGTGTGTGAGGGTGCGGGGCAGGAATAGGAGTGCCAGGAGTCTACCTCTGGAGCAATGCCTCCCACAGTATTTCTGTAGGGGAAAGGATAGAAACTCACTTCTTGGGTTCCTCCAATCACCATGCACATGTCAGTCCTTCAGCTATAAATGCAAAGGAAAGCCAGAACTGAGATTTGAGCTTTCTCACCATCTCCATGGTCAGATATCTCCACTGCCAAAGGGTTCATTCCGCCTCTGGGTTTATCTCTTTCTTCATGCTTCTTCCTGGCAGTGTCCTGTTGAAGCTTACCTTCCCATCTGTGTTTGCATCCACTCCCTAAAAACCACAAGACAAAACAAGAAAATAAAAGCCTCCTCCCCTCACTTAATCCACGGTTCTTTTTTCTTCCTGCTTACAAATTTCTTGAACTTGTATGTCTGTCCTTGCTGCTTCCACTTCTTCATCTCTCATTTGTGTCTGATGCAATAGGGCAATGAAGTGTCCTTGTGGTCCCTGGTGACCTTCTCATCGCTCAATCCCAAGGCCTTTTTTTAGTCTTCATCCAATTTAACCTCTTGGCAACATGTGACATGCTGCCAGCCAGCTGCTCCCTCTTTCTAATGCTCTCTCCTCTTGGCTTCTGTGACCCATCTCTTTACTACTCTGTCTGTTTCTCCAATGCCCTCTTCCTGGTCTCTCTTGACATCTTCTCTTCCCTGATCTGCATGCCACCTATATGGTGTACGTCCTCATGTATTTATAAGTAAGTAGGTGTTTATTTCTTGTCTCCTTCCCAAGAGGATTTAAATAGGTGGCACAAATATACACTACACTAGGGTAATAAAATAGGGAGTAAGATGCAACTGGTGGAGAATTAAGATCAAATTGGCCGGGCGCGGTGGCTCACAGCTTTAATCCCAGCACTTTGGGAGGCTTAGGCGGGAGGATCACTTGAGGTCAGGTTTGGCCAACATGGCAAAACCCCGTCTCTACTAAAAATACAAAAATTATCTGGGTGTGGTGGCGCATGCCTGTAGTCCTAGCTTCTCAGGAGGCTGAGGCAGGAGAATCGCTTGAACCTGGGAAGCAGAGGTTGCAGTGACCTGAGGTCACACTACTGCACTCCAGCCTGGATGACACAGTGAGACTCCATCTCAAAAAAAAAAAAAAAAGAGTAAGTTGTAGCCATAATAAATGAAGAAGATAAAACATTATTCCAAAAGACACTATAAAATCATTAGTCCACCCAACCAATCTGATCCTGTGACTCTCCTACCAAAAAGATTCCAATGATGCATGATTGTCCAACTCCCTATATAGCCTTTCACAGTCTAATCCCAGTGGGCTTTTCCAGGTCATTTCCTGTTTTTGAGCTTTGCTACAAGCTGATCCCTCTTCTTAAAGTGCCCCCCTGTCCACTTTCCTCTTCTTGGTGCTGCCTACTTGACAAATAGCTACTTGGTTTTTAAGACAGCTTCAACGTCACCACTTCTGTGAAGATTTCCCCTGCAAAATGTATCACTCCTTTATGGTAGCAAATAACTAAACTTCTGTAAACCTCAGTTTCTGCATCTGGGCAATGGGAATTATAATAGAACCCTAATTCATTGTGAGGATTAAATTAGACACACATGCAAAGTGCTTAATATAGCACCTGGGATGTTGCAAGCATTTACTAAATGTCAGCTAGTATTATACCTCCTTGTAAATGGAGGGAACAATAGTCCATAAGACTAAGATATGTTCCCAAGTTAATTAGGATCCAATGGTACAGTTAGCCTAGGGCGCAGGCTACTCTGTCCCTGCCATATATTCTCTCAAAAGTTCTTCTTCCTCAGTTCCTGGCTGTCCCCTTCTGGAAAATCCTTTCTAATTCCAAAGTTGATCCCCTCAAGTATAAACACTACTAGCTTGTTTAACTTTATTGGCACACATGTGAGCACAGGTGCGGTTCTTGACCGGCTTCAGCTCTAATCCTGTTGCCTCGGTCTTGCTGAGATCATTGTCTCTCTAACTCACTACTAAAAGTCTGGTCTCAACCTGTACCAGGATTGCCAAATAGATTCAGAAGTCAAGGAGAAGGCATCCCATGCCCGTAGCCAGCTGAGTAGAGGGGCTGCCAGCCCCAGCCAAGGCGTTTGCTGACCCTCAGCTCCAGGAAGGCCTGGGTGACCTTAAGTCTGGCACACGGGGCAATGAACTGTGGTAGCTGCCAGGGGTGGGTTCCTGAGGGCCACCTTCTCAGCAGCCTTCTGCCTACCCCACCTGGCAGGACATGGATGTGCGTGCAGGCCTGTGTATGTCTCTCTGTGTGCAACTCTCCTCTTTGGTGGATTCAGGGTCCTTGTGTCATTTTTCAAGGTGTCAGTCAAGAAGCATCCTTAGACTGGAGTCAGAGCCTCATGTCTTCAACCAGTAGCTGGGGAAAGCTCATAATAATTATACCAATACTAAGGCATGGCTGGTATTATCCAAAATGAGAAAAGAAGAGAGTAGGCTGAAGAGGCCAAATAGCTCCCACAAAGTCACACAGCTTGTTAGTGGTGCAGACGACAGCCCAGCTCTCCTGACCCTGGGCGTGGGTTTTTGCGTTCATGTCTCATGCCCCTGTCAGGAAAGAAAAACACACGAGGGTCCTTGGATGACCATATATGGCACCCTACAAATGAAAGCTACTGTGTTATTATCTTGCACTCGCAGTAAGTGCCTCATAAGAACATGCTTGGGATGACATACATGGATCTGCCTCAAGGAGGGAAATCTCAGACCCTGGAAAGCAGGCATTGCACATGAAAATGAAGAATGGGCTGAGTGAGCACATGGCAGCGCCGTGTTGGGTTCCAGCTCTGAGATCTCATGCAGGACTCTCTCAGCTTCTCTAGCTGTAACACGAGAGTTTGGCAGAGATCACATTAAAGTTCCCCTTAATAAGGGGTTTTCATGTGGTGTCAAATTGTTCCTCTGAAATAAGTATTAAAAAAAATTATAGTGAGCACATGGCATCTTGACTTTGTGTGGAGCTGACAAAACACTTCCCATTGTATGTTCACATGCCAAAGCATGTTTCATTTTATCTTATTTTATGTAGCACATTCTTTTTCATCCTCCATGGTAACTGAGTACTTGATTGTCCGTGGCATTTTCCCTCTGAAGTACTCCAGGTAGAACACCCATCATGTTCATGGCTGACATTTTACCACCCAAGGACCTCGAGGAGAGGACCAAGTGGGGTGGTCTCCATCATGGGACAGATAAGGACAAACCTGGAGAGAAGTGTGTGAGGCCGCAGGCACTAAAAGCTCCAGGGGTGGCAGTCAGAGAGGGCCACTGGGAGAGGTGGCACAAACTGGCTGCATGCACCTGCGTCTGGTCTGGCCCACACAGTGTTTAGAAGAAATTGAGTTGCTAAAGTTGGAAATCAGGATATTTCACATTAAAAATCAGGGTTTGGGGCTTCTGCTGAAAAATGGGCACCTTTGGCCAGTTACCTCTGTGCAGAGGGTACATACTGCCCAGTCCAGCCAGAGCCCATTCCACCTGCTCTCCTCAACACAGTCAACAGCATTTGTGGCAACTTCTCTGACTACCCAGCCTCGTGGGGGCTAAGTCGTGCTCAAGAAACTTATCAGGAATTACATTTCTCAAATGTGATGCTGCAATCTGATCCAGTTTTATTTGTGCCACAAATGGATTGCCAAAGGATGTGAGGTTTTTGCACACTTAGGTGGATCTTGTTTTCCAGATGAGGCTATGAAAGCAGAGCTTCTATGCTGGGATCACTTGTTTCATGCTAGGCACTGACTGTTCTAAGTGTTTTAACTGCCACATCACCTCATGCACGAGGGAGCTACTAATATCCCCATTTCATGCATAGAGAGACTGAAGTACAGAAAGGTAAAGCAGCTTGCTCTATGTCACACAGCCAAGAAATGGTCATACTGGGATGGGAAACTGGTAGTCAGGCTCCAGGGAACTCCAATACATGCTGCTATACCAACCATCTGGACACATAAGAGCTAGTCTGTGTTCTCATTTGTGAAGGGACTGCCAGGAATCCCTGCCTGACAGGGAGCAAGGGAGAGAATGCACATGAAAGCACTTGGTAAGTTGCAATGTGCACCATAAATGTTAGCTGTTACTGATAATTATTATAACCTGCAGGTCAGGATTCTAGCTGGGGGCCTGTGGCCGAGGCTACCCAGCTTGTCATTCTCTCTCCAGCTACAGCTCGGGCTGCAAGAAGGGGAAAGGGTGTTATTAGCACCGATTCTTGGAATTCCAACGTGGTATGAATAAGGAATCAATTACAGGCTACACTGCAGGGTGGCCGCTGAGGTGTAGGGGCTGGTTTTCAACAGCACAAAGACAAGTTTATTCCAATACCACTTCCTCCACCACAGAGTTAAGCCCACCCATGGTCCCTGCTCCGTGCTGGGAGGTCTAGGCTTGCCCACTGCCGGGGAGAACAGGTGGATTCACACGCCCTCTCCCTGAGCCGTTCCCAGGGCATCCACGGACAGGTGTGCATTTTATGGACGGCACACAGGTGCTGACCAAGTAAGAAAGTGGGCGCTGGGATCTAGTGCAGGCTCTGTTCTCAAGTTATGTGCCCTGGTGTGGGCTGCACCTGCAGGAGGAAGTGGTGCCTTTCTGTTTGAACAAAGGTGTGCCTGTGTGCCTCTGGGGTGTGTACTCAACTGGTCTGCCCAAAGGAGGCACCATTTTTTGTTCATGCAAAGGCTCCACCTGGGCTAGTGGAGGCCGTGGTTGTGCACCTGAAGGAGGCAGACAACAGACTTCTTGCTGCTCAGGAACCCACCCTTACACCCAGCTCCTGATTCCTCATCGAGGCCTATGCTCTCCTCCTCTGCAGGCTCACAGTTCTGTCCAGTCCATATTCTGCCATGACTTTGTGTCATTCATTTCCCCCACCCCCCTACAACCTCTTCTGATCCATGACAAGGTGGCCTAGGGCCAACTCCAAGATCCAAGGCCTGAACCCCATTTGCTGTCCCTTTGGCCTCTGTCCTGGGTTCCTTTCCTGGTAATCTCCTAATACCCCCACCTCACTGCCTGTATCTACTAGTTCCCCAGCCACAGGCCAGAGAATTCTCCTAAATCCTGGAGCAAAACTGCAGATTCCTGGCTATAGATAACCTGCCTGACCAGACTTCCAAGTGCCACTATGATAATATTGCCTGATGCTGCACTCCACCCACCTGTGAGTCTAACCAGCCTGGTCCCCCACTGTTCACTGTTTGCTTCCACCAGAGCTGGGGATTGCCTGTGACTGTGACATCAGCCTGTCCTGCCTGGCTGAGTGTCTGGGATTAGGTTGGGCCAGCAGGTCACTTTCCTCAGGACCATCACACCCTAAGGGTGAAATTGGGCTTGCTTCAGACCTTCCTATCTTGTGACTGGACTGTCTTGTGATTGAATAAACTGTCGTGCTCAGACAAGTCCAGAGGGATGACACAGTGGAATGTTGTTCGTTACCTGGGTCTGTCTGAATATTCCCAGAACACAGAAGGTGCTCAATACATAGATTCTGAACCTTGTTGGCTGTCGCTGCTGCAGCCATTTTTACCTGAAAGGTGATTTAGAATTTCTGCAGGTGAATGTGGTGGTGGTTGCAGGGAGTTAAAAAATTCTCCCTCTTCCTACTGAGATGCACACATGCCCCCTTAGAGGTGTACCCTCTTGGAATCACTGCAGAGAGTTTCTTTGTTGACATTCACTCAGAAGTGACAAGCACATGTCTAGAGGAAGGGACAGGCTCCTCCATTTCTAACTTGCTTTCTGAACCATCTCTAATGATGTGCTTTTTTACTCCCATCAGCTTGGCTGACTGCCTTTGCTCAGCAGATAGTTTTGGGGATGGAGGTGGTTGCACCCCAAGCTTGCTATAAGCCTAGATTGGCTCTGCAGTCCCTAAGATTGAGCTGACCTGGGCTGGACACCCAGCATCCCTTATCCCCCTCCCCTAAACCCAAGTTGGCTGGTGATCCGGAGGCCAATGCTACCCTGGAAAGGGCCCCATTCCTCCCTGACAGAGGCCCAGGGAAGCCACCAGATCAGGTTGGACCAGCAGGCCCCTGAGAGGCACTGATGCCACTCTCCAGCCCAGAAGAGGCAGGTGCTGGTCCTGGAACATAAAGTCAAGCTTGGGGATGTCAGGGGCATTGGCTCCAACACCTCCCTGGCCCTCCCCTTACCCACAGGGGCTGACAGGGACAGAACCCATTATTCCTGTTAATACATGGTCTGGGAAGTGACAGGGCACATACGAGGACCAAGCCAGAGGGGAAGCCAGAAATCCTACTGCCTGGCACCCCCCTCTCCAAGTCTTTTTAGGAGCCATTCTAGGGCTTCGTGGGCAGCTGGGCTTCTCTGGTGATCTCAGCAGTCCAGGCTTGTGCAAGTCCCCCAAGCTCCCACCCACCTCCACCAGCCTGGTGGGGCCCTGACTCATTCCCGCCTGATTGGGCAACCAGCTTTTGGAGACTGACCTTGGAAATAGTAGCAGTGAGGCCGGCTGGAAGCTAACTGGGAACAGCATCCATAGGATTTATGCTGGCCTCAGCAAGGCAGTGTTTGGTGAAGTAGGAGACATTGGACTATACTGTCTTTCTTCCTCTCGGTCTCCCACCATGCCCCTCCTCCCATCCTCTGGAATCCTCCGGCCCATATGCTGCTGCCTTTCACTCCCTAGTGGTCAGATCTTCTACTTGGGGGTCCCCATCCAGGGCAATGCTCGCTGCTGAAGATCATCTGTCCAGCTCTCCTCTCCTCGGCTTCCCCACTAGACCCCATTCCTCCGAGCGTCCCTACTCCCCTCTGTGCACCCCTGGCCACATCTAATGCCCCTAACCCTCCTTGGGCCCCCACCCTTTCACCCGTCCCACCTTTCTGTGTATGTCCTCTTTTCTTCACCCCCATCCCTCTAGACACACACACCTTTTTTTGTGTGTTTTTTTTTTGTTTTGTTTTGTTTTGTTTTTTGAGACGGAGTCTCGCTCTGTCACCCAGGCTGGAGTGCAGTGGCACGATCTCGGCTCACTGCAACCACCACCTTCCAGGTTCAAGTGATTCTCCCACCTCAGCCTCCCAAGTAGCAGGGATTATAGGCGCTTGCCACCACGCCTGGCTAATTTTTGTATTTTTAGTAGAGACGGCGTTCCACTATGTTGGCCAGGCTGGTCTCAAAATCCTGACCTCAGGTGATCCGCTTGCCTCAGCCTCCCAAAGTGCTGGGATTACAGGTGTGAGCCACCGCGCCTGGCCACACACACCTTTTTTCGGCATTCTGATTTATTTCCTCTCAGGTAGCTGTTAGGTTGAAAAGGCACTGATAATCTAGGTCACTTTACTTGGAGAAGGAAATCATTGTTGTGTATTATCTTTCCTGGTAGCATCTGCATCCCTAACTGTAGGAAGAACTGAAAGAGGTCTACCATGGTAGGATTGCAGACATTAGGTGAACGGGAGAAATTTGCAGTTAGAAGAGTCTTCCTGTTCACTATCAAATCATGCCATATACTGAGGGAATTACCCAAATTGCTCAAGAGTGGCTCTTTCTTCTCTTCCTTTGGTCTCCATCTCTCCAGGCTTCTAAAACCCTGAGTTGTGGCGATGCATGTTTTAAAACGAGGTCCTACTGAAATATAGGCTAATGTGTTTGAGGTCTGGTAAAATGTTCAGAATGTTTATATGCACTCTGGTGTATCTTGGACTGTGCTTTTTTAATTCAGATGCTGTCTGATTTTTAAACGGATTGTGGGTGAAAAAGAAAAGAAGGGGAAAAGCAACAACTTTCTGTAAGCATAATAATGATATTTTAACTTGAAATTGATCAAGAAAGGGCTGGAAAACACTTTCTATGAATGCTTATTCAAATGTCCCAAAGAATCTTGATGAATTCTTATAAATGAATTTTATGATTACTCTGTAGTGAGCTGTGAAAGGAACACAGCTGCAGACAGAAAAACTAGGAATGTTGCTCTGGACTAGGTGATATATGCTAATGATCTGGACAGCCGTACCTAGCCACTTTGCCATAGAAAAGCTAAAGGATTACTGATATGTAATTTTTATAACTGTTCTGCTTCTATATTATTTGGGGGAAAAATGGGATTTTGCCAAAGGCTGACTTACACTGTGATATTCCTGAATGTGATGTGAATGTGTAATTGCAACTGGAATGTCCTGCCTGAAGGTAGTAGGGGGCCCATCGCCTGCATGCAACAGTGCCCTGGAATCCCAGCCCAGGATTTCAGCTCAGTCTGTGCAGCAGGCTGTCAGTTTAGGTTTTTGTCGACATCTGTGATCTGATGCTCAGATAGTCAGAGAATACCATGAAAGACACACGGGGGCCTGGAAATTGCCCTGTTTAACTGTTGGGACTACAGTTATCTCATTGCAGTGCCTGGTGTGTTTTCTGGGCCAGTTTTGATGTTTGAGTTGAGATGTTAGAGGTGGTTAGCATGGTGACTGTATAGGAAAAACACTCCTTTCCCCCCATATATTCTCAGATAATTATAAGAATTCCCCTCATAATTCTTCATTTATGACACCAGATATGTGAGCTCTTCTGACACCAACCAATTCTCCAACACTCCAGGATACCAACTGGGTGTCCTACAATTTAACTCAATTCTAACGCTATTTATAATTAATGCAGTCCCCACAGGTTAAGGGCTCAGTCCTACCAGATTGCCTCCTACTTCAGATGCCAATCAAAAGTAGTACATCCCCAGGTTACCCACTCTCCTGTCTGACTTGGCTACAAGTCGGGAGTTCCCACAACCTCCTCCCCAGGTTTGATAATTTGCTCTGACAAATTATACTCACAGAACTTGGAGAGAGACTTATGTTTATTGGCTTATTATAAAGGATATGATAATGAATACAGATGAACAGGCAAATGAAGAGGTACACAGGGTGAGGTCTGGAAGGGTCTGATTGCAGGAGCTTCTGTCTCCAGTGAGTCAGGGCACACCACCTTCCTGGCACATAGATGTGTTCACCAACCCAGGTCTCTGAACCCTGTACTTTGGCGACTTTTATTAGGCTTAATCAAGAAGGCATGAATGGTTATTAATTCAACCTCTAGCCCCTCTTCTTTCCTGGAGGATAGGGGTGGGGTGTGGCTGAAAGTTCCAAGCTTCTAATCACGGCTTGGGCTTTTTGGTGACCGGCTTCCACCCTGAAGCTGTCCAGGAGCCCATCAAGGGTTGCTTCTTTAGAATGAAAGATGCTCCTATCATCCATGAAATTCCAAGAGATTAAAAGAAAAAAAAAAAGAAATTCCAAGAGATTTAGTCCATAGCTTCCATCTCTAGGTTGCTCATGGTCTACATAGCTGTTGAAATCTAGGAATAACATTTGTGTTCTAGGCAGGAAGTAGAAGGAGGTGAGGAAGAGTAAAAAGGAAGGTGCAATCTCCAGCTGCCTGTGTCTCTTTAAAGAGTCTTTTTCTAGGCCAGGTGTGGTGGTTCACACATGTAGTCCCAGCACTTTGGGAGGCTGAGGTGGGCGGATCATGAGGTCAGGGGTTCGAGACCAGCCTGGCCAACATAGTGAAACCCTGTCTCTACTAAAAATACAAAAATTAGGCAGGCATGGTGGCGGGCACCTGTAGTCCCAGCTACTCAGGAGGCTGAGGCAGGAGAATCGCTTGAACTGGGGAGGCAGAGGTTGCAGTGAGCCAAGATTGTGCCACTGCACTCCAGCCTAGGCGACAGAGCGAGACTCCGTCTCGAAAAAAAAAAAAAAGAGTCTTTTTCTGTGCGCTATGCTCCCCCTAACAGCTTCTACTCATGTTTCCTTAGCTAAAATAATGTCACATGGCCACACTGTTTTAAAAGAGGCTGAAAAATGTGGTCATTCCTGATAAAGTTGGGGTTTTGTTACTCAGGAAGAACAGGAGAGTAGTACTGGGTAGGCAAACAGTCTGTAATTGTTGTCTAATTATATCTGACTCAAGAAGGTTGTGCTTTTGGGTAGTCTTGAATAGATATTTTTCTATGCTGAGGATTTGGGAGATGCTAAGTGAGCTGAAAAGTATCTGTATATATACAAAGTCCATGGATGAAACTGTAATCAGGTTTAAAAATTAATATGGCCCTTCAATCCCTTTACGAGTCCCTTGATCACTGATCTAATCTGTTTGGTCAGCTTTGAAAACAATGGCTGAGGGTAGTTCTGGTTTAAAATGGCACCTGATTAACAGCCTTTAATATAGCATCTCTCAGGCTGGGCGCGGTGGCTCACGCCTGTAATCCCAGCACTTCGGGAGGCCGAGGTGGGCGGATCACGAGGTCAGGAGATAGAGACCATCCTGGCTAACATAGTGAAACCCCGTTTCTACTAAAAATACAAAAAATTAGCTGGGCGTGATGGCGGGCGCCTGTAGTCCCAGCTATTCAGGAGGCTGAGGCAGGAGAATGGTGTGAACCCGGGAGGCGGAGCTTGCAGTGAGCCGAGATTGCGCCACTGCACTCCAGCCTGGGCGACAGAGCGAGACTCTGTCTCAAAAAACAAAAACAAAAACAAAAAAAAAAACCAGCATCTCTCAACTTTTCAATAAAATATCTAGGAAGCCATGGCAGGGAGTGGTGAGGAGAAAGCTCATAACCAGCCTCAAAACTAAATCTAATGGACAGTGCTGACCCAGAATTTCAGAGGAATCTTTAATGCAGATGAATGATGGTTAACTTCAATTCATGTGGCTCATGAAACAGAGCTTACCTGAAAACTCAAGACCATTCAGACATCACCACTGTTTAGCTCTTCACTCAAAGACCCAGCTGTCCCTCTGCTGTGGGTCCTGTGAACCAATCCATATTGATTCTCCTCCTCCTTCTTTGTTATTTGTTTGCATCTATTTAAAGACAGCAGAAATCCCCCAGAAGTTAACTAGAGAGTAAATAGTGGAGTTGGGGAGGTGCATGTACGTGTATAGACATTAAGGTAAGGAACCACAGTAGTACCCCTATCCTGGGTCATATAAGCCCTACAAGTAAAGAGCTGCTAGAGTGGGTATGGAGAGAAAAAGCTTTGTTGGAACCCGTCGGAACTATAGCTTTTCAAGAATCACGTTGGCTGAAAGTATGAGGTGCAGAGTTTAAATGGATGAATACCCAGCAGAAGTCAGGACTGGACTGCATGTTATGTACTCCAATCTGCTCTTCAGCTGTGTGGCTGAGAATGGAGTTTGACCTTCACACAAATAGAAATGGAGCTAGGGAAAAATCCACACACATAATTTGTTGTCAAATACTGAGTTAGATAGCATTCTCCTTTTAAAAATGTCTTAAACATGACTGAGAGGCAGTCTAGCATTGATACTCTGGAGCCAGACTGTCTGGGTTCAAATCCTGACTCCACCACTTACAGCTCTGTGACTATGGGCAAGTTACCTAATGTTGATGTCTCAGCATTTGTATTTGTAAAATGAGGTTAATAATGCTTCTTACTTCATAGAGTTGTTGTGAGATTGCATGAGTCAATACATAGAAATACTTGGAAGAGCACACAGTAAGCACTCAACAAGTGCAAGCTGTATTATGATGATGAAGATTATGATTTTAAAAATCATAAGATCATAAGAGAAAGAATCAATATAATATGAAACATATAAATAAATTACAGAAACAAAGGAATGGGAATAGCAGATTGAAGATTCAGAGACCAAATGTATTTTCAAAAATAATGTAAATGCAGGTTCTGAAGAAAATTTTAGGAGGCTGCTTGATATCCTCAGTAAAGTAAAAGAAGATGGGGTCTTTATGAAGCAGGACATAAAACCACAAAGAGATAGAATAAGATGGCAAAATATTAAAATGCACATTGAACCAATAAAGAACAGAATTGATAACACAGGAGAGGAAAGCAGAAATATGTGAAGAACAAGCTTGAAAAGTCCTCCAAGAATGCAGAAAGGGAAAAAAAAATCAAGTGAGAGAATAAATACAGAAAATAGAAAATCGAGACATGACTCAGAACAGAACAAATGGGATAGAAATAATTACTTAACTATGGTATAATATAAAAGAATATTTTCAGACTGCCAGAAAGAGCCTTATATATTGATTAAAAGTGATTTCCTCCTTTTGTATCAAGTCGATGGAAAGAGACTCACATTTAGGCACACCAGGCAAAATGAGCGAAGCATTCAGGCTGAGGAGGCAAGTTTAAAAATTAAACTGGCTGGCTGGGCGTGGTGGCTCTCGCCTGTAATCCCAGCACTTTCGGAGGCTGAGGTGGGTGGATCATGAGGTCGGGAGTTCAAGACCAGCCCAACCAACACGGTGAAACCCCATCTCTACTAAAAATACAAAAATTAGCCGGGTGTGGTGGTGTGCGCCTGTAATCCCAGCTACTCAGGAGGCTGAGGCAGAAGAATCGCTTGAACCTGAAAGGTGGAGGTTGAGCCAAGAGTGTGCCACTGCACTCCAGCCTGGGGGATAGAGCTAGACTCCATCTCAAAAAAAAAAAAAAAAAATTAGACTGGCTGTATATATCTCCTCTGTAATATTAAATGCTAACAAGAGATAAAAGCATAATTGTTTGCCAATGATATTATTATCCACCTGGAATATGTAACAGAAGCAGCAGAAAAAATTTCCAGGATTAATAAGCAAGTTCATTATCATGATCAGTTTAAAACTAATATTTGAAAGCAATAATTTTCTTATTTCCTAGCAATAAAAGTTTACTGGGGTGCTGGGAGACTGAATGACACCTTTGATAGACTCATGGAGCATGGACACAGGCGAAGGAAGCCTGACAAGCCCTCCTCTCTTTAGACTGAGACCCCAAAGGGTTGTCTGCACCCTAGGAGTAACGTTGAACCAGAAGTAAATAGACCTTCAGAGGGGGTGCAACTCAGCTTTACTTATCCAGTCTCTGAAGCTGGATTAAAGTGATCCCAGGGTATGAGTGTTTCCAGGCACATGGCAGAAGTAACATAAATTTGCCCTGGGAAAAAATACAATAGAGGTTTAATTCACCAGGAAGATATAACAACACTAAATATGTATGTATCTAATAATATTATTGTTTGAGCTAAGTAATAGCAAAAATACTGTGTATCCAAACTTGAGGGATGCAGATAAAACTTTTCCTACAGGAAAATATGTATGTAAATATTAATATATATGTATAATGTAACACTTATATATTGAATAATATGTAAATATATATATATTTTTTAACTTGAAACACAAACGCTTTATTTAAAGGCGCATCTCAATTCCGTGTGGCGGGCAAAAAATAAAGGAGCAGATTGTGACAGACCATTCCCATCGGCCATGCGGGCGAACCCAACGTCCTTTTACATTGAAGAACCCAACGGGGCCTTTTACATTGCGGATGATGGACCGGCTCGTGACGTCCATGAATTTCACGCGCACCTGTGTGCACTGTCCCTGAGAGCCGGTCCTGCCCAGGACCTTGGTGACCCTGGCCAGCTTGATAGGCTGCACACGGCTGGTGTTCATGATGGCGGCGCAGCGACGATGTGGCGGAGAGGTAAATATATATTATATAAATTAACTTAATATATAAAAATACATAAATATATAAAATGTGTATATATATATAAACAAGCTAAAGATGGGAGAAATTAGCTAGTAGTATCAAGATTTATTACAAAACTATAGCAATTAAGATTTTGTCATATTGGTTCAAGGATGGACAACTTTATCAATGAATTAAAATAATAAAACAGATATGTGAACCATTAATTATGTCAAAGGTGACACTATAGAGCACAGGTGAAAGGAATGTCTTATCAATGAATGTGTGGGGATATTTAGATACCCATTTGGAAAAAAATAAAGCTTGGCTTTCGCTTCATACATACACAAAAACAAAATGTAAATAAGTGATTCTTTTAAAGAAAAGGCAAAACAATAAAAGTCTTAGATGGTAATATAAAAGAATATCATCATGATCTCAGCATAAGGCAAGACTCCTCAAGTAGAACATAAAAAGCACTAACCATAAAGAAAAAGACTGACATATACAACTGTCTTAGTCCATTTTGTGCTGCTGTAACAGAATGCCACAGACGAGGTAATTTATGAAAAACAGAAATTTATTCTCTCACAGTTCTGGAGGTTGAGAAATCCAAGATCAAGTCACCAGCAGCTTGTGTGGGCCTTCTTATTGCCTTCCTACTGCATCCTTACACGGCAGAAGGCAGAAAGGGCAAGAGGCAAGAGAGAGTGAGTCTGCTCCCACCAGCACTTTTTTTTTTTTCTTTTTGAGACGGGTCTCACTCTATCACCAAGGCTGGAGTGCAGTGGTGTGATCATGACTCACCGCCATCTCTGCCTCTCAGGTTCAAGTGATCCTCCTACCTCAGCTTCCTGAATAGCTGGGACTGCCAGTGCATGCCACCATGCCCAGCTTATTATTTTTGTATTTTTTATTTTTTTGTTGAGACAGAGTTTCACCATGTTGCCCAGGCTGGTCTCGAACTCCTGAGCTCAAGTGGTCTGTCTGCCTTGGCCTCCCAAAGTGCTGGGATTACAGGCATCAGCCATTGCCCCGGCCCCCACAAGCATTTTTAAAGTGGCATTAATCTATTCATGAGGACAGAGTCTTCATGACCTAAACACTTCCCCAAAGATCCTACCTCCCAACACTGTTACATTGGGGATTAAGTTTCCAACATGCGAACTTTGGTGAGGAGGAACAAAAACATTCAAACCATAGCAATGACTATGTTAAAATAAAAACTTCTGTTCATCAAAAATAACATTAAGAAGTAAAAAAGAAGTCTGGGCTCGGTGGCTCACGCCTGTAATCCCAGCACTTTGGGAGGCCGAGGCAGGCAGGTCACTTGAGGTCAGGAGTTTGAGACCAGCCTGGCCAACATGGTGAAACCCTGTCTCTACTAAAAATACAAAAATTAGCCGGGTGTGATGGTGTGTGTCTGTAATCCCAGCTACTTGAAAGGCTGAGGCAGGAGAATTGCTTGAACCCAGGAGGCAGAGGTTGCAGTGAGCCAAGATCACACCATTGTACTCCAGCCTGGGTGACAAGAGAGAAACTCCATCTCAAAAAAAAAAAAAAAGAGGAAGTAAAAAAGAGAGCCACAGAGGAAGAAGGCATGCAAAACATTTGGCAAACAAAGGGCTTGTGTCTACAATATGTAAAGGTCCAGAGCTCACAGGATCTTAGGGTATGTTTATAATTTACTTTGGTAGATAATGACAGTTTTCTGAAATGGTTGTGCCAAGTTGTAACCTAAAATGCAAAGGCTGGAGCCAAAGTTTCAGTGAATGCAGATACATCACAAAAGCTGAGCTAAGTTAGCAATCTTGAGACAAGGGAAGAGCAGCTAGAGAAAACCTGGAAAACAATGAGGTGGAAATGGTAGTGGCAAAGCACAAGATAGAAATGAGGAAACTTACACAAGAAAATGAAAATAAAGGTTAAAACAGATTAAACAGAAAATGGTAGATGTAGAAAACAGTCAAAGGAGATCCAGCATAGGCATAATTGGCTTCCCTGGAAAAAAAGAGAAAATCAAAACAATGCAAAATAAAAAATATTTAAAATATAATAGAAGACAGGTGATTTCTTATAAAGTTAGATGTGCACTTACCAAATGACCTGGTAATTCTACCCACTCCTAGGTATTCACCAAGATAAAACATATGTCCACACAAAGACTTATATATGGGCTGGGCGCAGTGGCTCATGCTTGTAATTCCAGCACTTTGGGAGGCCGAGGTGGGCAGATCACGAGGTCAAGAGTTTGAGACCAGCCTGGTTAACATGGTGAAACCCCATCTCTACTAAAAATAGAAAAATTATCTGGGAGTGGTGGCACATGCCTGTAATTCCAGCTGCTCAGGAGGCTGAGACAGGAGAATTGCTTGAACCCAGGAGGCGGAGTTTGCAGTGAACTGAGATCGTGTCACTGCACCCCAGCCTGGGTGACAGAGCAAGACTCCATCTCAAAAAAAAAAAAAAAAATTCATATATGAGCACTCATAAAAGTTTTAGGAATTTGACAAAAATGGTTCCATAGCTCATTCAAAAGAATAGATTTTAAAATAATCAATAAGATTTAAAAAGTGATAATGAAAGAGCTTTCACTATCAACATTTAAATAATATTTTACAATTAAAGTTTTTAAAAATAAAATGTTATACTATTATAGAAATAGGCAAGCTGATCAGTAGAACAAAATAAATAGGCTGTAAACTTGTGTTTGTGTGTTTATAGCTAATAAGTGTGATGCTTAAATCAGTGGGAAAAAGTATTAACTATTTAATATAGAGAGCTAGTATAATTATTAGTGCCACATGTCAGGAGCTAATGAAACTTCTGCAAAGGACCAGCTAGTAAATATTTTAGGCTTTGTGGGCCATACCATCTCTGTTGCAACCACTTAACTCTGCCACTGTAGCATGAAAGCAGGTACAAATAACTATATTACATTCTAAGTAATTTTTAAAATTTCAAACCTCTGTTTTTAAACACTTGAAAATAATACACTGACAAATATGATGGCTTGCTTTTATGTAACTGGCACCTGATAGAATTAAAATTGACCCAAATAGGTCACCAAAAATATATTTTACCTGACAAATTAATTAACATGGGTTAGGGTCAGGATGCGAGGCAAAGAAACAGGAGAGTGCTTTGGACAATGAGAATTAAGTCACTGATCTCTCATTCTATATAGCAATTCTCCTGTCTTACAAACATGTCCTAGTGTCTCTCTCATCTTAAAAGCAAACAACAAAATCCTCTTTAGTCACTCTTTATCCCATTGGTATATCCATTTCTACAAAGCATCATTGCCTGAGTGTTCTTATGTATTAATATATATTTGTTTATTTATTATTTGCCTTTCTACTCTAGGAACTGTGATCCATGAGGGAAGGATTTTTCTCCCTTTCTTTCTTTTTTTTTTTATTTTTATACTTTAAGTTCTAGGGTACATGACACCATGTGCAGGTTTGTTACTTATGTATACATGTGCCATGTTGGTGTGCTGCACCCGTTAACTCGTCATTTACGTTAGGTATATCTCCTAATGCTATCCCTCCCCCCAATCCCACCCCACGACAGGCCCTGGTGTGTGATATTCCCTACCCTGTGTCCAAGTGTTCTCATTGTTCAATTCCCACCCATGAGTGAGAATATGTGGTGTTTGGTTTTCTGTCCTTGCGATAGTTTGCTCAGAATGATGGTTTCCAGCTTCATCCATGTCCCTACAAAGGACATGAACTCATCCTTTTTTATGGCTGCATAGTATTCCATGGTGTATATGTGCCACATTTTCTTAATCCAGTGTATCATTGATGGACATTTGGGTTGGTTCCAAGTCTTTGCTATTGTGAATAGTACCACAATAAACATACACGTGCATGTGTCTTTATAGCAGCATGATTTTTAAAGCATTTTTCTTTCTTCCTCACTGAAGGAGACATTTTCAATTTACATTCTGACCCATAGAAAATAGAAGGTTTCTAAATGAGCTTATTTTGTATCTGGCTGCCTAAAGAACTCTTCCTACCTATTCCTCCATTGAAGAATCACAAACAAGTGCCTTGGGAGGAGGCGCAAGTCTCAGGGATCCAGACCATAATCTCAGAGCTAGAATGTAAGGGTAAGAAAATATGAATGACCCTTTTGGGAGGGATTGCTAAAGAAGTAACATTCAGTAGTTGGACATTTGATTGTTCTATCAATTGCAGTCTGTCAGCTTTATGTCGAAGGCATACTCATATCTCTACAAGAGCCAATGAACTTCCCTGTCAGACCTTGCCACACACACTTTGGAAGAGGAGAGGGAAGAGCAGAAAGAAAGAGAAGAGGAGGAGGAAAAGAGGAGGAGCTTTGAGAGAGTTCAAAGTCAGGGAGACAAGCGGGCTACAGTGGTAGAATCAGTGAGGGATTAAAATCTTTCCTGCGTTAGTTCCTTTTTCCTGTTGATATTTCTTGAGATTCTTTCTTTTGAGCCCTCCTGGTACTTGGTCCTCTTCCTCTAGGGCAGTTCACTTAATGAAAGGCTCTCTGGCCTGGGGTAGGCCCTGGCCAACTATGCTCTAGAATGTAGAAAAATACACTATTAATTGAGCCAAGATTAAGTTTATCCCAGGATTAAGTTTAGGCCTGGATTTATTCTAGGCTTTGGGCTAGGAGATCCAAAAATTTCATTATGGTTCATGTTTAGCCGGCTGAGCTCACAATGTTTAGCAAATCCATGTGAGGATTTGGGCCCAAAGTCCTGTAGTGACAAACACTTTACATTTGCATATTTTTAAAGGAGCTCATGGAAGAGATGAGTAGCCGACCATAACTTTGGGGATTTGGTGTTATAGGAATTGCTCCCTCACTTGCTACGGGGAAAAATGAATACTATATGACCATAATAGTTTGCTGAAAATTGTCTCTGCTATTCCTGCCAAAAATGGATGGAGAAGATTATTTGAGAGAAGAAAATATGAAAATGGATCCCCTTGAAGAAATATGAGAGAAGGAAGCTAATCCTTGGTGACAGAATAAGAGACACTCAAACTGACATTAAGAACACACAAGTAGTCCAGAGAGTGGAAAAATAGCTAAACTTATATGAAGGTGCTTGATACAAGGGTATGTCATGTTCTGAGGCCTGACCTTTCCTGAGAAGCTGACAGGCATGGCATTTATGATGGAAAAACAACCCTGGAGGCACAGAAAAGCTGATGGCCACAGACTGCAAAGGGATCAATTAGAGAGAAAACTGCTCTCTGGTACAGAAAGAGTGTTTAGAAGAGAAATGGGCATCTTGGTGTTGCTGTAATTATCCCCTCTCTTTTCTGAGTCACCAATTTCTCATTCTGTGCAGCAATTCTGCTGTTTTACAAACATGTCATAATGTCTCATCTTAAAAACAAACAACAAAATCCTTTTTAGTCACTCTTTATCCCATTGGTATGTCCATTTCTTCAAAACACTATTACCTCTTATGTATGTATTTGTTTGTTTATTGTTTGCCTTCCTGTTGTAGGAACTCTGATCCATGAAGGCAGGATCTTTTTTTTCTTCTTCACTGCTATTTTGTCCTAGAATAGTATTTGGCACATAGCTGGGGCTCAATACATATTTCTTGATTGAATACAAGAAGTTGAGTGGCATGAAGATATGGGATATAGTCATCCAGGTAGAAACAGATTTCTTTCAAAGGTAATTGTAGTTTCCAAGGACAGATACACTGGGCTGACCTCTGACCCTAGGAGTAATAGAAATAGCAATTCCATAATCCAGTTGGTTATAGACCAGGAATGACAAACACATGGCATGCATGTTGCCGCTTCCCCATTCTGCTTTCAGGACAGACATCATTAATCTATCACAGCACTTGTTCCTGAAGAGAGTGGTTACTGCCTCCCTGATTACTGAATCCATAGCACAAATGGAAGGATAAAATTTTGCATGGAAAGATAGGTTTTGGAGATCCTATCAATATGAAAGGCCTAGGTTCTTCTATAAATAATGTTGCTTGACCATTAATTCCAGAGTGTGACTATGGAAAAGGAGGAATAGTTGCATGGCTTTAGTTTTGTCTTTTCTAAACAACCTAAATGACACCACAGTTCAATCACCCCACATGTATCGATCAAGGGGACCAATTGGAGAGCTCAGCATTTAGCCAGGGACAGATGCCAAAATTCAGCCAAGAAAACCTGCCAAAAAAAAAAGTAATGTCCAAAAGCACAGGACAGAGACATGCTCTACTGGCCATGACTGGGAGCTGTAACTCACCTTCTCAGAGAGCTCCAGGGAAGTGCCTGGACAGGACACTGAGAATGAAAGAAAAGCACGGGTGAGACCAAAACAGGGGCAACTCTTACCCTATTTCTGAATATTTTTTATGGGGAAGGAGGCAAAGAGGATGAGGGTAATGGGGGATGTTGCCTTTTATTAAAGTGCGGGTGGAACGAATACTTGACTTGTAAAGTTGGGACTTACTACAACTAGCACAAAATCAATAAGAAAGGAGAGTCAACAAGTATTTACAAAGCCTTCAATGGCCTGCATGGGGATCAGTGCCAAGAAACAGTCTTTGCCATGGCTCTGCCTCCTCCTTGACCCAAAGTACCACTCTTTATTATGCAACTGGCACACGAATTGCCTCCAGAACATGAGAACACTACTCATGGCCAGTGTGGGGAACTCAGGCCAAGACACAGCCTTCTGCCCAAGGAAGTGGTCTGAAGTAACTTTGCAGAATTCTTGTCAAGATAGTTAACATTGTCAAGCAAACAAACAAATAAAACCGCTGAGTAGAAGCCAATTCTCCATGTGCTTAGACTCCCTGTTCTTGTCCCTGCTCCTGACCTCACAATGAGCATGGGGCCCTGAGATGACCTCCAAGAGAGGCTAGGAAAAGGGTTTGGCTAGACGTTGGTCAGATTCTGCCCTCTCCCTCCAGGAGAGGAAGAATCAGTCTGAAGCAGGACCACATGAGACCAAGAAAATGGGTTTGTGTGTCTCCTCTGGGACTGGCACTGGATTCACAAAGGAGATGAAGGATAGAAGTAGGGGGAGGTGGCTAGGCGTGGTGGCTCACACCTGTAATCCCAGTACTTTGGGAGGCCGAGGCGGGCGGATCACAAGGTCAGGAGTTCGAGACCAGCCTGACCAACATGGTTAAACCCTGTCTCTAATGAAAATATAAAAATTAGCTGGGCATGGTGGTTGCGCCCGTAATCCCAGCTACTCAGGAGGCTGACGCAGGAGAATCGCTTGAACCTGGGAGGTGTAGGTTGCAGTGAGCCGAGATTGCGCCATTGCACTACAGCCTGGGTGACAGAGTGAGACTCCATCTCAAAACAAAAACAACAACAACAACAAAAAAAAAAAAAAAAAGGAGGAGGAGGTATCAAGAGAGATCTGTTTGCTCAGGAGAATCTGTGTGGGAGCTGAGTCAGTCCTCAGATTGCAATGGGATAGGAATAATGCCTTCCAGATCTTCTCACCTGGATCACTTCCCCATCGTCCTCCATCTCACCTGTTGTCCTTCTCCCCTTCTCCCTTTCTCAATTTTCTCTGCCCTTCAGTGTCTCAGGTGTCTGTATTCTTCAAGAAGCCATGCCCTGTCCCTAATTTCCCCTCCACCCATTACATCGTCATTTCCCACACCCAAACTGCTTGGGCCACATTGTCTACAATGGCCACCTCCTCGTAACATCCAGATTTCCAGACACTGTGCAAGGCAACTTATAGACCTTGCTGCCTTTAGTCCTCCTGACAACACCAACAATGTCTCAGTGAGCCAGCCATTATCTGCCTCGTGTTAGGAAGCTCAGAGATGTTGAGTCCCTTTCTGGAGGTCAGAAATTTTAAGTGCTAGAGTTGAGATTCAAACCTAGCAGTGTCTGCTCTTAATCTCTAGAGGTTTTCTAAAGTGTGAAACTTAGAAGACAAGAGTTCTATGAGATTTAAAAAGGAATACCATAGAAGAATTGGAAAAAATTATACTTTACAAATAAACATTATGTACTTGGTCTTGTTATTATGAAAAAAAACCCTGCCTCTAAACATGGCGAGATATATCTTGCACTACCAGTATTTCCTGATGGGGCTGCTGTTGGCCTTTTAGTCCAAGCCCACACACTGTAGAGTGTTTAGTATCTGTGGTCCTGTCAGCCAAAGGCCAGTGGGGTCCTCAGTGTGCACCTAAAAGTGCTCCACATGTGTAAATGTCCCCTGAGATATGAATGTTACTACCTTCAGTTGAAGGTAACTAACCCTGGAATGTAATGACCATAACGTCAGGGACTGTGTCTTTCTTACTCAGCATTGCAGCCCCAACATATAGCTCGTAGTAGGCCTTTAGTAGATATTAGAAAGTCATCTAATGCATGTGTAATGTGTAATTATTGATAATAGGCAGTATTTAACCATTACCTAGGATGTTATCTGATATGATCTCAATGACCATCTTGCCTATACAGTTTTAACATGTCTGCAATATTATTCAATGTTCATTATGTATTAGACACATGAATCAAATTTTGGTCATTTCTTGCAGCAATTAAATTATCAGGTTACTTTATTTCAAGCATGAAGCTTTCTATCTCCTGAGCTCCTTGATGAAAACTTGACTTATAAAGCTAAGACTTCCTATAACTAGCACAAAATCAATAAGCAAGGAGAGTTAACAAGTATTTACAAAGCCTTCAGTGGCCTGCATGATCCCCATGTCTGTTGTTTCCCTGTCTGTATACCCTAAATTATAATAGTGCTTCATTTTAAATGTTTGGGCTAAGATGCCTATGGACAGTTACCAATCAACACAAAGAAGCATCCGGCTGTCTCACCCTTTGTTGCTTTTGATTCTCTCTCATGAACAGTTCTGAGACCTCCACTGTCCTCTTGTTATTTTTATTCCTAATGGTGATACTTCTCCTACTTGCTTCCTCCGACTGTCTACCTTGTCATGTTGACTCCTTCCTTCAGGAATGCTCTTCTCAAATCTGAAGATACAATCTGAATAGAAAAATAGGTGTGGACCACTGGTGGCCACTTATGTGCCTACATGTCTGTAGTCATTCATTTTCAATCTTGAGTGAAGACACAAAGGTCTATGTCAGCCAGCCCCTAGCTGGAGTTTCCTTTGTCTAGTTCTGCATCTGCCTCCCAAGAATCTATTCTTTTTGCTCTTCTCACTCCCTCACCCTCTCCCTGGTATCAGTGTCTCTGATATAGACACAGGAATAGGCATTTATGGAAGATCAGAAGGGGAGAGGAGTGCAGTTCTGGTCCCAGAGCTACCCAGCAGGGAGGAACAGGCCTTGTGGGGGCTGACCTGACTTAGCCAGAGAGGCATCAGGCTGCCAGGAAAATGAGGGTTGCAGCCATCTGGGGACAAAGTTAAGGCAAGCTGTCTGGAAGATCAGGTGGGGAGAGGAGTGCAGTTCTGGCCCCAGAGCTACCCAGCAGGGAGGAACAGGCCTTGTGGGGGCTGACCTGACTTAGCCAGACAGGACATCAGGCTGCCAGGAAAATGAGGGTTGCAGCCATCTGGGGACAAAGTTAAGGCAAGCTGTGGGCTGAAAGGGAGCCCAGTGGGAGATGAGGCACAGAGAGGAGGGAGCTGGGATAAAGAGACTTAGAAATGCAGGCACAAAGCCAGCACAGAGGCTGTCCTGGGTAGCAAGCCCTGTCTACACAACTAGAGTCATTGAAGAAGGCTTTCAGAAGAAGCTGGGACTGGATTTGCGGCTTGAAGAAAGGGTAGGATTTGTAGAGTTGAAGAGGAGTATAACGAGCCACTTCCTGTGAGGTGAAACTACATATCACTCAGTGATTTACATCTAAACTGGGCATTTATGTGTTATGATTGACTGAAATCACCTGTGGGCTAATCAGCCCAGCCATCAGGCTGAGATGCTGGCTCACAAAGGCAGCTGAGGGACCTTCCCCTGCAGGAAGTGACCCTGTGCCTGATTTACACTTTGCAAGGTATGCAATTGTTTTCACTTGCTCTAAACAAATTGACCAAATCCAGTTCAGCAAATGAGATGACTCCAAGCACAAGGTTTCTCTTTGAAAATGATTGAGAACATGTTTGCATACAGTGTTTACAAAGTTGAAGCAAACTATGCTTTGAATGAAGAGAGAATATGTCTCCATTTCTTCGCTGAGTGTGAAATGAGAGGGGGGTTTGTTAGCCCGACTCCAGCAGAGCTCTTGCCCATAGGAAGCCTGAGATCAAGGGTCACAAACTCAAGTGTCTACTGTGAAAATAAGATAAATAATGAAACAAGACAACTGTGATGCAACAGGAAATTGTGGAAACTCTGGCTAAGCCAAGAGCATACATCCTATTTGAAGACGGCTGCTATTCTCTCCCCTATTTGCATCCATGCAAGAATGAGAGTCCACTATGACCAGGTTTTCTAATTTTTCAAGAGAAGCCAGAAATGCTGATTTTTTTTTGGTAAGAAACTTTCTAAGCTAAGGAGTATTGTATGGGTGCCTTCTGCTGTGGGCCACCTGTTTCCAGTCTCTGTTCTAGAGGCTACCTAGTTATGGAAGTCACCTGTAACTGTCCCTATTTGTTCTGGAAGGAAGAGTGGACACTTGTAGGAAAAAGCCCAGACTCCTAGCCTGACATGGAAGACCTTTGCCTACTTCTCTAGACTTTTCTTTTTGTGCTGTGCTCATACCTTGTGCCCCAGCCCTGCTGAGCTAACTGTAGCTTGCCTAATGTGCGTGGAACAGAGATTCAATCCCAATCTTCACCTAAACACTTCACCTAAAGAAAATGGAAAATGGAGTTTCAGTGTAAGGCTGAGCTGAGATTGTGTGGAAGTTTAAAAATATGTCCACATCTTTTTTACTTTCTTTCCATTAGGAGGTGGGCTTGAAGGCTGGGCACGGTGGCTCATGCCTGTAATCCCAGCACTTTGGGAGGCTGAGGCGGGCAGATCACCTGAGGTCAGGAGTTTGAGACCAGCCTCAACATGGAGAAACCCCGTCTCTACTAAAAATACAAAATTAGCCGGGTGTGTGGTGCATGCCTGTAATCCCAGCTATTTGGGAGGCTGAGGCAGGAGAATTGCTTGAACCTGGGAGGCGGAGGTTGCTGTGAGCCGAGATCGTGCCATTGCACTCCAGCCTGGGCAACAAGAGTGAAACTCCATCTCAAAAAAAAAAAAGGAGGTGGGCTTGAAAATGGATTAGGGCTGGGAAGGGTAGTTGGGGATGGAAGGGGAGATGGGGATGGTTAACGGGTACAAAAAATAACTAAAAAGAATGAATAAGACCTACTATTTGATAGCACAAGAGAGTGACTATTGTCAATAATAACTGGCTGGGAGTGGTGGCTTATGCTTGTAATCCTTGCACTTTGGGAAGCTGAGGCAGGTGGATTACCTGAGGTCAGGAGTTTGAGACCAGCCTGGCCAACATGATGAAACCCTATCTCTACTAAAAATACAAAAAATTTAGCTGGGCATGGTGACAGGCCTGTAATCCCAGCTACTTGGGAGGCCTGAGGCAGGTGAATTGCTTGAACCCAGGAGGCGGAGGTTGCAGTGGGCCAAGATCCCGCACTGTACTCTAGCCTGGTCAACAAGAGCAAAACTCAGTCTTAAAAAAAAAAAACCCTATACATTTTTAAATAAAGAGTATAATTGGACTGTTTGTAACTCAAAGGATAAATGCTTGAGGGGATGGATACCCCATTCTCCATGATGTGCTTATATTTCACACTGCATACCTATATCAAAACATCTCATGTACCCCATAAATATACATACCTACTATGTACCCACAAAAATTAAAAATAATAAAAAAAAGGAAATAGATTGGGCTTTGTGACCAGGTCAACCAAGACAGTAGGTGGAAATGATGCCAAATGACTTTTGAGGCTAGGTCAAAAAAGGCAATGCAACTCCTACCTTGCTTGCTGCAACTCTCAGCTGGAAGCCCTCAGCTGCCATGCAAGCAGGCTACCCTGAAGGCACCATGCTGTGAGGAAGCCCAAACTAGCCCATCAGGAGAGACACCATGGAGAAGTTCTGAGGGGATGTAATGAGAGGCAGAGACACCCCACCAGTCCTCGGATGCTCCAGCTCCCTGCTCTTCTAGCTCCAGCCACCACCTGACTGCAACTGCCTGAGAAACCCTGAGCCAGAACCACCCCGCTGAGCCCTTCCCAAATTCCTGACTTGTGAAAATTGTGAGAGATAAAATTATTATTATTATAATAAGCCACTAGGTTTTGTGGTGATTTGTTATGCAGAACAGCTTCAAAGGAGAACTCAAAGTTTAGGCAGAGGCGGAGGCAGATGTAGTGTCTAGTGCCTAGTCTAGTCTGCTGTCCTTAATTCTGTGCACTTGACTCTTCACGTACCAGCCAAATTCCTGATATTCTTCTGCATAAATGCCAGAGGGAGCCAGGTTGGTTGGCTGATTTAGTTACTGTCACTGGTATTGAAAACCTCATCGGGTACCTCAGCCAGCCTGAGTCTTTGGGTTAGGTGCCCACTCATCCAATCAGTAGCCACTCTTGTAGAAGGCCAACCTGTCCCAGTTCACCTGGTTAGGGGCCTGTGGCCATGGCCCTTTCCATGTGAAGGGGAAGTTGGGGTGGCAGGTGTCTAGTGGATCCACCTGGCACCTGTGGTTTGTTGTCGTGTCTTTCCAGGCTTGTGCTCTATGCTTTAGAATCATCCCTACTCCCAATACTTACTCATCTTTTGAGTCTCAATTATGCATTACCTTCTTCATGAAGCTGGGCCATTCCCCTTGGAGACCCCCTGTCTCTTTGCACACCCTCCCTACTAAAGAGAGCTCACTGGCTTCCCCATCCATCTTTCCCACAAAGCTGACCATCCTCAGCTTATTCATCTCAGTCTTCCTAATGCCAGGCTTTGTGGCTGGCTCATAGCAGGGGCTGGATAAATCATTGATAAAACATGAATAGATGTGTTTAGTTGAAAGAGGATAAAGGGAATCATAACATCAGCTACTCTGGAGTGTGGAATGCTTTTGATGTCTGAGTTGGGAGGCTAGGTTCTGTTTCACTGCCTCTTGCAGTAGTTGATACCAGTTCATTGATTATGTCGTTCTGTTACCTGCAGTAGGAACAGATCGTGTCCTAAAAGTGTGTGGTCTGGAACTTGAAGCACATTTTCCCTCATAGAAACAGGTTAGTGGTTTTCAAATTAAAAATAAAATAAACCCAAAAAATCATGAAAAAAAAATTCTACAAGAAACTGAACTTGGAAAGTCAGCTTTGAGGTGGTTTGAAGTTAACAATGGACTGGTCTCTAAGCTTTGGAGGGATAGGGGAAGATGAAAGTGTTGGGGACCCCAGAGCTGCCAGTCAGTTAAAGGGCACTCAGATGCTGTTGTCCCAAATATATAAGTATGGGGGATGGGGGATCCAGGAATATATTTAATTTTTAAAAACTTCACTACTTTATGTTTAAATGGGTAATACACAATGATAGTACAGCTTTTATAATATTTTTATATTTTAGTAACAATGTTTTTACTTCAAATTTACCGTCTATGGGAAATGTTGAAAAAGAAAAGGCCACATAGTTTTCTCTACCCAGATTTCATGCACAGTAAGCTTTGCTTATCATTCCACACATTATTTTGAGTCTAGCTATTTCCTCCCCTCTCCACTCCTTTGACCTATTTTTAGGTCTAGAAGCTAAAAAAAAAAAAAAGATTGTCTAGTGAGGACCTAGTAGCTGGCAGCCCTGAGGGTGGGTGTACCCTGGGGCCTCAGCCCTGGCCTTAACAGGCCTTAGGTGTCGGGGGTGGTGGGGGGGAGGGTTGGGGATTCCAATCCATATTCTGTTAAAGGAACCCTCCCCTCCCTCTTTCTGGGTGAGGCCAAAGGCTGCCCAGTCAGCTGGCCTGGCCTGAGAAGGCTAAGATAGTGCAGGCGCTGTGGTTCCCCATCTCCTCTGCTTCCGTCTCCCACACACTTACAGTTTGGTCCTATTCTTCCCACCCCAAGCTGCTCTGGGGCTGCCACCCTCATACCCCGACCCCAGATCCCAGCCCCAGGCAGATCATTAGGCTGCAGTCAGTCCTGGTTCTTTGCCTTCCTCCCTACCAACTTCTGACTGTGCTGCAGAAAGCAGATAACTGAAAGCCACTCAATATACCTAGAAGGCAGGGCCATAGGATGAGCTTGGCCTTTGGAGTAGCAGACCATGGTTCAAATTGTAGTTGAAACCCCAGCTCTGGGACCTGTTTGCTGTCTGACCACGGGCAAATGACTTACCCTATCTGTGCTACAGTTTCTTATCTGTGAAGTGGAGAAGAGGATAATGATCTACTTTGGAGGGCATTGGGAATTAGAGAAAATGTATGTAAAGTGTCTGGTACAATGTGGCCTACAACTGCCCCTAATAAATGTTTATTGAGGCCTTATCCTCAGCTTTCCAGGAAAGCTGGGGAGGGTTTCCCTCTGGATCTCCTTGTGCTCATGGGGTCGGGACTCTAGGCTGGAGGAGCACAGATTTCCACAATCCTGTGGTACTCATATGTCCGGTAGAGCATCACCTTCATATTTAGAGTCTTCTTCTCCTTTCTTGCGTTAGGATCTTCATGGATTGCAACATTGCACCCTTTACCTAAATGAAACATCAGTGCATATAACTCTCCTCCCATTTTCACCAGGTTAAAACAAAAATTAGGATGGGCAGATGCCAGCCCTTGCTGGAGACCCAGGCTTCTGCATGAATGACTATCCATAAAGCATTTAGATGAGAGAATGTGAGGGAAAGCTGCTGTCCAAGATCTTCTCTGCTGGAGGATGGGACAATGGTCTCACATGCTCAGGAAGGTTTGTAACGTGGGGTTAAGCACGCTAACATGGAAGTTGAAACTCCTGGGTCCAAATCCTGGCTTTTCTAGTTACCAGCCAGGTGCATCAGTTTACTCATCTGTTAAAAGCAGAGGATGATGATGCTGATGAAGAGGATGATGAAGATGAAGATGATGGTACCCATCTCCTCAGGGTTACAGAAGGTGAATTGAATTGATGCAGTGAGAATGGAGTACACTGGACTCACTCATGAAGTATGTTAGCTGCTATGTTCATGCTTTCCCCCTTGGTTCTCTGTGTAGCTAGTGATAGAAATATCAAGCTTTCCAACAAGACTGTCCCTTACCACGTTTTCTTTCTTTTGTTAGCCTTTAGATTTTTTTCTGATTATAAAGGTTATATATGCTCAAGACAAACCACTTATAAAATGTAGAAAGACAAGGCTGGGCACGGTGGCTCACACCTGTGATCCCAGCACTTTGGGAGGCTGAGGCAGGCTGATCACCAGGTCAGGAGATCAAGACCATCCTGGCTAACACGATGAAACCCCGTCTCTACTAAAAATACAAAAAAAAATTAGCTGGGCTGGTGGCGGCCGCCTGTAGTCCCAGCTATTTGGGAGGCTGAGGCAGGAGAATGGCATGAACCTGGGAGGCGGAGCTTGCAGTGAGCCGAGGTCACGCCACCGCACTCCAGCCTGGGCGACAGAGCGAGACTCCGTCTCAAAAAAAAGTTGAAAGACAAAAAGAAGACAATGAAAACACACATCATATTACCGCTCCAGAGATGCTGTGAACATTTTTATGTATTAGGAAATAGATATTTATAGTCATTAGTATAGTATGTAAAAATGAGAGCCTATTAAAACGTGCAGCAGTGACCTATAGAAACCAAAGGTAAAAAAAAATCTGTGTTTGAAATCTGTTTGTTGCCTGTCCAAGTGCTCACTGCAGCTCCCCAGTGTGTTATGGAGCACAGGTTCTTAAAACTAGTGCTAGGCCTACAGCCTAACTTGGGAGCTTGAGAGAAGTTCAAACTCCCTGGCTGCACCTGCTGAATCAGAGAGCCTGGGGTGGGCACAGCAATCTATATTTTAACAAGCCCTCCAGAGGATTTTGAAGTCTGTTCAAATTTGAGAACCATTCTTAGAAATCAAAGTTCTAGCCCAGGTGCGGTGGCTCATGCCTGTAATCCCAGCACTTTGGGAGGCCCAGGAAGGTGGATCACTTAAGCCCAGGAATTTGAGACCAGCCTGGGCAACATAGTGAGACTCCATCCCTACAAAAAATATGTATTAAAAAAATTAGCTGGACATGGTGGCACATACCTGTAATCCTAGCTACCTGGAAAGCTGAGGTGGGAGAATCACCTGAGCCTGGGAAGTCAAGGCTGTAGTGAGCTGTGATCACACCACTGCACTCCAGCACGAATGACAGATTAAGTTCCTGTCTCGAAAGAAAGAAAAAGAATAAAACGGGCCAGGCACTGTGGCTCATGCCTGTAATCCTAGGACTTTGGGAGGCCGAGGGGGGCAGATCACGAGGTCAGGAGTTTGAGACCAGCCTGACCTACATGGTGAAACCCCATCTCTACTAAAAATACAAACATTAGCCAGGCATGGAGTCACGCGCCTGTAATCCCAGCTACTCGGGAGGCTGGGGCAGGAGAATCGCTTGAACCTGGGAGGCGGAGGTTGCAGTGAGCTGAGATCACGCCACCACACTCCAGCCTGGGTGACAGGGTGAGACTCCATCTCAAAAAAAAAAAGAATAAAAGGAAGAAAGGAAGGAAGGAAGGAAAAAGAAGGAAGGAAGAAAGAAAGAAAAAGAAAAAGAAAGAAAGAAGGAAAGAAAGTCAAAGTTCTGGAATTATTTTGAGAAGTTAAACAATAGTTAAGAAACTCTTGCTCTCTAAGGTCTCACAAATTTCAAGCTATGCATTTAAAATAGGTGCTGCCGAAAAAGAATGAACCCTGGAAAACATTCTACTTGCTACACTGAGACACCATATTAAAGACAGCATTATTTTAAATGTCTCTGGACTGCTTTTAAAAAGAACTTTGGGTCATGCATCTAATTCCCTTCTAACTTCTAAAATGGAAAGTAGTTTCCTATGGTTGGCATCTATCATATGTAGTTATAGACAGACCTACTCTGTGACACCATAGAGTACTCACTCATTTCTTCGTTTGTCATTCATTCAAATAATCACCATTCAGCTCTTTGAAGTATTTATTCTCTACCAGTTTCTGGCAGTCCTTTTTGCATTAGGAAAGAACAGATCTGTTTTATTTTCAGATTTTATTTTAAAAATATGTATTTTCAATGGTATTTGGAAGTTTATACTTGCAAGGGATTTGAGTGAAGTAGGAGATATTTTCTCTAGAACATTAAAAGTGTCTGAAGACCCCTTGACCCTCTCCCACACTAGTGCCAAGACAAGAAAACAGGATTTTTCTGCTCTCTTTGAGTTCTAGTCTCTAGGTACAAAGGAATTACATCTCAGTTACTGGAAAGTTTGCAGAACAGAGGAATGGCCCAATGTCTTTGAGACATTTTAGGGCAATACCAGAAGTCTTGGAAGAAGAGAGCTAAATAAAAGTCATCTGGATCCCCAAAGACCACAGAAGATGGCTTGCTCAAAATACCACTACTGAGTTTGGCTTCAGTCCCAGACAAGATTCTAGACTAGATTATTTAAAATAATAACAATAAAGTTTGGGAGACTTTTGGAAAAGCAGCAATTACTGGCATTCAGCCTGAGATTTTAAAAACAAAGTATGTCTGCTTGACCTTTTTCTTTCTTTGACATTGTTTCTAGACTCATTTATTAAGAAAATATGATAGGCACAAGGCCTGGGGCATAATAGAGACTCAATCAATATTTGTTGACTGAATGAATAGGGCATTTTGCGAGGCTTTTGATAAGATCTTTCATAAACTGATTGATAAAGCCACAGCATAATGCAGGCTGGAAGCAAGGGCAAAAGCTGGGTTAGAATTTCCCAGAAAATATCATTAATACCATCTGGGAGGCAGAGTCCTAATGTTGGGCCATCACCCCTGAGAAAGCTCTCCATGGCATGGATGCAGTATAGAGAACAGGCTCATCAAACTGAACATAAAATTGTGCTGGGCAGGGCAGCATACACGCTGAGGGATGAAATCCAGATCAACAGACTACTGAGCAATTTTTAAGCCCCTCCTTATTCTCCCTAAATATAAATAATACATATTCATTGTATGCAATCTGAGAAATATAGGAGAGACTAAAGAAGAAAGTAAAAAAGATTTCATGAACTCCCGTCACCTGAATGTAACCATTGCTAATATTTTAGCATATTTCTTTACTTAGTCTTTGTTTAACTTATACATACTTTATCTAGATGTGTTAATTTCATATCATCCTTTCACTGAAACGAAACTCTTTTAAAGCATAATTTGTAATGATTATATGATAGTTCATTATATCTATGCGTTGACTTACACATCTTCATTTGTAGTAACCAAAACAAATAATTGTACCAAATATCAATATAGCATTTTACTGAGGCCCAGATACTATTTAAAGTGCTTTAAATGTATTAGCTTTTCAGTCCTCACAATAACTCTGAGAGGTATTATCGTTATCCTTATTTTACAGATGAAGAAACTGAAGCAAAAAGAGTTTAAGTAATTTGCCCCAAATCACCCAGATACTAAGTGGTGGGAGCAGAGATTTCTCTCTTTTGAAGTCGGTGTTGGTATTGGAATGACTGACATTTATTAAATGGTATTGGAATGATTGAAAAGCCATTTGGAAATACATGGAGTTGATTTTCATATCGCATTTTACCTTAGTACAAATTCCAGATAAATCAAAGACAATTATAAAAGATGAAATCTTAAATATACAAAAACAGTGATTCTCAATGCTGGCTGAGCTTTAGAATCACTGGGGAGTCTATTTAAGAATTACCAGTGTTGGCCGGGCGCGGTGGCTCACGCCTGTAATCCCAGCACTTTGGGAGGCTGAGGCGGGTGGATCACGAGGTCAGGAGATGGAGACCATCCTGGCTAACACGGTGAAACCCCGTTTCTACTAAAAATACAAAAAATTACCCGGGCGTGGTGGCGGGCGCCTGTAGTCCCGGCTACTCGGGAGGCTGAGGCAGGAGAATGGCGTGAACCCGGGAGGAGGACCTTGCAGTGAGCCGAGATCGCACCACTGCACTCCAGCCTGGGCGACAGAGCGAGATTCCGTCTCTAAAAAAAAAAAAAAAGAATTACCAGTGCTTAGGCCTGGCGTGGTGGCTCACGCCTGTAATCCCAGCACTTTGGGAGGCCAAGGCAGGCTGATCACCAGGTCAGGAGATCGAGACCATCCTGGCTAACACGGTGGAACCCCGTCTCTACTAAAAATACAAAAAGAAATTAGCCGGGCGTGGTGGCGGGCGCCTGTAGTCCCGGCTACTCGGGAGGCTGAGGCAGGAGAATGGCGTGAGTGAACCCTGGAGGCGGAGCTTGCAGTGAGCCGAGAACACGCCACTGCACTCCGGCCTGGGCGACAGAGTGAGACTCTGCCTCAAAAAAAAAAAAAAAAAAAAAAAAAAAAAAGAATTACCAGTGTTTAAGGCCGGGCGCGGTGGCTCACGCCTGTAATCCCAGCACTTTGGGAGGCCGAGGCAGGTGGACCATGAAATCAGGAGATCTAGACCATCTTGGCCAACATGGTGAAACCTCGTCTCTACTAAAAATACAAAAATTAGCTGGGCATGGTGGCGTGCACCTGTAGTCCCAGCTACTTGGGAGGCTGAGGCAGGAGAATCACTTGAACCCAGGAAGCAGAGGTTGCAGTGAGCCGAGATTGCACCACTGCACTCTAACCTGGCGACAGAGTGAGACTCCATCTCAAAAAAAAAAAAAAAAAAAGAATTACCAGTGTTTGCCACTGGCCCCCACTTCCCCCCACAGCTATTTAAATCATAATCACTGGAGGTAAAGCTAGAAATTTGTATTTTTTAAGTATGCGTTATGAACTTTTTTTTTTAACTTTAAGTTCTGGTATACATGTGTAGAACATGCAGGTTACATAGGTATACATGTGCCATGGTGGTTTGCTGCACCCATCAACCTGTCATCTAGGTTTATATTTTCTTGCATTAGGTATTTGTCCTAATGCTCTCCCTCCCCTGGACCCCCACCCCCCGACAGGCCCCGGTGTATGGTGTTCCCCTCCCTGTGTCCATGTGTTCTCATTGTTCAACTCCCACCTATGAGTGAGAACATGAGGTGTTTGGTTTTCTTTGCCTGTGTTAGTTTGCTGAGGATGATGGCTTCCAACTTCATCCATATCCCTGCAAAGGGCATAAACTCATTCTTTTTTTATGGCTGCATAGTAGAAATTGGTATTTTTTTAAAGTTCCTGTTGATTGGAATGCAGCCAGGGCTAAGACATAACGACAAAAGGGACAGATTTTTTAAAACCTGAGAAAGGAGAAAGCTTTTCTATGTATGATATAAACCTCAAAAGTTCTAAAGAAAAAACTGATAAATTCAGTAGTGGAGAATTATTGTTTAATGGGTACAAAGTTTCTGTTTGGGAAGATGAAAAGTCCTGGAGATGCATGGCGGTGATGGTTGCACAGCAATGTGAATATACTTAATGCCATCAAACTGTACACTCAAAAGTGGCTAAATGGTGTGTTTCATGCTATGTATATTTTACCACAATTAAAAATGGCATTACAAAAAACATCATAGGCACAATCCAAATATAAATGACAGATTGGAAAAAATAGGTAACTCATTATAAAAAGGGGCTTATATATAAACAGCTTGCATGAATCAATAAGAAAAAGAGCAACCCAATGTAAAGATGGGTAACAGATATGAACAGTTCACAGAAAAGAAAATATAAATGTTTCTTAAACATATGAAAAAAGCCATTCACACTAAATGTAAGAGAAAATAAAACTACACTAAAATATCACTGTCACTTAGATTGAGAAGTATAAAAACAGAGTTGGGGCCAGGCACAGGGGCTCATACCTGTAATCCCAACACTTTGGGAGGCCAAGGCAGGTGGATCACTAGAGGTCAGGAGTTGGAGACCAACCTGGCCAATGTGATGAAACCCGTTCTCTACTAAAAATATAAAAATTAGCTGGGCATGGTGGTGCTCGCCTGTAACCCCAACTACTCGGGAGGCTGAGGCAGGAGAATTGCTTGAATCTGGGAGGGAAGTGGAGGTTGCAGTGAGCAGAGATGACTCCATCTCAAAAAAAAAAAAAAAAAGTTGGATAACTCAATTGTTGGTAAGGGCCTGAGGAAAGAGCCATTCTTATTATTTGCTGATGGGAGTATAAATTGGTGCATTTTCTATGGTGGGCACATTTGGGAATATCAGTAGAAATTTCAAATGCACACACAGCTTGATCCCATAATTCCACATCTAGGAATTTATCATACAAAAATATTCATATACAAAATGACACATGTACAGGGTGATTAATTGCAATTATTTGAAATAGCAGGCCAGGTGCAGTGGCTCACGCCTGTAATCCCTGCACTTTGGGAGGCCAAGGCGGGTGGATCGCCTGAGGTCAGAAGATCGAGACCAGCCTGACCAACATGGTGAAATCCCGCCTCTACTAAAAATATAAAAAGTTAGCCAGGCGTGGTGGCGGGCACCTGTAATCCCAGCTACTCGAGAGGCTGAGGCAGGAGAATCACTTGAACACAGAGGCGGAGGTTCCAGTGAGCCAAGATGGTGCCACTGTACTCCAGCCTGGGCAACAGAAGGAGACTCCATTTAAAATAAAAATAAAAAGAAATAGCAAAAGGGGGATGCAAACATCTACTAATAGAAGAGTTGTCAAATAAATGTTGGTATGTCCATAGTACATACTTTGGGGTACTCTGTGGATGTTAAAGAAATAAAATCTATATATGCTAATATGGAATGATTGGCACTATGTGAAAACAGCAAGTGTAAATAAGAGAAGGGTTATATAATCACATAACTCTATGCATGTAAGAAACTAGCAAGAAAAGTTGCCTCTGGGATATAAAGACGTTTTTCGCTGTGTGCTTTTTTTTTCTATTTTTTTTTAAACCCCATGAATGTATCTCTCCAAGATAATTCTTTTTTCTTTAAATAAAACTTCACCGGGGAGGGCCAGAACCATATAAAACGGTATCTAGAAGTACCATTTGTTGGCCGGGCGCGGTGGCTCACGCCTGTAATCCCAGCACTTTGGGAGGCTGAGGCGTGCGGATCACGAGGTCAGGAGATCGAAATGATCCCGGCCAACACGGTGAAAACCCATCTCTACTAAAAATACAAAAAATTAGCCGGGCGTGGTGGCGGGCACCTATGGTCCCAGCTACTCGGGAGGCTGAGGCAGAAGAATGGCGTGAACCCGGGAGGCGGAGCTTGCAGTGAGCTGAGATCGCGCCACTGCACTCCAGCCTGGGCAACAGAGCGAGACTCCGCCTCAAAAGAAAAAAAAAAAAAAAAAAAGAAGTACCATTTGTTGTTTCTGCTGCTGTTTGCTAAACGCTTGGGGGAAGACTTGAGTATGTTCAGGTGATGGAGGGATAACAGCAGTAGAAAGGAAAAGGCTGATGGAGCCAGTTATCTGAGGAGGAGGACAAGAGGGAAGGCAGGATCAGGAGGAGGCAGGCATTAGCTTTGGGCAGAAGCAGACACACCTCCTTCCCTGAGATGGACGAGGTAAGGGGAGGATTCATTCCTAAAGAGATAAAACCAGGGCCCTGGGTGGGGTTGATGGAGCTCCTGCCTCAAGGCCTCTATTATCTATGGAAAATATTAGTTAGGTTATCTGCTCCTAGTGAGGGAGGAGATGGTGGCCAAGAGGGCATGAGGACTGTGGTTAAAATGGTAAAGCAGCTATTGTTGAAGGCCCCATAAACCTGGGTGCTGGCAGTCTGCGTGGCTAAGAAGCTTTCTCTAGCGGTTTTCACCAACTGGGAGCCTGAGCAGGGGGCCGGAAGGAAGTGAAGAAGGGAAGGGGCCAGTGGGTTGAGGACGTTAGACAGTGAGCAAGGTCTGAAACTATGTGGGAAGAGGGTAAGCAGTTCTATCCTATGGTTGCCTGTTTGTCTCCCCAGTGAACTGGAACCCCCCTCCTACTCCCAGGGCACTTTTCATAGTCCCCAGGGCCTGAGTGGGTGCTTGGTCATGGGACACAGTTCAAGAAATGTTTCTCAAATTACTTAATCGACCCTGCAAATACAAAAACAGATGAATAAACGAACCCTAAGTCTTAGCACTTCATCAGTGCTGCGAGAAGGCCTTTATCCCATCTGGCATTATCCAGCTTATTTACTTACCTTGTTCCCAAGATTTGTTTGCTCTTTCCAATGGTGATAGCTACCCTCAAGGGAAGGAGACACTGAGGTTATGTGTTTAAAGATGCTGCAGGCTGTGATGGCAAATACTTTGCAGGACTCCACTGTAGCTCCTCCTCTTTCCTAACATCACTTTCATCACTCGTGTTTGAAATCCCACTCTCAGTGGTCCATGGCTGCATGCCTCTCAAAGTGGGTGTGGGGAGTGGGGCAGGGGGATTTGGAAGGAGGGTTCTGCAGAGGGAGGGGAGCACAGCACCCTGGGAGAGGTGACACTTGGTTACTGATGTCTTAGTACTGGTGGTTTGCAGTTGAAAGGGAGCAGCAAACACTTGGTGTGGGAGGAGTAAAGAGGCGAGGCTCTTAAAAGCAATCTGATGATCAATGTGTGTCCTCTATAATTTGGGGGAAGGCCTACCCTTCCTCCACTCCAGGCTCTGCTTTTCTCTCACCTCTATCAGCAGAGGAACTTACTGTAGTCTGGGAGGGTCTCTCCTTCACTCAGCCATTCTTCCCACTGTAGTTGAGCACTTGCTGCAGGCCCAGCCTATGGCAGGCGGAGGAATGCAGAGGCCCCTCCTTCCAAGGCCCACAGAGAGGAGCCTTCAGCTCCAGCTGGTTCAATGTCCCCTGATTGCCTTTGGATATTATTATCTGAATCCGGGATTAACAACTCCTGAACCCTGAGCAAGTGAGAGACAGCAGTGCCCTCCAGGGACCTGGCAGAGTGCACATGCCAGGCAGCACGTAGCTGCTACGGCAGGCATGGAGGCGTTGCCATGGAAACTGCCCAGGCGGCCTTTCCACTCACAACCTCTAGGTTCCTTTGTTTGTGTCATCCGTTTCTAGGAGATACATGCGAGGCTTTCTCTCCTCCTTTTTCTCATCCCTGGAAAGAGTTGTGGAGGAGTTGCTGGTGAATGGGGTGGGAGAAGTCAAGTGCAGCCCGGGTGGGAAAACAGCTGATGAATGCCAGGGTTTCCAGCGACCTGTGGGGTAGTGGCTCACAGCTCTCAGCTCTGCTGCTCTGGTGGGAGAAGCCCCTCATCGGCGATTACATTCCACCAGAGCCGCTGCCCTCTCCTCCCTGCACCCACAGGCTGCGAGGTGCTCAGGGGCAATCAGGCAGAGCTGGATTTGCTGTACCAGGCCTGGGTACTCCGAGGCAGTGAGGTACAGTTAAGAGAGCACTGAAATCGGAGTCAGGAGGCCTGAATTTTGGCCCTAATCCTGGCACAGCATAACCTTAGGCAAGTGTTTTCCATCCTCCTGGCTCAGTTTGCTCATCTGGAAAGTGAGAGGGCTGGAATAGAACAATAATTCCAAAGTGCTGCGTCCGAATCATCTGAGAAGCAGATGCAAGCTGCATTACACAATGCAGATTTCTAGGCCCAACCCCAGAGATTCCTATTAATTATGTCTGGGTGGGGCCTGGCAATATGTATTAAGGGAATGTAAATTCATTTCATTATGAGACTCTGTTGACACGCTTGAGATAATTAGAGACACTTGAAAGCAGTCACACCAGAACTGTGAATCACTGAATTAGAAGTAAATGTCAAGTACACTTGAATAATCGAACAGAATATACTAAGACTATGTTATCTGATTAGTTCCAAGCCTTTATGGCAACGATGCCACTTATCTCATTATGAAATGTCTTTCAGTACAAAAAAAATGACCATCATTGAAAACTTCTCAAGCAGGCATGACCTCACAGTGTCCTTTAGCATCAGGAATAAATGGGCACTCATCCAGCCTCTCCCAGGTGACCGTCACCTACCGAATGCCACAGCTATGCTGCAAGAGGTGGGGCAAAGAACAGCACACCTAGCTTTCTTGAAACTTTCCTTCCTTCACTTCAGTAAATCCATTTCCTCTAGGTCTTTCTTGACTCTTCAACTTTTCATTTATTTATTCAGTAAATACTGATTGTATGAGTGCAATCAGACTCTGCTGGACACTGGGGATACAGTGGAGGGCGGGGTTTGTGGGCCAACCACAGGTTGATGTCATGAGTGCTGTGAAGGTGCCATGGAGTGCCTAGGAGGGGGTCCCAACCCAAATATCTTCTTGCCCTTCTCCTGTCTCTAAGTATTGTCACTTTCTAAAACTCATTGATATGATTTGGCTCTCTGTCCCCACCCAAATCTCATCTTGAATTATACCCCCATAATTCCCATGTGTTGTGGGAGGCACCCAGTGGGAGACAATTGAATCATGGGGGCGGTTTCTCCCATACTGTTCTCATGGTAGTGAATAAGTGTCATAAGATATGATGGTTTTATAAGGGGAAACACTTTTCACCTGGTTCTCATTCTCTCTCTTGCTGCTTCCATGAAAGAAGTGACTTTCGCCTTTTGCCATGATTATGAGGCATCCCTAGCCACGTGGAACTGTAAGTCCATTAAACCTCTTTCTTTTGTAGATTGCCCAGTCTCAGGTATGTCTTTATCAGCAGGCTGAAAATGGACTAATACACTCATTTTTGTGCAAACCTACCTAAAATGGCATTTATTGGCAGAATATTGGTGCAGAACAGGGATGGCCATGACCAGCAGACTGGCTGGATTGCAGGTGGCCCCAGCAGGGAGACTCTCACAGTTGGTGATGAGAGAAGTTCACACTGTAGGTCAGTCAGCATCAAGAAGGTTCAAGCAGCTGGGAAGTGATGAAAACCCTGGTAGGCAGGTGAGAGCTTGATAGGCAGGTGTTCCACTAATCCAGCAGTGGTCATGTGGATTCAGCCTCAGTGTTCTGGGCCAGGACTAGGATGGGGCTTTGTCCAGAGAGACTGGGAGACTGAGCAGGGGATACAGGCATGGACACAGACATGGGCATGATGGGGAGGGGTAGTGGTCAGTGAAGGATTCCTTGAAGAAGGGATGTCTGAGCTGAAACCTGAAGACTGACTCAGAAGTAACTAGACAAATAGAGGAGGAAATGATTCCAGGAAGAGGGAGCAAAATGTGAAGGCTCGAGAGAAGAAGCTACCAATGCCTGCTATCTGAACAGAATCAATGAGTTGCCTTTCTACTTAGATTGAATGAGAGCTCAGAAACCTTCACACCTGGAGAGTTTGGCCAGGCCCTGAAAGACATCAAGAAGTCTGCAAAGGGGACAGAATCCAGGAGTGACGCTCCTTCCTACCTAAAGAGAATATTAATAACCTTTGCATGGTTGTTTGGAAGGTCGTGAGGTGGCCAATTTTCAGGCTCTTCTCTCTCTTAGGGATAGCTAGGTGATAGGAAAGAAAACAAGAGGCTCTTATATATTTTACTTCCACAAAGTAAAAGTGGAATCCCCATAATGGATTATTTTGCTTTAAACAGTATTTTAAAAAGGTAAGAAAAGAAAGAAAAGCAGATATTAAAAGCATTTCCCAGCTCTTTACTATTTTTGATGCTCTTCTTTCCTTCCCGTGGATATGAATTTTCTTATGGTATCACTTCCCCTTGGCCTGAAGAAATTCCTTTAACATTTCTCTTAGGTGGATTTATTGATGAGAATAAATCCAGTTCTTATTTGCCTAAAATTTTTTTTACCTTCAATTTTAAAGGAATTTTTACTAGGTATAGAATTATAGTTTGACAGTTATTCTTTCAACACTTTACAGATGTGGTTCTGTTGTCTCTGGTCTCTTGTTTCTGGGGAGGAATGAGTTGTCATTGTTATCACTAGTTCTCTGTATGTAGTGTTTTTCCTCCTTTTGTACTTTTTAAGATTTTATCTTTCTCTTTTGTTTTCAGAAATTTAACTGATAATATGATTTTCTTTGTATTTATCCCACTTAAGGTTTGATGGACTTCTTAGGTCTGTAAGTTTATGTTTTAAATAAAATTTGGAAAAATTTTTGTCCATGCTTCTCTAAGCATTCTTTCTGTATAATTTTCTCTCTCATCTCTTTCTGGGATTCCAATTGCTTGTGTGTTAGACTTCATCTTGCAAATTGTTGAGACTCTATTCATTCCTTTAAATTTTTTTTCCATTGTGATTCAATTTGGATAATTTTTATTGAACTGTTGTTAACTTCACCAATTCTTGCTTCTATAATACATTGTTTAATCTTTATTTCATCCAATGAGTTTTTTAAAATTTCACATATTAGAATTTTCAGTTTTGTAAGCCTCATTTTGTTTTTTATTAGCATTTCATTTCTCTCCTGAGGCATCTCATTCTTTCGTCTATCACACCCATCCATAGGTGCTTTAATACATTTATCATAGTTATTTTAAAATCCTGTCTGCTGATTCCTATATATGGGTTGCCAAGATGTCTGTTTCTATTGACTATTTTCACTTGCTTATGGGTTTCCTGCTTCTTCACAAGTAAGTACTATTCATTATCGTGCATATTACATTGTAGAGATTCTGGGTTGACCTATCTTACTCTGATGAGGATAGAGTTTTGTTCCAGCTGGCAGTTACTGAAGGATCACCTTGTTTCTATGAATATTTCATTTAGACTCTGTATGGCAAGTCTATTTTACTCTGAATCCTAGGTTTAGGCCTTAGTCTTGAGACGTGGCTCTTACTGCTAAGTTATGGCCCTTCTGGAGTTTCACTGTAAAACTAAGGCCCTCTGAATTAGTGAGATTTCTTCAAACTCAGTCTCCCCAGCACTAGACAGCAATGGAAATATCTGCACAGGCTTTCAGCCTCCCATTTGTTGCTTTCTACTGGCTTTCTTGGACCTTTCCCTGAACATGTACAGTTCAGAGTCATCCAAGGATTTGAGGAGAATTTGCACACAGATGTTGGGCTTCCTCCTTTGAGACTCCTTCCGTTCCAGGATTTCTCTCTCAATATCCAGCTGTTTTGCCAGTCCCAAACTCTGACCTCTGACTCCTTAGCCCAGTAAGACTGATGATTTCTGCCTGAGCTCTATTTCCATACACTACACTACACAATCCTTAGGGGAAAAATGGGATAAATATGGATCTCATCTGCTGTGTTTTTCTTCTTTTACTTTTATTTTTTGGAGACAGAGTCTTGCTCTGTTGCCCAAGCTGGAGTGCAGTGGCATGATCTTGGCTCACTGCAAGCTCCGCCTCCCGTGTTCATGCCATTCTCCTGCCTCAGCCTCCCAAGTAGCTGGGACTACAGGCGCCTGCCACCACGCCCGGCTAATTTTTTGTATTTTTAGTAGAGACAGGGTTTCACCATGTTGGCCAGGATGGTCTTGATCTCCTGACCTCATGATCCACCTGCCTCGACCTCCCGAAGTGCTGGGATTACAGGCTTGAGCCACTGCGCCCGGCTTGTTTTTCTTCTTTTAAAAGTCAAATCCTCTTAAGTTTCTGTATGTTCTTCACTTCTCGCCAATGCTTTCAAATAATTTTTTTAAAATTTTGTCTGGAGTTTAAATTATCAACAGGAGAATTAATTCAATATAGAATTACTGGGACAGGGATAGCATGGAAGTTGATTTTATTCTGTGTATCTGACTTAAAAGGCTGTGATTCCAAAGCAAAAGTGGTAAGAATGCTCAAACAACTAATTTGGGTAGTAGGGGAGTTTAAGAGCCAAACCCGGACTTTCGTAGAGTCTAAAATTGGCATTCAGGACAGTGAGCCTGGAGAGCAGTTAGGAGGCTGAGGTCTTTGTGTGGGCATGTGTTGAAAGCTCATTTTAGAGGGGTGGTGATGGAAACAGGGATGGTACAGGAGGGTTTAGCTAGACAAGAAAGACCTGGGTCTCACTGAATAAGGAGGAAAAAGGAGAAGGAAGAGACAGAAATTACTCTTCAGTTTTGATCTTGAAAGACAGAAGGGCACGACTCTTGAGAAAGGCATGGAAATTGGGAAGGGATGTTACAGGCGAAGGTGATGAATAGTTCACAGGGAGGAGGCAGTGTTGAAGGTCAGTTAGGGTAGAGGTAGTGATCTCTTTTTGGGAGAGTGTAGAGAGAGCCATGTGGAGACCCGGGGACTGATCCTGAGCAAATACTGGCATTTAGAGGATGGAAGAAGAAAGTAGAACCTTTGAGAGAACCTTCTCTGGAACTAATCTAGAAGAGGCATCAGAGAGGTAGAAGGGGATCTGTAGGAGAATCTGTTAAGAATAAGGAGACCTGGAGAGTGCGGAAAGCTCAGAGGCCTAAAGTGGAGGAGTGGGGACAAGAAAAGACCATCAGAGGCAAGCAGGTTGCTGGCAGTGACAGTGGTGAGAACAGAAGTCATCATAGGTTAAATAGGAAGTGAGCTTAGTTACTTTAAAAAAATCATCTGCCTTTAATGCAGTCCTATCCCTCATCCACCAGCTCTCCCAATCTCAGGTCAGGCTCTTTGTTGCCTCTGGGAGACTGGCAGTTGCAGTTGTTGCCAAGTGGCATTTACAGGCTCAGCTCCCTGAGGATTAACCACCCAGAAGAGGATTCAGCTCTGAGGACAGAGAGATGAGCACACCAGTTGAGCAGCCTAACCTCCCCATGTTTGGAAGATAAATGCTTCCCATCCCAGAATTTTAATTTGAGCTTTCCAACCTTTCCTGCTTTCCAAACATTTGGCTAAGATGATGGATAACATTTAATTGTATACGTGTCTTCCTCAAAGCATTTTAAACAACCTTCTCCTAGGATCCAAATTGGCTGGAGATAAGGCAGGAGGGAGACTTTGTTCCTTAAGCACCATTTTCCCTTTTACAATCTCATCATCAGCTTTTTGGAGCTGGTCTCAGGTGACATTAACGTAGAGCTGGCTGTGGACACAGCAGGTTCTGGGCCCTGATTAGGGTGCCCCTCCCAAGCTAAAAGACTAAGGCATGAATTAACTGAGAATAAGGGTGAGAAAAGAGGAGGTGGAGATGCTTTCTGGGGTCCAGTTTGATGAATGGAGAGGTCATTAAGCAAGATGGAGAATATAGGAGGAATGATGTGTTTGGAGAAGATTATGACCTCAGTTCTGAACTGTTTGGCTGGAGGAGTCTGTGAGATCCAGATGCTACTCAGTAGTCAATGTTATCTATGAGTTAGGGTTCGGAAGAGAGCTCAAGGGTGGGGATAAAGAGTAACTGGGACATAGACTGTTGGGCATGGTGTCTCTGGATGCTTGGTTGAGTTGCTCCAGTCCTTCCCAAAGTCCTTCCCATGGATTAAAGAATGCGTCCTAAACAACCTGGATGGAGAACAACTCTAAGCAGAATTTTCAGAATTGAAAAAGCCCCCAGCAGAGGGTCAGGACAGGTGGGTTCTAATTTCAGCTCCATTTTAACTTACAGTGTGACCCAAAGCAAATAGCTTCTTGTCTCTGGGACTTGATTTCCTCATTTGTAAAATGAGGGGATCAGCTTTCGTCGTCTTCCTCCACTAGCGCCTAGGCATCCATAGCACTGTCTTAAAGGGGTCCCCAAATGAGGTAGGTTAGAAGGAATTAGACACCTTGACAGAATACAATCAGGCCTTAGAGCCCTAGAAAGAAACTTGGAGTGGTATCCTTGAGAGCAATGGAAGGAAATAGTACTTTTTACCAACTTGCTGAGTACTTAGAATGCACCAGGCACAGAGGAGGGCCCTCCGCTTCCGCTTCCATCATGTTTCCTCCTCACAATGCTGAGCTTCTGTGGCTTAGAGAGTAAAGGAGTTAGGATTCAAATCCAGGGCCTCCTAATTCCACACCAGTGCTGGTCAACACCAGACATGAAAGAAAGAAAAAGCTGAGAAGAGGGATGGGAGCCAGAGGATCATTTGGCATAAAACCTGTCTTTTCCTTTGATCCTGTAAACGTTTTTTGTTTTTGTTTTGTTTTGTTTTTTTTTGAGACGGAGTCTCGCTCTGTCGCCCAGGCTGGAGTGCAGTGGCGCGATCTCAGCTCACTGCAAGCTCCGCCTCCCGGATTCACGCCATTCTCTTGCCTCAACCTCTCAAGTAGCTGGGACTACCGGCGCCCGCCACCACGCCCGGCTAATTTCTTTTTGTATTTTTAGTAGAGATGGGGGTTTCACCATGTTAGCCAGGATGGTCTTGATCTCCTGACCTGGTGATCCGCCCGCCTCGGCCTCCCAAAGTGCTGGGATTACAGGCGTGAGCCACCGTGCCCGGCCAATCCTGTAAACATTTTTTGATGCTGTATAAGTAATCAGTAATAGAATTTAAAGAATTATAATTTCAATTTTATTTTAGATTCAGGGGCTACATGAGTAGGTTTGTTACATGGGTATATTGCATGATGCTGAGGTTTGGGGTTATGATTGATCCCGTTACCCATGTGGTGAGCATAGTAGTCAAAAGTTAGTTTTTCTTTTTTTCTTTTTTCTTTTTTTTTGAGATGGAGTCTTGCTCTGTCGCCCAGGCTGGAGTGCAGTGGCACGATTTCTGCTCACTGCAACCTCCGCCTCACAGGTTCACATCATTCTCCTGCCTCAGCCTCCCGAGTAGCTGGGACTACAGGCACCCGCCACCACGCCCGGCTAATTTTTGGTATTTTTAGTAGAGTCAGGGTTTCACCGTGTTAGCCAGGATGGTCTTGATCTCCTGACCTCGTGATCCGCCCGCCTCGGCCTCCCAAAGTGCTGGGATTACAGGCGTGAGCCACAGCGCCCGGCCACAAAAGTTAGTTTTTCAACCTTTTCCTCCCCGACTCTTTCCCCCTCTAGTAGTCCCCAGTGTCTACCGTTGTCATTATGTCCATGTGTACCCAATATTTAGTTCCTCGTTATAAGTGAGAACATATGGTATTTTGTTTTCGTTCCTGCATTAATTCACTTAGGATAATGGCCTCCAGGTGCATCTATGTTGCTGGAAGAACATATTTTTGTTCTTTTTTTATGACTGTGTAGTATTCTATGGTGTATATGTACCACGTTATCTTTATCCAGTCCACCACCGATGGACACTTAGGTTGATCCCATGTCTTTACTATTGTGAATAGAGCTGCATGTGTCTTTTGGTAGAGTGATTTATTTTCCTTTGGATATATAGCCAGTAATGAGATTTCTGAGTTGAATGGTAGTTCTAAGTTTTTTGAGAAATCTACAAACTGCTTTCCACCATGGCTGAGCTAATTTACATTCCTACCAACAGTGTGTAAGTGGTCCCTTTCTCCATAGCCTTGTCGGCATCTGTTTTTTGACTTTTAATAATAGTCTTCTGCCTGGTGTGAGATGGTATCTCAATTTGGTTTTGATTTGCATTTCTCTAATGATTAGTGATATTGAGCATTTTTTTTCATATGTTTGTTGGCCACTTACATGTCTTCTTTTGAAAAGTATCTGTTCATGTCTTTTGCTCACTTTTTAAATGGGGTTCTTTTTTGCTTGTTGAATTGTCTAAGTTCCTTATAGATTCTGGATATTAGACCATTGTTGGATGCATAGTTTTGCGGATATTTTCTCCCATTCTGTAGGTTGTCTGTTTACTTTGTTGATAGTTTCTTTTGCTGTGCAGAAGCTCTTTCATTTAATTAGGTCCCACCTTTCAATTTTTGTTTTTGTTGCAATTGCTTTTGAGGACTTAGTCATAAATTCTTTCCTAAGGCTGAAGTCCATAATGGTGTCTCCTAGGTTTTTTTCTAGGATTCTTATATTTAAATCTTTACATTTAAATCTTTAATTTTTTACATTTAAATCTTTAATCCATCTTGTGTTAATTTTTGTGTACGGCAAAAGGGGTCTAGTTTTATTCTTCTGCACGACTAGCCAGTTATCCCAGCACCATTTATTGAATGGGGGAGTGCTTTCTCCATTGCTTATTTTTGTTAACTTTGTTGAAGATCAGGTGGCTGTAGGTGTGTGGCTTTATTTTTGGGTTCTGTATTTTGTTCCATTGGTTTATGTGTCCTCTTTTCATACCAGTACCATGTTGTTTTGGTTACTATAGCCTTATAGTATAGTTTGAAGTGGAGTAATTAGATGCCTCTGACTTTGTTCTTTTTGCTTAGGATTGCTTTGGCTATTTGGGCTCCTTTTTAGTTCCACATGAATTTTAGAATAGTTTTTTTCTAATTCTGTGAAAAATGACGTTGCTAGTTTGATAGGAATATCATTGAATCTGTAGATTGCTTTGGGCACTATGGGCATTTTAACAATATTTAGTCTTCTAATCCATGAGCATGGAATGTTTTTCCATTTGTATGATCTCTGATTTCTTTCAGCAGTGTTTTGTAATACTCTTTGTAGAACTACAGATTCTTTCAATTCCTTGGTTAAATGTATTCCTAGGTATTTCTTTTTGTTGATTTGGCTCTCCAGCTTGAATGTTAATTGGTGTATAGAAATGCTACTGAGTTTTGTACGTTGATTTTGTATCCTGAAACATTACTGAAGTCATTTATCAGTTCTAGGAGCCTTTTGGCTGAGTCTTCAGGGTTTTCTAGATATAGAATCATATCATCTATGAAGACAGATAGTTTGACTTCTTTTCCTTTTACTTTTTTCTCTTGCCTAATTGCTCTAGATAAAACTTCCAGTAGTATGATGAATACAAGTGGTGACAGTGGGCATCTTTGTCTTGTTCTAATTCTCAAGAGAAATGCTTCCAGCTTTTGCCCATTCAGTATGATGTTAGATATGGGTTTGTCATAGATGGCTCTTACTATGTTGAGACATGTTCCTTCAGTGCCTAATTTGCTGAGGGTTTTTGTCATGAAGTGTTGTTGGATTTTATAAAAAAAATTCTGTGTCTGTTGAGATGGTCATATAGTTTTTGTTTTTAATTCTGTTTATGCGGTGAATCACATGGAATGATTTGCATATGTTGAACTAACCTTGCATTCCAGGAATGAAGCCTATTTGATTGTGGTGAATTAACTATATGATTGCTGCTGGATTCAGTTGGCTAGTATTTTGTTGAGGATTTGTGTCTATGTTCCTCAGGAATATTGGCCTGTAGTTTTCTTTTTTTGTTGTGTATCGGCCAGATTTTTGTATCAGGGTAATGCTGGCTTCCTAGAATCAATGAGTAATTCCTGCTCATCAATTTTTTGAAATAATTTTAGTATAATTAGTACCAGCTCTTCTTTGTACCTCTGGTAGAATTTGGCTGTGAATTCATCTGGTCTGGGGATTTTTTTGTGTGGGTAGGTGTTTTCATTACTGATTCAGTTTTGGAACTTGATATTGGTTTGTTAAGAATTTCAATTAGGATGGGAGAGAGAAGGTAGCTCAAAGTGATGATTATTCTACCTGCCTCAAACACAGTCTGTACCTTCCTGTTGGCCCAAGACTTGAGAGAAATTTTCACAGCAATGGAGCCTTGCATAATTAGATATTCTTCCTCTGCAGATTGGGATATAGAAAGGAGGACATTTTCATTTAATGAGAGGATCACACATGGCTAAGAACAGAAGTTAGGAGTTAGGATAGAGATGTGTTCTTCACCATTAATCCTACCTATAGTAAAGTGTGTTGCACTACTTGTCTCAATCTGGGTTCAATCAGGGAAGCTGAACCACTGTGAGTATTGTGGATTAAGGAATTTATTAGAGGAACTAGACCTTATGCAATTGTGAGAGAATCTGGGGAAACACAGGTTTGTGAAGGGAAGTTGAAGAATCAGAGGAAGAGTCATTGACTGGCCCTTGTGCTGGCAAATGAACTGAAACTTGCAGGGAAATCTGGAAGCCAGGCACGTTCTACCGTTGGTGTAGAAGTCCATAGAAGGTGGTGGACTCAGAGTAGCCTCTGCAGATTTGAAGTAAACTCTCTGATGATGGGGCCTGGGCTTACTACTGATCAGCAAGGTTGACAATCAGGAAAGAGCTAGAAGGAGAGCTAGTCACAGAGTGGGGTGCCTGCCTGCACCTCTGTGGTGTCTCTCACCTCCTCTGACATATGACAAATGCAGAGCTTGATGGCTGTGGCTTCTGTCCCCCACCTCTCACTCAGCTGTACCTCTGACCCAGGACCATACAGGTGAGGGGTTCTGTGAGACAGAGTTCTCAACATAGCCAAGTTGATGCTAGAACCATTGAGCACATTATTATAGTGATGTAATATAATTGATGATTGCTTTGGTTTGTTTTTATATTTACTAATTCATATTTTGCCTCATTTCAAAATAGGATTTTTGAAGCAGCTTAGAGAAACATTAGAAATTGAGTGAAATTGTAAAAGGAAGTGATGGAGGCAGAGAAAAATGTGTAGGGCAATAAAATAATTCAAACTTAGTGGCAGTGTTCAAGAAATCCATCTAAGAGCCTGTTTCATTGAAGATGGGGCTATGGATTGGGCTCAGAGCATCCTCAGAGCCAAAGCAAATATTTTGTGACAAAGATCATCACAAGGGGAGTGGCAAAGATTTTCCTGATCCTGTGAACTAAGGGAAATATCTCCTAGGGGTCCTCAAAAATATCCCTTTGATAAGGTGTCTTGGAACCATTCAGTGAAATCTGTGCTCTGAGGAATTAAAACAAGGAAGACCTGGCATGTGCTCTAGGCTTTCCTGGCCTCATCCAGACCCTATCCTGCCAGAAAGCGGCCAGGAGACAATTTCTAAACATTACAGCTATATGATTGGATGGTTTGTATATTCTTCAAGCTAGGAGTTGATGAGCTTTTTCTTCTTCTTCTTTTTTTTTTTTTTGGAGATGGAGTCTCGCGCTGTAGCTCAGGCTGGAGTGCAATGGCGTGATTTTGGCTCACTGCAACCTCTGCCTCCCAGATTCAAGCGATTCTCCTGCCCGAGTAGCTGAGATTACAGGTGTCCACCACCATGCCTGGCTACTTTTTGTATTTTTAGTAGAGACAGGGTTTCATCATGTTGGCCAGGCTGGTCATGAACTCCTGACCTCAGGAAATCCACCCGCCTTGGCATCCCAAAGTGCTGGGATTACAGGCGTGAGCCACCACGTCCAGCCGATGAGCTTCTTCTGTAAAGGGCGAGATAGTAAATATTTTAGGCTTTGCAGGTCGCTAGGTCTCTGTTACAGCTACTCAGCACTGTCATTATAGCATAAATGCAGCCATAGAGAGTCTGTAAACAAATGAGTGTGGCTGGGTTCCAATAAAACTTTATGAAGGAACACTAAAACAATTCTAATTTCCATGTGTCACAAAATATTAATTCTTCTTTACAGTTATTTCCGACCATTTAAAATTGTAAAAACCATTCTTAGCTGTAGACTGTAGCCATACAAAAACAGGCAGCAGGCTGGATTTGGCCCATATGCCATGGTTTGTGCACCCCTGTTTCAGGTGGTCCTCCATAACTGATTAACCCATTTCCCGTTTAGAAAAAAAAGTGCCGCTCGCTGCCAGCGCTCATTTAATTTGATGTAAATATGCTTTTTGATGCTGAAGCAAAGCTGACCGATTTTCAGTGTGAAAATAAAATATAAAAACTGTTCTTGGAGTTATTTCTAAGCAGAACTTGTCTCTAATCCTAGTGTAACAGAAATGTATATGATGTTACACTAGGATTAGAGACAAGAGCATTCTCGGGGCAAACGGAAATGAGTTAAGAAAGTGGGAGGCGGCTGGGTGCGGTGGCTCACGCCTGTAATCCCAGCACTTTGGGAGGCCGAGGTGGGCAGATCACGAGGTCAGGAGATTGAGACCAGCCTGGCCAACATGGTGAAACCCCATCTCTACTAAAAATACAAAATTAGCCTGGCATGGGTCCCAGCTACTCGGGAGGCTGAGGCAGGAGAATTGCTTGAACCCGGGAGGCGGAGGTTGCAGTGAGCTGAGATCGCGCCACTGCACTCCAGCCTGGGTGACAGAGCGAGACTCTGTGTCAAGAAAAAGGCCGGGCACAGTGGCTCACGCCTGTAATCCCAGCACTTTGGGAGGCCGAGGCGGGTGGATCACGAGGTCAGGAGATGGAGACCATCCTGGCTAACACGGTGAAACCCCGTCTCTACTAAAAATATAAAAAATTAGCCGGACGTGGTGGCGGGCGCCTGTAGTCCCAGCTACTCGGGAGGCTGAGGCAGGAGAATGGCGTGAACCCGGAAGGCGCAGCTTGCAGTGAGCCGAGATCGTGCCACTGCACTCCAGCCTGGGCGACAGAGCGAGACTCTATCTCAAAAAAAAAAAAAAAAAAAAAGAAAAAGAATCTTCTTAAGGGTGGGGAAAATTACAAACTACGCTGATCAGTTAGAGTGGGGCAGAAGCAAATCACAATGGTGGAATGTCATCAGTTAAGGCTAGTTTCACGTCTTTTGTGGATCTTCAGTTGCTTCAGGCCATCTGGATGTATACGTGCAGGTCACAGGGGATATGATGGCTTAGCTTGGGCTCAGACGCCTGGCAGTTACCTGGAGATCACTGAAGATCCCTCCACTGGTTTTGATGGACCGACAGGTTTGGGGCCGTGACCTGTGCTTTGCTGAAACCCTGCCTGGCTCCAGAGTCAGACAGATGCCAAGTGAGGTCAAAAGCAGGTGCTGTATAAACCAGGACTTCCTCTCCATGGATGGCTAGGCTGGCATTGCAATAGCAATGTGGGCTGACACCCCGACTTTCTGAGAGTGAGGGGGCAGAGGTAGAAGCCCCAGGAAGGCAGGGCCTAGTAGGCAAAGTGAATAATGAGGTTTCCACTTCAGCAGTACACTCCCCTAAGCAAGAGGGATGGAGGCCGAGCTCAAGGCCTGGCTCAGAGCCAGATGCTTGGGAGAGGACTAGAGTCTCATGGGGGTGGTGATGGTGGTGTCAGCACTTAAAGTACTATTTTTCTATTGTCAAAATTGCCTTCAGAGGCCC